>NC_000004.12:14322916-14947916 GCF_000001405.40 Homo sapiens | reverse complement strand
TGTATCATTTAAAGTAATTTGTAATACAATCTTGTGAGGCAGATTTACTTATATTCAATTTATGGATGTGAGTACCTAGTCAGAGAGATTAAGCACATAACCCAAGGTTGTCCAATTAATTAAGGTCCCCCCAATTAAATCCAGAGTCCAGATTTAAACACAAACCTTCCCACTTTCACCTACAAATGACAATGTCAGAGTTGGAAAACCATTGTTCTGCAGAGATTAGTAGAGCAAGCTACCATTTTATTGCCAAAAAAACCATTTTCTATAAGTAATTTATTTGAACTTCACAACAGTCCAATGAGTAAATGAAAGTACTGCTAAAGATGGTTCTTTATATATAATTAGAAATTATTCCAATTAGGAATTTATGATGTTCAATATATCATTCATTCATTGATCCTACGTGTTCCTGTCATGTTCCTAAAACATGCCAGGCATTGTTCTAGTCACTGGTGATGTTAGCAATTAACAAAAACAAATTCCTTGCACTGATGAAGCTTTCCTTCTTGTTTGGAGAGACTTTGCCCTAAAAGCAAAAATGAGAAAGGGCTTTCCCAGTTTTATGATTCTTCTATTTCTGGGTAGGGGGCTTTGAGCAGTATGGTTAACTTTGTCCTCAGTTGGAGAAATTGGAGGAGGAATAGTTTTTGGAGACTCAAGTGTGTATGGAAAATCAAGGCCTTAAACTGGAGATGCCTATTAAGTATCTAATGAGGATGTTAAGCAAGACTCATTTATGAGTATGAAGTTTAGGTGAGAGGTCAGGTGTGGAGATAGAAATTTGGGAGACATTGGCTTATATATGGTACTTAAGTCATGGAATTATATGCAATTATGTAGGGAGATGGTGCCCCGAAGCACACCAACATTTAGACAAGTGGAAGATTTGGAGGCACCGAAAGGGACTGAAAAAAATAAATACATAAAGATAGAAATCCAGAGAAGTCTGGTGTTAACGGAAATCATTTACTGTAGAACCTGGCTTAGAATGCGGTTCTGATTCCCAGTGTTTGTACCATTCTCCAGTTACTGAAGATTTTAGTATGCTTTTTTTTCTTTTTATGCTTAAAATTTGTCTCTAAAAGAGTTATTTAAATGATAATTGAAGTGGTAGATTTGCCAGATGGTAATTGCTAAGATGACTTTCTTTACTTTCTAAGTCTTTTGGGCGCAAGTCCAGTTTTCTGTAATCTTCAAACATATGTGTAAATAGTTCAGTGAGTTCGTTACCAAACTCCCCGAACAGCAAAGCATGATATCATCCAGAAGCCAATTCTCACTTTAAGGTAAATGGAGCAATGAACCATTTACCTTAAAGGACCTTCACAAGTAGGTTCATCTACTTGTAGTGTCCTTCAAAATCCACACTTTGTTATTTTTTTTTTTATAATTCTTACTTTTCCATAAAGGTATAACCATCACATAATAAATTGAACTAATTTTAAATGCAGTGTGTTTTTATACCTGCATATGCTCATCTGTGCACCACCCAGACTGAGATATTCAAATTTTCCAATACCTCACAGCCACTTCCGTGCCCTTTCCCAGTCAATACCAACACTCTTCACTTTCCTCCATCACTATTCTGATTTCAATTTCTATGAGCTACATTTACCTGACCTTGAACTCCATATAAATGAAATTAAACAGTATTTTTTCCTTTGCTTCTGGCTTCTTTCATGTAATGTGATGCCTGTGAGATATGTGGTAGTAGTTCGTTCTTTTTAAAATCTTTCTGTAATATTTCATTTTATGAATATACCATAATTTATGTGTACATTCTGCTGATGATGGACATTTGGTTTGTTTCCAGTGTTTGACTATTATGAATGAAAGAGCTATGGTGAACACGCCACTCATTTCTCCTGGATATATGCCTGGGAGTAAACTGATGGATGTATAAATGCATTTAGGAGTGGAATTGCTAGGTTATAACATAGGCATTTGTGTTTTTCTTTATTCCAGTCTCTAAAAAATACAAATTAAAATAATGTGTCATTTATTGCTTATGAAGTTAGTAAATATTTCAGTATGTAGACTACCATTTTCTGTTCTCACTTTCACACACTGCTGGTTGAATTATGAATCGGTATACTCTTTTTAGAAAGTATTTTGGGAAGTATTTTGCCTTTAAAATTTTTATACTACTTGACCCAGGAGTCTTTTCTCCTTTTACTTTTTTAGAACCCATCCTAAGAAAATAATCATAAATATTGTTAAAATTTCTAAAACAAGATATTTACTGGATAACTATTTGTAGTAGAAAAAACAATGAAGATGGTCTATGTCCATCAATAGGGAATACTTGAAGTAAATTATGTAAGAACCTCTCAATGAAAGATTACATTTTATCTATGTAGGTATCAATAAAATGTGATTTAGCATTTTATCAATTGTATGTCAGTAAAGTTTGACTTTTTTGCCTATGAAAGAGTTTATAACAGTATAGAAATATGGTTTGCTACAATGCTAAATGTTAAAAGTAGAACATATATTTAAAGTTTGAACATAACATTGGATATGGAAGAAATATCTCCCAGGAGGAAATATCAACAAAATGCTAGTGCTGACCAACAGCGTAATAAATTGCTGGGTGATTATTCCCTTTTCTCTATTTTAAAAAATTTCTGAAATGTTTAGTCTAGTTTTATTTGTGTAATTGGCTGCTTTTACTGGTCATTTGAGATAAACACTGATTATCCAACTAATACAAACTTTTTAGTTTCATACTTACCACAGATGGTGGGACGTGGGTAGAACCAAGCTTTCCTAATGCTTCTTAAGAATTTCTTTTGCCGGCCGGGCGCGGTGGCTCACGCCTGTAATCCCAGCACTTTGGGAGGCCGAGGCGGGTGGATCACGAGGTCAGGAAATCGAGACCATCCCGGCTAAAACGGTGAAACCCCGTCTCTACTAAAAATACAAAAAATTAGCCGGGCGTAGTGGCGGGCGCCTGTAGTCCCAGCTACTTGGGAGGCTGAGGCAGGAGAATGGCGTGAACCCGGGAGGCGGAGCTTGCAGTGAGCCGAGATCCCGCCACTGCACTCCAGCCTGGGCGACAGAGCGAGACTCCGTCTCAAAAAAAAAGAATTTCTTTTTCCTAATATCCTTCTTAGTGATAACACTATTTCTTATTATTGTGTTTTGCATAGACATAATATTTTTACTATTTGCACCAAACAACTGGTTTTGGTGTTTTCAAACCAAACTAGTTTCTTAGGGCTGCCATAACGAAGTACTACAACCTGGGTAAAACAACAGTTTTACTCTCTCACAGGTCTGGAGGCTAGAAGGTTGAAATCAAGGTATTAGCAGAGCCATGTTTCCTCTGAAGGCTGTAGGTAAGGAATTTCCTTGACCCTTCCAGCTTCTAGTGGGTGCTGGGGTTATTTCGCTTGTGGCAACATAACTCCAATCTCTGTCTCTGTATTTTCACATGGTCTTTTCCCTGAGTGTTTCTCTGTGTCCTCTCTTCTTATAAAGACACCAGTTTTTGGACATAGGATCTACCCTAAATCCAGGATAATTTCACCTTGAGATCCTGAATTAATTACATCTTCAAAGACAGTATTTAAAAATATCGCATTCTGAGGTTCTGTGTGGACATGAATTTTGAAGGAACACTATTTAATCCACTACGAACAGTAACAACAATATTATCAACAATATGTCTTGTGATTTTTAAGTCCTTAAGCTTAATATACCTAATAAATATAACAATGGTTTCCTTAAATATATTGCCTTCTTTGTAAAAGGTGGGTGGAACCCCAAATTTTTAATAGTGTGATTTTGAGAAGTAGGAGCCAGAAAAGGTTAAGGAATCGTGTAGTCTGAGAGGCTTCAGGCTCTGATTTTGTAATGCTTTGGGAAGACGCAGTGTCTCCACAAGAGATGAGATCTGAAAAGGTTAAGGGTTGTGTCTAATGTGAACTTACTGGAAAAACAGGAAATGAATGAGGCGCCTGAACATCGAACAGAGATTTTGTTCTTTGCCATTTCTCTTCATGACGTAGGAATTCCGGTAATCCATTATCCACACTCAATCCTTCAGTAGGATGATGTGAGTTGCTGTGTCTGGTGACTCTTCCGTTGGTAGTGGGAATTGTTTTCCCAGCAACTGAGACCTCTAAATTCTGATATTTTTGTTGAGGGAAATTCCAAAAGCACTTACTGTAAAATGAACATGCAGGGGTGAGTTTCTGGCAGTTGGGCTTTCCACAGTGTTTTATAGTCGTATAAATTAGATGTAGTAAAGGAAGCCTTTGGACCACAAGGGTCTTTATCCTGACTAAGCAGCAACAACAGTGTTTAGGACAATACCAAAGAGAGAAGACTGACATTCAGTTACTCATTTATTTAAAAAATATTTATTGAACACCTATGTGCCATGCCCTGGACTGTGTGCTGGGAATACCACAGTGATCCAAACAGTGCACCTTCTTTCAAGGAAGTCTGGGGTCTTATGGTGCAGATGAACAAGTAATCAGGCATTCAGAGTACAGGGAAGGATATGGAATGGGTGGCATAGGGAAGTGCAAGATACAAGCAATTATGGACCACCATAGCAGTTTAAAAGACGCAGCACCTAATTTAATCTTTGTGTGGTGGTGGGGTACCATAAAGTTCTTGGTCGAAGTGTCAACTAAGCAGAGATCTGTAGGGTGAACTCAAACAGATCTTTGTCAAAAGAGGAGTGAAAAAAGGTATTCATGGTTAAGTTCTTGGTCGAAGCGTCAACTAAGCAGAGATCCATAGGCTGAACTTAAAGAGATCTTTGTCAAAAGAGGAGTGAAATTATGTATTCATAGTCTTCCACGCTTATCAGAAGAGTCTTATTTCCACTTTTCTTCCTATAACTACAATTTCAATTAATAGGGGAATGCATCAGCCTTTGAATGGGGAACCAGAAATTTAGGCAGTTGACACCCAGGGTATATTCTGTGACGCATTGTTTGGAAGAAAGCCTTGTGATCAGTTATCTCCATGTATTAATAGTAGGAGTTCACCTAATGCTGATTAATAACAACAACAAGGATTTTTTTATTTTTATTTATTTATTTTATTTATTTATTTTATTATTATACTTTGAGTTTTAGGGTACATGTGCACAGTGTGCAGGTTAGTTACATATGTATACATGTGCCATGCTGGTGTGCTGCACCCATTAACTCGTCATTTAGCATTAGCTATATCTCTTAATGCTATCCCTCCCCCCTCCCCCCACCCCACAACAGTCCCCAGAGTGTGATGTTCCCCTTCCTGTGTCCATGTGTTCTCATTGTTCAATTCCCACCTGTGAGTGAGAACATGCAGTGTTTGGTTTTTTGTCCTTGTGATAGTTTACTGAGAATGATGATTTCCAATTTCATCCATGTCCCTACAAAGGACATTCACTCATCCTTTTTTATGGCTGCATAGTATTCCATGGTGTATATGTGCCACATTTTCTTAATCCAGTCTATCATTGTTGGACATTTGGGTTGGTTCCAAGTCTTTGCTATTGTGAATTGTGCCGCAATAAACATACGTGTGCATGTGTCTTTATAGCAGCATGATTTATAGTCCTTTGGGTATATACCCAGTAATGGGATGGCTGGGTCAAACGGTATTTCTAGTTCTAGATCCCTGAGGAATCGCCACACTGACTTCCACAATGGTTGAACTAGTTTACAGTCCCACCAACAGTGTAAAAGTGTTCCTATTTCTCCACATCCTCTCCAGCACCTGCTGTTTCCTGACTTTTTAATGATTGCCATTCTAACTGGTGTGAGGTGGTATCTCATTGCGGTTTTGATTTGCATTTCTCTGATGGCCAGTGATGGTGAGCATTTTTTCATGTGTTTTTTGGCTGCATAAATGTCTTCTTTTGAGAAGTGTCTGTTCATGTCCTTCGCCCACTTTTTGATGGGGTTGTTTGTCTTTTTTCTTGTAAATTTGTTTGAGTTCATTGTAGATTCTGAATATCAGCCCTTTGTCAGATGAGTAGGTTGCGAAAATTTTCTCCCATTTTGTAGGTTGCCCGTTCACTCTGATGGTAGTTTCTTTTGCTGTGCAGAAGCTCTTTAGTTTAATTAGATCCCATTTGTCAATTTTGTCTTTTGTTGCCATTGTTTTTGGTGTTTTAGACATGAAGTCCTTGCCCATGCCTATGTCCTGAATGGTAATGCCTAGGTTTTCTTCTAGGGTTTTTATGGTTTCGGGTCTAACATGTAAGTCTTTAATCCATCTTGAATTAATTTTTGTATAAGGTGTAAGGAAGGGATCCAGTTCCAGCTTTCTACATATGGCTAGCCAGTTTTCCCAGCATCATTTATTAAATAGGGAATCCTTTCCCCATTGCTTGTTATTCTCAGGTTTGTCAAAGATCAGATATTTGTAGATATGTGGCGTTATTTCTGAGGGCTCTGTTCTGTTCCATTGATCTATATCTCTGTTTTGGTACCAGTACCATGCTGTTTTGGTTACTGTAGCCTTGTAGTATAGTTTGAAGTCAGGTAGCGTGATGCCTCCAGCTTTGTTCTTTTGGTTTAGGATTGACTTGGCAATGCGGGCTCTTTTTTGGTTCCATATGAACTTTAAAGTAGTTTTTTCCAATTCTGTGAAGAAAGTCATTGGTAGGTTGATGGAGATGGCATTGAATCTGTAAATTACCTTGGGCAGTATGGCCATTTTCAGGATATTGATTCTTCCTACCCATGAGCATGGAATGTTCTTCCATTTGTTTGTATCCTCTTTTATTTCATTGAGCAGTGGTTTGTAGTTCTCCTTGAAGAGGTCCTTCACGTCCCTTATAAGTTGGATTCCTAGGTATTTTATTCTCTTTGAAGCAATTGTGAATGGGAGTTCACTCATGATTTGGCTTTCTGTCTGTTTTTGGTGTATAAGAATACTTTTGATTTTTGTACATTGATTTTGTATCCTGAGACTTTGCTGAAGTTGCTTATCAGCTTAAGGAGCTTTTGGGCTGAGACAATGGGGTTTTCTAGATATACAATCATGTTGTCTGCAAACAGGGACAATTTGACTTCCTCTTTTTCCTAATTGAATATCCTTTATTTCCTTCTCCTGCCTAATTGCCCTGGCCAGAACTTCCAACACTATGTTGAATAGGAGTGGTGAGAGAGGGCATCCCTGTCTTGTGCCAGTTTTCAAAGGGAATGCTTCCAGGTTTTGCCCATTCAGTATGATATTGGCTGAACAACAAGGATTTATTAGGGGCAGCCAGAACTTGAGATATTTGATGAATCTAGGGTTTTATTTTAAAGTCAAAATAACTGAAGCCTCATATAAGAGAGTTTGTAATGAAGCTTGTGTCTTCTAAGTATAGCTTATGTATTCTACGTTTTTTGTATATATGTGTATAGAAGCTTAGATTACTTTTTAAAAATAAAGGAACAATGGTGCAAAATTGACCATTTGAACATTGTTAATTTTTTAATTACATGGTATGTTAAAAATACAGAGAAAGCAAAAATAAATATGACAAATATTCACGAAATTACCACCTCACTGTCATCTTAATATTTTTGAAATATTTGCTTCAAATAATATTTATTAAGAAGTAAATAATCAGAAGTACAGTTGAACCCCTCTGTGTTTCTTTTCCATCCCGTTTTATGTTGTCATTCATCAGAGATAATTGCTGAATCCCATTAGAATATTATTGTGAATTGGGTGTTTATCATTACCTAATCGCTTACCATAATCTATTCTTCTCTTCTTTGGAACAGGTAAACCTTGATTTTTAAAGGGAAGAATATGTTTCCCAGTTGCCCTCGCAATACTGTAGTACTAAGATTTGGCCATTAATATTAGATAGTTGTGTTGTGTGTAACTAGAAGGAAATCTCCTTACAAATAAAGAAAAACATCTCCTTTGCCTCTTTCTCCATCCTGCCACTGGAACTTTGATATAATGGTTAGAGTTATAGCAAGCATCTAGGATCCTGAGATGAAAGACATTGTCTGAGAAGGGCAGAGAGACAGATGGAAGAATGCTGGGACTGATTATCTTGTGGGTTGGCCATATATAAACCTTGTATGGTCTATCCCTCTGCATATCTTTTACATGAGAGAAAAACAGGCTGTCATGTTTGTTGTTATTTCTTCAGTCTTTATGTCTAGCAATTAAACCTAACACTAACATTGTAACTATTCTAACATATAGATATTAGTAGTGTATTTTTCAAATTTAAATATATCAACGTTCTATTTTTAATATTTGACTTTTTTGTTACATTTTGAGATTTATTCATTTTAACATATCTAGTTCTAGTTCATTTTTATTTTGTTTATAATATTACAGAATTTAATAATTTTCTGCTCGTGAACATTTAAGTGGTTTCTAACATTTTCTTATTACAAACATGATGTGATAAACATTTTAAAAGAGATCTTTATTTTTACACTTATGCCAGAATTTCTTATTGAGTTTGGTATATAGATCTTGTATCTAGAAATCTTGCTGAACTTCTAAAAAAGTTCTAAATCGTTCTATAAATTATCTTTGGGTTTCTATGAGAAAATTTTACTGGGAGAAATAATAATTTATTCATTTCTAATTTTATACCTCTTATTTCTTTCCTTATTGCATTGTCTACGGCCTCAAATGGAAGTCAAAAAGAAGACAACTTTATTTTATTTCTTCACTTAATTTGAATGCTTCTAAGGATACATTATATTAAATACATTTGCAGTTATTTTTAGTTAAATAAATTATATTTACTACTTGTTTGATAAGCATTTTGTCAGGAATTAACAAGTGAGCATTTTGTCATTTTGTTATGTTGAATGCTTTTCCTGTACCTATTGTTTTTATTTATATTTTTAATGTAGTACATCACATTAATACATTTTTATGTTTTCCTTTTAAATTTAATTTGATTTTATAGCATCATGAGAAAATATTTTTAAAGTCAAATAGTTCTACAATATTAGGATCCTTTCCAAATTACCAGTACCCAGAGGCAACCCATTTCAAATCTTTTAGTGTTTCTTTTTGTATTTACCTCCATATTTCCAAATAACATGAACATATTGCTATTTCTTGGTTTTTCAGTTGTATACGTTAATATGCTGCTATTTTTTTTCTGTTTTTGATAGTATCTATTTAATGTTTACTTTGGAAGATGGGTACTTATCTCTACCTCTCCCAATATAGTTGTATCACATTTGTGTTTTAAAAAGTATTTACATTACAGTATGTAAATATTCACCATTGAGCAAGGTAAGGTACTAGGATCAACTTTTTTTGTTTGTATGTATATGCATATAGTTTATATATTATTTACTCTAGAGTTAACACATTCTTCACTTTATTTGCCTATTTTTTCCGTGTACCTATCCTTAATTCATTCTAAAACTCACACAGTGCAATCATTTTTTCAGTATATTCAGAGAAATTAAGGCAATATATCACGGGTGGAGGTGTGTGGAATAATCACACATAGAAAGACAGGTTTTTGTTTTTTTTGAAGCCTTACATCTTTGAGAGCAGCTGTTGACTGGGGACATCCTTTACCATCATCATGAGAATTACCTTACCTTTGCATCTCTCCTGGGTTGGAGTTCAAGTTAGTTTTTCATTCCTTGCTTTCTCTTTTTAGGTTAATGGCTTTGTTTGGTAGAACATACCCTTCATCTTCTTTCTGAATAAGAATTCATGGCATGAACACGAGGACAGGAGCAACAGACACTGGGTCTACTTGAGAGTGGGGGGCGCGAGGAGTGAGAGGAGCAGAAAAAAATAACTGTTGGGTACTAGGCTTAATACCTGGGTGATGAAATAATCTGTACAACAAACTCTCATGACATGAGATTATGTATATAACAAACTCTCACATGTAGCTCGAACCTAAAATAAAGGTTTAAAAAATAAAGAATTCATGGCAGATAATTTTTAAAGATATTGCCAGTTTGCAAAATTCTTCTTTCGACCTTCACATTTGGTTGATGGTTTTCCCTGGTATAGACTTCTAAGTTTAAAATCACTACCCCTCTCTTCACATTTGAAGATATTTCTCCATTGTCTTGTAGAATCTGGTGTTCCTGCAAAAAAGTTCCGTGCCACTCTGATGCATGAGTATGTAAAATTGTATATTTTTCTCCTGTATGGACCCTAAGTCTTTTATTTACCTTCACTGTTCTCGTATTTTATAATACTATGCCCTGGTGAGAGTTTGTTTTCATTTCTTGTGCTTAGAGTGTGCTAGACACCAATGGGGTCTTTTAATCTCTAGACCCATATCCTTTAATCATGGGAAATTCTTGTACTGTTTCATTATTATTTCTTTCCCTATGTTTAATCTTTCTTTCTGGAACTCCTAATATTTAGCTGTTGGTCCTCCCAAACAGATCCTTTATTTTTAAAAATTTCCTATTTTTAGCTCTTTGGACTTTGGTTCTAGGAGATTTCTTCAGATTTATCTTTCAAACGCTACATTGGATTTAAAATTTTTGCTGTCATATTTTTAATTTCAAAGAGCTCTTTTTTTCCTTGTTGTCCAAATGGTATTTGTTCTTGTCTCATGAATGTACTATGTTTTACCTCTTTGAGACATTTTAAAAACTTTCATTCTTACTGCATTTTCTCTGTTTTTTGATACTTCTAAATAATTATTTTCATCTGTCTATTATGTTGGAAGTATTCTTCAAAAAACTGACAATTTTTTTGCTGTCCATTTATATTGAGAGGTGAGGCACTTAAAAGTTCATTGAATGGCCAACACGTGGGGTGAGGACTTTCTGAATGATGGGCTTCACTACTGGGTACCAAGCAGAGAGTCAACTAGTTCCTTGCAGAATCACTAGTAGTCCAGTAACTACATGTCTTTTCACATGGGGTCAATAGTCCAGAATCCTCAAGGCTACTCCCTGGGCTTATAAACCTAGATGATGACCTTCTGGGAGTTGAGTGAAAAAGGGAGCTGGGCTCTCCTTTTGAGCATTTTTAGTTCTGCCCTCTTCCCTCAGCTGTACCTGGTATCACTGAGTTCAGAGGCTTTGGATTCCACGGTTCAAGTGATAAACTTCATCTTTTGAGGCCCTGAGTGTAAGTGGAAATGAGGAGAGTAGTTATCTCATTTGGGGTTTATGAGGTGTCCTAGGAGTCGAACTGCTTCTCACACACACCTTTATTCTTTGTTTCACTATATCTCCAATGTCAGAGGTATCTGGCATTTCTGATTCCTGGTTTCTGTTCTATTAGGGTTAGGCTAGGAAATAGGGCTAGGGTTAAATGAGAGAATTTTATTCATTCTTTTCTGTCTCTATCTACATTAATTCTGTCCTATCCAATGATTTAAAAATTGTCTTCCCCTTGCCTTCAGGCCCGTATAGGTCTCTAGGTCTCACCATAGCATTTCAGACATCCTGTTTCACACACAACAATAATGGGAATGTTGTAAAGCCAGGCTCCAAATCAGCTTGGTTCCATTTCTAATTGTGAGGTAGTGACTGTGCCCTCCAGTCCCTCTTGGGTTTGAAGCCTGCTAAAATCCATAGCTCCATGTAGAGCTGGGAAGCAGGGATTTTCCCCCTTATTTATAAGTGGGAAAACCCTGTATGTATAGCCACTAGCTCTAAGCAGTGAGCCTAGTCCTGATTGTCCATCTTGGATGGCTTAAGTTTTATGATAATCACTCTGTGGGACCTGAACCCTTTGCCCCACTGCTGAGCCCCAGGTGCAGAGACCAGGAGGCTCTTGGCTATATTCTCGATTTCTCAAATTGTATTTTTTTTTCTTTCGAGATGGAGTCTACCTCTGTCATCCAGGCTGGAGGGCAGTAGTTTGATCTTGGCTCACTGCAAACTCTGCTTCCTGGGTTCAGGTGATTCTCCTGCTTCAGCCTCCTGAGTAGCTGTGATTACAGGTGTGTGCCACCACACCTGGCTAACTTTTGTATTTTTAGTAGAGATGGGGTTTTGCCATGTTGGCCAGGCTGGTCTCGAATTCCTGACCTCAAGTGATCCATCTGCCTTGGCCTCCCAAAGTGCTGGGATTACAGGCGTGAGCTACCATGCCTGGCCCTTGATTATATTCTCTCTCACTCATTTGTGTCTTTGTTCCCTTCCTTATCTGATAGAAGTCATCTTTTCTCCCCCATTATTCCTATGTCTTTTTGCATGTACATGCATGCATGCATCCACACACATGCATATTTTTCTTTGTCAGTTGTATTGTTTGGAAAAGAGAAACAAAGTGTGAACACAATATACCATCTTCACAGAAAATTTAAATAGCAGTTCTTTGAAAACAAACATAACAGCAACAATGACAACAACAAAATCAAAAGCCAACAACCAAATGCAAACCCACTGCCTTTCACTTAAAAAAAAAAGCAAGTAAGATTTGGATTGGGTCTAATTTGGATACTATATATGACCATGCCTTGTATTACCTAATGCCTCCTCACAAATCTTAATTATTCATTTTATGCTTATGAATCTAGGTCACCTCATTAAGAAATCTTATGACCTTCTTCACACTGGCCTCATTTTTTTTTTAATGCTTCAAACATAAAAGATGAACTTTTGAAGACCTGGGATTTAACTCTTTCTCAAACATATTCCCCAAACTTCCAATATAATCAAAGCATTTTTCTGTTTCTGGAGTCTTTGAGCAGTGTTTGGCTGAGAGGTACACAATGAGAGGGTTATAAGGTTGTTCTCGACAGCCTGGGTGAGATAGAGTGACCTCCTTACTGCATGCAGTTTTCCAGCGCTGGCCCACTGCCGGAAATGCAGAAGTTTCCCAAGAAGACAAACACTGAGAAGTTCACTAAACATGTGGACTTTAATTTGCTTCTTGAAATGCCAGGCTGTTTTCTTTTTCTGGCAGAAATTGTTACTCCTCCTCTAATCTCACAGACTGTAAATGCTAGTTCTACTTTGGTAACAATTTTCCCTGAACTTCGTCAGTTCCATTCAACAAGTATTTATTGAAGCGTGCCAGGCAATGTTAGGTACGGGGAATATAATAATGAATGCAGCACAGTTCTGGTGCTTAATGACCTCGTGGTCTCATGTCAGCAGAGACACACGGGACTGCAAACCCAAAGACTTACCAGGTGGCAAACCTTTGTCCTTAGTGTTCTAGCTGCCGAAGTTCACATTTGCAGAACCATTTGCTCACTGAGACCTTGAAAAATAAGTTAGTCTCTCTGGGCTTGAGTTTCCTCATCTGTATAAAGAACATGATAATGGTACTATATGGTATACACATATATACAGACATATATACACTATAGATTATCATTCTCTTATACATACTGTTGATCCTTGAACAACGTGCATTTGAACTGTGCGAGTCCACTTATATATGAATTTGCTTCCACCTCTGTCACCCCTGAGACAGTAAGACTAGCCCTTTGTCTTTGCCGTCCTCCTCCTCCTCAGCCTGCTCAACATGAAAATAATGAGGATGAAGGCTGTTATGATGATCCACTTACACTCAAGGAATAGTACATATATTTTCTCTTTCTTATAATTTTCTAAATAATATTTTCTTTTCTCTAGCTTCCTATGTTGTAAGAATACAGTATATAATACATGTAACATACAAAATACTTGTTAATTGACTGTTTATGTTTTCAATAGGCTTCCAGTCAACAGTAGGCTATTAGCAGTTAAGTCTGTGGGGAGTTAAAAATCATATTGGGACTTATGACTATGTGGGGGGGTCAGCATCCCCAGCCCCCACATTGTTGGAGGGTAAACTGTACATATGTAAATATACATACACACAGATATGTGGATATATGTATATATTCATATATTTGTATGTGTACACATAGTATACATACCTATGTATGTATATACGCGTGTGTGTGTTTGTGTATGTGTGTGTTGTAGATTAAATTTCATAATACACGTAAAGTATAAACTTGAGGCTGGCAAATAGGAAGGACTCCTTAAATATTAACTTCTATTGTTCTGTGTATTTTAGCTCTATAACACGAAGGAAAGCCTAAACTAGTAATGGATAAAACATGGTCTTTAGAGACAGGTAGGTCTGGGTTTAAAACCTCATTCAACAACTTATAAACTTGAGTAACCTTGTATGTGAAGTCCTTCGTCCATTTTATAATCAATGCTCAATGAGTGTTGCTTTTATTATTATTATTAATATTTTTAGAGGCAGGGTCTCACTGTGTTGTCCAAGCTGGAGTGCAGTGGCTGTTCACAGACATGATCATAGAGCACTATAGCCTCAAACTTCTGGGCTCAAGTGACCCTCTTGCCTCAGCCTCACAAGTAGCTGGGACTACAGATGTGTGCCACTGTACCTGGCACTTTTATAATTACCATTTCTTAATATTATGAAACAAACCTTTCTCATCTCAAAAGTAATTACTATTATCTTTAAATTATAATTATCGTTACATTATTTGTGTTGGAAATAATAAATATGATTATATTATCTACAATATCATATCTTATTTATATTATATAAATTATATATTATATTAATAATATATAATATGTGATATAATAGGTTTATTATATATTTTATATAATATATTTTATATTTATTATATATATCTTTGTGTTGGAAATAATATATTAAATATTATTTCCAACAGTATTTACTTTTCTATCTCCATTATATATTTTGCATTCATCTCATCTACTTCATTTCTATTCCCATTTTCTAGCTCATATCTTGGTCACTTCTCCCTTTATTATATTAGTCTTCTAATTCATGTCCCTGTTCAATTACTCTCTCCTCAAGTCCTCTTTCATAACACTTTCAGATAAATTTTCTTTAACTGCAAATCTGATGATATCACTCCTCTATTCTCCATTGCTGGTATAATAAAGCCAGACTCTTTTTTCTCATTTCAACCTAAATTTGAATTCTGTCTACCTTCTTATCTTTAATTCTCACTATTCCCCTTTATATACTTGACATGAAAATTTCAAGGAGATAGTCCCTCTCTGCTGAAACCTTGCCGTTATTTTCCTCTGGCTTCTTCCTGTACTACCTCTTTGAGCTTTGCTGCATGTCCAAATCTTCCAAGGCCCAATCAAGCTCTTTTACTTGGTGGTGTCTCCTCTGGTCCCCTCTCCCTGTCTTTCAAATACTCTCAACATTTTAACTACATCTTCATAATGGCTAGATTTTGACTGTGTTCTAAATTTTACCTGCCTATTGTTTATCCCTGGTACCTTCAGCATTTAGCATATTCTGTTCATTAAGATAATACGAAGTTCTCTAACAAATAAACTCCCAAATTTTGGTGGCTTAATGTAAGAAAAGTTTATTTCCTTCTCAGTTGAGAATATAATGGGGGTGTTTCTGCTTCATAGACAACTTCCCTTCAAATAGTGATTCAGAGACCCAGACTCTCCCCATCTTGGGGTTCTGCAATTTTCCTAAGATCTCAGAGTTCTCTGCCTCCAGCCAGTAGAAAGGAAACAAGAGAGTAGAAAAGCAACATCCACATCTTAATCACCATCACCTGGACATACATCACTTATATTCATATTCCACTGCAAGACCAGTCAGTTGGTCCCTCACTGATGCAAAAAGGCAAGGGAAGTGTAGTCCCTGGCTGGGCAGCTCCTTACCAGAGATAGCTCTATTCTGTAGAAGAAGGAGCAGAAATTTTGGGTGAAGAGTAAGCCATCTCTGCCATGCTCTGTTATTAGGAGACACTTTATATCAAACATGTATAGATGAAAATGATAATAATACTTAGAATACCCACCATTTATTACCTATAATGACTCTTTTTGTCATAGGAATGGTATGTGTATGTATGTGTGTGTGTGTGTATATATATATATAATATATATATTATATATATAAAATATATATTATATATATAATATATATATTATATATATAAAATATATATAATATATATTAAATAAATATATATATAATATATATTAAATAAATATATATATACACATACATAAGTGTATATATATTTAAGTAAATGTTAAAATGTTGAGAGTATTTGAAGGAGAGAGAGAGGGGACCAGAGGAGACTCCATCAAGTAAAAGAGCTTGATTGGGCCTTGGAAGATTTGGACATGCAGCAAAGCTCAAAGAGGTAGTACAGGAAGAAGCCAGAGGAAAATAAGTGCAAGGTTTAGTAGAGAGTGACTATCTCCTTCAAATTTGCATGTCAAATATGTAAAGAGGAATAGTACGAATTAAAGATAAGAAGGTAGATAGAATTCAAATTCAGGTTAAAATGAGAAACAAATGTCTGGCTTTATTATACCAGCAATGGAGAATAGAGGAGTGATATAATCAGATTTGCAGTTAAAAGCATTTATCTGGAAGTCTTGTGAAAGAGGACTTGAAGAGAGAGTAATTGAAACCGGGGACATGAATTAGAAGACTAATATAATAAAGGGAGAGGTGACCAAGATTTGAGCTAGAAAATGATGGTAGAAATGAAGTAGATGAGAGGAATGCAAAAATGTATAATGGAGATAAAATAAATACTGTTGATTGTGTTTGTGGGGCAGAGGGTCAGGGGTATAAAATAGAATCTTAAGTGCGCTAATTTAGGTGACTGGGAGAATGATGGTGACATTAGTAGAAGTGAGGAAGGGAAGATGAGTATGGAGAAGGAAATGGGGGGTGGTTAATTTTATTTTGGACATTAGTAATAGAATATTTGTGTGGGAGAGCCTGTTGATGTTGACCAACAGGTGGTTGTCAATTTTGGACTAGCGTTAAAGAGAGAGCATCAGTTAAATCAGCAACATTTCTTGTGAGATGTGGATTTGCAAGGATTATTTGAATGGGGAGGTGAGAGACTAATTGGTAAGCTCATTGGACTGGAGGTACAGTGTCTTAGTAACAAAATACCATAGACTGGGTGCCTTACGTAACAGAAATTTATTTTCTCACCGTTCTGGAGGCTAGAAGTCCATAATCAGGGTGACGGCTGATTTGGTGAAGACTCTCTTCTTGGGGTGCAGACAGCCATCTTCGCTGTGTCCTCACATGGCAAAGAGAAAGAGGAAAAGGAAGCAAGCTCTCTGCTGTTTCTTCCAATAAGGACACTAAACCCAACATAAGGACCCCACCCTCATGAAATAATCTAACTCTAATTACTTCCCAAAGGTTCCATCTCCAAATACCATCACATTGGGAATTAGGGCTTCAACATATGAATTTTGAGGGGACACAACATTCAATCTATAACACACAGGTATCCAAGTCTGAAGAAAAATAGTAGAAGTTAGAGTAGGGAAGATTCTTCCTGATAGAAGTTTATTAGAAAAGTCACAATCGATTGAAGTTGAAAATGTTCAGGGGTTCCATTATATTAAGACAAAGTAATAGGCAGACACTTAATACCCTAATTGGTCATTAGGGAGAAGCCAGGAATGTGGAAATGCTACCCCTCTCTAGCTCACGAAGTTGAAAATGTCTGCCACAACAAGAAGTGAATTTTGACCTTACCCAGTATAAAATTAACTTCTCAGTTCATTTCTCAAAACTGAAAAAACAGTTTTAATACCTTTAACATAAGTGTTATCCATAAGTGTTATCCAATCAATACAGTTTATTTGGCATGGTCTCCTAGATAAGTAGAGGCCTGGAATAGCCCCCTAGAGATGATCTGAGATTGCTGTCTTTCAAACTGTGTTTCATCCCAAGGATGAAGAGAAGGTACCTCAGGGTTGACCCGGGATGTGAGAGTAGTCAGAGCCTGAGATAGAATCAACACCGTTCATATCTCTCCTACCCCTTCTACTCATCAACCAGGCCAGAGCCACACTTATTCTGTTATATATTAGGCTTCTGGCTAAGACTTCATCTGAAGAAAAGATTTCATGCTCTCTGTCTATGGGCACATGTATGCCTAGCCATGTCATGTCTGTATCTAACAACTATGTGAAAAACAACACCTAGACCAGAGCCTGCCAACTTTTTCTGTACTTGGCCAGATGTAATTTAAACCTTTGGAGGCTGTACAGTCTCTGTCATAACTATTTAATGATGCTGTTGTAGCATGAGAGCTGTCATAGACAATACATAGAAAAATGAGCATGACTGTGTTGCAATAAAACTTTATTCGCAAAAACACATGGTGGATTTGCTTGTAGATCTTTGATGTTGATCAACTTCCCTCTTGTTTTATATATTGAGAAATAGAGGTAGAGTGAGGCTAAGAGACTTACCAAAGGTAATAAAGTGGTGAGTAGTAGTCATGAGAATGAAACTGCAGTCTCCTTATTCATTTCAGTCACCCCCTATTCTACCTCATGCATGTTCCATCTTTGTCAAAATCCCTCAAAGTGTTGTTCTGGTGCCTTGAACATGCTGTCAGATTAATTAGTTGGTTTTGTATCTTTATTATGTGCCCTCTTCACAAGCCAAATGATTTGCTGTATTATCTCTTTTAATACTCATGACAGCCCTGTAATGTTGATATCATTATTCTCCATTTTACAAAGAAGAATATGGAAGTTTAGAGACATGTTCAAGATCGCACTTTAATGAACCTCTTTAATAGTCCTGATTGGCTCAGGCTGCTAACCTTACAATTTATCGTCAACTCATCCTTTTCTCTTGGAGTCCCTAGAGTCAATTCATAGCAAGTTGTTTCAGCTTTCAAAACATTCAGGATTCAGCCACTTCTCATCACCTCCAGTATTACTATTTTGGCCTAAACTGCTGTCACCTCTCCCCAGGATTGCTGCAACGGCCATCTAGTAGGTCTCCCTGCCCCCAGCTTTATACACTTAAGGTCTATTCCCACCATAGTCGCAAGAGTGATTCTGTTAAAATATGAGATAGATCCTGGCACTTGTCTTCTAAAACCCTGCCAGGGCTACTCATGTCACTCAGTAAAGGCAGAAATCCTACCATGTCCCTTATGGCCCTGCATACTCTGCCCCAGCCTTAACTCTCTTACTACTCTCCCCCGCCAACTCTTTGCCTACCTCCTGGGCTTCCTTGCTGGCCCTGGACAGAATAGGCATGGCCTCTCTTTAGGGCCTTGTGTCTAGCTGTCCCTGTCTCTGCATTGCTTTCCCTCCCCTACGCCATGTCCACAAGCCCGCCCAACTCTCTCACTGCTCCTGGTCTCTGCTAACCTGTGGGCTTCTCAGTGAGGTTCACCTTGACAGCCTTATTGAACACGGCATTCGAAATTCCTGGGCCCCTGGCCCTGCTCTGTGTTTTCTTTTTCCCATAGCACTGGCCAGCTTCTAACATACTATGCAATTTATTTGTTATGCTTATTGTTCATTGTCTCTCTCCCTCCACAAGCCCCGACCAATCAATGTCCTTGAGGGTAGGGATCTATATTTTGTCTGCCTTTTTCTCTCTAAGGCTGTGAACAGTGTTGGGCCCTAAGTAGGCGCTGAATATATCTTTATTGAATGAATGAATAAACCTGACTCTCTTATTTCAAGGCTTTGTTCTTAATTACTGAATTATATGGCCAAAGAAGTAAGATATTAAATAAATAAATGAATAAATGGAATGAATGAGTCCTCTAGTAATTTGGGAATTCTCTGGGCCCTGGGATTGTCTCTTAATCATGTGAGTATGCCTGGAACAAAGCAGGTGCTTAGTAAGTGCTTACAGAATTAAATTACATCCTGCAGGCACCAATTCTGACATTTGGGAGGCCCTGTTACCCCATAAAATGCTTCCCTCCTGTTTTGGCCCATCATGACCATAATTATACTTCTCTTAGCCAAAAAAGCCCTTTGTCCCTTGGCTGAGGTTCAGACCCTGCTGCTTCCAGCCAGACTGGACAACAAAAAGGAGCTTCAGAAGGAAGGACAACAGTCAATTTCTTTCTGCAGAATTCCTCCCAAGCTGCTTAAGCCTCTTTCCATGTCCCCCCATTTTAAACCTTTTTGCTTTCTTTGCTCTGAAGGATTCTAGCGACAGTCCAAAGAGGTGACTCTGGCTGGATAGTATAAGGAGAGTATAATCCTTCCTGGGGGAAGGATTCCCCAGGAAATGAGTATTAGGGGCTCCTTTTCCTGCCTTTTATCAAAGATTTTCCAGAAGCCAGATATTAGCACAAATTCAAGGAAAATAACAATTTGCTACTTACAAAAGAGCAGCTTTGTAGCAGCAAACTTGCTGTCGATGTTAAATCTGAAGACAAAGCCCTGATAACTCCTTCTAATGCTATTTCACCTCCACACTCTATCCTTAAAGTTGAATCTTTAACACAACACATGCTGAGTGTCAGAAAACTGCAGGTAGCAATCCTACCACTGAGGAAAGTTTAATATACCTCCCCGAGTGGAGAAACACAAAGGTAGTGGAAAGTAGGGATTTAAACCAGGGTCTACAAAAAGACACATGCACTTGTATGTTCATCGGCACCCTATTCACAATAGCAAAGGCATGGAATCAACCTAGGTGCCCATCAGCAGTGGATTGGATAAAGAAAATGTGGTATATCTACAGCATGGAATATTACCCAACAACAAAAAGAAAGAAATAATGTCCTTTGCAGTAACACAGATGCAGCTGGAGGCCATTACCCTAAGTGAATGAACGTAGAAATAGAAAACCAAATACTACATATTCTCATAAGTGGGAGCTAAACATTGGGTACGAATGGGAATAAAGTGGCAACAATAGACACTGGGACTGCTAGAGAGTGAAAGGAGAGAGGGAGGGCACAATGACTTAAAAGCTATCTATTGGGTCGTATTCTCAGTACTCCAAACCTCAGCATCACTCAATATACCCAGGTAACAACTGCACACACATACCCCCGAATCCAAAATAAAGTTGAAATTACATAAAACAAAAGCAAAAACAACCAGGATATATCTGGTTCCAAGGCTATTTTTATTCATTGGCTCATTCATTCATTCGTTCATTCCTTAATCACATGTTTATGGAGCACCCACTGTTGGCCAGGGACCATTCTCAGATCTTGAGAGACAGTCATGAACAAAGCAGATAAAAGTTCCCGCCTTTGAGAGGCTTTTACATTCTAGTAATGAAATACAGATGATAAAAAGTAAACAAAATTTTAAAAAATATGTATGGACAAAAAAGAGAAAGAAGAGCAGGTAAGGGAAATTGAGACTGCGGGGCAGGGGAAATTTGCAGTAGGAAATCCAATGTGCTGGATAGACTTCATTGAGAATATTGGATATGATCAGGGTTGAAGGAGGCAATGGAGTTCACCCAGAGGATGTTTGAGGAAAGAGCATTTCTGGTGGAGGAGTGGCTAGGGCAGAGGCCCTCAGACAGCAGGCATGTGCCTGTGTGTGTGTGGCCAGCCCAGTGACTGGTTTGGCTGGAGTAGAGTGAGTACACGGGAAGGGCAGATCATAAGGACCCCAGAGAGCATTGCAAGGGCTCTGTGAGGACTTTGGGTTCTCTTGGGGAAGAGTCACTGCAGGGTTTTGTGCAGAGGAGCAGCTGCTTCATGTCTTTACAGTCTCTCTGGCTGCTCTGTGGAGGCCAAGGTTGTGTCAAGGTTGAAAGCAGGCAGACCGTTGAGAGCCTGTTGTAATATTCCAGGCAAGAGACAATGGTGGCTTAGACACAGTGTCCAGGGTGGAGGAGCTGCCTTTCTTCTGACGCAGCTCCTCTCCCATCCACCTTCCTCTCTCCTGATGACATGTTTATAGAATCTCATACAATTAGTTCCTCCTGGGTAAGGTGGCCTTTTCTTTCTCCCCTCTGTCCATTGGCTCAGGTCTTAACTCCTCTTCTCAGCTGCCCTGCACCACGCACTCCAATCCTGGCCCTGAACTTTGTATCTCTGGCCTCTTCTGTGGCCCTATTTTGTGCCCAGGGCTCACCCACAGCAGCCCCAGAGCTCTCTCTTGCCTGCCTGTCCTGGTTGGTTGTTGCTATATTCCCTGTCAACCATTTCCCCTGTTTCGCCTAATCTGTGGGATATTGCAAAACAAAAAGGCACAAGTGTGCTAGCTAATGCATCAATTTGGGACAAAGCAGGTGCTTCTACCATCCCAAATCCAGGAGGATGGCAAACTGACTCCCAGTTTCCACTTCTTCCAGCCAGGGATCATCAGTGCTTGTCTCGAGGGGCTGTCCTATCAGCCAATGGGACAATACATGGGGCGTTACATTGCAGCAAGAATGTTGCATAGATGATAGGGAAGGGGAAGGAAGAAGATGTTCAGCACACACTATGTGTCATGCACTTTGTCTCCAGTATGTTATGGAACTGTCACAAGGACTCTGTGGGTTGGTTCTAGCATTCATTGTTCACTGATGAGGGAATGAAAAATAAAACAACCTGCACTGAGCCTATAGTTGACTCCAGTCATGAGGGTGTGAGCAACCTCCAAAGTAGAAAGATGTTCCATGTCTGGAGAAGACAACAGATTCCTTGTTTAAAAAGGAAAAATACGATATTAAAAGGACGGCGTGGTTTCTCAGGCTGGAGTGTGACTCAGTCATCACGTTAACTCAGCAGTGTTGCCAGAGCTTCAGCCAGTGCCAGGCTGTGGAGAGGTGGGCACCCAGGCCAGGGCTCCCACAGCCTATTCCAGGCACTTCTCCTTGGCCCACATAAGGAAGGGGTATGTGAGGGTGTGTGAGTTCTTTCCCATGACACCAAAATGCAACTATGCAGAAAGGATGCATGGCTTGGGGCTGGAAAAACATTTACAACAACCTGACAATGGAATCCATCTGTCCAGGTCTAGCTAGGTGTGGCAGGTGAGGCAAGAGTCCCACCTAATGATACAAGAGCTCCTTTTCATCGTCTGTGGTTAGGTTTTTCCCCACTGCCAAGGAGGTGCAAGGTGCATGGTCAGGGGGACTACGCCTGTGGTGCAGGAATGCACTGAGAAGGTGCTGCCCAGGTAGCCCTGCCCTGCATGTGTGAATCACCCAGTTAGAAGGCCATTCCTGGCTGGTTTGCATCTTGTCAGCATTTTACAAACTGGTAATTCTCTTGCTCAGAATGTGTCTCCCCCTTGCCAGAGTCTGGAAATGTGGCCAAAGAATTTGGCATTTTCAAAGCCAAGAGCCTTCTTATTTCATCTATCATAGGGGCTTTCTGAGAGCTGGCAGAGTTGTGGCTTTGAGGGCGAAATTTTTGTGTCAACTTGGCTAGACTATGGTGACCAGTTGTTTGGTAAAGCATGAGTCTAGATGTTCCTGTGAAGGTACTTTGTAGATGTGATTAATATTTACAATCAGTTGATAGTAAGTAAAGTAGATTATCCTCCATAATGTGGATGGGCCTTGTCAAATCAGTTGAAGACTTTCAGAGTGAAGACTAAGGTTTCCTAACAAGAAGGGATGTCTGCCTAGAGACTGCAACATAGAAATCCTGCCTACATTTCCAGCCTTCAATCTCAAGACTGCATTATTTCTCACCTGATCTTCAGCCTGCTTGCTTGCCTGATAGATTTTGAACTTGCCAGCTCCCACAGTGGCGTGAACCAATTTCTTAAAATCATCCTTCTATCTCTTTCCCCCTTGCCCTACATAGGTACAGTCATGTACCACATAATGATGTTTCAGTCAACAACTGCATATATGATGATCTTAGAAGATTATAATGGAGCTGCCCTACACAGGTGTACAGTATTTAAATGTTTCACATTGTGTTTCTGCTGTTTCTATGTTTAGATACATAAACACTTAACGTTGTGTTACAATTTCTTACAATATTCAGTACAGTAATATGCTGTATAGTTTGTAACCTAGGAGCAACAGACTATACCATGTAGCCTCTGTGTGTAGTAAATTATAGCATCTAGGTTTTTGTACGTATACTCTAATGTTTACACAATGACAAAATCATCTAATGATACATTTCTCAGAGCATGTCACTGTCATTAAGTGACAAATAACTATAATGTGTAAGTGTGTGGGGTATGTGGATACATACATATACATGCATATGTGTGTGTATATATATAAAATATATAATAGTGTATATATATAAAATATATATAAAATATATAATATATTATAAATATAATGTATAATATATAAAATATATGATATATAATATTATATATTTTATTATATTATACATTATATAATATATAATATAATATATCATATAATATATCATATAATTATATATAAATATATAATATAATATATAATATCATATATTATTAATTATATATAAATATATGATATATTATATATTTATATATAATATATGATATATTATATATTTATATATAATTATATGATATATAACTATATATACATATATATATTTATATATAATTATATGATATATAACTATATATAAATATATATATATTTATATATAATTATATGATATATAACTATATATATTTATATATAATTATATGATATATAACTATATATATTTATATATAATTATATGATATATAATTATATATAAATATGTATAATTATATGATATATAATTATATATATTTATATATAATTATATGATATATAATTATATGATATATAATTATATATATATAATTATATGATATATAATTATATATATAATTATATGATATATAATTATATATATATAATTATATGATATATAATTGTATATATATAATTATATGATATATAATTATATATATTTACATATAATTATATGATATATAATTATATATATTTATATGATATATAATTATATATATATTTATATATAATTATATGATATATAATTATATATATATTTATATAATTATATGATATATAATTATATATATATTTATATATAATTATATGATATATAATTATATATCTATAATTATATGATATATAATTATATATATAAATATATGATATATAATTATATATATTTATATGATACATAATTATATATATATTTATATATAATTATATGATATATAAATATATATAATATATATTATGTATTTATATAATATATATTATATTATTATATAAATATATAATATATGAGTATATATTATATTATTATATAAATATATAATATATGAATATATATTATATTATTATATAAATATATAATGTATGAATATATATTATATTATTATATAAATATATAATGTATGAATATATATTATATTATTATATAAATATATAATGTATGAATATATATTATATTATTATATAAATATATAATGTATGAATATATATTATATTATTATATAAATATATAATGTATGAATATATATTATATTATTATATAAATATATAATATATGAATATATATTATATATTATATAAATATATAATATATGAATATATATTATATTATTATATAAATATATAATATATGAATATATATTATATATTATATAAATATATAATATATGAATATATATTATATTATTATATAAATATATAATATATAAATATATATTATATTATATAAATATATATTATATTATATAAGTATATAATATATAATATAATAAAATATATATCTTATATATAAAATATATAATATTATATATTATATATTATACATTATATTTATATTATATATTTTATATAAGATATATTTTATATATTATATATAATATATAATATATTATATAGAATATATATTATTTATATCATATATAATATATTATATATTATATAGAATATATATTATTTATATTATATATAATATATAATATATTATATAGAATATATATTATTTATATTATATATAATATATAATATATTATATAGAATATATATTATTTATATTATATATTATATATTATTTATATAATATATTATATATATTATATACATTATATATATACACAATATTATATATTTTATATATATACACACATATGCATGCATATGTATGTATCCACATACCCCACACATTTACACATTATAGTTATTTGTCACTTAATGACAGTGACATGCTCTGAGAAATGTATCATTAGATGATTTTGTCATTGTGTAAACATTAGAGTATACGTACAAAAACCTAGATGCTATAATTCACTACACACAGAGGCTACATGGTATAGCCTGTTGCTCCTGGGTTACAAACTGTACAGCATTTTACTGTACTGAATATTGTAAGCAATTGTAACACAACGTTAAGTGTTTATGTATCTAAACATAGAAAGAAACAGCATAAACACAATGTGAAACATTTAAATACTGTACACCTGTGTAGGGCAGCTCCATTATAATCTTCTAAGATCATCATATATGCAGCTGTTGATTGAAACATCATCAATATATTATATCATCAAAAATATAATATATTATATATATAAAATATGTATATACATACAGACACACACACCGTTTTCCTTTGGCATCTGTGGGAGATTTGTTTGAGGACCCCCTGCAAATACCAAAATCTGTGACTGCTCATGTCTCTGATGTAAGATGGCATAGTATTTGTATGTAACCTACAAACATCCTGTGGTATACTTCAAATTATCTCTGAATTAGTTATAATATCTAGTACAATGTAATTACTATGTAAATAGTTGTATTGTTTTTTAAAGTTTTATTTTTATCGTTGTATTGTTATTTACTATTTTTTTCTCTGAATATTTTCCATCTGCAGCTGGTTGAATCTGCAGTTATATATAATAATTATAGAATCTATAATAATTATATATAATGTAATTATAATAATATATAACATTGCTATAATACAATATAATAATATGAAATATCTATATGGATTTCTGAACTACTGAAGTATTATAGTTTGGGAACTGCGAAAACTTCCTCAGGACTCCTGAAGTCCTTCAGAATTCTAAAATTTCAAGCATTCCTCATTTGCACATATGGATGATGGAACCCTGCCTTGAGTCAGGCCTACAGTCTGGTACCTGGTTCAGGAGCAGGATGTGACTGAAGAGTAGAATCTTAGCCAGTGAGGCTTCCCTCTGTAGACTTGCTCAGCTGCCTCCCTGTGGGGCCATGGCTCCAGGGAGCTCCATAGCCTGCATCTCTGTTTGTCTTCTGGATCTGTCCTTCCAAACACCTGGCAGAGGTGATGGACTGCCCAAGTGATACTGTTTCTCTATTACTTCTTTTTGTTTTTGTTTCTGAGATGGAGTCTCACTCTGTCACCTAGGGTGGAGTGCTCTGGCATGATGTCAACTATCTGTAACCTCCGCCTCCTGGGTTCCTGCCTCAGCCTCCCTAGTAGCTGGGATTACAGGTGCCTGCCACCATGCCCGGCTAATTTTTTTGTATTTTTAGTAGAGACAGGGTTTTGCCATTTTAGCCAGGTTGGTCTCACTCCTGACCTCAGGTTATCCATCCACCTCACCTCGGCCTCCCAAAGTGCTGGGATTACAGGCGTGAGCCCCCGCACCTGGCCTTGTTTCTCTATTACTTCTTGAGACACAGTTATCTCCAGGTAATCCTACAGTGGCAGTTATCCATCCATCCATCCATCCAACATAGATTTATCCAGCACCTTCCTTCTACCAGCTCTTGTTCTGGTTGCTTCTGGGGGAGGGCACATGAATGCACAGATAAGCTATTTTGGAGCTCTGTGGTCTAGAGAGGTCCTACCCTTGAGGCCCACAGAGGGAAATTCTAATCTCCTTTTCCCCAGACAGCCTCGGCACTGCTGACCATCTGCTTGTGTTCCTTCTTGCATCTCTTTGGACGCAGGAGCATGCTTAACAGCACTGTGGCTTACCACTGTTGCCATCCTTGGCTACATGTCTTCCTGTTCCATCTTGACAGTTGAGGGTCTAGGAGTTCTTCAGGGAACCCCCGCTGGGGTTTGCAGTCATCTCCCTTTCCCACTCCTCTCTGGAATTGGCTTGCTAGTAGGAACTGATGTTGACCCATCCCTTTCCCTGATCCTCAGGCTGTTTGATCATGACTGTATTTCTTGAAGATTCCTTTTCTTCTGGTGTGATCTTTTTTGAGGACCAGCCCCAGCCTGGAGGCCCAGACAGAGCTCTAGAGAAAGAGCATCTGGACAGACACATCTGCTATCCCACTGGCCTCACTGCTCCCACTTCGCTCTCAGGCCCAGGCTCTTGCTGCTCAAATACCACCATGGCATACCTGCATCCGTGGTGGTGGCGCGAGCCAGGCTTCCTGGTCTTTCCCTTCCCTTCTGGATGTAATTTCATGTCTCCCCGTTGGAAAAGAGATTGACATGAAAACCAAAATTAAAATACTGTCATAAGTGCCAGGAAGCGGCAGCTATAGTTTTCTGTACGGCCTCCTGGAGCCTGAGGTGGCAGGTCAGGTCAGGTTCAGCAAAGGTCTGCGAGCGAACGGGTGGGAAATAAGAGATCTGAGTGGTAAAAAGGAGTCAGAGAGATAAATGGACGGTGGGGAAAAGAGTTTTAGGCACAGTGAACACCAGCTGTGGCAGCACAGTGAGAAGACATTGAGATGTGGTCAAAAACCTGGACTCAGTTTGTGTAGCAGGAACACTGGGCAGGAGAGATAAAACACTATGGGGTCCAGCACTTTGGGAGGCCGAGGTGGGCGGATCACTCGAGGTCAGGAGTTTGAGACCAGCCTGGCCAACATGGTGAAACTCCAGCTTACTAAAAATACAAAAATCACCCGAGCATGGTGGCACGCACCTGTAATCCCAGCTACTTGGGAGACCAAGGCAGGAGAATTGCTTGAACCAGGAGGCAGAGGTTGCAGTGAGCCGAGATCATGCCACTGCACTCCAGCCTGCGCCACAGAGCAAGACTCCATCTCAAAAACATAAAAATAAATAAATAAATAAAAAACACTATGGGGCTGTTTCTCATCCTGGAGTACAAAGAGAAGCACCTTAACTTGACATTGCTTTCTCAGAGAAGTGAGGCTTCTCTAGTGATGACACTTTCTGGCACCCTGGCATCCTACCTGCGTAGGGTAAGATGGATACCTTCAAATTACCATTTCTTGTTCCACTCCCCTTACACAATGAGCTAGTTCCTAAAAATTTGCATTGCAAAATCATGAAGATACTCTAACTTCAATTCTGTGAACACATACACGAGAAGGAAAAGAAGCTGGGAAGCACATATGCAAAAGGTGGTCATTGGTTAAGGTGAGTGCCGTTTGGTTGGTTTAATTCTTGGCTTTATTTTTTGTGTTTACTTTTGTTTACTTAACTTTAAAATTATATTTAAAAATTATATTTGAGTCATATTCAAACAGCTCCTCCCCCAGTACATATTCTGGGTCTAATTTCTAGGTTGCAGCATAAGACACTTATCCTCCAGGTGGAATTAGTCTTGTAGCAGAGGCTCTACTAGGAAGTGATAAGGCCACATACTAAGGTCTCCAGGAATATAGGTGATTTTTCTGCCGGTGGCAAGGAGTGTTATCCCAGATCAGCCTAATAAATTTGCATTCATGGCACCCGTTAGGGTGTCTTCTTTGTGGTGATTGCTAGTTTAGAAAATGGAAGGAAAAATTCAGCAAGGCTGTTTGTGATGTGGCTGCAGAATTCCCTGATGGCTGAGAGTCCCAGAAAGCTGTGTGTCCAGCATACAATATCCTTTGTTTAAGCATCTGCATTCTTCCCCCAAGCAGGCTGTCAGGGAGGCAGTCACACCCCATCTCTCACTCCGTTCAGGCAGGAATCGAAGCACAATTTGGCCTCTTTGTCATTTTCAAAAATCAAACCTGCCTAGGGACCAAGTTCCAGCAGCAGCTGTTTTTGCTTTATGCTTTATTTAAAGACATTTAATTTTGAATCCTGTATGTTTTCAATGATATTTTTAATTTTTGGTAGAGCAGACTGTGTACATGTATAAAATATCCTTGATTTATATAGAGGAGTTCTTTCATTAGCTGACTTTTTTTTTTTAGGATAAAGGCAGATTAATGATCCTAATTAATAACTAAGTGATTATAGCTTTTTATTGTTTTAATTATTTCTTAAAAATAATAGTAATTAAATATCAAATATATTAAATTATTACTTTATGGACAGCTTTGTGTCAGATAGTTTACATACATTTTCTCATCAGGCTTTATCAGAATCTTACAAAGTGGACGGAGAAACTAATGTCCATTTTATGAATAGAGTCTCAGGAAGGGTAAGTGGCTTGTTCAAGTTCTCGTGTCCAATGAGTAGGGAAGCTGAGATTTTTAACCCAGGTATGTCTGATGCCACATAACATACATAATGTGATATTACATGTATACTGTACATGTATATTTATGTGTGTGTGCATACCTATATATTATATTATTTATATGTGATACCCAAACTTCCAAATCACATTTTCTCCTCATCTCTTTCATTTTCTTTTTTCTCTCACTTTTTCTATCTCTTGGCCTCTTCGCTCCTTCTGATGGTTGACTAACCGTGCTGTCATTCATGGGCTGTGATCTGAGAGGACAAAGTGTTAAAGCATTTCCCATCTTATGTGGACTTCCCAGCTCACCTATGCCCAAAGTGGATTGAGCCCCTGATCCTGAGGCCAGAGGACCTGGGATCATATGTCATTTCTTTTTTGTTCTAGCCTCATATATTTGGGCAAGTCTTGCAGCTTCTCTGAGCCTCAGCTTCCTTATCTCATGTGTTGGCTGAGGCTCACAAGAGCTGGTGTCCTGTGTGCCTGCCAAAGTTATCATGAGGATTCAATGTGAGGATAGATGTGAAAGCAGTTTATGAGCTGTAAAGTGCAATGGTCACTCTATTGTGTTCTCTGGGCTGCACGTCCTCTGTGATGAGAGTTTATCTGGGAGGCAGGAAAGTGAGGAAAAAAGGAATCCCTGCAAAGCCAGCCCCACAGATGAGTAGGAATTAGAAAGGTCATGTGGGATCCAGCAAAGCATCCAGGAGGCAGGATTAGTCATCATCCCGAGGCAGAGGCACTTGTTTGTTTCTACTCCAGGAATTTGTCATCGTCACAATTCCACCACTCCCTGCCTCTGCTTATTCTGAACCTGCCATTACTGACCAGCTTATTTCTATTCCTATCTCTCAGCCTTGTGGCTTTTGCTGCCTCATGCCGTTGTCTGTGTCCTGTCTTTTGCACCCAGCCTCCTCTCTGAGTTAGTTCTGCCTTTGTTTGTGTTAAGGACCGCTGGCTCATTCTGTAGGTCTCACACTTCTACTGCCTGGGGAGAAGGTTCAGTTTGCTATCATCAGTGTTGTGCTGGTAATGTTTAATAACTGGTTCTCTGTGGGAGGTTGGGTGGGGGTAGGGGAAACCCTGACACCTGTGTGTTGCCAATTTCCTTGGCACAAATACTCCTACGAGAGATGGTTTCAAGCTGTCAACATAACGTCACCTGGCTCCTCAAATCCTGAAAATGGAACAGTTGGGGCCCATAAGCTAGCATAAGCCAGCTCCAGCATATCACTGTCACCCCTGTCTGCTGCCTCATAGCTGCTGGTCAGTCTAGGGATTGGCTGGTCTTGAACTGGGGTCGTATCCTGGTCCATTTAGCTGTGGTCAAGGTATCAGGATTACACATTTAACTTCTCTCTGAAAGTCCTGTGGACAGAGGAACTTTCCAGTTTATTTGTTTGACTCTCATTTTACAGACGTCTCTGTGACTTCAATAAAATAAGGGGAGAGATAGAAAAGGAGGGTAAGTAAATATAAATTAGAAAATGATTAATGCCACAATAAAGGTGTAAAAGATGTAAAATGAGGGTTCAGAGACAGGAAATGTCACTTGGTGGCAAACAAGGAAGACTTTATGGAGCGGATAACATTTTAACAGAGACTTCAAGAATGATAGGGTTTGGAGAGGTAGAAATAGAGGAGAAGGTGTTCAAGATACAAAGAAAAAGGTTTGAACAGAAGTGTGCAGTGAGGAGGCATGGAATAGGTATGGAGTTTGTGAAGAGGAAAGAGTGATCCTATTAGGAAGAAAAGTTGGACCAGGCATAGTGGCCCATGCCTGTAATCCTAGCATTTTGGGAGGTCACGGTGGGCAGATAGCTTGAGTTCAGGAGTTCAAGACCACCCTAGGCAACATGGTGAAACACCATCTCTACAAAAAATATTATTAAAAATATCTATATTATAAATTATATTGTATTAGGTTGGTACAAAAGTGTGCTTTTTGCAATTATTAATACTTTTAATGGCAAAAACTCACTTACTTTTGCACCAAACTAATACAAAAATTAACCAGGCATGGTGGTACACACCTGTGGCTACTTGGGAGGCTGAGGTAGGAGGATCACCTGAACCCAGGAAGTCGAGGCTGCAGTGAACCATGATCATGCCACTGCACTCCAGCCTGGGCAGTAGAGTGAGACCCTGAGACCCTGTCTCCAAAAACAAAAGTAAAAACAAACAAAAAAATAAAAAAGAAGAGAAAAGTAGAGGACTTTTAGGTGTGTCAAATAAGCCTGAAATATCTTATACTGCTTTTCTGAGGTACTGTTTGCAAATAAAAGTGAAATACAAAATACAAATTATAAGGCTATTATGTATTATTATTACATGGGTCTATTGGAATAGAGTCTTGAGAGCTTATGAGAGTAAGATTTTGTTGAGTCACATAAATTGGTTCTGATCCTCCAGTTTTTCAAATAGATGATACTATTGTGGGTATTAGTTCTTGCACTGAATGGTGTCAGCAAGTTGAGGCAGAGCATTGGTGAGAATAAGACTGGGCTGAATCTGGATGAATAGAGATCCTGCCTTGTTGCCAACTCAAGGAATGACCTGGGCAAGTCATTTCTTTTCCAGCCTCGGTCCCTCCTCATGCCTGTAATCTTGCAGGGTGGTTATTTGATGGTTGCTTTCATAGCCTTCCCACGTCTATAATTACATACACTTGACCTCTTCAACTTTATTTTAAATGAAGTCATTCATTATTTGAGGACTGGCAAAGAGCAAAATTCTCCATGCCCTCAACATGGAGATCCTTCCCTTGAGAAAGAGCTGCAACTGGAAGCACTGCCAAGATTCACATGTCATGGGGGAGGAGAATTCTGGTTAACTGAATATCCTTGTCAAAGTGAAGATTAACTAGCATGATCTATTTAAGCCCTTGATGTTAGCAATATATCTAGAGTGTGCTAGTTAACATCTCTAACTTAGGAAAACAGGAAAATAAGAATTGAGAGCTACATATATACACATAGTGTATATATATATATAGTGTATATGTATAGTGTATATATATAATATATACAGCATATATATAATATATACACAGCATATATATAATATCTATATATACAGCTTATATATCATATATAGGTATATATAGCATATATATAATATATATGCTATATATTATATATACTATATATGCTATATATATAGCATGTATATATACTATATATGCTATATATATAGCGTATATATATACTATATACGCTATATATAGCGTGTATATATACTATATATGCTATATATGTATATATACTATATGTATATATACATATATACATATAGTATATATACATATATATGTATATATACATATATACATATAGTATATATACATATATATGTATATATACTATATGTATGCTATATATATAGCTATATAGCGTATATATAGCTCTCAATATATAGTATATATATAGCTATATATATAGCTCTCAATATATAGTATATATATATAGCTATATATATAGCTCACACTCTCTCTCTCTCTCTCTCTCTCTATATATATATATATATATATATGTATGTATATGCCAGCCTCTGTGATAGTCACTAGGAAACAGAATGATAATAATGGCCATCATTTATTGAACATTGAACATTTTATTCTTTGCCAGGTACTGTTCTGAGAGCTTTATGTGCATCATCTCCTTCAATATTCCCAACAAATATGAAAACTAAGCAAACTGTTATAATGCCTTGTAGTGGGTTGAATAGGGATCATCCAAAAATGATACGTCCATATGCAAATCCCCGGACCTGTGATTGTGGCCTTATTTGGGAAGGGGGTCTTTGCGGATGTAATTAAGTATCTTGAGATGAGGAGGTCATCCTGGATTATCCAAGATGGCCCTAAATATAGTGGCAAGTGCCCTTGTAGGAGACACACAGGGAAGAAGCACACAGAAGAGGAGGCAATGGGACCATGGAGGCAGATATTGGGGTGATACAGCCACAGGCCATGGAACACCCAGAGCCCCCAGATGCTGGAAGAGACAAGACACAGATCATCTTCTACAGCCTTCACGGGAGCATGGCCCTGCCAACACCTTGATATCAGACTTTGGGCCTCCAGAATTGTGCAAGCATGAATTTCTGATGTTTCTGTCCACCAAGTTAATGGTAATTTGCTACAGGAGCCATAAGAAACTAAGAAATACCCATTTTGCAAATATGAGAATGAAGCATAGAAGGCCCAATCAACTTACCTAAGATCCCACAGTTAGTAAGAAATGGTTGCAGGAGATTCACCTAGGCATCCTTAGAGTTTGCTTTCAACTTTAATAGACAACTGCACCTCATAATGTCTCTACCCCTAATGAGATATATAAGTGACCAGTTACTCTGAAAAGTGCAATGGAGACTTGGGGCAGACATAGGGTGCAGCTATAGGAGCACAAGATGGGCATATAACCCTGCTTTTGAGGGGAGGCTTGAGTATCAGGGAAGATATCCTAAGGGAAGTGATGATATTGAGCTGATAAAGATTTTTTTTTTTAATTTAAAAAAATTTTAAGTTCAGGGGTATGTGTGCAGGATGTGCAGGTTTGTTACATAGATAAATGTGTACCATAGTGGTTTGCTGCATAGACCATCCCATCATCCAGGTATTAAGTCCAGCATCCATTAGCTATCCTTCCTGATGCTCCCCCTCCTCCCCATTACCCTCTGACAGGCCCCAGTGTGTGTTGTTTCCCCCGATGTGTCCATGTGTTCTCATCATTCAGTTCCCACTTGTAAGTGAGAAAATGAGGTATTTGGTTTTCTGTTCATGTGTTAGTTTGCTGAGGACAATGGCCTCCTGCTCTATCCATTTCCCTGCAAAGGACATGATCTCATTCCTTTTTATGGCTGCATAGTATTCCATGGTGTATATGTACCAGAGTTTCTTTATCCAGTCTATCATTGATGGGCATTTAGGTTGATTCCATGTCTTTGCTACTGTGAATAGTGCTGCAATGAACATACACATGCATGTATCTTTATAATAGAATGATTTATACTCCTTTGGGCATGTACAAGGCACTTAAACAAATTTACAAGAAGATTTTTTATGTTTTTTTTTTTTGAAGAGAATAAAGTGGGGACATTTTTCCAAGCAGAAGGAGCAACCATAGCAGGTGAGAAAGAGCAGCAATATTAAAAAGATTCAGTAGCTGGTCATACATAGCAGGAAGTTGTGGCTAATGTCTGGGAAGCCCTGACTGCAGATCCCATCTTCTTTCATGCTGCCTTCTGGACCGAGAGGCAGGGGAGGTCTTTGTGTCATGCTTTCCCCATTTCTTAGCTGTCTGACCTCTGCAGATTTGCTTAACCACCCTACACCTCAATTCCAGCAGCTGTCAAAAGAGGATAAAAATAATAGTGCCAGCTCTCTCTAACTCGCATAAGAGTCTGTGAGTAAAATCTTTGTAAATGGAAAGGCTTAGAAAAATATGAGTAATTGTTTATGTGATGAGCCTAAGTTTTTCCTTGGAATTTTATTTTTTGAGATAATCTTCCAGTTCAGCACGTTTTCTTGTGATTTGCTGATTTCCCTTAAAAGTCTAGTAGCATAAGTTTTCTCATTAACAGTTTTTTAGACATGGGCTTATTTTAATATTCCTATCCAAATCATTCCAAGCAGTTTTCAAATGTTTTTCTCAAAAGTCCAGTAAAAACTTAATCCATTGATCATGGATTTTCACTGGACATGTGAACACGAGACCTATATTACATTTGCCTCATGAAAGGTGTTCAGAGACACTCTTTACATTAAATTTGGAGATCATAATAGAAGAGACTCCCAGCACCTCAACTGAACAACACAGGTTTGAATTACTTTAGAACATCAGCACCTAGGTGTGGACTACGTCTTCTCATCCTGCAAACTCTGCAATCCAGCACAGCCATGCGTCTTCAATGGAGAAAATGTGGTTGTTTACAATAGGGTGGTATTTGTTCCTCCCTAATCCCTATCCAATTTTACAATTAAACTTTTACCTTGAAAAGCCTAGCATGGGAAAATAAAGAGAACTATAAAATCAGTTATAAATAAAAGCCAGTAGCACATTTTAAAGGCATGGGTGCCTGCATGTGCAATGTAAAGTCACATCATCTTGTATCCTGTCTTTAAAAAATTGTGTAAGAGGTAACAAGAGGTAGCAGAGCAGAAACAGTGAGAGGACAGTTGTGTAATTAGCAAACAAATCTCCTTTCTTGGAGGGGATATACTGTCTGTATTACATAACTCTGCCAAAGTCTCTACAAGGGTGATGAAGACAGTAGGGTACAGTGGAAGGAAAAGTAGCTTGGGAACCAGGCTATTTTTTTTTTAATGTTCTTAAACTCTTGGGCTATTTGGCATTGGGTTTTTATTACATACAACTGTACCTGTGGCTACAATAGTGGGTGTGTAGGGTAGAGGAGGGGGGAAAATAAATTGAGTATATTCATTTTAGCTAGAAAAAGAAATACAAATCCTAATGCCTTGGAATAGATCATCTCAATCTTTTAAATCATTCTAATTGGATATTTTTAGGCCGATTGTCCATACTTGAACCAATCCCTGAGGTCATGGTAATAGAGTCCTCACATTTGTTGTATTATTTGTTCACTCTGGTAGCCAGGATAATGGAGTGGTCAGTATTGGTGATTCACAATGATTTGCTTCCCCATTAGAAAGATGGGCTTTGTTTTCAGAAGAAGAAATGAGTGCTGGGCAGAGAAGGATAATAGATGTCCAGCAATTCTTTGAAACCCTATCAAGCCTTGATGGTAGGGATACTACAGGATCCATGCTTGTTTCTGTGGTTCCCACCACATGCTCCCCAATCATTGTCTCCCACCTGGAGTCACATCTTATTCTTTGTCATTGAGTGCTTAGCTCCCATTTCATCACCTCTGTGGCACCTTCTCTGGCAGCTCTGATCCATAAAGGCCATTTTCTCTGATACAGCACCGTGCTTCACAGATCACCAGTCCACCATAGCTTGCTGAATCTGAATCTCATCCAATCACTTTTCCAGGCCATTTGCTTCCCTTAATGTGTCTCTCATTTCTTTCTGATTCTCCCTCTTCATTACCACCTTAGCTCATTCATTTCTTTTCACTTGGATGAGCGTATATTTTCTTAACTTTCTGCCTCCAGACTAATTTCTCTTTATCTGCGATTTCTTTCAGGGCAATCTTCCCAAAAGGTACACAGCTCTGGACGTACCAACACTCTATTTAAAAACCAGTAAGGTAGAGTGGAAGGCAGAGCTGAGTGAAACTGAAACCTGGTATTTGCTGGAGGTTTCTTTCTGGAAAGCTGACAGCACACCTCTGACCCTCTCCAAAAGGTCTGATATGAAATATTGCGACAAAGTTGGAATCAACTGGCAGGCATTTCAGTAGATGTGCTAATAGCATGCAACAATGGGAAGGCGCCAAAACTGAACTGAGGTGGTGAAATGAGGTAGAGATAAGCAAGTACCGCAAAAAAGGAGGCAAGAGAAATGGCAAAACTGGGGTGGTTCAAAGAAGGAAACAGGGTTTGATGCCAATGGTTATTGTCTGGCTTATTCGAGTAGTTTTTAAAGGGAGAGGAAGGGAGAGGTGTGTCGCTACCTGCTGGTACTGTGGTGTGCCTTTATTGCGTTTGGACATCCAAGCAGACCTATTTATTTGTTCCCTAAGCAAATATTTATTGAATATGTATTATGTCCTAGGCACTGTGTATCAGAAATAACTGCATATATGAGCCTTGGAGGGTGATTGTGGTTGATATGCATTGACATGGGTGAAAGGGAAGAGACATATTTTCAACTTTGTATTTTTCAACACATCCAGCTGCGTGCTTTCAGCCCAGCAGGTGCTCAAAATAGGTTTACTGAGGTGAAAACCAATTCTTGCCTCTAAAGGGTGTTCCATGGTCTCACAGGAATTAGGAAGGAGTGAGGAGCATCTTTAGTAAATAAACAATGTGCTCATAGCATAAAAAATACAACTTTGGGTTTGTTAGACTTTGCTCTGTCTTACTTATTAATTAGAACCCAAATTTCATTCATGTGATTCTTTTTCTTCTCTTTCTTCTTCTTGCTTTCTTATTTTTTTCTGCAAAATTCTCATCAACACATTTCAATGAGTATAAATGAGGACTCCATGTCCCAGGAAACAGGGTAGCCAAGCAGTGAGGTGGCCGCCGGGGAGGAGTAGGGAGAGAATGAGAGAGAGAGAAAGAGAGAGAGAGAGAGAGAGAGAGAGAGAGAGTTATGATGTCTGAATCTCCTGGTGCTTACCAAATCTGCAGAAAATGACCTGATTGCATGAGAAAGATAAGATTGGTGATAAAAGTGCAGATAAATAGGTGTGTGTGTGTGTGTGTGTATAAATATAGGTATGTATGTGTTTGTGTGTATATATACTCAAAGCATGTTGCTTATAGGGATAATGAATGTCTTTGACACTGAGCCTCCCTCACTGACGAAAAATAGAAAGGTGTTCTGTCTATGATTGGTGTGGAAGTGGAGAATAAAGATGCCAATAGCCATGGGATGGTGGTCTTCATCACAAGGGTGAACCAGCCTAGAGTGAATGGGATGGTGCTGTGACTCTTGGTATTGGCATTCTTCATCCAAAAGTTGGTGTCCCGGGTTTTGGGCAGAAACAGCAGCAGCAGGAGCAAACAGAGGGTGATTTGGTGGACAAGGGAGACAGAGTGAACATTTTGATGTCTCTGGTGATCAGAAATAGCAGCATTGCAATCTAGAGAGCAAAAGAGAAAAGGTGGAAATGTAAACTTCACAGCACCTATAAGAGGCATTCTCCTAGGGCCCAGCAGCACTCTTCTGGGAGCATTTGAAAAGGCTGGGAAGAAGAGGGATGAAAGTTAAGTGTCTGGTCCTCTTTCTCCCTGGCTGGTGGGGCCCAGAGAACAGCCGTTTATTAATTAGAGTTATCCCTGAGGTCTGTATGAATTTCCTCTTCCAGCCATGTGGTGGATAAGATGAGCTGGAAAGCGTTTATACTGTGGAATATCTACATGCTGAATAAATCACAAAGAAACCATACTTGCCTGTGCATTGCTGAGCCCACAAGAAAGTAAGGAATGTCCTAAAAACCACAACTCAAACAAACAAATCATGAGCTGACACTAGAGAGGTGAGTGATTGTGAAGGCAGAGTCATTCTGGGTAAAATGATGCAACCAGGTGCCTGAAACGTTGAGGATTATTGATCATACCAGGTATGAGAAAATGGATCTGGAGGTCATGCAAGGGGGAGGATGCTGGGCTTGAGATGCCCTCCTAAAGGTTTGCTCTCACAGGGTCTAAACAATCAGTGAAAAGCTAGACTGAAGAAACAAAAAAAGCATGTGTGTCACTGCTGTGACTCTGGATAGAATTTAATTAGTGACAATACTGGTCTCCAGTGGAATTTGTTAGCTCTGGTACAGGACTGTTCTCATATGGATCTAGGGTTATTTTAGTACCATCCATAAAGTCAGAGAAAATAAAGCCAATAGCTTAAAGCATCCCTAGTTTGAGAGCCATTCCTATTGTCCAGAAATAGAAGATGCAGAGTACCTTGGGGAGTCAGCATCTTCAGCTTAGAGCCTCCAGGGTGCTCCCAGGTTAACTTCAGGCAAGTAAGAACTCCTAGGGAAAAATGGCAAAACACGCATGGATGACAGTCAGTCTAAACAACTATGAACAGATTTTGACCCCTGAGGTCTTCAAATACTCTGGCATTATCAGGTACAGAAGACATTCTACCTAAGAATACCATGTTTAAAGAAATAAAAGAGAATAAAGATAGCAAGCAACAATGGATTATCATGCATGACCAAACAGATTTGGAAAAAGAATGAAAGGGAACTCTGGAGATAAAAATGTAATTATTAAACTTAAAATCTGATGAATAAAGAAGGGATTTATCATAAGGATGATATGACAGCTAACAGGTACATATCATTTACTATATACTAGACATTGCTTTGCAAACACCCTTGAAGAAAGGAGTGAACTGGAAGTTAGATCTGGAAAAATTACCTTTAGAGACACCAGGAGAGAAAAAATATAAATATGAGTGCTGTGGCTCAAATTTACTAGTGTGGTATCTTAGACGTAAACTTTATAACCCATCTGAGTCTCACTTTCCTCAGCTATAAAATAAAAACACAGAGGAGGTGATTTGGCGGATTTCATTGCGTGACTATTTCTGGAGTTTAGGTTTGTCAACACTGAAAAAGTAAAGTACTAATTAAGAGAGGGTGAGACTGACTTGAACTAGCCTCAATATTTTCTGCATACATTTTTGGGGAATATTTTCTTGGCTTTAAAAAAATCCCATTGTTACGTAGATTTAGAAATTGCATGTATATTTGCATATATTTGCACAATTATAATTTAATGCTTCAAAATAGCATTTTATCTGTTCCAAATCTTATAAATGACTTAGAACCATCTTGGCTTGGGAAGGGAATGTCACTGAGACATCCCACAGCAGGTATTTTCTATCCACCAGATCATATCATTTTCATGTACCATGAGTCACAGCAAATTCATTCATTATTAGAAGCTGATTTAGTAAGTGAATTATCATTTAAAAGTCCTCTTAGTTAGAACAACTCTAATGTTTAGTTCCTTCCAGGATTTAGAATCTTGAAAAACACAATTCTGTATTGGAATGCTGCCCATTTAATGAGATGGTTTGGACAATTGAAGAGATAATGGAATCACAGTTAGTTGCTCATAGTAGATACTTATCCCTTTCAAGTGTTTGTGGTTTGCAAACAACAAAAACAAACTCTGGCTTATTTAAGCAGGAAAGGAATTAAATGGAAGGAAGGCAAGGTAGAAATGCTCATAGAATTGGTAAGAAGGCTGGAGAAACAGCCTTAGAAAGTGGGCAGAAACCACAGGAAGCAAGGCCCAGCCACCACCAACCACAGGCCCAGTCAATGAGGAAGCTGATTGGCATCTCCCAGCTGGAAACTTATCACCCACCAGTGGGTCCTTGAATCAACCTCTTTGACAAATTATCTCCATCACTATTGTGACTCTGTAGTCATCCACATGGTCTGGTGTAGGTCATGTGCTGGAACCCTTGGGACTATGGGGTGGAGAGAGTATGTGGCCTCCTTTGGCTTCTATCCTAACAGAATATTGATATTAATGCAGTCAAGATGCAGAACAATTTCTTCACAGTATTAGTCCATTCTCATGCTGCTATGAAGAAATACTTGATACTGGGTAATTTATAAAGAAAATAAGTTTAATTGACTCACAGTTCCTCAGGGCTAGGGAGGCCTCAGGAAACTTACAATCATGGCAGAAGGGGAAGCAAACATGTCCTTCTTCACATGGCAGCAGAAAGAAGTGTCAGCAGTTGAAGTGCGCGATGCTTATAAAACCATCAGATCTCATTCACTATCAAGAGAACAGCATGGGGGAAACCACCTCCATGATTCAATTACCTCCCACTGGGTCCCTCCCATAACATGGGGGGATTATGGAGATTACAAATCAAGATGAGATTTGGGTGGGAACACAACCAAACCATATTAATCACCAACATGGTGACTGTAGTAAATAACGATATGTTGTACTCTTGAAAAATGCTAAGAGGGTAGATTTTAAGTGTTATTGCCACAAAGGACAACTGTGTGAGGTAATGCATAAGTTAATTAGCTTGATTTAGCCATTCTACAATGTATATATATTTCAAAACATCATGTTGTACATAATAAATAAATATGATTTTACCTGTCTACTAAAAAAATTTTAAAAAGGCAGGATTGCCATTTTAAAAAATCAAAACAATACAGAATGTTCTCCTTTTCATGAGAGATCCCCAAATCCAACTCACCTGAGTTACTTCTTTTAACATTATGATACATACACACATAAACATATAATGTTATTTCCTATAAAAATTAAAGAATACCTATTTCAACAAACATTTCTGAAACTTTTCATGCAACAATCTGAGCAAATCACTTTTTCCATGCACAATAACTTCTATTCTTTTTTGTGAGTCTGTGTCTTCCATACTTTTCCAGCTCTCTCTTCCTCCCCTCCTTTAGGCTGCGAACTCCTTTGCAGATGGGACTATCCATCATTGCTACATCTTCGGCACTTAGCTACATTCCCCATACATGGTGGCTCCCAACATATGTGTGTAGGATGTCAGGAGGACCATATTGTCTAGAAAGAAAAAAAATAGTCCAGTGGAGAGCCTTGCAATGTATAGCAATCTCTCACTGAAGGCAAACCCTAAGATGCCTAGAAACCAGAGTTTCAATCTGACCTTGGGTGGGGAACTGGGAGCAGGAAAATCTCACTTCCCTCTGTAGCTGGCATAGTCTGCCCATTTCCACAGCAGGTCTCCCTGATTCATTCAGAAACAGTCTCCTTGCCTTTCCCTCTGGGTCAAGGAATGGCAAATCCTCTTGAATTGAGTTGCATTGCTGCTTGTTCTTGAAGCTTATTTTCAGAAAGCAAGAAGTCACTTCTAAAAATGCATTTTTGACACAATTCCACAACCATTTCCTCAAAACCCTACTGAGTAGCAGTAGGTGCTGATAACACAAAAACAAATTCAACCACCAGCCATAAATTAATAAGCATTTTCTGAGCACCTACTACAAGCCAAGAAGAGGACAAAACACTCAGGCCGGTCCAAGGTGAGTAAGACGTGGTCCCTGGCCTTTCATAGACAAAAATTTTCTGGAGAAGATATGAGTAGATTACTAAAAACATTGAAGTAAAATAACATGAGTGTTATACCAACAGTGGAAACACCATGTTTGGGGAATGTTGAGGAGGTATCAATTTTGATCATCTTGTGTAAGTGAAACTGACCTAAAGCTTTTTGGAATAATGATACATGTCAGCTACAAAAAAGAGCAATTTCTCTCTTATCTCTCTCTCTCTCTCTCTCTCTCTGTTAATTATAATCAGCAGAAAGGGAGGTTAACTTCTCTGGGCTGTCCTTGGGAGGAAGGAGGAAGTAGAAGGAAGCAGGAGGAGTCCTTGGCTTCAGGGTGAAGGTGACATTTGTAGGGTTGTACTAGATTATTAGAATTCACTAGAGAAACTGGGGATGAGGAGAGAATAGCATGTGCAAAAGCAAAGAGGGGGTGCAATGCAGGTGGTTTGGGAAAAAAGTTAAATCTAGTGTTATTGGAGCACAAATGTAAACCTCAGATTAAATAGCACACTCCAAAAACATGCTTCCTTGGAGAAGAAAGGGGAAAAGTGAATCATTCCTCCATACCATTTTCACTGACAACCTGCCCTAATCAGAACAGCAAACACTCATGTAGCATTTAATATATCCTTGTACTGTTCTGTTTTTCATATAATCTCCTCACAACACCCTACCATATACTATTATACTATACATATTTATTATCTTTTTTCATACGTATAGGCTGAAATGCAGAGGTTAAATGGTTTTGTCACACAGCTGTTAAGTAGTAGAGGGATTTTAATTCAGGCATCCTAGTGGTATTTCCACCCTCAACTGCTGCATTTTACTGCTATATGCAAAGAGCTGTGCCATGCTCTGGAGATACAGAGGTGGCCATGGGTGTGGCTTTACCCTGCTCTCTAGAGCTTACATTCAGGGAGGAGGAGTTAAACACGCAAAAATAAGTGTGAAATTAAGCACCTATTTCCAATTATGAGTGCACTGGAAGTGTAAACCAGAGGGTTCTGGCCTGGAGCGGGGTCACGGCTGCTGAAGAGTCAGGACAGACAGTTGTACCTGAGTAGGTGACAGTCATTCTGTGGCCTGCAGGATGAGCAGGAGTGATCCAGGAAGAAAGGATGGAGACTGTGAGGACAAGACTGTTCCTAGAGCAGAAATCATGCTATGTGAAGGTCTTGGGCAAGAAGAGCAGGCCTCCTTCAATATACCAGCAGAAAGAAGGCTGGTGAAGTTCAAAGCCAATTTTGTGGGGTTTTTCTTAAGTCAAAGGTGGTGAGGAGGTGGAAATCTGATTCTGCAGGATCTGCTTGGATTTTGCTTCTTATCCTAAGAGCAATGGGAATTCTCTGAGTGATTCTAAGGAGGGAATTTGCATGATTTGCATTTTAAAAAAACACACTCAGGCTGTTGTGTGAGGAACAAATTGTGTGTGTGTGTGTGTGTGTGTGTGTGAGAGAGAGAGAGAGAGAGAGACAGAGAGATGGGCAGGAAAGGAGAGCCGAGCGGCTGCTAGGAGGCCTCGTAGGAGGCCAATGTAGTAATGATGGTGGCTTAGACCTGGGGGTGGCTGTGGAGGTGAAGAGAATCACAAAGATTCATGAGATATTTTGGAGATAGGATTCACAGGACACAGAAACTGAGGAGTGATTGCACTGAGGAGTCACTAGGGAGCAAGGAAGCCAGTTTGCTTGAGCTGACTCCCAAATTTCACAGCTCTCTGGAGTGACTGTTGCTAAAATTTCCAGCAAAAGGCAAGGAATAAATATTCTAGGCTTTGTAGACCATATGGTCTCTCGTAACTACTCCACACTGCCGTGTAGTGCAAAAGCAGCCATAGAGGATAGTAAACAAATGGGCAAGGCTGTGTTCCAGTGAAACCTTCCTTACACACAGAAAGCAGCCTAGATTTGGCCTGTGGGTCCAGACTCCTGGTCTGGAGCGTGTGAAGGTCACTGAGAAGTGGTCTCCTGGAGGAGCACCAGCTAGGCAAGTAATTTCTCACATTGTTTCCTCCTCAGGACAATACCATGCAAGAGCCGATATGATGATCTTCATTACCCCTGCCACTACCAATTGACTTCTCCAAGGCCATATAGCAAGCAAATGACAAAGTCAGTGTTTGAGCCCAGATCTCTATTTCCAAGCCCATTAAAAACCTTCCCACCACCACATGCTATCTCCGCTTCCATTTCCTTCTGCAACTGTCCCCTGACAGTGGCAAACTTTGTTTTGCAAGCTTTTTTCACTTTTCCTGAAAGAAACTTTTCCTTTTTGAATGATTTTTTAAACAGTCAAACAAAAAGGGACAGTGAGTCTCCAAACGTGCCATTGCTGCTTTTGTTCAGTACAATAGACTTTATCTTGCTTTGTCCAGTTTCTATGAAGTGGGACATGGGGGGTTTGTTTTCAGGAAATTAGCATCCTATTTTTCTTTTTTTGCTCCTGACACAATTTTTTCTTGGAGATAAACTGTTATTTTCATTCCCTCCATTTGAGCCCCGTGTAGAACGTTTTCTATTAAAATTTAAATAAGCCACTTCAGAGACAGATGAAGATGTGAAGCTCAGATGAGCTGATTCACTAGAATTTGTTCCTGAGAATATAACTTATTTGCTCTTATAGCTTATGCAACTGGGTTTCATAATAGAAGTTTTAAGTGGGCCAGCATCGTGCTGCTACAGTCATTTCATCCGAATTCTCCAGCTAGAACAGCCAATTGCAAAGGGAGAAATGAGGAACATAAACTCTCAATTCCCCTGCCCCAGAGAGATGCAATTATTATTCCAGGAAATTGCTGGCAGCTGACATGTTTTTGAAGACACATTGAATTCTGTTTGTGTGATCCTCAATCAGTATACATTGCAGTAAAATACTTTGCTACTAGCTGACTGTCCGAATTTTTCTCTTTTTCCTTTGATTGAAGTAGGAGACAGAGCTTAACAAGGTGGAGAGGTGTATATGGGATTGGGGGTGCTGAGAAGAGGTGGTAGTGGAAACAGAGAACAGGATGGGTGCTGAAGTAGAACAAAGGCAAGGCCAAAAACTGAGTTGGTGTGCAAAGACCTAAGAGGAGAGACTAGATGACTTCTAAATCAGATGATCTAAAGTCAAGGGATAGAGCAAAACATTCAAAGACCAAGTAGATGAGAGAACTGTAAGTAAAGTGTGGGAGGGGTAGAGCAAAGTGGGAGTTATTCTGAGTGATTACAGAGAAGAGCATAATCCAAGCTGTGTTCCTTACCAATCAGTGTTCTGAAAGAGAGTGATTCTTGGAATAATTTTGAAAATACATGATTTTTTATTCTTGGAGAGACATATTGATAGAGATAACAATGAAAATAATAATAATGATAAAAAGTAAATACATAGATGATTGCTGATGTAAGCCTTATGACCACCTACCAATATGCAATCTTACTCCCTTTCTGGGTATATTGAAAAAATGTATTTTTGCTGTTACTGAAGTTAGCTACAGACAGGTGACTCCTTGGGCCAATGAAATATGAGTAGAAGTGACATGCAGAAGTGCTAGTGTTCACATTTTCTGTCTGCTTTTCTTCCTGCCTCTGTAAGTGATGCCATTTCCAGAATAAAGATGACCCCAACCCCTGCCCCACAGACAGCATGTAATGAACATGTAGGATGAAGAAGTAACTGTTTTTCTAAACCATTGAGATTTTGAGATTGTTTTTTATAGAAGCATAAGCATGCCTATCCTGACTGATAAAATAATGAAACCTAGAGTTTAATGGCTTCATGAAACCATTAAATGGTCACTCCCTATGTGCCATATACTATTCACAGAATTTTACATGTGCTTACACAATAGTGTATTATCAGAAGTTCTGGCATATCTTTAAGAAAATAAGTAGGTAAATAGCATATAGAACAACAGAAACCACTCATTCCTATTATCTTTATTTTTGGCACAGAACCTATTGATGTCCTATGGAACACAATCAGATAACACACACTGAAAAACTCAGGCTTGAAACATGCTCCACTGTCCATGGCTGAGCCGGGATATCACCAGCTGCAGGGAGAATGGAAGCCTTATATAGTGGGCTAAAAGGAGATGATGGGTTTACAATGCTGGCAGTTTCTCTTCTCCCATGCTTGTTTCCATGGCAGTGCCTGAGATGACTAGTGGTTCTTCATTAAAGCATGACTCTGACCCTCAACTAACATTTAGTACCCAGGAGGAGTTTGGAAATAGAGCACTGAGGAAGTCGAAGGTTTGCTTTTTTGGTGGAATGTTCTTCCAAGAGGAAAACTTCCAGGATACTACCTTCTTTCTAACCCAAAACTCCAGGGCAAGATAAAATTCCTTACCTGTTGAATAGCTAGTGGAGCAACTAAGGCTAAGATCAAGAGTTAAGGAAGGGTGATCTTAGGAAGGTAAGGGTCATGTGGCTAAAGCACCCATAGCCAGTACTTCTCTATCCATCATAGTGCTATGATTAAAGTGGTGATGTGATGAAGAATTACAGAGAAGCTGGATGACCATAGCATTGTTCTCAAAATCACTGGGTATCTTGAGGTCTGTCACTGGGCTAGGTAATCAAAAAGGCAATAAGGTTGGATACAGAAGCTGCGTGGGAAGGATGCAGGGCCCTTGTGTTTGTTGTTTCCATTGCTGCAACAAACTTCTCAGGACCATTGCCTGTCTGGCTCTTTCTCATCGTTCAGGTCTCTCCCAAAATGTTGTCTCCTGAGGGGACTTTGCTGACTTCTGAACTGGAAAAGGGCCTGGCTACATCACTCTGTTTTACTTATGCCCCAGAACTCATCACAACCTAAAATTTTCTTATTGATTTATTTATTTATCATGTGTCTTTCCTTAGTAAAATATAAGCACCATAAGCATAGAGACCTTGTTTGTTCAACAACGAACTCCCAGTGTCCAGCACAGTATCTGACACCTAACAAAAGGTCAATCAGTATTGGAGAATGATCAGCTGAATGAATGAATTATTGAGTGAACAGCTGACACAGAAACTAATGGAGCTCCATACAGTGAAACATGCACAGAATGAGCAGAAAGAAATGCTAATGTGATAGCAGCCTAGGAACAGCAGAATATAGAAGTGGGTAAAGTACTCTGTCTATACCATAAGCTGGGGTTGCAGTGTTGCCCAATCCCAAAGGTTACCATTCACATCAAGTGTCACCAAGGCTGGGTTTGGGGCACCTACTCTATACTTTCAGAACCTACATAGGTTAACACTAGCTAAGCGTCCATAATCCAGGAATGTGAAGATTTGCTGACTTACCTACCTCAATAACTAGCCCATATATTCCTAGAACCACTGTGCCTTATTTATAACAGTGTTCAACATATCGAGATGATATTTAGTAAAAACCTGTGGAATGGGTAAATGAATGAATAATTATGTTACATAGACAATTCCCTTGACATCTTAACCCAATTGCTAACTCCTCTAGCTTTAGCCTACTGCAGAGTTTGGGTCCAGAATGGCAAAATGTTTCATCATGCATGACAGACAGGCTACTGTTAGTGGCTACTTAAAGGGATGCAAAGAAAAGGGACTTAAGGCTGATTCTAGTGTCAAATGAAAAGGAATACCATGATGGATTAGTTATGTCTGCAGTGGGCAAGGGGCAGAGGAATAGCATGAGATCCCTGTATTTTCTAAGCTGACTTTGTGGCCATGGACACTTCCTCATTAGTAAAAATGACTCCAACTTGACTCAATTTTTTCAACCATCGCTTTGTAGTCAGTATATCAATCCTATGCATAAATCACAGTTTGTGGGTTTTAAACTCTCCTCCTTGTATTCTCTTCTTGTTAAGACATATTTAATACTGTATACCACAGCGAGAGCCATATTCCAGAACAAGAAAGTGACATAAGGAAATGTGAGTGGGAAAAGAAAAAAAAAAAGGTAACTTGGATGTTTAAAAATTGGAAAGAAAGAACAGGAAAGAGAAAGAGCAGGAAGAGTAGGTTAAAAGAATGGCTAAAAAAAAAAGATAGAATGCAAATCTTTTCTTGAGTAGAAATACCAGATGTGAGGCTTTAAAATAGGCCTATTAATACCTGACCCCTCTGAAATCAGAGGGCTAAATCAGATGTTCACCTGAGATTTTATCAGCTTTATAAGTTAATGAGTCTCTTGGTTCATTAAAAAAGAATCTCTTTCCTAGTTTCCTCTCCTTCTCCTCTCTTCTCCCATCCCTCCCTCCCTCTCCTCCCTCCCTCCCTTCTTCCTTCCTTCCTTCCTTCCCTCTCTTTTCCTCCCTCCCTTCTTTTCTTCCTTCCTTCCTTTCTTTCTTTTCTCTTCCAAGGTCTAGGCTAGAGACATCTTCCTTGAGCACATGGGAAAATAAACATTTGAACAAAATCAGGGATTTGCCATGAAGAAAGAAGAAAACAGAGTTGAGGGGTTAGTTATGCAGCCAAGAATGTCTGCTGTCATTCACATTTATATTTCAAAATCTCAGCCAACTGCCACTTACTTAGTAGGTCTTCTGAAATAACCATGGCAAGAAAACTCCATTCTTTCTCATACTTCCAGCTGCCTACTCAATATTTTCACTTGGATGCATGTAGACAATTTAGACTCAAGAAGCCTGAGACTAAAATTAGTCTCCCTTATCTAAAATCTGCTCTTTTCCTTTTGTTTATTTTTTCAGTAAACGGTGTCACCGTTCTTCCAATTTACTCAAGCTAAAAGCTTCAGAGACCTGTTAAATGTCTCACTCTCCCTCATCTCCAGCATTAAATTGGTCTCCAAATTTTGCATAGCTACATGTTGACCTGATGCCCTCCACTATATTTTGCTTCTGCTGCTGAGAATTTAGCTCTTATGCCCTCTTACCTGGACACTACATCTGGTCTTCCTGCCTCCAGACATACTTCTTTCCAATCTGTCTTCCTTATGGTGTACATTATGGTCAACCTTGCATGCATACGTAACAGATTCCCTCTCCTGCTTGTAACTCTTCAGACACCTTTTGTTATGGAATGGGTTGTGTCCCTCCAAACAGAAATGTTGGAGTACTACCCCTCAGTACCTCAGAATGTGACCTCATTTGGAGACAGTGTCTTTACAGAGAGAATCAAATTAGAATTTGTCCATTAGGATAGGCACTAATCCAATATGACTGATGTTCTTATGCAAAAGGGAAATCTTAACACAGACATGCACACAGGGAGAGTACTTAAGGTGAGTGCAGAGATTGGGGTAATTGCCAGCAAACCACCAGAAGCTTGGAGAGAAGCATGACAAAGATTCTTCTTCACAGGGCTTAGAAGAAACCAACTCTGCTGTTACCTTGTTCTCAGACTTTCAGTCCCTAGAACTGTGAGACAATACATTTTTGTCCTTTAAGCTACTCAGTCTGTGGTACTTTGTTAATGGAAGCCCTAGCAAACTAGTGCACTTCCCCTTGCCTACTAGGTAAAACCCATGTCCTTTATCATGATGTAGAAGGTAATCCAAGATCTGGTTCTGGCCCATTTTCTAGCATTTCTCACCCTTCTGTCCTTGAGAGATGGCCTATATAGAACCTTCTCAGGGTTCTATGAACACAACTCTATTTTTATTGTATATATTCCTTTATTTTCTTGTTACATCACATTTGTCCTTTGAAAGTCAGATCAACTGCCATCTTTTCACAGAGGCCTCTTCAACCCTGTCTCTCTATAGGGAGTGTTCTCTCTTCTGTTTTCCCCTAGCACTTGTGCAAGCCTCCAGTGAAACACTTACTCCATTGGGTTATGTTTGTCTTTGTTTTAAGTATCTCTGTCTAGACCGAGAGAACATATTGGGTGGAGATCACTTCTGACTCACCTTTCCCTCTAGTGTCCAGCCCAGGGAGGTGGCTTATGAGCTCCACCAATCCATGCTGGATGCTACTAAGTAACTGGGGATTCGAGTGTGGACTCCTGGAAAGTGGGCTGGACTAAGGTGGTGAGAACTTGGTTCTGTGTTTACTCTGCTGCTAATTTGCTGGATAATCTAGGGCAAATTCCCTCATCTCTTTGGGACTCTGCTTCTCTATTTGGATGATTTGTCAGATGATCTTTAAGATCATCTAAGTATTGAATGAATTTCAGGCAGATGTAGGTAAAGGGGCAACGTTTCCTCACCGAAGGGTCTGCTCAAGCCTTCCACTTGTTGCTGTGAAAGCAGCCATTTCCTTTGCTTACTGGCAAGGCTGATCATAACCAAGAGGTACAAGGTCACTATGGCTGGGTTTATAGTTACAGTTGGAGTTTTAAATTGAATGGCCATTAAGAACATTGTCTGGGCTATTTAGAGCCACTCCCTCTTTTGCCACTCCATCTTTTGCCAGCAGAGATCTCAGGGGCAGTTAGGAGGAAGGTGCAAGAGGAAATGGAACTGCTTTCAGCAAGATACCTGCAAAACCTGAATGGAAAAAAGCCTTAGGGTAGAAAGTAGAGCTTCTTATTGCACCCATGACCCTCCTCCTTCTCTCTCAGCACTTGCAATCTCTCCTCAAAGCAATAAAAGTCTCACTTGGTGAGACAGAATGTCTCTCCATTGTTAAGCTACCTGAGCTTTGGGTATCCAGGGTTTAGACTATACCAAGACTGTCACAAACCTGGTGAGCTTGATTTTGTGATAGGGTAAGACAAAAGTCTTTACTTCTGCAATGTTGCCAAATTGTGGTGATTACTGATAAATTTTCACATGGGAAATTCTTGGCTGGCTTTGCCATTAGTGAAAGCTCCCTTCACTTCAAAACTATTCCTTGGGGGATCCATACCTTGACAGCCTGAAGCAGTCTAAGAAATTGTTCCTATGCTCTATGAGTAACTAAAGATGGCTCTGCGTGTGTGTAATATAGACACTTTTTTCCTCTCTTCCTAAGATGTCTAATATAGTATTTGGTTTATAGCTTGCTAGCTTGTGTAAATCATTTTGTCTCCATGGACTGTAAAGTGGGTATAATCATGTCTTCTTACCCTTTACTTTTTACTTCTAACAAATCCCATTCATTTATCTCATCTAAAACCTTTCACTCAATGATGTTACTTCTAGTTTTAATACCTATAACTGGTTGAAATAAAATTATGGTTTTAGCTTTGCAAAAGATCATTTATTTAACTGACTTTAGTGAAAAGAAAGTGCTATTAAACTCTGCACTGTCATAGGTCTGGTAGTGACAAACTTGGGTCCTTCAAAGGCTCTGGTTTGAATAATAATTCAGTGACATTTCTTTCTAGGTTACCCTGCAACTTTTTCTTCTTTACTGGCCATTTCATTTTTTAGAATAACCAAGGAAGTTGATATTATCACTTCCATCTATCAGTTAAGATTAATGATACTCAGGGAGAATAGATGATTGTTCCAACATCACCAAGTGACAAGAAGCAATCAGTACCGAGAGCAGGGTCTTCTAACTCCAGGTCCAGTACTCTTTCCACTACAGACAGGATTGCATTCACCATGTCTTGGAGCTGTTCAATGCTTTATCTTAACACAGAGTCAAAAAATATATTAAGTGCTTGTTATAAGACAAGCTCTCTGATAAATGCTAGATAACTCCCAATCCCTCCCCTGAAGAAGCTAACAATTGAGTAGTAAAGATAAGATTTCTGCAGAAATAGCCCCAATACAAAGCAGAATATAAATAGCTTATGGGTTAGAAAGTTCTTAGATTGTCTAGCTAAAGAGTTTGGAATTTATTGGTAGGTCATGAGGAGCCACTGACAATTTGTTGAGTGTCCTGTATCCACTGAGCTTTTAAAAAATGGGATGAGTTTAGAGCAAGGATTTACACTAAAGAAAAATGAAGGAGGACAAGCAGGAGGCAATGACCTGTTCAAGTCGCAATGAGTGAGAGGGCAGAAATGGAACTTCCAAGAGATCAAAAACATCCTCCACCATGCCCTTCCCTCAGTTTCTATTGTGCAGTTGAGTGAAAGTTGGCTGGGAAGGAAGACAGGAGCTAGCAGGCTACAGGGGCTAGCTGAACTTTGGTCTTCCTCTCTGTACCATTGTGCACACACCTGCTGGCTCATAGAGCCTACTTCACTCATGTCACTTTTCTTCTTGGCTCTTTGAGAGTGGACTAAACCATGCCACTTGCTTTGGACAATGGGTTGTTAGCAGATCTGACACAAGTTATATCTTCAAATGGCCTTGAACTTTGGGCTTTGCTCTTCTGTGCCTCTGTCATCACCAGATGAGCATGCCCAGGCTATTAGCTCAGAGTAAGAGGGCACTGCAAAGTTGCATAGCAGAGAAAGGGGGTAGGGGCAGGGGGAAAACTGGGGCCATCATTGCAATTTTCCAGCAACCTCTGCCCTCATGCCCAACTTTCATACCATACCATACTGTCTTTCTGTAGCACCTACACTGTATCCTGCTCATTTTATCGAGAGCTACCACATGTGAGTTGACCAAACTCTTGATCCTAGCTGTATCCCTCCTTCAAGCACAGCTGAAGTATCATATTTTCCAGAAGGTAGTAAACACTTCTAAATCCTACTAATGGTGCTTTTCTCTGGGTGCCTAGCACAAGTATATATTGGCACCTTGTTTAATATACTGTATCTTGATGAATGCCTTATTTGAATATCTCCTTCAAGCAAATATGTAACAGACAGAGAGTCTAGGGAAGAGGCAGAGAGAGCATGTGAAAGCCCCAAGTAGCCAGGAACTCCTAGGGTCAAAGGGGTCTCCACCCCCAGACACTTAGAACCTCTTCAAAGTTGGTTCCTTAAGAACTCCAGTAAAAGGACTTATGCAAGCAGGAAGCAAAGAGCTAAGGCCTGTGAGCCTTATATACAGGGGCAGAGAATAGGAAATGAAATTGTGAATAGATATTTGGTGTAACAACAAACTTGAATTTATGGACAATCAGAACACAGTGTCATTGTCAAAAATATTAATACATAACAGTTTTCTGTGCTGGTAACTTATTTTGTGCCTTCCAAGTGGATGTTTTAACTCCCACTTAACAGATGAGAAAACTGAGACTTAGAAAAGAGAAGTAATTTCCACAAGATCAACCAGCTAGAAGCAGAAGAAATAGCATTCAAATCCAGACCTGCTTAACTCAGGGCCCAGTGCCTTTCTGCTGTGCAATCTCCAATGTCTGTTGTCAGGCCATTTCTAGCTGTAAAACGCTCTCCTCGATGTAGGCCATGCTGTTCCCCATGGGGCCACACCAGTAGTTAGGGATTATGATAGGAAGGCAATTATAAAGTGTCTTCAGAGAACCTGTCTGTAATCCCATGGGCAGACAAGCATACCTGGTTCCTTGAGTCCCACTGTCGACCTGCCCCACATGTCCCAGCAGGCCACAGCATTGGCTGGTAGAGCACAAAGGCACTTACTAGGGAGGAAGAAGCTGAGATTCTAGTTCTGGCTTGACTCTGTGACCGTAGACAAGTCACAGACCTGTCTGGATTTGAGTTCCTTCAACTATAAAATGAGGGAGTTGGACCACACTCAATTCAACAGAAAACTATTTGGCACGTACTAGAGCTAGTGAGTGAATCAGGGTGAAGAGAGACATGGTGGGGGGTGGTCAGTCTTTGCTTTCAAGTAGCATATGGCACACTGGGGACAAGAACACATGCCCAGTTCCCCTAACACAACTCAAGCTCAGAGGTGAAACCATACTGTGGGACATCAAGGAAAGAGACACCTGTAGGGAGGTTTGGGAGGGGAAGTTTGCACCAGGAAATTAACAGGCAAAGAAGGCCTCAAGGATGAGTGAAATTTCAAAGACAGACAAGAGTCTTATGTCATCTAAGTATCCCCAGAGTGTAGACACACACACGCACACACACACACACACCTTCCCCTTTTTATAATATTTTTTTACTACATATAGAATAAGAAATATATTCAGACAAGAAAAAATGAAACTATGTAAGCTGAATAGTGTCATTTGACCTTTTATCTGAAAATAGAACTCTTGGCAACATAAAAGAGGGACATAATATGATATTTTAGTGTATCCATTCTCAAAATATAAAAATAATCTCTTTTCTTCCAAATGTAGCCTTTCTTTTCCCTGCAAAACGATGATGATATTAATGGTAATATTAATAATACCACTCATTAACCTATCATTATATACCAGGTAGTGTACAAAGTACCTCACACATTTTATCCTTCTTTAACCTCACCACAACTTTGTGAGGTGATGTCTCCATTTTATAGAAGAGCTTTAGAAAGTTGACAAAAACTACTCAGTTGGGAACTCAGGCTTGACCAACTGAAAGTCAAGTACTTAACTAGCCTCCAAGGATGTTAGAATGTAGTTCTAGAGGTCTTCACACCGCACAAAGAACAAGACTTCTAAATGTCATAGGATCCTTCCATGAGTTTAAAGGGCTTCCAATGATGTAACTTTGTGTATAGGGGATGTAATGGAGATAACAATGGGGCCATCTCAGCCGGCTGTTGGCTGCTGTGCCTGTTGCAGTCCTGAGTTGACCTGCCTGACAGCCTTGAATGCCCGAAGTTGCAACAGGCACCCTGGTCAATGACCCCTGTTGTGTTGCCAGCCAACAGCCCATAGCAACTGCCAGCCATGTGCATGAGCCATCTTGGGGCCATAGTTCAGGGAAGCCTTTAAGTCAGCTCAATGGCCAACCAACTACAACCACATGACAGACCCAACAGAAGAACCTACCAGTGGAGTCCAGTCAACCCCTAGGACAAAAATAAATTGTTTTGTTTTGGGTAGTTTTGTTACATAGCAATAGATAATCATAGCAGTACATTGAGTTGGGTTGAATTTTAGGCCTAACACAATTTTTCAAATTTTTTTTCCAGGAAATGGATTTTTGGCTTTCAAATTCAAATTCTTAGGTGGGAAAGGTTGTCTTTGATTATTACATAATAGGTCGCCTCCATTAGATGTTGGCAGTGAGTATGTTTTCTGCATCTATATTGGCAAGAGACTCTGTGCAGACGACATTTCAATAGATTAAGGTTTGGCAAAACCATTAGTGTATTTAAAAAGGGGGAAAACATGGTGTCTGGTGCCAAAGGACTTTTAAAGATTCCTGGAAAACAATGAAAAAATATTTAGAAATATCGAGAGTAGATTAGGTTATAGAGTAAAGTGCAATTCGGTGTTTTAACAGGCAAATCATGTCGGCCATTTCTAATTTTCTCATATGATAACATTGTGGACCAGTAGAGTAAAAGGAAGTAGGCTTAAATTCCTGAATCAATTTGTATTTGGTCATGCTATATTATTCTTTTAAACACCCATAGATTATGCAGCCTTGTGTCTTAGCTACGGTTTGTATAGAGATCCTTTATTACGTTTCCATTTTTTTCTTTTTGTTTGTTTGTTTTTTTCAGATTCTAACATTTTGCTGGCTTCATGAAGGAATGTCGAGGTTTAGGTTTTAATGATCTGGAACATTCTAAAAGATATTTGGTTGATTTGTCTTCATAGGCTTGATAGAATTCTCTTGTGAAATACTCTTGACCTAAAATGTGTGTGTGTGTGTGTGTGTGTGTGTGTGTGTGTGTGTGTGTTGTGAGAAAGTAGGCATAAAAGAGAAGAGAAGTCAATGATGACTCTAGAATTCTGGCTTGCATATTTGTTTGGCTAGTGTTGCCATTGCCTGAAATAGGGAGCTCTGAAAGAAGTCCAGGCTTAGGTGAAAATCTCATGGATTTGATTTTAAACAAATGTTGACTTTCAGATTTTGCCTGACGAGGAGCCTCAGAGTAGCATTGTACTTGTCAGAGACGATGACTAGGAAATTTGTGCAGAAGCTGTGTTTAAATGTTGTATTAGTTTGCTAGGGCTGCTACAACAAAATACCCCAAACTGAGTTGCCTGAACAATAGAAATGGGTTCTCTCATAGTTCTGGAGGCCAGAAGTCCAAAATCAAGCTGTTGGCAGGGTTCGTTTCATCTGAGAGAAGGATCTGTTCTGGGCCTCTTTCCTAACATCTGATAGTTCCTTGGCTTGTGGTGGCAAAACCCAGTCTTCATATGGCATTCTCCCCGTGTGTCTGGGGACACCCATCATATAAGCCCACTCTAATGACTTCATTTTAACTTCATTACCTCTGTAAAGCCTGTGTTTCCAAATGAGCTCACATTCTGAGATACTGGGGTTAGAACTTCAACATATGAATATTAGGGGGAAACACAATTCAAACCATAACAAATATCAAACATACTCTCTTAATTTAAATTTTATTTTTATTTTGGGGTAGCTATTGGGGTGGGGCTAATGAAGATTATTTGGAGGAAATGTTCCCCACCCACCAGCCACTCATTGTTGCTGCCAAAAATTTGCTGCTGTGTATTCAGGTGACTTCAAGATATTCAAAAGCATATGTTATGCTAAGTGAAAGAAGACAAGCACAGGAGACCACATATTGTATAGTTCAATTTCTATGAAATATTTGGAATAGGCAAATCCATGGAGACAGATTCATGGTTGTTTAAGGCTGGGGTTGGGGCTGGGATGTGGAGCACAGCTAATGGATATGAGATTTCTTTTGGGGGTGATAAAATGTTCTAAAATTAAATTGTGGTAATCAACATATAACTGTGGATATATTAAAAACTACTGAATTGTAACTTAAATTGGGTGAGTTGTATGATGTGTGAATTATATCTCAACAAAGTTGTTAGACATTGTCAGCAGGTGGATGTAGGAATATTTGACTAGATGAATTTTAATGTTCATTTCAGCCATGAGATTCTAAGATCCTACATTCCTTTATTGTTCTGAGTCTCAGTTTTATCATTTGTAGAATGAGGAGACTGGAGTCTATGGAATAGATGATTCCACTTATAACTGAGCTGAAAAACATCACCTGACATCCTTATTTTACCTACAGAGCAGACTAGTTTAGAACATGGACTTTGGAAGCAACATACCTGGATTTGAATCCAGTTCTTTCATGGCTCTGCAATTTTAGGCAAGTTATCATACTTCTCCCAAGCTTGCTCTCCAAAAAGGAATATGGAAGGGATGATACAAGTACTACCTTCTTCATAGGGCTGTTGGAAGGATTTAATGTGATAATATTCTAAAGGGCTCAGCAAACACTTGGCACATGGCAAGTCACTACAAGAAGGTAGCTATTAATTTCCTATGGCCAAGACTAATGGCTCTACTTCATTAGTGGACCAGATAATTCTTTTTCAACAGGAAACAGACCATTGTGTTGTCCTTTCTAATTTGATGTTCTATCATTTATACATCGCACGCAATTTTTAATTATTAATTCAGCAGCATCTGTGTCAGTCCAGAACATATTTTCCCTCACACCCCTCCTGCAGTCTGGTAAGATCTTTGTGTTATCAAATAATCAGACTGCCTCTGTTTACAAGAGGCACCAAAAGCCAGATCTGTAATCATTAAAAGCAATCCTGATGGATGTAAATACATCTAGTTAATATTTATTGAGCACATATTTTGTTCAAAATATTATGCCAAGCACAGAGGGAGCTGCAACGATGAGCAATATAAAGATGTTACTCTCACAAATCCCATGGTTTAATGGGGAAGACACCCCCATGTATTAATTCAGTGATACATCAGATATTATTAGGGGAATGGAAAGATATGTCGTACAGTGCATCTTGTTGAGCTCAATAATAGATGTATGAAGTAAGTGCTGAGGACACCTGGAGAAAGAGGTGATTGAGTCAATATGGAGAGGAGATGCCTGCCAGGTGGAGAGGTGAATGAGGCCATTCCCAGTTAAAATCAGGGAATAAACTGAATTTCTCATCATTCAACAAACAGCTCATGCCCATTCATGGCCTGCATTTCTGATTTGGAGACCAGGGAAGGCTTCATGTCTAGGTAGAGCTGCTTCTGGAATGACGAAGTAATATTTGGATATTTAGAGAAGAGACTAGGGAGGACGATCATAGAAAGGGAAGATACGATCAGATTATGAAAGGCCTTCATGCTAAAACACTGAGATCACAAAAACTCATAAAGGGGAATGACAAACCCAAAATTATGCATAAATGTGGCTGTGCACATGCTGGAAATAAAACACACAAGTGGCTTTTTTCCCACTTTTCACTTAGTGTTCTCAACCCAGAATTTTGTGTGCATTGATCAGGAAATTGCTCTTTTTTCCTAATAGGTAAGTATTTGAGCAACAAGGCAGCATGTAGTTTCAACATCAAGCTCACTGCTGACTCATTTTTCTCTCAGCACCTAAGCTTTTCATTGTCAGTAACATTAATTATACCTATCATTCACTCTAACATGACCTTTATTTTTTTCCTCTTTATAACATTCTCTCCACATGGGCTCATGTTTGGGAGGCTGGAGACTGGTGATGTCAGCCCTGAGTTTTCATCATGTGGCAATCAGAGCTCTAGAAGCACAGGTCAGACTTTCAGGCTCTTCTGTTGCTCTGCCTCCAGCATTACGTGCCTGAACTGAATTGGCAAGCCATTCTCTGCTACCAGGATGCAGAAAATCAGGTTCCTAATTTGCCAAACAATTCTTCATTTCAAAAGGTTAGGGCAAGATTTGCAGAAGAGAGTTGGAAGGAACAACCATTTATTAAGATATCAGTGAATGAATGTGGACAGTGTGCTCCAAAGACCCGTATTTGAATCCCAAATCTGCCACTTATTTTCTGGGTAACTTTAAGCAAATTGCTTCCCTGCTCTGAGGCTCTGTTTCTCCCTCCTCTAGAGAATGAGGATGGTATTATTTATCCTGCAGGCTTGCTGTGTGGCTTGAATGAAGTTCTCACTGCAAAGCATGTGATCCAGACTTGGGCACAAGGTTGACTCCTACTGTCAAAGGCTCAGCAGAAATGACAGCTATGGTGAGCTTTCACCTCCTGCAGGCTTTAGGAAACCAGTGTGTAATGGGAAAATAGAGTAAAAACGACTGATATGGTTTGGCTGTGTCTCATCCAAATCTCAACTTGAATTGTATCTCTCAGAATTCCCACATATTGTGGGAGGAACCCATGGGGAGGTAATTGAATCATGGGGGCCGGTCTTTCCTGTGCTGGTCTTTCCTGTGCTGTTCTCGTGATAGTGAGTAAGTCTCACAAGGTCTGATGGGTTTATCAAGGGTTTCTGCTTTTGCTTCTTCCTCATTTGTCTCTTGCCTCTGCCATGTTAGAAGTGCCTTTCGCCTCCCACCATGACTCTGAGGCCTACACAGCCACGTCGAACTGCAAGTCCACTTAAACCTCTTTTCGTTCCCAGTTTCAGGTATGTGTTTATCAGCAGCATGAAAATGGACTAATACAACTACCCTTGAAAATCCCTTAAGCCAAATGATTGCATATATGGTTTTATGCCCATGAAAATAAGGTCGCTTCTGGTTAGCGGCCAAAGTGAACAAAAACCAAGTAAACAAGACATATATTTTAGAATTAAGATCATATTGATCATAGAACTTATTCACCATGTTAGATATGCAGGGGAGTAAGAAAGTCCAGGGCCGACCTCATGGTTGTGCATTCTGTGCCATTGTAAAGGGCCTCACACTCAGAAGAACCCTGTGCTTGGCCCAATGCTCTGCTATCACTGTCTTGAAATTCTTAATTTTTGAATAGGGAGTCTCTCAATTTTACTTTCCTCTGGTCCCTACAAATTATATAGTCAGCCCTTGTCATATATTTAAATTATTATTTCTCACTTACCCTCATTCCCATCCCAATTTGGTATAGTTGAATTCACATAAAGGCTTATATGATATGTTGTATAGCTAACTGGCTGTGGTACACAGTATCTTAATGTATTTTCAAGCATACCCTCGGAGATTGGTATAATTGGCCCCATTGGAAGGATGTGTAATTTACTCAAGGTCATATGATTAGTAAGGCAATTGGTATGCCTGTCTACTCTTTCTATTATGCCACAATGAATGAGAAAAAAAAACAGAAGGAAATTTCAGTGCAAAAGTAAGAGTTATAGGAGTACATTTGAACTAAACCGATGAAGAGGGGCATGCTGGAACCAGCAACACATTATGTATTTATGTAAAATTCCTTCAGATGTGTGCTTGCTTCCTGGCATGAAATCTGCAGCATTTTGCTCGTCATTGTATTCCCAGCCCCTGGCATAATGGTTAGCATGTAGAGGACGCTCAATAAATACTTGTCGAATGAAGGATATTCCTGCCAGATTCTTCTTCATTCTGCATTAATAATTTGGCCTTCCTTCTTGCATATTCATATGTTTGCTCCTTTTATTTGAATCCCCGTCTGTTTGATAGAAGAATGTTCTTTAGCAAGCGTGACGATTAATGATATCAGGCAAAAAGCCCCAAGATCTTAACTGATGAACAAACACAAACTTTGTTAATGATGCTTTTTGTAGAAGACATTGCTGGTTTATTATGTATTTCAAGCTAAAGGAGAATTCTAGCTACCATTTGAATTCTCTGCTACCTGGAGTGCCTTGGAAAAGGCCTTGGGAGAAAGAACTCCTCTTGCAAGTTGCAATTTTAAATTAGGAGTAATCTCCCTGCCACACCTAGGAATGAATTAGCACACTCTTTCTGTGTCATTATCCATTCATCCTTACTCTGTCCCTATAGTCAATGTGTCATGAGGGGCTTTTGATTTTTCCTCCTAAATTGCTCAACACCACCCCTCCTCTCCATGATCGGTTATTTCTCCATCTTGGAACTCACATTTCTCCTCCCTGTACTAACCCAATGGCCTTTTAGCACGCCTCTCTGCCTCCTTCTAATGTAGTCATTGCACAGAAGCCAGAGAAGTCTTTCCAATAAAAGACCCTAAACTCAGCACCCTCCGATTACAAGGCCCCCAGTCTCTCACTGCCAACTGCGTAAGCTCATACCTATTGGCCCAGCATTGCAGAACCCTCACCATCCTTCTCTTAACTACCTTTCTAGTTGATTCCTCTGCATAAACCCACTCATGGCATAACCCAGGCTTGCAGTCTGGTTCTCTGAGAAGCAGACTCAAGTGCAGAGTTTAGTGTTCAGGTGAGATCAACACCTGTGAGGGGAAGGATGGAGGGAAGAGATAAACTATGGTAATGCAGTACCAATGGTGGCCTCTGCCTACCCCAGTGGGAGCTCTGGAGAAAAATTGCTGCTAAGATTTTCCCTCAGTGGACCCAAATGTCTGAGCAGTGGTGGGGAGGGGGCTGCTTCTGGGATGGTGTGACCTTGGGTAAGATGGCTCTCTGCAGCCCAGGCCACCCCTGAGGAGCTGACCGCTGGAGATGTTTCTCTGCGAATGTTTCCAGCATCTGGGAAAACAAAATTTTTCCCTCTCAGAAGGAGGATCTAGGAAGTGTATCTCCATGTTTACTTCACCTAATCTCTTTTTTCTGCAAAGAACTTTTCCTCCTTTTCTGTGGCTTCATGCCTTTGTACCTGCCTTTTCTTCTGTCTGAAATGCCACTTGCCTGCCTCTTTCTCCCTTTGATCTAAATACTTTTTTTGTTTGTTTGTTTTTGAGCCGGAGTTTTGCTCTTGCTGCCCAGGCTGGAGTGCAATGGCGCGATCTCGGCTTACTGCAACCTCTGTCTCCCGGAGTTCAAGAGATTCTCCTGCTTCAGCCTCCCTTGTAGTTGGGATTACAGGCATGCCCCACCATGCTGGGCTAATTTTGTATTATTATTATTATTATTATTTTTAAGACCGAATTTCTCTCCTCTTGCGCAGGCTGGAGTGCAATGGTGTGATCTCGGCTCACCGCAACCTCCGCTTCCCAGGTTCAAGCAATTCTCCTGCCTCAGCCGTACTGAGTAGCTGGGATTACAGGCATGCAACACCATGCCTGGCTAATTTTGTATTTTTAGTAGAAACGGGGTTTCTCCATGTTGGTCAGACTGGTCTCGAACTCCCGACCTCAGGTGATCCACCCATCTCGGCCTCCCAAAGTGCTGGGATTACAGGTGTGAGCCACCATGCCTGGCCTGATCTGCATAGTTTTAGTTTTCCTTTATGACTGATGTCAAATGCTAAGTCTTCTTGAAGCCTCCTGTCACTCATCCAGGCAGATTTAGTTGCTATTTAATATTTTCAGTCAATGTACATTGCATATATGCATGCATCATAACCTCTGGACACACTAAAGATATAGGAGGTACAATCCGTGCCCTTATGACCTCCTAAAGATATGTGTCCCTTTTTTTGTGCTGTGGCAATGCTCAGTGCTTTCTTTTATTTTTAGCATCTGCTACATTACTTCTTTATTCATCCACTCAGTTATTCATTTGTTCATTCACTGAGTATTAATCAAGCATTTGCCTTCTATGTATCCAGTGTTTCTGTAAGCCCTAGGATACAATGATGCATAGTCAGGTTTGCTGAAGGGTAAATATTAATCAATGGATCATATAAAGTTTGCACAATTCTAACTTGGACAAAGAGTATGAAGTTCATGGAGCTAGGAGGTTTTACAATAGCTCGTTTAGCCTAGTCAGGGAGGTCAGGGGAAGTGGGTGGTAGAAGTGATTATTACAATATAATTTGGTGAAGGGAGAGGAGAAGAAGCCTTTCAGGTAGAGATTGCAGAATGTGCTCAAGCCCCATGGCAGGAGAGTGGAAAGAGAATTTAAAGATGAAAATGAAGTTGCACGAGGCTGGAGTTCACAGAGCGAAGAGAATAGTAGAGAACAATGTGTCGTGATTGCAAATGCTCATGGGAATGTTTATAGCTTGGCATTTATGCTCAGAGCAGTGGGAAGCCATTGAAAGGTTTTAAGCAAGAGGTCGAAATGATCAGATTAGAGAGCTGAAAATATGCTCTGACTTCAGTATGGAGAATAGATTGGAGGATGGCAGAGATGCCATGTAGGAGGCAGGGCTGTTAACTAATGAAATGAGGGTAGCTTGAACTAAGGTGGGGGATGGACAGTGGGAGATAGATCTAGAGCAATTTAGGGGAAAATGAAAAACAAACCTGGCAATCCTTGGTGATTCGTTTGTATGTCATCTGGGATGACAGAAAGGGAAGTGTCAAAGCTGACTTTAGGTTCCCATTGATCCCTAGCTCTTTTGGATTCTAAATCTGATGAAAATTATAAACCTCTTTCTGGAGGCAGACACACACACACACACACACACACACACACACACACACACACACGCAGCATTTTGAATGTCATTTCAGAAGGACATATAGAACTTGTAAAGCCCATTTATGAGCCCCAGGTGGGAAAGAAAACCAAATCTTATTCCTCACTGTACCTCTTGATTCTATTCTAGAAAACAGTGTGGAATCTGGCATGCAGTACATGTTCGTTGAAGTAATGAATAAAGGTGAGAGGAGATAGAGGGCACTGAGACACTTCTAGTGGTTAATTTTCTGCCCTTTCAACTGCAATATGGATGTAGGCAGTTATAGAAGAGTTATAACTTGCATGTCTATGTACCAACTGCTCATTAACTTGCAAGGCAGCATTAGGTGGGAGAGTCCACAAATGGACTCATGAGCCTCCAGGTGGTGAAGAGGAATAAATTTCAAAGTATTAAGGTTCCAAAGACCCAAGATTTGTCTGCAGCAGCTGTCTCTTCATAATGCTAAGTACTTTGGACTAAAGAATAAAAGTGTCTGCCTTTATTTTATGTGGGGGAGTGCATCATTTAGAGATGAAGACAGTCTGCCTATGGCTGAATGGGTAAGTTAGGTTAATGTTATCGTGTGGAAGAAGCAAAAATGATAACTGTGTTCATAGACAGAGATTTAGAACAGAATCATGTCTTTGCAGATAAGACATTTCAGGAGGCCAGTAAAGATAAGAGGGAGAAAAAATGCATAGAAGGAAGTTTTAGGAAAGATTTAGTTTGCCCTTATTAACCCTAGGCTAGGTTGGATTTTTCTCTTTGTGCTTTGAACAGCTGCATGTTAGAAGGAATTGCCATCTGAACCACAGACTCTCTGAAGGGCCTTAGCGATCACCTGGTTCAGGCTCCACCAGAGCAGGAATTCCCGCTGCAAGACTCTTAGCAGATGGTTTGTGGTTCCTCCTGAAGCTGGGCTAATGAGGCTCTATTGAACAACTCTGATGAAAAGTCCTGTCCTGATTGTTTAGTCTACACCAGGAATGGCAAATAGATTAAATCTGCATGACAATTCTAATTACTCGATAGTGCTTAAGGATTCTGGGGCTGAGTCTCAATTATTTTCAAAAAGGCAATAATTGTTGTAACTTGGAAGCTAAAACTGTTCTATATTTGCCATTCCTGGGCTAGTTCTTTCAGTCAATGAATTCAACTTACATTTATTGATCATCTACTATGGGCCAGTAGTGTGGTGTTAGAGGGTTGGGTTATAAATATAATGGCTATTTCTCAGTTCACATTTTACCTGCCCTATCTGCTACATCAGATACAGTCGTTCACTTTTTTTTTTGAGACATAGTCTCGCTCTGTCGCCCAGGCTAGAGTGCAGTGGCACTATCTCGGCTCACTGCAAACTCTGCCTCCCAGATTCAAGCAATTCTCCTGCCTCAGCCTTCCAAGTAGTTGGGACTACAGGCATGTGCCATCATGCCTGGCTAATTTTTTATGTTTTTAGTAGAGACAGGGTTTCACCATGTTAGTCAGGATGGTGTCTATCTCCTGACCTTGTGATCCACTGGCCTCGGCCTCCCAAAGTGCTGGGATTACAGGCATGAGCCACTGTGTCTGACCCACTTTTCCCTTCTTAAAATATCTTCCTACCCCACAACCCCACCATCCAGCCCCACTGCAATACCCCTGCTTTTGGTTTCTCTGAAACCACATTCTCTCACAGGCCAGTAATAATCTCACAGGCTAGTCCTACTCAATTTTCTCTTCTTCTCTGTCTTAAAATGTCGGTTGGCCACAAGTATGACCCCAAATCTCCTTTTTCTCTCTGTCTCACTTTCTGTCTAGGTACGTCCTGTACCTCCAGTCCCATGTCTTCAAATACCATCTATATGCTAATGATATTCAACTTTTTGTCTCTAGTCATAGAGTGAAACCTATATAACCATCTGCTAGGTGACATCTCCACTTACAGATCTAAAATGCATCTCAAACATAACACATTCAAAAGAGAGCCCTTGATTTCCATATTTCCTCTATCCACCCCCAAAATCAGACCTCGCTCATCTGCCCATCTTCCCCGTTGGTAAATACACTACCATATATTCAGTGGCACTTGCAAACGAGTCAGATTTTCTTTCTTCTTATCACCATTCTCTATGCCATGAGCTATTTCTGCCCATTCTATCTCCAAAACTTCTAACTTCTTTCTAATCTGGCCAAGTCACTCTGCCCCTTGGCCATCCTGATCATTCTTTACTGGAATATGTCAATAAACCCCTGTCTGTTCTTCCTGCTTGCATTCTCACTTCCCAGCGGTCCACTGCCCACACAATAAGAAGATAGTCTTTAAAAACGAATGCTAATGAGATCATGGAAATTGGCTGTTTAGAACGCTCCAAAGACTTCCCTGTGAAGAAAATTCAAACGTGAACAGGGTGGACCTCAGGGTTTTCCTCCCTCACCAATCTCACTGCTCTTGCTTCTTTCAACCACCCCCTGACTTTTTATTGCTCCATGCATCTTCCATTCTTGGGGATTTCACAGTTTTTTGTTTCTCTGCCTAGAATATTCTTTTCTCTGGTTTCCCTATGGCTGGCTCCTTCTTGTTTTCTAGGTCTTAGCTTAAATTCCACCTTGTGGAATATCTCTATCATCTCTTGTCTGGGATGACTGTAATCACCCTTGTTTCCCACTCCTCCACACTGCTCAGCAGGTTCAGCAGGATCCGCTCAGTTTAGCATGGTATAACGCCTGCCCAGCCCTCCAATCTCAACTTCACCGGACTGTGTGTCTCACATGTTCGGTTCGCCTCACATAGACAAGCTCTTCCTTTCCTGTACTGTAGAATGCCTCTGAGCCTTTTCCCAGGCTGTTACTTCTGCCTGAAACTGTCTTCCATCTTTTCTTCTGGCTGACTGCTACTCTTCATCTAAGATGCAATTTACCAGGTGTCACCTTCCCTGGAAATGCTTTACTGACCTCTCTCCTTTCCCAAAGTTCTCCCACTGCTTTCTGTGCTTGGCTCCTGAAAGTTCTTGGGAACTGTTTAGTTACATTGTTATCTGTTTTCTATTCTCTCTCCTATATGGCCTTCTTGGGAAGAGAGTCTATGTATGTCTGAGCTTGTATTTATCCACAGCACTGAGTATAGACCTTTACAATATAATAAACGCCCCATAAAGATTTTCTGGCAGGATTCCTGGAAGATGGCAGTAAGCTGACTGTTCTGCTGTGATGGATCATAGTCAGTGTTTTACTCAGCTCCAGAATTCATGAGCTCTGAGTGAAGGCTGACCTCTGGAGACAGAGTGAATAACATGTGCTTTGTGGAGGATCAGGCTGAGAGTGCTCAGTGCTGTCCTGAGCACTGAGTTTTGCATCCTGCAGGAGCCCATGTAGGCCTAGGAAAGGACAGAGCATCAGTGGTAGAGAAGAGTTGGAAGGACAGGAAAGGCTCGAGTCCCCCAGGAATTATTACTGTGTTCAGCCCTGGTATGGCAGCCTCCTTTTCTGTAGCCTGCCTCTAACATGCAGTGGACTCTAACTGGCCATATTTCCATTTAGTGACCCTGCCCACCTGGCCATACCTGGTTGAGACAGGACTAGGCATCCAGCCCCACCTGGGCAATGAAATTCTCCCTCTCCTAGAATTTAATATTTAAATCAGAAAGATACAAAGGCTGGAAGGTGGTGGTACTGGCAGTAGCTAATGGTAGCATACTAGAAATGGGGGCTACAAACTTTTGCTTTTGGAATATTCCCATTTCCTTCCCCTTTCCGAATCATTCTATGAGATATCCCAGTAGCCCTACACACATATAGGGAGGGAGGAGGGAATTAGGATGGGAGTGACTCAGATGCCTTCCGGGGAAAGGAGTGGACCAGTTTTCCAGGAGTGAAGGGTGCAATGAGAAAAGCGCCAGGAGTGGATCTCAGGCTTCCCATTTCAAGCCGAGCAAGTGTCTTCACCCTGTAATAAAATCAAGGGCTCAGAAAATCAGAGCTGGAAAGGATCTTACTCATGAGGATACAACGGCCCAGAAAGGGGACATGACTTGCTGAGGATCCTGCAGTCAGTAATTGGGTCTGGAACCCAGGACTCTCATCTCAGTACTCTTTCTACCATCTCAGTTGTCCCCAGCTCATCTGGGCTCAGCTCCTCTGTCCAGATGGGTTCATTATGCTCCCATTCTCTGTCTTAGTTGGTGGCTCTGGGTGATTTCCTGTTGAGTCCAGTTGCCTGGGGTTAACTCTAGCTGTGCAGTTACTTGGGGAGGGTGTTTACTGAGAGCACCTGCCTACATAAGGACCCAGGTGGCTCATCCCTTAGGATTGTGGGACTGAAAGCCACAATGCGATAATCACATGGAAGGACAGCAGTACGGAGGAACACCGGTCATAATAGCATGACATGATGTGAGTGTGGGGGTGGGACTCTCAGGCTGCGCCACCCACACGCGCCCTGCCAGCACTGCAGCATTCTAGCAGGGCTGCATTCCTGGCCTCAGATGTAACACTTGTTATATTGCTTCCAAATTTGGCTGGATGCAGTAATTGCACTCTTCTTTCCAGTCGACTCAGTCTCCCCAAGGTAGGAGGATGTCTGCTCTCTCTGCACCAAGCAGGATCTTAGGGAAGATGGTCAGTGCTCCTGCATTACTTATATAGTTTGTCTGAGGCCATAGCTTTTAAAGTATGATCTGAAGTTTGCTAGGATCAGAATCTCTTGGTGTGACATTGGTAAAAATGCCAACTATAGGGCCTCTTGCAAGACCTACTGAATCATAATCTCTGTATTATTAATAGACTTTTCAGATGATGAAGGCTGCTGGTCCAACAAGTTCACTGAGGATGGAAAAGGTGATGAGTTTAGGCTGGAGAGATGATGGTTTTCTGTTCCTGCCACACTTCCTAGCTGGGTGATTTGGGGCCTGTCACCCACTCTTCAAGCATCCCTTGAAGAGAAGGAATGTGTCTTATATTTATCTCTACTCAGTGGCTAGAACATAGCTGGTCCTTAACTAGTGTTGAATGAATAAATACATGTACAAGTGAAGATTATAACACATATTATACCTCTTGAAAGAGATAACTCAAGGAAATCACTTGTGCAAACTCCTACACATTGCAGGTGCTCACCAAGTGCAGTTCTCTCCCATTCCCCTTGGGTCAGTGGCTTGTTGTCTGCAGGTAACTTGTTCAGGGATACCGTGAAGTGTGGAGGGGATGGCAGGTGCTCAGGGACCTGGCTGAGACCTAGAGGTGATAAGTGTTCCTGTATTCTCCAAACTCCGTTCTTATTCCACTCCCTGTGGTCCTCAGTCCATTGTCCTGGGAGCCACGAAACCAGTGAAGGTCAGCAGAGGCCAATCACAAAGGAGGGGGTTATGGCTGTCAATGTGGTCAATGTGAGGCTTGGGAGGCCACACCCAGCAGATGCCAAGTCTGCATCCAGAGGCAGAAGAGTCATGGCTGTGATCAGCAGCTAAGGTTAGGGGGCAACACAGAGGGTTAAGTTGGGGATTTGGGGTACTGCATATGAATAAATGAATTCAGGCCTTAGCATTTGTGATACCCTTGGGAAAAGTGTATTCCCCCTAGAGTCAATGATTTTTTTTAATCTATGAAAGGGTCATAAAGAACCTCCTGTATTCATTCTCAGCATTCGTGTGAGAAGGACATGAGTTAAATGAGGATACGATTATTGTCTCTCTCTCTTGCGAGTATATTGTGATGCTTTCTGCTCAAAGTGTGGTCCCAGACCAGCAGCATCAGTGTCACCTGGGAGTCTGTTAGAAATGCAGACTCTCAGGCCCTACCCCAGACCTACTGAATCAGAACCTCATTTTTACATGACACCCAAGTGACTTAAAATTCACATTAAAGTTTCAGAAGTGAAGGCTAAACAATTACAAGGAATTTTTCATTCTCTAAGCACTTTTTTTTTCCCTAGTGAGCGCTTCAAAGAAAGGGAATGTCTTATTTTTCTCTTTTCAATACCTGGAATATAATTGACTATTAACTAATGTCGAATGAATGAATGAAGATCTTAACCTGTATTGTCTTGTTTCTCACCCACTACTGGGGGTTCTTTACCCAGTTGATTTCCTGCTGTAATAGCAGGAGATATACACGGGGATTGCAGCTGCCTCACACTCAGCTGATGCCAGCCACAGATGCAGGCATTTAGCATGTGATTAAGGACAGAGTAATCTACTTAATGTGGGTTGTGGGAGATATTTGGCAAGAACCAAGGGACAGGGGTTGGATTTTACTTTCCAAAGATAATGTTTTTCCCAATTGTTTAAAGCCCTCAGTAACTTGGATCACACCCAGACAGAAATAAGCCTTCTTAAGACAGAATTCTGTAAATAGGACTCTTGCTCACTTTTGCAGCAGAATCTTGACTCTAATAGTCTGCTTAGGTTTTTATGTAACATGGCATGGAGGCCTGCCCAGCCGGATCTTTGTGGAGCTAAGCCCAACTGAACTAACCACCTATAGAGGAGAAATGCTTTTTGTTTACTATATTTTACCATGAGCTAAATTAATTAAAGAATTAATCTATTCCATCACTCAACAAATACTACAGTGCCCGGTTTGAGGTTACCATAGTGAGTACGTCAGCAGTCCCTGCTTCTACCAAGTAATTGCCAGGTGGTGAGGACAGAATAAGAATCAAGCAATTACAGTGAAGTTTGAGGAAGTGCAGACTGACATGGGAGAGCATGGCAGGCAAACTTAGCCTGTAAGGGTGGAGGTGCTGGAGAGACACTTCCTGCAGGAAGTGGCCTGTAGGCTGATACTTGAAGAATGGTTAGGAGTTAGGCAATTGGGGTGGGAGGGAGGAAATGAAGCTGAGACAAAGAATAGCAAGGGCCAAAACCTAGAAACAAGAGACTGTAAGCTATAGCAAAGGAAGTGGGGTAATGCATGTTTTAGGTCCTGTGTGGGGTGTTTGTGAATACACATGCGGGGTGTGGAGCGTGATGAGAGACAAAGCTGAGAAGGTAAGCAGGTGGATCCTCTTGTGAAATTTGCATGTTATCCTAAGGCCAATTGAGGAAGTCTTTGAAAAGTCAGGAGTTCGTAGGGTCTGATAGTTTCCAGTTTGCCTCCCTCATGGACCAGGGGGACCCTTCATTAATCTGGTGAAATATGATGATAGGAAAAGATTCGGTTTTGGTCTGTGTGTCTCACACTGCCCTCTTGCCTCTGGTCTAAGCTTCTTGCTTTGCATCCTATAATGCTAACAATAGAAGAGTCCTAATTTGGCCTTGTACACTTCTTCAAAGAACAGGGAAATACTGTTCTCTTTTTTAACTTTTATTTTAATTTAAGGGGTACATGTGCAGGATGTGCAGGTTTGTAACACAGGTAAATGTGTGTCATGGGGGTTTGTTGTACAGGTTATTTCATCACCCAGGTATTAAGCCTAGTATCCACTCATTATTTTTCCTGATCCTCTCTCTCCTCCTACCCTCTGCCCTCCAGTAGGCCCCAGTGTGCATTGTTCCTCTCTATGTTTCTATGTGTTCTCATCATTTAGCTCCCACTTGTAAGTGAGAACATGCAGTATTTAGTTTTCTGCTCCTGCATTGCTTTGTTAAGGATAATGGCCTCCAGCTCCATCCATGTTCCTGCAAAGTACATGATCTCATTCCTTTTTTATGACTGCATAGTACTCCATGCTATATATGTATCACATTTTCTTTATCCAATCTATCATTGATGGGCATTTAGGTTGATTTCATGTCTTTGTTATTGTGAATAGTGCTGCAATGAACATACAAGTGCATATGTCTTTATAATGGAGCAATTTATATTCATTTGGGTATATACCCAGTAATGGGATTGCTGGGTCAAATGGTAGTTCTTTTTTTAGGTCCTTGAGGAATTGCCACAGTGTCTTCCACTATGGTTGAACTAATTTACACTCCCACAAACTGTGTAAAAGCATTCCTATTTTTCCGCAACCTTGCCAGCCTGTTATTTGTTGACTTTTTAATAATAGCCATTCTGACTTATATGTGATGGTATCTCTTTGTGGTTTTGATTTGAGTTGCTCTAATGATCAGTGACGTTGAACTTTTTTTCATATGATTGTTGGTCGAATGTATATCTTCTTTTGAGAAGTGTCTTTTCATGTCTTTTGCCCTCTTTTGAATGAGGGAAAAATGTTTCTCTGTAGGTTGTCTGTTTACTCTGTTGATAGTTTCTTTTGTTGTGCAGAAGCTCTTTAGTTTAATTAAATCCCATTTGTCAATGTTTGCTTTTATTGCAATAGCTTTTGGCATCTTCATCATGAAATCTCTGCCCATGCCAATGTGCTGAATGGTATTGTCAAGGTTTTCTTCTAGGGTATTGCCTAGGCTTTGGGTTTTGCATTTAGGTCTTTAATTCATCTTGAGCTGACTTTTGTATATGGCATAAGGAAGGGGTTCAGTTATCCCTGCACCATTTATTAAATAGGGAATCCTTTCCTCATTGCTTGTTTTTGTCAGGTTGGTTGAAGATCAGATAGTTGTAGATGTGTGGTTTTATTTCTGTTTTCTCTATTCAGTTTTACTGGTCTATGTGTCTGTTCTTGTAACAGTACCATGCTGTTATGGTTACTGTAGCCCTGTAGGATAGTTTGAAGTTGGGTAGTGTGATGTCTTCAGCTTTGAAGAACAGTGTTTCTCCACCAATATGTCAGCAATTTACCTCTCCTGGTGGCTTTGCTTCCAGTCTCTCTGTTGTGAGGGCTTCCTCTGTGTGGCTTCTTTCCCTGGGTCCCCCAGGCTTTGCATGGCAAGTGGGATTCTGCTGCTTGGAGGCCTCAATGAAATCCACTGCCCTATGGGATCTCACCAGCAGCATCCCCATGGCCACTCCCTGGCAGCAGGAGGTCAGGCCATTTCTGAGTAATCATTTTATACCCATTAATGTACCAGCTACATTCATATATGCTTTCATTACCAGAGCCCTTACTTTGAGCTGTGACTGTTCAAAGATTTTTGAGAGGCCATGTGGTATAGTGGTCAGATCACAGGACTGAGGATCAGAAGAGCTGGTCTGAACTGTGGCCCCTTTCTGCCCTCATTGTGTGCCCTTCTTAAGTCATCAGAATCACAGTTTCAGTTTCCACAGCTGTAAAATGAGGACAAGAGCTCCTGTCTTGTCTTTCTCAGGGTGGTGGTGAGATCAAACAAGATGGTGCATGGGAAAGTACTTTGAAAAATTCTATAAAGGATTGGGCTTTTATTAGCACTGTGGACATCCCGGGTTCAGTTCTTGGCTGCCCATCTTCTTCTGGCACAGCTGAAGGTAGGAACCAGGAGTTATAGCATTTCTCACCTTTTGCAACTCATCACCACCTTCCTGTCTGAGGCTTGCATACTAGGTTTCATTTACCACTGCTCCTGCACTCAATCACTTAATGGGCAACCCAATTGGAGACCATTTGTCCAAATGTAAATGTTAATCTATAATTGTGGAGACCAAAATAGTCCAAATAATTTTTGGTGACACAATCCACTTTGAAACATTTTCTTTCTGGTGGACCTATGGAGAGCAAACACACCCAGCATGCTTCCCTCGTAAGTAATTATCTATTCAAACTGCTTGCTGGCATTTTTTGAAATGTTAATGGAACATTAAATTCCAGTTTATTTCAGAACCCCTGTTTCTGCTAAAAAAGTTTCTCAGGGAAATTTTTAAAATGACAGCTAGACAGACAAATAAAACACAAGAGCAAGCTATTATCTTTATCCAAGTAATTCCCTTCTAAAATACAAAAAACAGACAGGCATGGTGGCTCATGTCTCTTATCCCAGCACTTTAGGAGGCCAAGGCAGGCAGATTACTTGAGCCCAGGAGTTCCAGAACAAGCTGGGCGAGTTGGCGAAACCCTGTCTCTACAAAAAATACAAAAATTATGCAGGCATGGTGGTGCATGCCTGTAGTACCAGTTACTTGGGAGGCTGAGGTGGGAGGATCACCTGAGCCTTGGGGAGGTTGAGGCTTGCAGTGAGCCATGATTGTGCCACTGCACTCTAGCCAGGGCAACAAAGCAAGAAGCAAGATGATGTATAAAAAAGAAAGAAGGAAAAAAATACAAAACACAGACATTATAGCACAAAGGGGGAGATTAAAGTTTTAAAGCATAGTCACAAAAATGGAATTTAGAGATTTTCAGAAACTCGTAGTATTTTTTTTTCTTCCCCAGATGGAGTCTTGCTCTGTCACCCAGGCTAGAGTGCAGTGGCCTGATCTCGGCTCACTGCAACCTCTGCCCCCCAGGTTTAAGCAATTCTCCTGCTCAGCTTCCCGAGTAGCTGGAATTACAGGTGCATGCCACAAAGCCTGGCTGAATTTTGTATTTTTAGTAGAGATGGGGTTTCACTATGTTGGCCAGGCTGGTCTCGAACTCCTGACCTCGCAATCCACCTGCCTCGGCCTCCCAGAGTGCTGGGATTGTAGGTGTGAACCACCATGCCCAGCCAACTCATAGTATTTCATCTCTGAGAAGCATTCTCCCTATTTCATCTTTGGGTGCATTATACATGCTGAGAATTCCCGTCCTGGGGACAATGGGCTATATTAGAATATCCAGCCATTTCTTTCTGGGTTATCTTTAAGATAGCAGAGAGGATCCTTCAGGAAAGAGGAAGCCTTCACTGGCTGCATCCTCCCTGAAGCCTTCTTGGAGCCTCCTCCCCATGAGAGGCAGACAGTACTATTTTCTCTTTGCTTCCAAGTAGTGCCCATTTCTTTTCCATTATTCTTCACTCATTTATACAGTACTTAGTTTTTTCATCTGTGTCAATGGACCATGGGCTCCCCAAGGACAGGGACTAGGTCTTACTCACTTTGGCGCATCTAATGACTATTTGTAGGTAGAAGGCATGAAATAAATCATCCAGGGTCATCATCTCAAACCCTCATCAGCCCTCACCAGTATGACTGCAACAGCCTCCTAACTGGTTTTTCTGACGTTCGTTTGTCCTATCTCTGGAACCATGCTCCCCTAACAGCCAAGGAAGGCTTTAAGGTAAAAATCAGATTAGTCTTTCCGTTGCTTAATATCTTCTGATGCCCACTCTTGTCCTCACGATCAGTCCCAACTTCTTAGCATTGGCTCAGGGGGCCTTTTGTCATCTTGATCTGGCTTAGCTCTCCAGCCTCATCTCTGTCTATTCTCCCCTCAGCTGAAGTTCCAGCCACCAGCAAACTACCATATTTCCCTAAATACATCCTACCTTCTCACATAATAATAGTAACTGATATTATAGAGCACTTGCTATGCTGTATACTTTATAATGGCTCTGTCTGCATCATTAGTAAACCTCACACAGCCCTATATCATCGTCATTATTATTATGATACCCCTTTTACAGCTGAGAAAACTGAGATTTGGTAAAGAAAGGAAACTGCTTCAGGCCAGAAAGTTAAAGGCAGCTAAAAGTTATAAACAGGTCTGTGACTGACTCCAGAGTCTGTGATTTTGTCTACCACTTTTCACTGAGGAAGACGTGATTTTCTTGCTTAAGGAAATTTCATCTAGCTGAGAAGATGTGACTCTACCCAAATAGAGGGAAGTCACTGTATAAGAGTAACCCCAATGTCATGCTGAGAAGTGGGAGCTATTTCTGGGGGACAGTCTGAGAGATGATGATGATCTTCTAGCACAGAGGTGGTCTAATTTCAGTGTTGGCTGGATGGGAAAAATAAAAGTGAGTTGAAAGTAAGCAGGGAGAAGGGGCAAGTCTGGACCGCCCAATAAGGATACTTTTGCAAGAGTTCTGACATGAGAAAAAAGTGGAGGCTGTGCAATTGCAAAGCAAAGGACTGGTCCCACAGGCATTTAAAACCACCTTGGGCTATAATTTGCTCTTTAATGAAACTGCTGATCCTGCTGTTATTCATGTCTGAGGACCTCAGGGGCATTTCAGAGACACCCCCTGGTGGCCATTTGCCCTGTGTGTGGCACTTAAAGAGCCCTCAGTGAGGGTTCAGGAGCCCCAGGTAGGCTTGACTCCTGGTGGAATAGCCTTAGGCAGCTCATTGAAGCATCGTGGGTGATTGCCACGTCTGTCATGCCAGGTGATCTGCTCATTGTATCCACCAATCAAATTGGAGTTTTGGCTTAGAAATACTCTTTCAGGACTTGGGAATGCTCACCATGCATCAAGAGCTGTGAGTAACAGTGGGGTCAGATCTCGCTCCTCCTCTCCCTCAGGATGACACACCCAGTGAGACTGTCACTAATCAATGCTTCTGCAGTGTAAAACAGTGTGTGTGTGTGTGTTATTATTAAAGACCTCGCTTAAAAGCATGGAGGAGAGACAAGGGCATTCTGACGAGCATCCTAGCATCGTAGCCAAAGTGGAGGTGTGTCAGTTACATAAAAGCCCTGATAGGGCCCCCTCAGTGCTGATCTGAGTCCTGTGCAAACTCAACCTGTCAAAAACAAGCCAGAGGCCTCCAGAACCTTCAGCCAGGAAGAAAGGGAATTAGGATTCAGTCAAAGGGGACCTTAGTAAGAGCACAAAGCAGACACAGAGTAGGACTTAACTATATCCAGTCAAAATCAGTCTGAGAAAATTGATTCTTTTTTTAACATTTATTCATTCACTTTGCATTTTATAAGCACCCACTTATTATGTGGGTTTACTTGACTGTTGAATTGAACAGATTTTAGGCTCCACATGGAGAAGAAACCCATCTTGTTCATCACCCTGTCATCAGGGCTACAGTTGACAGTGGTGGACGCTCACATGAATGTCCCGGGGCTGGACTCCAGCCTCTGCTCTTGCTTACTAGGGCTGCTTTAACCTGGAGGAAGAGCCAGAATAAATGACGACTTCTTCCCATAAACACAAGGTACTGTCTGTTTGCTCATCTGCATACCTTAAGAACTATGTGCTCCTAGAAGGAGCATTTTTTTCAAATTGGTTGGCTCTGAAAAGGAGTTTTCTGATTAGCACAAACATGTTCTTTATGCCAGAAGTGGCCATAGGTATTATGGGCCTAATGTTTTGCTACTCTAGTGCTGTACTTTTTTCAGGCAACATTTATTTGGCACTAACTGTGTACCAGGCATGATGTTCAGTTGTCCCCAGGTGTTCAGTCCTGCCTCATCACACAAATATGAATAAGGTAAAATACTGATTTTCAGTCCTGTAGGGAGACAGGCATATAACTAAGCAGTTTAAGGTAAGTTATGACAAATACGCATGCACAGAAAGTATGGGTACTTCCTATAGTCCGGGTAGTGATGGAAAACTTCCAAAAAGTGACTTCTGGTTAGGTTTGGAAGACTGAGTAGGGTTTAGCCAGGAGGAGAAGCGTGGGGATGTGTTGCAGCCCAAGAACGGAGATGTGAGTAGACATAATGAATGTGGGCAAACTGCAAGTTTCATAGGTCTGATAGGAACCAGAATGTATAATTTTTTAGACTCAAGTCAGATAAGTCCTTCTCCAGGAAGTCTTCCTGAATCCCTAGAGAAGGAGGGATTTATTGTCTTTTATTACTGCCTCTGGACCTATTATCAGCTTCTATTATTGTATATGCCACATAGCACTGCAAACATTTATAATACGTGCATTTCCCTGATAGACTGGGAGCTTGTTGAGATCAGAGGGCTAGTGTCTTTTTCATCTTTGTTTAGTAAATTGCACACTCCCTAGAACAGAGTAGGTGCTTACTGCACATTTGCTGAAATAAATTCATATATGGAGAATATGAAGAAGGTGTTCTCCCTCCCAGAGTCGAGTTGAGGGACAGATTTTCTCTATATTCATTACATTTAGGGGGCCTCCAAAATCTTTCTTGGATTTTTTAATGTAGATATTTCTACCTAATCATAGAAACATATACATACATGCACATGTGTGTCTTAGATATATGCTGGAAGAATTTATATCCAATTTATCAGTGACTTTTTCTGGGGAGAGTGGTGGGAGGTGGGCAGTGGGGGACTGTTTTAGGACCACTGGATGTGACTGTTTACAATGTGCACCCTACAATTCAAGAAGGCCATTCATTTAGGAGTGAGTCTGTACTTTATAAATTTAAACAACAAAAAATAAGCATAAAGGAAAAAGTCATGAGACTGTCAGTTATTTTTCACTTTCTTTTCAGGGTTTTTCTGTATTTCTCCAAAATATCCAAATATGTATAGGCCTGGCTTTTATATTAAAAAACTGTTAAAGTTAGTAAATAGTGGACAATTTGAGAAATATTAAAAAGCATAAAGGAGAAAATAAAAATGACCCACATTTTACCAGCCCCTAAATCTACAATTAACATTTTACTTAATAAAGTTTGTTTAATTTTTTGACTTAAAATATTTTTTCTTTGAGTAGTTTTGGATAATACAGAAATATACAAATAAAAAAATTCATTTCATCACTCGCAGATGACCCACTGTTAACACTTTGTGCATTTTCTTGCAGGCTTTTTCCATATTAGTTACAATCATAGCTCCCATTTGGGGAGTGTTTAATTTGAGCCAGGCAATGTGCTAAGTGCTTGCCAGACCTCTCATTTAATTCCCACATAAGCCTGTGAGGTGGAAATTCTCAGCCCCACCTCAAAGAAGATACAAACTAAACGTTAAGAAACTTGGATCAGCTGTGATGTGAACCTAATGTTGTCTGACTCTCAAGCTAATATTCTTAATGATTCCACTTTACTCCTTCATAGTTGTGTGTGTGGTTACTTGCACATGTGCACACACACACTTGCTGTACACACAGACACACACAAGCTATGGTCACATTGTGCCTTCCACTTAGTCATTTTTTTTTTTTTGGTATTACATGGTGTGCATCTTATGAGGTCATGTAAAAATACTTTTAGAAATGTTTGGCAATTTTTAAAAGTTGCATTCTAAGCAAATCAGTCTTGACTCAGTTTTCCATTGACTGCTGGCCTTTGCCATCAGGCCTCCAGACATGCTACATATCCAGTCCTCCTGGCTTTTTACTCTATTCCTGCTTCCTCCTCAAACTGGGAGTAGGAAAAGCTGGGCAAGCTTTACTCATTTGTACTCAGAAGCTGTCAGGAAACTAACTGCCAAAATGCCTGCATTTGATGGCAGTACCTCATATGGGCATTGCTCTGAAGTCTCAAAGCCTTTCTTTCCAGTGTGTGTGCATGTGCGTGTGTGTGTTTCATGTGAATAACTTTGGCTGGCTGAGAAGGCATTTTCAAAATGGAGAAATTAATAGACAGGTTAAGCAATCAGGATAGTATAAAATACTCAGCAAGGATTGCAACAAACATTAAGGGCATAGAGCACAAAACTTTTAGTAGACTGCAAACTGTTCACAAAAAAGTGGAAGAGATCACTGTGGGTTTTCTCAGCTCTGATATGCTAATCATGTGTATTGTGAATTCCCAGGGGGACCCAGAGTACCTAGTGCTTCCCAAACTTACTTGACTAAGAACCTACTGGAGCGCAGGCAGCTTTCTTGGATAACTAGCGTTCCGAAGTACACAGTTTGAGAAATACTAATCTGTAGGTTTTCTATATAATATTAATTCACTAATTTAATTTTATTCAGTAGTGAATTAGGTCCTGGCTACTCAAAGTATGGTCTGTGGACCAGTGGTGTTTGCTTCCTCTAGGAGCTCCTTAGAAATACTGAAACTGTGTTCTACCTCACCTGTCTTTCCCCACATAGACAGATTTAGAACCTGCATCTTAATAAGATTGACAGTCATTTACAGGCATAGTAAAGTTAGAGACAGACACACTGCTGATAAGGAAACAAAAGTTGTTAATATAGAAGTCACATAGAGTTCAATTTCATAAAGTGTGTTTCATACATGTATTTAAGGTAATGTACAATAAACACAGGAAGTGAGAAAGGTATTTGGACACTGCTTTCTCAAAATGCTGGCCATTTCTTCTGAGGGTATATTCTGGTGTCGGCTCAACAAGGACCTCAAACAACTGTGAGCCCACAGCTTTCTCTGAGTCCTTTTTCTTGTCCTTTTTAGGAGAGGGTGCAGTCCCATAGCATGTCCACATTTGGAACCGACCGGTATGAGATGCAGCCACATCCCATCAGCTAATAGCACTAGGTGGCGAGGCCCCTGGAGAGGGGTTTCAGCTGGGAACACACAGCTAAAGCCCCTTTAATTGCCCAGTCAGCTGTCAGGGCTGTAAACACATTTCTTCCCATTCAGAGCCGTTTGCCCCTCTCTGTGACCTCTCATGGCTCTCAGACCCTAGCCACGTGGCCCAGATGGCATAATCTGTCAGGCCAAAGCAGGTGATAGTAGGGCTTGCCGTTAGGTAATCAGTGACTATAATTAGCTGGGGTGAAGGGATAATGGGACCAACTGCAGGGCTGTGGGGAGGGGGCGGGGGCCAGGGGAAGCCCTGGATGGATGGGAGGGAGCACAGTAGGAGGGAGGCTTGCTGCCTTCCCTCCTTATTTCTCCTTTCCCCTTCCACCTTCTCCCTCTAGTATTATGTTTTCTAGCACATGGAGTATGTGTGTGCTGGGGGCTTCATCCTCAATGGGGAAGGTCAGGGTTGAGCACTGGCAATTCAGTAAGTGAGTTGTCTCGCAGCCCTGATCAATTTTATTTCACAGAAGCTGTTCCAGAAATCTATGGTGCTTTGGTAATTAGTTGGCTACAAGGACCTTGTGGGAGCAAGGATCGGGGTGGGGGTGGTGTGCTGTAGAGGTTTAGAACTTGATTCTGGGGAGTCAGACACACTGGCATTCAGATCCTGGCTCTGCCATCAGCAGCCAGGTGAGCTCAGGCTGGCGTAGCAGCCTCTCTGTGTCTCTGACAATAATAGGTCCCAATGCTCAACTTCTGGGCATGTTGTCAGTGCCAAGTAAACATGGCCATCAACACTGCCTGAAACATGCCTAATCTATAGCAGATGCTCTGAAAATATCATTTTATTTCTCCTTTCTTTCTTGATAGGAATGATTTTGTAATATGATGTCAATGATATGGAAATAACCAACCAAAAAATTGCTGTTCACAGATCTTAGAGGGTGTCTTTGATAACAGGTGAAGCTCGGTTATGTTTATCAAAAAGAGGTTGGCAGGTGGCTGGGTGCACTGGCTCACACCTGCTATCCCAGCACTTTGGGAAGCCGAGGCAGGTGGATTGCTTGAGGTCAGCAGTTCAAGACCAGCCTGACCGACATGATGAAACCCCACCTCTACTAAAAATACAAAAATTAGCTGGGCATGGTGGCACGTGCCTGTAGTCCCAGCAACTCTGGAGGCTGAGGCAAGAGAATTGCTTGAACCCGGGGACGGAGGTTGCCGTGAGCTGAGATCTCACCACTGCACTCCAGCCTGGGCAACAAAGCAAGACTCTGTCTCAAAGTCTCAAAAAAAAAAAAAAAAAAAAAGGTTGACAGATGAAGTTGGCTTTGTTTGTAACTTTTATCAGGAGAACTGTCTATTCATTTTCTAAATCCAAGTGAAAGAGATAGGGCAGTCTACGAGTAAACATTGAAGCCTTGTGTATTTGTCCTGTGGCCACAGATGATGGTTTTCCTGGAACAGAACATGCATTGTGGAGCACACTGTACACATTGTTGAAGCTTGTCCACTTCTGTTTTGTTGAAGGTCTAAACTTATCCTCTCATCTATCCTCTCCTCTTCCTAGAATTGTTTTCTCCTTTTTCCCCCTCCCTTAATAAAATATATATATAATAAATAGCTGTAAGCAACTTATATATCCAACTATGAATATATATATCTATATATATATCCTATATATCTCTCTCTCTATATATATATCCTATATATATATCTCTCTATATATATATCCTATATATATATCCCTAGAGATGAAAAAAAGAAACAAAAACCACCTATAATTTCAGAAATAACCAGTTAACACTTTTGTTTATATTCTACATCCATCTGGACACAGATATTACTTTTTCATCAAAATGAGTCTTACTTGCTCACTTGGTACATGTTCCCCCCCTTAATATATTCAATCTTATTCTATGTCAATAGGTACATTTCTATAACATCATTTAAATTTTATTTGTATAATAGTTTGTTGACTCTTAATGGGCAGAATTATACCAATCTTTTTTTCCTAACTTTTTTCTCAATTGAGATAATTCACATACCATAAAATTCACCCCTTTAAAGTGTACAGTTCAGTAGTTTTTAGTGTTTCCACAAGGTTGTGTAATTCTGTTACTGAATTTCAGAACATTTCTTATCCATTTGAGGTCACTCCCTATTCCCTGCCTCCTCCAACCCTTAGTTAATGGTAACTAGAGTACTGTTAAGATGCCATGAGCTATTGAGTCAGCTCTTCATAGTTGGATATGTAAGTTGCTTACAGCTATTTATTATTTCAAACAATACTATAATGATCAGTCTATACAACTGTGGTCCAATTAGGTTATATTTTTGAGCTGTCAAGGTTAATACACACATGTTGTTTAAATCTGAAAAGGAGTGTTACATTTGGGATCATGCGGTTTTGGGACAATTGAGAATTAAATCTCTAAATCTGCAGAATGTTAAACGTTGGAGATTTCCCAAGGAAAACTCAAAAAGACTTAAGCGATAACAAAAGCGGTCATTGCAAAATTGCTTTTGCAAATACTACCTGTGGAGTTTGCCAGATGTTTGAAGTTATGAAATTATACTACTCTGCAGTTTTGCAGTAGAGGTTAATTCCTCACCGCACCCCTTGAGTGACAGTCAAAATTGGGTTTTGTGTCCCCCTGAACAGCATGAGGACCTGGTAGAGAGAGGCGTGTGAGGTGGAACCAATTCTGTTTATAATTTTTAGGACTGATTTTGAAAGTTTGACTTAAAAAAATAGATCTTAATCTGATATAAAAAATCTGGTAATTATATTTAAAATCCCTGTATACCTTTGCACACACAGACTGTATTTAAACATTCATTCCAATAATAATTATTATAATACTTCACATGATTGGAGAGTTATGAGACAATGAGGCCCAGGTGTTATGTATGCTAAGTGTTTCGTATTCATTATGTCATTCCACAGCCTTGCAAAATCATCTATTAGATTGTTTAAAAAATGGATGTCATAAGTTTACACAAAGTAAATGATGGTCAAGTAACAAGCTACTCGTGGTGTCGGTCTGGCACGTCCATTGTTCCTTAGTCATTTATTCCTTCCCAGTGCCTAACTCACCACCTGCAGTCTGCACCACCCCATCTCTATCTTTACCTGAGAACCACACGAGAAATGGGCAGGGCTGGGCCTTAGTGGAGAGAACAAGGTTTGAATCTTTGTCCTAATACTTCCATGCCACTTTGGGCAAGTTACTTGGTGACTCTGTGGCTCAGTTTCTCCATCTGTGCAATGAAGATAAGAGTATCTACTTTATGCATTTGTGGTGTCAGCTAAAGAATTCTATGACATGAAGCTAAGAAGTGTGTAAGCACTCACTTGCTGTGGCAGGGTTGATCCAGCCTTGAGGTAACAGCACCAAACCTGTCCCCAGAGATAGTTACAGAAGAGATCTCAGTGATCAGCCATCTCCCCCCATCCTTTTACATTTGGGAAACCCGGAGGCTCCAGAGAGGAAGTGACTCTCAAAAATTGCATTGCTTGTCAGCAGCAGAATCTTTCTAATGATTCTCTAAAGTGATCTGCTTGGTTCCTGTTTGAGTTCCTCTAAAGCAAAGACTGTAGTGGCTTTATAAGCGTCTAAGAGCAGTGCTCTATTTCTGTACTCTTGCTCCCAGGGTTCCCTTATTTAGTCTTTGCTCTAATACACAGCTCAGGGGTTACTGGACTCCCTTGCATTGTCCCAGCGCTGGGATTGACTGTGTGTTTAATCCCCACTGACAACCAGGCACTGTGCCCTCAGTACATTCTAACAAATGCCCTGTGAGAGAAACCAACATTTAGTCATTTTGCAGATGTGGAAACAGAGGCAGAAATAAGAAGCTGTGCCCAAGGTCACCCAGATACGAAATGAAGAGAACTTAGAAAAATTGCATCGTGTTCAAAAGCTCTGACCTTGGCAAGTTTCTTAGCCCATTTGTCTCCTTGCTTTCTGTAAAATGGAGTAATAAGAGTATCTGCCCTAAAAGGAGGTGTAAGGATTATTAATGCCTGTAAAGTGCTTGGAAGAATGCCTGGCACATAGTATGAGCTTGATAAATGTCAGCCTTAAACACAACAAATGAGACCAAACTGCTTCTAAAGCTTGTATCCTTTCTGCAACTCCCTGACGCCTCACAAGGAATCAGGGAATTGAATTCACACTTAGAAACTCGGAGCAAGATTAAAGATTGCAAGGCGTTGGAAAGTGTGGCCTAGTTAGAAAGCACACTCACTCACATACACACACACATAGCTACTTTTAATAGCTGGTAAGAGCCAGAGAAAATCCAATTACAGATGAGTCAATCGATTACAAAGAAAGAGGGCAGAATAAAGGAAAGAATGTTGGAGAGACACAGAACCAAATTACAACCAGATAATAGAATTAAGGGTCTGTCGAACAAACTGGGAGAAATAACAAAGGGATACAGGCTGGAGACGCTTTCACAGCTTAGTAATGATTTGATTCTTTCTGAGCCCCTAGACTCCAAAGAGCGGTTATAGGGCCAACGCCCCAAACAAGTGGGTGGATCAGAAAGAACCGGAATTGTGTTTGGCAAATCATATTTTGTGAAGAAATGAACCACGTGTGGCCTGGGGAAGAAGAGGATTGTGTTTGGGTTAAACAGATGCTCCTAGTTAAGGGTGAGAGTCGCGGGCCAGATACAAGGCAACTTTGATTAGCGAAGGTATAGCCTTGCTCCAAAATGTTGTTTGCTAAGACATTCTTCCTTCGTTTTAAAAGAAACATCTCATTGTTAAATAGGATTACTCACTTGCATATACCCAAGCCAAATCAAAACACATGCTTTTAATTTTATTTTCCATTTTGGGGGGACAGCAAGGTGGGGCTGTTAATTTCAGCACCAACCTCTACAGCTGTGTCTATTATTGGTGGGCTCTAGAATAACATCCGTTTCTATGTATTTATGGAAAGGCGTCCTTAACTAGGCCACATAAAGAGCGAGCGCATCTATAAATAAATTAAGGAGGCTGCAAGGCGCGGGTGGCTGCCCCTCTGCTACGGCCTCGCAGGCCCTGCCACGCAGCTGTCGTCTTTGTACCCGGCTTTGCGCACTCCATTGTGGACGCGATTACCCCGGCCTGGGGCGGCGCGTGCGGGGGCGGGGCGCACCTTCCCCGCCGGCGGCTGCAGATTGGCTCCAGGGGCGAGGCTGGACTTCTTCGCGACTCGGGCTGGCCTTGCTGGGCTGCGAGGTTCTGGCCTGTGACTTGGCCGGCGCAGGTGACCTGACGGCGGTCACTTCCTGGGAGCCAGCTGCACCCACCCGCGCTCAGGCTGAGCTGGGCTAACAGATGATGGCGTTGGGGGTGGGCGTTGGGTGGGGCAGGGGGAGGACAGTACAAAACGACAAGAATAAGAAAATGACTGAATAGACAAGATTAAACAGGTCAAAGCTGGGGTAGGGAGGATAAGGATGAGGGAAACTTCTTCCAAAGCTTGAGAGCCCAATCCTTTCTTTCCACCTTAGGATGGGTGCCCCTCCTGGGCTCCTCCTCCGGGACAGGCATGAAGGATCTGAGTTCTACTTGCAAGTGGAGATTAAAAAGAATAAAGGCAGTTCTTTTCACTAGAGAAATGGAGCAAAGAGCTTCTATTTGCTTGGCAATCATTTCTGGGTTTTGTAGGAATCTTGTCTTGAAAAGGATCTCGTTGTGGTCCCTGGACCTGCTCCAACAGTATCTCCAGTTCAAAAAGCAGACTCAGGGCCCGCAGAGCCACCGAGTCAGAACCTGCTGTTTTCTAGGATCTCCTGGAGGTTCCTGGGTACACTCCATTTGAAAAAGCTCTGGTCAACAGCACTGATTCTTAACCCTGGCTGAAGTTATGGGTTGAATTGTGTTCTTCAAAATGATGTTGAAGTCCCAGTCCACAGAACCTGTGAATGTGACCTTATCTGAAAATAGGGTCTTTACAGCTGATCAAGTTAAGATGAGGCCGTTAGAATGGATGGACCCAAATCCAACGTGACTGTGTTCATATAAAAAGAGGAAATTGAGACACAGAGACAGACATGAACACAAGGAGAATCTAATATGAAGATGAAGGCAGAGATCAGGGTAATGCATCTTCAAGACAAGGAGAGCCAAAGACTGATGGGAACCACCAGGTCCTAGGAGGGAGCCGTGGAACAGATTTTCCCTTATGGCTTTCAGAAGGAACCAACTCTATCTACACTTTGGTCTCCCACTTCTAGCTTCCAGAACCATAAGACAACACATTTCTGTTGTTTAAACCGCCTTGTTTGTGATACTTTGTTACAACAGCACTAGCAAACCAATACACCTGGGTACTCCTAAGAATAACCCAGGTTTCTGAGCTCCATCTGAAATGTTTGCAATCAGAATACCCAGGAGTGGGGCCAATGGAACTGCATTTTCTAAATATCCCTTGGGTGATTCTAAGTTAGTTGGGAGATTGGGAACTGGTGAGCCCATCTCCCTTCCTTTACAGTGTGGTGGAGAAGGAAGAGAGAGCTGAGGCAGACGATGAAAGATCTGCTCTTACTTCTTGCTGTGTTACCTTGGGTAAGTCATAGCCTCTCTGAGCCTATCCAGTGCTTGCTTCAGCCTTACAGTGTTCTCCCTAAATCCAGATGCTTGCATTCACCAGCCTCTTGGGAAACTTCTAGTGATGGGGACTCATCACCTGATGGGGCATTCCAATCTATCATGGAAATTTTGAACTGCTTAGAGAAATCTTTAAATAAAGTCAAAATCCGCTATGATTATCTCCATTATAAAGATGAGGAAACTGATGCCCTGAGAGATTAAGTAACTTGCCCAAGGCCATACAGTCAGTTTGGGGCCAACTGTGGATTGAATGCAGGCAGCTGCCACAATCTATCCTGCTGACCACTTGTAATACCCAGACTGACAAAAGTTTACAAAGGGCTATCACATTAGTAGCTCAAACAAGACTCCTGCCAGCTCTGAGAGACAGAGACCCAGAATCCATCTCTGACTCTCAAACCTGGATTGTGTGGATGGCGGTATAAGGCTGGGGGAGGCATCCTGTGAACCGTCTAGGCCCCTGGGCATGGAACTTGCCATGTGTGCAATCTAGAACCTGAATGAGTTAGATGGGGAGGCCAGGGTATGAATTTGATTCTTGTGTCAGGGCCTGCTCCTGACCCCAACTCCCTCAGTGACCTGGGGCAGCTTTGCCTTGCTCTGTGGTCCTCAGTGTTCACACCTGTGAGACGAGGCTAATAGACTCTACCTTTCCTACCTTGTAGCAGTCTTGAGGGGCTCCAGTGAGATCGCAGACAGGAATATGCCTTGTGAGTCACAAATATGATGGTTACTACAGCTTCGCCTGAGAAGAGAACTTAGCTATTTCCATGAAAAGACCTCTCCTCACTAGGGCAACTCTGGCAATTGCTCCTCCTCACCAGCCATTTTATTTCTGCTCATTTTCTACCAAGCCATTTCCTTCCAAGCTTGGGCAGAAGTGGGGTTTGGAGAAGGGGATTAGTCAGGGGTGAGGTCTTATAGGAAGCAGTAAGTTCAATAATATACTGCCCCTCTTCCAGGACACACCCCTTAATAGGCTTGATCTCCCAAATCAAAGACAGTGTGCCCCGCTCCCTTCCAATAGATTATACCTGAGCTACATTTTCTTTTTTCTTTTCTTTTTTTCTTTTAAGTTCCAGGATGCATGTGCAGGACATGTACGTTTGTTACATAGGTAAACATGTGCTATGGTGACTTGCTGCACATATCAACGCATCACCTAGGTATTAAGCCCCACATGCATTAGCTATTTATCCTGATGTTCTCCCTCCCCCTACACCCCCCAGAGGCCCCAGTGTTTGTTGTTCCCCTCTCTGTGTCCCTGTGTTCTCATTGTTCAGCTCCCACTTACAAGTGAGAACGTGCGGTATTTGGTTTTCTGTTCCTGCATTAGTTAGCTGAGGATAATGGCTTTCAGCTCCATCTATGTCCCTGCAAAGGACGTGATCTCATTCCTTTTTATGGATGCATGGTATTCCATGGTGTATATGTACCACATTTTCTTTTTTTTTATTATTATACTCTAAGTTCTAGGGTACATGTGCACAACGTGCAGGTCTGTTACATATCTATACATGTGCCGTGTTGGTTTGCTGCACCCAGTAACTCATCATTTACATTAGGTGTTTGAAATACCTGAGCTGCATTTTCTAAGGGTGGGTCTGTTTGTTCCTCCTTTCCCTTAGAAATCTAAATGCCCCTTCATCTCCTCCCCACCTCCATACACCTCCACTAATGGGCAGGACCTGGTTCACTCATCAGAGTCTAAAATTCCCAATAGTATTATAATTCCCAACCCCTATTTTCTCATTGATGTTTTTTATTCATTCATTCCTCCAATATTCCCTTGGTGTTTACTCTGTCCCAGATGCTGTGTGGGTACTAGGAATATCAAGTGGATTAAGATGAGCTCCTTGCTCTGGGAACTTACAAGCAATCTAGTGTTAAAGCTGCACATAATTCATATTGGCTCTCAAGGCTGTCTTTGCTTACAGACGTCACAATAAACCTTCTTTCCTTTGCAGTGTGGTGGAAAAGGAAGAGAGAGCTGAGGCAGACGATGTAAGATCTGCTGTTACTTCTTGCTGTGTGACCTTGGGTAAGTCATAGTCTCTCTGAGCCTACATATTTATCTCCAAAATTAGATCAGCAATAAAGATATGAGATTCAGTGAGAGTTTACTATGAGCCAGCCATTATTCTAAGTGCTTTACTTATGTCAACAGTTAACAACTTTAGGAGGTAAATGTTAATGCCTCTATTTTACAGATGAAGCAACTGAGACACAGAGAAGTTAATTAATTTATCAGGAATCACAAAACTAATTGCTTGCAGTACCAAGAGTCAAGCCTAGGCTATCTGCTCCAGAACCCAGGTCCCTAACCCTTTGTATTAACCTGCTTCCGTAAGCTGCCCATTATTCCAGTTTACCTTAGGGGGTCTGTGAACAGACATAACTACTCTAATGAATGCATGAAGAAGGGGGAGGAGGTAGAGGAGGAGGAGGAGCCAGAAAGAGAAGGAGAAACAATTCCTTCTTTGGTAAAGAAGTCTTAAATTTCTGATAGGGTCTTAACTTTTTCTCAAATTTTTTTTTTTATTTAGTTGCACATACAGCATAAGTCTTCTATAATAGGGAAAAATAAGAGGGAGATGTAGAGGAAATAAAAAGGATGAAGTTTTTCCCATTTTAGGAACTTTGGGAAAAAAGCATTGAGTGTGCAGGTTGTGTACCAGACATCGTGCTGGATACTCTCGTATGAATAATCTATTATCTATCAATCAATTGAGTGATGATATAATCCTACACACTACAGAGGTATTAATATCCCAGTTTTACAGATGAGGACATGGAGGCCTAGAGAGGTGACATGCCTTAGTCAGAGATGATTAGTGGCAGAGCCTGGATTTTACCCAAGGAAAGTCTGATTGCCAAGCCAATGTTCTTATATCTCTCTTAGTTCTTGGACAGACAGGAATTAGCAAAGGTCCTGTGTAGTTGAAATTCAGTCTTCTCTCTCCTTCCTTCCTTCATTTATTAGTAATTTTCAGAGCAATTTCTATGTACTATTAATCCATGGATAATTCAACAAAAGCAATTCCACAATCCCAGCTTTTAGGGAGATGTAGTTGTGTGTGTGTGTGTGTGTGTGTGTGTGTGTGTGTGTATATATATATAAAGTTGTTTATATAAATATATTTTATACGTGTGTGTGTATATATATATTTTTCTTGTATGAAGGCTTGATAACTCCTATATGGGTTAAGCTATTGATCCGAAGGAGCCAAAGAAGGCTCTAATCTTGGGTCGAATACTAAATTTTATGTGATGCTACCAAGCCATATCTTTTTTTATATATATGTTTTCTTTTTTTTTTAGAGGCGTTTTAGTTTCACAGCAAATTTGAGAGGAAGGTACAGATATTTCCCATATCTCTCCTACCCCCACAAACCACAGCTTCCTCAATTATTAACATCCCTCACCAGAGTGATACATTTGCTACAATTGATGCACCTACATTGATGTATCATAATCAACTAAAGTCCATAGTTTACATTAGGGTTTGTTCATATTTTGGCTTTTTTTATCAATAGTTTCTGGGGATCAGGAGGTGTTTGGTTGCATGGGTAAGTTATTTAGGTGTGATTTCTGAGATTTTGGTGCACCCATCACCCAAGCAATGTACGCTGCAACCAATATGCAGTCTTTCGTTCCTCAACCCCTCCTAAGCTTCCCCGCAAGTCCCCAGAATCCATTATATTATTCTTGTGCCTTTGTATCCTCATAGCTTAGGGAGCTATAGTTTTCAATTATTATATAATTTTATCTTCTGTAAGATACAAGATTTACCCAAGGAATCCCTACTTCAATTAAGAACTCTGGTGCCCGAAGGAGAGGCTTATCCTATCTCTCTCCACCTCACTTCCGGTTTGTTAGAATCTGGATTTGAGTGCTGCTTCCTGTGCCAAGCCGACTTGATTTGTACAACCCAAAGGTCAGGGCAGCAAAGCCAGGGGAGCTGTTTCTTCCTAACTTCAAGAACTCATGGGAATAGGTACATTAAAAACAGAGTTATTCCCAGTTCTCTTTGTTGCTTAAACAGATTGGCTTTTCACTAGTATGTTCTGTGCTAATAGTTGTAAGATATCACAGGTAACAAAATCATAATTAAAATGATGTGTGTGAAGATAATGTTGGTGAAAAAATGCACATAAAGCTATACAGTGCGAGAATGACCAAAATCAAAGGCATTTTTTTCCCCTTTTGCCAGGGAGACATGTATAAATTCAACTACACTCAAGTAAACATGCTTATAGAAAGCCTAACGCCCAAGATAGGCACACTTCCTTAAAAAGGAGCAGGTTAAGGGGACATGGTACCTATTTAATCCCTATATTGTGCCAGGCAGTTAGACTCTTTCACTGGGCTATCTCCTTTAATCCTCCCAACAACCCTGAAATGAATGTATTGTTTTAAAGTAGGGATGGAATTATTTGAGATGATGCAAATAAGATACCAAGTCGAGTGCCCAGAACATAGTAATTGTTCAAGAATATGTTGCTTAATGTCCACAGAGATTCAACGACTTGCGTATGATCACACGTCTAAGGAGAGGCAGAACAGGGATCCCATGCAGACAGATTTGGGCCCAAGATCACTCATACACTCGTGGTGCTACCAAGTCACATTTTTTTTGCAGGAAAGACAAAAGACAACCTTGATTTATTATTATTATTTTATAAATGACCTGGAATTCACATTCCCCAGGGCCAGTCTTGTCTCTGGCCTTTTTTGTTAGTTTTTCCCTTATTCTCTAGTTATCCATTCTAATTAATAAGAGACTACCATATAGTCCCCTTTTTCGCCCCTTGCCCAGCTCAAAGTCTGAAAGGAAACATGAGAACTCAGAAGACACTGGAAGACGTCACTATTACGGGCCTTTCCCAAGCCCCATACTAGTGAGTCCTTCTCTCCGTTGTGACTCACACCCCATCACCCTCCCTCCTCCCAGGACAAACAGCGTTATGACTCACTGTGGCTTCTGACAGCCTTAAAAGAACCATGAACTTGAGCCCAACCCTTGAAGGTCAAGGAGTACTATCATTCTTTAAGCCACACCACTGTGCACATGCTTTTTCCTTTAGCCAAGGGGAACTCCATGCCTCTGTGGGTTTTTCCCTTTAGACTAATATCTTTCTTCTTGGTTCCACCCTGAGAGGATTGTCAGTCAAGGGGGGTGTTTTTGGGTTTGAGATCAGCTTACAAAAGCTCCAGGGCAGAGACCTTAGTTGAATTCTGGGGATTTACAAAAGAATCAGAGACTGGGGAAGCCAAGTCTTCTGTCAAGTGAAGCTTATCAGGAATAATTCTAGTAAAAGCAGGGACCCCTCAGTGCTGTGTCATTATGGGCCTCTGGGCCTGTGGCTTCATGGGCAGGAGATAATTAGCAGACAGCTCATCCTGGAGGAAAGCAGAGAATGAGCCTTGGAACTAGTTCCCCTGCCTCCAGTTTGGCTTCTGTCCAGCTTGCCCCATCATCATGTCATGCTTACACTAAAGATCTTTAATGCTTCCCTTTCATCTCTATTTAACAAGGGGAAGAATATTTTTATAGCGTAAATGGAAAGGAAACAAGAAACACCTCTTCTACTATGCCTCCCTGCTTTACCTGACAACTGCTCCTGGTTCTCCAAGGCTCAGCTCTGCTGTTGCCTCTTCTGATTTGCCAAGTGGGGCTAGTTGCCTGCTCTGTGCATCTGCTACACACCTTGAACTCCTTCTAGCCCAGCCCTAACGCACTGTACTTTGGTTTTGCATTTAGTCATCTAGCTTCCCAACCATGCCATGAACTCCTCAACGGACAGGGCCTTGTTAGCACTAGTGGCATAGTAGGCATTCAAAATGATGGGCGCTGTAGCAGGGTGGTTGAGAAACTTATCTGTGTCTCATTTGATGCCATAGAGTTACTGGAAATGAAGGAAAGGCGTTCCTTCCTCTCCTAGCAAAGTTAACAAGTCTGTGTTACTAAGATCTGAATTTTCTTTACTCTTCATGAAAGAAGTTAATAGCCTTTTTGAGTTTCAAGGATGGGGGAAAAAAAAAAAGAAAGAAACAGGCAAGCCTCTCCCCAACTCAGTTCTAATCCCACAACATTTTTCTTTTTTGCTTGAAGGTACAGACCCATTGAGGTATAGTCTAAAGTAGAGAGGGACTTTTTCAAGATTTGAAGACAGTGGAGGCATAATCAGTGAGTTGGTTAGGTCTTCAGGGACTGGGTCAAGGGCATGGTTGTGGGAGTGTTCAGTGAGTTGCTCCAGCTGGAAGATGGGTTCCTAGAAGGAGGTGCCTTCATGGGGGCCTGGGAGGGCTGAGTACTGAGTGTGGTGGCCTCAGAAACCCTGTGGCTGAGCTGATACAGAGGACGGGGGGCTGCTAGCATCGTCACTCATTTTTTGGTGGTCTATGCCAACTGAGTAAGGACTTACATATAGCAGCAGCACTAGGGATGGGAAATGAATGCTGAGGCTGTTGTTTCCTTACTATCCCACTCTCTATTTACCATTTTCCTGAAACTGGTAAACTCTGGCATACTTACATGACCCAAATGAAAGAGACAGATTCCAAAAAGATAAAAAAAAAGATTAAAACTTTCTTGGAGTACCTTTGCATAGCAAAGAAGCCTTGTGAACAAAGAAAGCAGATCACTAGCCTAGGACATAAGTCAGCTGGAATGAGAAAGGTTTCAATCCAATAAGCATATGCCATTGGCCCTCTGTATCTGTGGGTTCCACATTCGTGGATTCAGCCTACCATGAATCAAAAATATTTGAAAAAATAAAGGATGGTTGTGTCTGTACAAACTTTTTTCCTTGACATTATTTCCTAAACAATGCAATATAATAACTATTTACATAGAATTTACATTGTCTTAAGTAATGTAAGTAAACTAGTGACTATTTAAAGTATATAGGAGAATGCATAGGTTATGTGCAAATACGATGGCATTTTGTATAAGGAACTTCAGCATCTGTGAATTTTGGTATCCACTGGGGATCCTGGAACCAGTTCCCCACAGATACTGAGGGGTGACTCTATAGAGTATACTGGCTCTAGGGTAGGAGGCAGGATATCATGATGGACAAGTCATAGACCCCTCTTGGTGCTGCTCCTTTGCAGCCTATCAGGTAGACCAGAGAGCTGCATTATCAGGACTGTAATATAATTTGTGATACATTGAGGTAGAGGGAAGCACTCAGGGGAGGGGAACTTAGCCTGGATTGAGAGAGGAAGAGAGGGCTTCCTGGAGTAGATGGCACTTGAATTAATCTTTGAAGGTTAATATAAACTAAGTTTATGATAAAAAATAGTAAGGGTGTTTCAAACACCAGGAAGTTAGTCAGGGATAGATAGAAAGGTATATGAGCTATCCTGGGGAATGGGGGAACTGACGTGTAGTTGGATGTTACTGGAAAGTGAAATGTGTGACTTTAATGGTGAGATAAATGATTAGAGAGTTTGATAGGGCCGGAGCCAGATAACTCTGGACCTGATCTCAAAGATGATAGGCAGAGATTAGAAGGTTTTAAGCAGGTCAAATTTCTGCTTTAGAAAGATATATTAATTAAGGCAAGGGTAGGTGTTCCAACAGAGAAATTCTGAAACCTCAGTGATTAAATGCTGTGCAAGATTATTTTTCAGTGACATGTATTTCAATTGGTAAGAGCAAGGGGTCTGTTCAAGGAATGTATTCAGAGTCGCAGGTGGACATAGGCTCTGCCATTTTCTAGTCATGACTTCCAAACTCTGGCCATTGACATCAAGCCAGCAGATGAGGCAAGGAAACTGAGAAGGCTTGTGCAGAAAGTGTTTAAGGATTAGATCAGGGAATGAGTACATCACTTCCATCTACATTCCACTGTCCAGAGCTGAGTCAACACAGTCACACTGCCAATGCTAACAGCAAGGGAGCCTGGGAAATGGAGCTGTACAGGAAGAAACATCTACCCTTGATAGTTCTTAGTTGGGACAGACCTCTGTAACAAAAAAATAGATTAACAAGAGAAAGGGGCTCAGGAGTTTATTAACATGTATATTTCAAGTATACATCAGATATATGCAAGGATAAGTGAATAAATCTCACAGAAGTGGCTTTGAATTCAGGTTTAAATACCATGTCTGTTGAAATGGAAAAAAGGTGTGGGGAAGGCTGGTTATGGAGAAATACCCAGGAAAAGCTCAGTAAACAGGGTAAGGTTTGTTATGCAGATTAAGTCAGTGCCTTCTCCATTGATAAGAGTCTTTAGAGATGTAGTCATCCTTTTCTTCCTGGTACAAAGAAGGAGACACTCTTCTATGATTAGAATGTATCTCCCAAAGCATATGGGTTGAAAACTTAATTCCCAATGCAACACTGTTGAGAGGTAGGACCTTTAAGATGTTTTTAGACCATGCGAATGAGTTTAGCCCCCTCTCTTGTTCCCTTGCTATGTACTGATGATGCCCTCTGCCATGCAATGATGCAACAAGAAGACTTCCTAGACTTCAGAACCATAAGCCAAATACATTTCTGTCCATTATAAATTACCTAATCTGTGGTATGCTGTTACAGCAGCATAAAACCAACTAAGATTCTTGCATATGGAGATTTTTTTATAGATGCAAATTTTCCCTGCAAAAGGGTAACGTCTACTCTCTTTTCAGAGATTCTCTTGTGTCTGCAGGGTTCCCAAATAATTGGCTCAAGATAATACTATATCAAAGAGGCATATTTTGAGGTGGCATATTTTGGTCTCCTGCCTAGCCAAGATGTTGCTTTGGAGGAAAGAAAAACCAGTTTGGTGAATGGCTAGTTCATCTCTGCTCAAAAATGGTACTTTGCCTCAATAAAAATTAGATTGAAAAGACACAAGATAAAAGGACTGTAGCAGTAGTCCATGCTAGAGGTGATGGTAGCCTAAAAGTGGTGGAAAGAGAGATTAGAGAAATAATATAAGAATGATTACAGAGACAGAATTGGCAGACTTGACGTATGGATGGGTGAGGAAGTATGATGGGAAGGAGAGAGATGACCCTGAGGTTTCTGGCTTGGTGGATGATGCATCCAAGAGAGATCAGAAATTACAAGAGTAGGAACAAATTTGGGAGGAGTAGAAATTGGCGGAGATGATAAACGTGGTTTGGGGCATGTTGAGTTTATACTGTTCATGGGACAAGTGACCATGTGAGTGACAGGCTGGGTTCGGAGATATGACCAGATTAGGGAGAGGGCTGAGTAAGGAAGATTAACATTTAAAAAGCCAAATAAATATTCCTTCTTTCATTAAGGAGGAAAAGGGAAAAAAAGAGATCTCAAAAAGGGAGAAGAAAAGGTAACTCTCCATAGGATATAAGCCATAGACATATTCTGGAGAATTTTTGATGTTTTTCTCCTGTAGAGTATCTTGGCTGTACAGTGCATGTATTAGACTTACCAAATGCCAGGAACCATGCTGGGTGCTGGGAGAGCACCTCTCTACTCTGAAGGAACTTGAAGTTTAGTGGGGAAAATGCTTGGGTATATCATGAATGGAGCTCATGGCCAGCAAGATTTCCTGTTCAAGATGGATTGTGGGTCACCAGGAGGGACATTTCCTTCTACGTGCCTGGAATTCCACCATTGCAAGTTCACTATTTTTGGCTACACTCTTTACCTTTTATTTTGGGAAGTAACATACTGTAAGAGAAAGAAGACAGTCCTTAGGGATAAGCAGTGGAAGATGACATCTAGCAGTTGATGGACCTTGAGCTGATAACTTAAATTCCTTGAGCTTCATTTCATCATTCATTATATGGGAAGAACCAACTCTGCACAACTCAGCACAACCAACCCTGATTGTGCTGAGGGTTATTGGCAACCATGAATGAGAAATTCTTGATATTAAATATACAATGCTCCATAACAAGAATATTATAAAGATGATGATGATAGCAGCTAACAAATAGTATCTTCCTATGTGCCAGGATTACTCTAAATGCTTTACTAATATTATCTCCATTAATCCTTATAACAACCCTACAAGATAGAATTATTATTACCTATTCCCTTTTAACCAGTAAGAACACTGAGGCACAAGAGGCCTCAGGTTTGAAGAGTAATGAATTCTGGCCGGGCACAGTGGCATGCCTGTAGTCCCAGCTCTTTGGGAGGCCGAGGCAGGTTGAGGTCAGGAGTTCGAGACCAGCCTGGCCAACATGGTGAAACCCTGACTCCACTAAAAATACAAAAATTAGCCGGGTGTGGTGGTGCGTGCCTGTAGTCCCAGCTACTTGGGAGACTGAGACACAAGAATCGCTTGAACCCGGGTGGTGGAAGTTACAGTAAGCCAAGATTGTGCCACTGCACTCCAGCCTGGGGTAACACAGTGAGACTCTGTCTCAATTAAAAAAATAAAAAAGAAGAAGATATAATGAATTCTGGATGGGCCACACTAGAACCAGTTCTGAACACATCCCTGAGAAGGAACAACTCTAGGACATGGAGGACTGGGTGGGTAGGCACTTAACGCCTGTTGAAAAGAAACTTGGAAATGGCCCAGGGTGTTGAAGTGTGTGCAAACCCATGGGAGAAAAATGGGAGACAAATGCTATTATCAGTATTTCATTCAGGACTGCACAGATGCCAAGTGGTTCATGCATTCATTCAGTTATTCAGTGTTCTTTTATTGAACTAACTCTGTGCCAGACCATGGGCTAGGCTCAAAAACACTGCTCCCTTCCTTCCTGGTTCCTAGAAACTCCTGGTTCATTCTGAAAAGGGCTGAGTAATAAGTGATAGATAGGCAAAAATCAAAAAGAACTTCCTGTTACATTTCATTCATTCTAAAATATGCATAGTTTTGTGTCTACCTGACATTGACTTTCTTTCTCCTGGGGAGTTACTCCTCAACTGTAGTGTACAGCACTCATAGAATTGGCCTGTGACTCAACTCTGGTGCTCAGGCATTCTCTCTTTACAATTTGTTTTGAATGGAGTAACAAATGGCTGAAACAGCTTCATCCAGACACCAGCACCCTGAAGAGACTTGATTGCTAGAACCTAGAGCCCTCGAGTTGCCCAACTTCCTTCTTTCATAGCCATGTGCCTTCCTTTGTCCTTTATATACACACACACATTTATTTTTATTTTTAATTTTGTCATTGTTTAATAATATAAGATACAATACTATATATTATATATAATTATATCTTATATAAATATAATATTTGTATAATATAAATTATTATTCCCTGATTGGCTAGTTTTTTATGTTATTTGCAACCAAATAAATTTAACTAGCATGTGGCATTTTCTGGTACCTTTCTACCTTGGGTTTTCCACCTGCAAAATGGGGATAGTAAAACTTGTTACTTACCCTCAGGCGGCTGTGCAGATTAAAGGTGTATGTCAGTAAAATGTTTTCAGATGCTTGCATGAAAGTTGTTGGAGAACTACAAAGTCTCTTCAATTTTAGCAGTACTTTCAAAGGACTTTCTTTATATACCATAAAGCAGCTTTTATCTTGGGAGGGTGTGCTCCTCACATTACCTTCTCTGTAAACAGTTCAATGGTTGCTCTGTGCATGATCCTTTTTCCAAAGCTGCCATTCAAGATGAAAGCTCAGCTCTATTTAGCCTGAGAAGTTTCTGTGTGACACACAGAGGGCTTGTGTTTATTATTGCCATATATATTACTTAATGGTAAGGAAGTTTGTTCAAATCCTTGGATTGTCAATTTGTTAGCGTTTTAGGGTTAATACATTCTTAACTCAAAAATAAAATGTAAAAACTCTACCAATTTTGGAGCAGAAAGTGTGGCATCTTATTAGAGTGCTCAACAATTATGAAAGTAGGTGCCACAGTAAAAACTATAACACCTTACAGATTATAAGGCGTTTTATGATTTTTAAAACACATACTTTGGACTAGTCTAGATACTAGAGTATGTGGCAGATACCAACTATCCCTAAGACTCCTGAGTTATTATTGCTAAATAAACCATTTGTGTAATATACAAACATGATGACAGTAATGCATGCTCATCAAAGAAAATTTGGAAATGCAGAAATGTAGAGAGATAAAATATATCAATATTTTAATAAGCTTGCTGTTGTAAAACAGCCATTCATCATATTTTCATTCATATCATTTTTCTTTTGGTCATAATTATAACAATTTCACATTAGTTGACATATTTTACGCTTTTTTTTCTTTTTATATTACATCATAACTCTATCAACTATCTATTGCCACCTATTAAAACAATGACCATTTATGATTGCAAATGAGTTCAGGGGTTAGCTGGAAGGTTCCATAGTCACTCTAGTTTCAGCGGGGCTTGCTAATGGGTCTGCAACCTTGGCTGGGTTCTCTCACTTGCTGGTGGGTTCACAGCACTCCTATCCTTGGTCTCTCATTCCCTAAGAGGACAGCCTGGGGGTGTGTACATAGCAGTGGCAAGATTCTGGGAGAGAAGACAGAACCAGAAGATGCTGAGGTCCAGAGCTGGCACACTGTCACTGCCACACTTTGCCAATGCAAGTGACAAGGCCAGCCTGGATTCCAGTGTGGGGAAGTAGACACCACCTCTGGATGGGATGGGACTCCCCAGTCATTTGCAAAGGTCACAGATAGAAGGAGGAGTGAAGAATGGCAGCTACTTTTTGCAATTGATATAGCAAAATAACATAAGCACACTTCTATATGATTTCATGGACATTTGTGATGATTTTATATGACAAATGAGTGTATTAAACTGAGTGACACCCTCGTAGATAATTTTAAACATTTCCAAAGCTTTGTTGGAAAAATTTTATATTTGGGGTAATTAAAAAATCTAAATCTAGAATCACGTAAGTTAATATATTGTCTTAAAGTTTATAAATATTTTTGTTGTTTTTCCTTCATACTTCCAAAGAACTTTTCAAAAAGCTGATACCAATTTAAATTCATATTGGAAGTATATGAGTGTTTATATCACTACCCGGCTATGAATACTGAATACTTAAAAAGATAAATCTCTGTTGAAACAAATAAGGAACCTTCCCACCTTCAGCATTTTGTTGATGTAATTGGCACTTATTTAATTGCTAGTAAAGGAAGAAAGGAAGGGAGCTAGAGAGAAACAGAAACAGAGTTCTGCAATCAAACAAGGTTAGGAAATACTGTGGCAGTTTGGTTCCTATATTAGCTATTCACAATGTATGTTAGCACTGGACACGCTCTGAAGAGTCTGTGGTAAAGAATCATATCCCACTTTATTTGCATCAATGTTGCCCTAATTAATATCGTCACAGAACTCTTATTTTTTCTATCAATTAATACCTTAGAACAACTCTTCTGAGTGGAACATTCTTGAGGAAATGGTGCCCTAGTAAAATACAGTCATTTTTCCTGATGGTGGGAATTTCAGACACCCTGGTAAGGTGGGAGGGATACGAGACACAGCTGGGGCTTTTGATCATTCCTAAGATCATACTGACCTTCACAAAAAGGAAATGTAACCTGTCAATGAAAATATTCAACTTCTCTTTCCTCCTAGCCATTCTCTTTGTAGTGATAACCCCAAGAGCTTTTAGTCTTTGAAGGGATGTGTTCTTCCCTGAAAATAGCCTGTTGGCATTTTTACTCCTGTTCGAATCTCTGCTGTAAAACCGATCTGAATGGTGGCCCCCATTGTCTAAGGGGCTGGCCCTTTCCTAGGGCTCTGCAGCTCCAAGTGCAATCTGTGGACCAGCAGTGTCAGCCTCATCTGGGAGCTTGTTAGAGGGCAGAGTCTCAGGCCTCACTCAGACCTATTGAATCAGGGTCTGCCTTTTGACAGGGAAATGTCCTGGTGATTACCATGCACATTAAAAAGCACCACCACTCCACGGGCCATCGAAGCCATCTAAACGACTTACCTCTCTTCCTCTTGACCATTGCTTTCTTCTTGTCCTCCCTCAATTCATTTCAGCTGCCACCACCACATACTGCAAAAAGTTACCTGGGCATATGCTCCTCTCCCTCCTTTCAGAGTCTGGCCCAAGCAAGGTTATAGGCCCATTCTCCTGGTTCCTTTAGGCATACACTTACTGTATAAAATAACAACCATCAACACCAAATACAGAGGCAAAACACAGGGGAAAAATAAAAGGAAGGATGAAATAAAGTCTAGGAGGCATAGATTCTTGCTCCTGCCACAACCCTTGTCCCTGTCTTGGGTCCAGATTCACAAGCCAAGTCTTGATCTATTTCTAACTCTGTCTTAGGAGACTTGCCCTCTACCCCCAGATGCGTGGTGCACTGGCCCAGGGCCCTTTTATAGCCACTTCTCTTGCCTTGGCTTTCTAGCCCTGCTGCTTCCTGGAGGGGGTTTCTCACAATTCATACACCACACCTCCAACTTTCTGCTCACTCCTAACCCCTGCAAATAGGCCTGAGATCATCCTGATTATTCTGTAGTCAAGAAACAGAGAGGCTGGGCATGGTGGCTCATACCCGTAATCCCAGTACTTTGGGAGGCTGAGGCAGGAGGATCTCTTGAGACAAGGAGTTTGAGACCAGCTTGGGCAACAAGACCCCCTCTCTGTAAAAAGTGAAAAACAATTAGCCAGGCATGGTGGCAAATGCCTGTAGTCCCAGCTACTTGGGAAGCTAAGGCAGGAGGATTGCTTCAGCCTAGGAGTTAGAGGCTACAGTGAGCCATGATGGTACCACCGCACTCCAGCTTGGGCGGCAGAGCAAGACCGTGTCTCAAAAAAAAAATTAATTGCTTAAAATAATTAAAAAAATAAAAATAAAAACAAACAGAGAGATGAGTCTCTTCCAGGATGGGAGACTGTCCTAGAAACTGGAGGCTCCATCTACTTTCTGATGTCTTGTTACTTTCCCTGATGACTGATAGCAGGCATTGATACTCCATCTCTGCTCCCTTGAAAGAGATCCTGCCTCAACCTAACTGACCGGGCAGTGACTTAACTGTGGCAGGCCTCCCAGGCACTATATTCAAGAATCATATGCATCTGCAACATGGGGATCATTTCTTAAAAGCTGCGGGGCTAAGAGTCATCAGCATGAGGATAAAGACTACTTGGGCGATGGGAAGTGAGAATGGCAGAGGATGGAAGCCACTTGGAGTTATAAAGCACAGAGTAATGGCTTTTAATTAAATTCTCTCACCAGGAAGGCACTATCCAGGAGGATTTAAAAGCATGAATCAGAAAGAAATTTCCTTCTTGTTCTACTTACTAGCTGTGTGACCTTGGACAAGTTGCTGAACCTTTTTGCCTCACAATTTTTTCATCTGTGAAAGGAGCATAAGGTTAATTCCTTTCTCTTAGAGCCATGGCTAACTGCAAAATTTGCAGGGCCTAGTGCTCGGTGAAACTGTGGAGCCCTTCCTTCAAAAGTTATTAAGAATTTCAGGACGGCCTTTCTGAGCCCAGGGCCCCATGCAACCCCAGAGATTGTATGCCTGTGAAGCTGTTAAGATCATTCCTGTGTCTAGGACAAGGTAGGAAGTCAATAAATTCCACTTAAGAATGAAGCCTTGAGAGGTATATATTAATAGTGCTGTATAAATGAACTGAAGATCGAGAAAGTAAAGCAACTTACCCAACAAGGTCAGATGGCTAAGTGACTGAGCCAGGCCTCTGCCTGGTTCTGTGTGGAAAACCCATAAGCAGAAATTTCTATAATAAGTAGCACAAGTGAGAGCAAATGATCTTCATTTCTACCCCAATGCAGGTGGAGGAAGGGGCCCTGGGATACATCCGCTCTCCTCTGTGTCAAGGAGACAAGAAAGAGGGAATTGCATATCTTATTCTGGGGACATTTGACAAAATCAAAAGCAGGGCTGAGGAGCTTCGACTCAGGGCTGGCCTATTGTGAGATTCTAGCAAAGTATTCAGCTTATTTTGATCAGAACCTTAAAACTGAGCCTCAGGCCTGTAGTTTTCTCAATCCTTGAATGACTCCATCCTAAGTGGAGTACCCAGGTTTCTTGCCCCACCCCAAGCATCTGGCAAGAATCCTTCCTTTTTTTGGGCTGCAGTGTTTCTGGGCCTCCAAAGAGTGAAAAGCAATCTGAAAAACCGCATGAAGCTCAGGGTCTCAGAAATCTGGCTAATTAGCCTTGTTGAGAATAAAAGCATTTCCAAAGAGAAACCCTAAAGAAGCCATGTGCAATGAGACAGCATCTGGGGAAGTGTCTAGCACAGTTCCCTTCCACGTGGGGAGGGTGCACTCAGCACTCATACTGTTGGCTCTGGTCTAGATACTGTGTTAGCCACCTTACATATTAGCTTTTATAATTCTCCCAGCATCCCTTGGAGGCAGGCATGACTATTCCCACCTTACAGATGAGGAAACCATAGGTCAGAGAGTATAATCATTTGTCTTCAATCACGCAAGCTAGAAAAAGGTGGAGTCAAGTTTTGAATCCAGCTTTCTCTGGTGATGCCATGCCATGCCATCCCATCCCCATCCCCATCCCCATCCCCATCCCCATCCCCATCCCCATCCCCATCCCTATCCCCACTCCCATCCCCATCCCCATCCCCACTCCCATCCCCATCCCCATCCCCACTCCCATCCCCATCCCCACCCTATGCTATCCCTATCCCTATCCCCTCCCATCCTAGCTTTTAACTACTTGCTATGGTCTGAATATATTCATGTGTTGGAAACCTAACTCTGATTGACACAATGCTGGGAGGTGGTGCCTAATAAGAGGTGATTAGGTCATGAGGGCTCTGCTGCATAAATGGATTAATGTTATAACGGGAGTGGGTTAGTTATCTTGCGAGTGGGTTTGTTATAAAAGCAAGTTTGCTCTTGCACATGCACTCTTGCTCTTCTGCCTTCTGCCATAGGGTGAAGCAGCAAGAAGGCCCTTGCTAGATGAGGCTCCTCAACTGTAGACTCCCCAGCCTCCAGAACTGTGAGAAATAATTTTATTTTTGTTATAAACTACCCAGTCTGTAGTATTCTGCTATGGCAACGTAAAACAGACTAAGGCACCACTGTACAGTGAGATTTTACAACTGTGATGGTTAATTTTATGTATCAACTTGATTGGGCCATGGGATGCCCAGATATTTGGTGAACAATTATTCTGGGTGTTTCTTTCCTGATAATTTTGGATGAGATTAACATTTGAGTCAGTTGACTGAGTAAAGCAGATTGTCTTCCCAGTGTGGGTAGGCCTCATCCAGTTAGTTGAACACCTGAAAGGAACAAAAAGACTGACCTTTCCTCCAAGTAAATGACAAATTTTTCTGTCTTTAAATTTAAACTGAAACATTGACTCTTCCTGAATTTTGAGCCGGCTGGCCTTTGAACTAGAACTCCCCTTCGGCTCTCCTGAGTCTCTAGCTTTCTGACTCACCCGACTCAACCTGGAGATCTTGGGACTTTCCAGCCTCCACAATCATGTGAGCCAATTCTTCATAAATCTTTTTTTATCTAACTATAAATGTAGATATGTATATGCATATATAGAAATGGGGAAAATCATAATATTTAGTCGTCCAGTGGATTAAATGAGATAGTGGTTATAAGGTAAATATCCTTAGCTTCACTATCAAATGTTGCTCAAATGTCAGCTTCTCAGGGAAGACTTCCCTGGTCTCTATTTCAAATTGCACCCCTGTAACTAGCATGTAATATTCCTATTCAATGACTTACTCTTCTGTAACCTTTATTATTCTATAACTTATAATTTACTTATTATTTGTTTTGTTTATTGTTTGTCTCCCTGACCAGTATGCAAGTACCATGAATGCAGAGCATTTGGTTTGTCTTGTTGTTTAGCACATAACTGGTATTCGATAAATATTTATTCCATAAATGAAAGACCCTGTCTGGCAAATAGTATGCAGTGATGAAATATTAGCTATCACAAACAAGATGAAAATTATTTTACTAGTGTTTTGGCCTCCCATAAACACTTTCATGACATACCCAAACTCTACTCCTTAAAATGAGATGCTAACCTACTCTGAAAATCATTTGAGAGGACTAACCAAGCTAGAGTTCCTGGCCCTCAATAATAGCTAGACAATTTTAGGATTTTTGACATGTATCAGACATCCCTCAAAACTAGTCAATGGATTTACCCTTTAGATGTGACTAAGGTAGAACATCTTTCTTGGCCTACCTTCTTTCATTTGTGAGATAAAAGACTGAGAAATAGAGCTATGAAAGCAAGAAGCCTGGAGCGAGTCACACAGACACTAGTAACATACTGGAAATCCTACAGCTACCTCTTCATTTGCTCTTTTACAACTACCAAGTGACAGATTAAACTCTGAGCATACAAGAGAGAAATGACAGTGTAGCTTATTATATGGCCCAGATAAGTTTTTTAAAAATGCCAGTAACTGGCATTGCTTTGAGGACTCACTTTAATAAAATAAAACTGGTGTTTTATTAAGCTTACAGGAAGCCAAGTACTTCCCTACATTGTACCAAGTCTTCTCTCACTGTGGCCAGTAAGAAGACCTCTTGATATGTGTGGATGCTGTGATTTGAACATGATGGAAACTTAGTTGCTACTGTAATAGTAGTAAGAGGTGTGGTCTTTAAGAAGTGATTAGGCCATGATGCCGGGGCCATGCTTTTGGGCTTCTCAGCCTCCAGAACTATAACCAAATAAACTTCTGTTCTTTATAAATTACCCAGTCTGTGGTATCGTGTTATAACAACAGAAAACAGACTAAGACAAAATTGGTACCAGGAGTGGGTTGTTGCTATAACAAAAATCTAAAACTGGATAATGGGCAGAGGCTAGAAAAAGCCTGTATTGCCATGAATGGAAAATTAAGGGTGATTCTGTTGAGGGTTCTGAAGAAGAGAAGAGCTTTAGGGAAAGTTTGAGTCTTCTTAGAGATTACTTAAGTGGTCATGACCAGAATGTTGGTAGAAATAGGGGCAGTAAAGGCCATTTTGTTGAGGTCTCATATGGGAAATGAGGTATTGGAAACTGGGATAAAAGCCATCCTTTTTACAAAGTAGGAAAGACCTTGGCAGAACTGTGTCTGTGACCTAGGACTTTATAGAATGTGGAACTTAAGAGTGATCAACTAGGATATCTGGTGGAAGAAATATCTAAGCAGCAAAGCATTCAGGCTGCTGCATGGCTATTTTTAACCACACAGTGAGATATGATAGTAAGTAAATTACTTAAAGGCAAAATTTATATTTAAAAGAGAAACATAATGGAAAGATTTGGAAAATTTGTAACCTGGCCATGTAAAGAGTGAAAAAAAATGTTCAGGAGAGAATACTAAGGATGTGGCCAAGTGAACATTTGCTAAAGAGATTTCTGTCGTTGGAAGAAAGCCAGGTGCTACTCATCAAGACAATGGGAGGAGGACCCAGAATTCATTACAAAAATTTTTGAGGCTGCCTTCTTATCACAGTCCTAGAGCTCTAGGAGGGTAGAATGGTTTCAGGGGATGAGTTTGGGATGCCCTCCACAGATTCATTCCTAGGACTGCCTCAGAACTCTGCACTCTGCATTTCGGCACAGCGCTTCTCAGCTGCCCAAGCCAGGGCTCAAGTGGCCCCTGGTGTGACTCAGGCTGCCACTCCCAGGGGAGTAGCATTCACACTCCCTCTTATATCATGTGGTATTTACTTGTCAGAGGGGTGGAGGCACTGCAGAGAGCCACTACTAGGGCATTGCCAGGGGAAACGTGGGTTTGGAGCGGCTGCAGATAGTCTCTAGTAGGGAAACATGTAGTGGAGTGGTGGAATTGGGGTCATTCCTGAGACCGCAGATCTGTAGAGCTACCAATGTGAAGTGCTAGTCTGGGAGAGCTTCAGGCATGAGACTCCAACCAGTAAGAGCAGCATAGGCAAACTGCGTAGGTCCCAACCCATGCTCAGGTGTGTTCAGGATTCAGGAGTCAAAGGAGATTATTCTTCAAATTTAAGACTTAATTTTGTTTTCCCTGTTGGGTTTTGGAGTTACTTGGAATGACCTACCCTTCTTTTCTTGCCAGTTTCTCCCTTTTGAAATGGGAATGTCTATCCTATCCCTATTCTACCATTATATTTTGGAGGTAGATATCTTGCTTCATTTCACAGGCTCACAGCTGGAGGGAATTTGTGTCACAATGAATTATGCCTTGAGCTTCACCCGTATTTAATTTAGATGAGACTCTGAGCTTTGAACTTTTGAGTTGGTGCTTGACTGAGTTTAGACTTTGGGGGCTATTGGAATGAAATGAATATATTTTGCATGTGAGAGGAAGGGCGTGAATTTTAGGGAACAAGGGCAGAATGCTGTAATTTGAAAGCGTCCACAAATGTTCATGTCTTGGAAACTTAGTTGTCATTGTAACAGTACTAAGAGGTAGGGTCTTTGAAAGGTGATTAGGCCATTAGGGCTCTGAAGAGATGATTGTCATTATCGTGGGGGTGGTTAGTTATTGGGGGAGTAAGTTCCTGATAAAAAGAGTGAGTCTGGTCCATCTCGCCTTCTCTGTCCCACTTCCCTTACACTTTGGGATGACTCTCAGCAGATGCCAGTGCCATGCTCTTGGACTTCCCAGCATCCAGAATTGCGAACCAAATAAACTTTCATCCTTCATTAATTATTCAGTCTTTTTTTTTTATTATTATTATACTTTAAGTTTTAGAGTACATGTGCACAATATGCAGGTTAGTTAAATATGTATACATGTGCCATGCTGGTGGGCTGCACCCATTAACTCGTCATTTAGCATTAGGTATATCTCCTAATGCTATCCCTCCCCTCTCCCCCGACCCCACAACAGTCCCCAGAATGTGATGTTCCCCTTCCTGTGTCCGTGTGTTCTCATTGTTCAATTCCCACCTATGAGTGAGAACATGTGGTGTTTGGTTTTTTCGTCCTTGTGATAGTTTACTGAGAATGATGATTTCCAATTTCATCCATGTCCCTACAAAGGACATGAACTCATCATTTTTTATGGCTGCATAGTATTCCATGGTGTATATGTGCCACATTTTCTTAATCCAGTCTATCATTGTTGGACATTTGGGTTGGTTCCAAGTCTTTGCTATTGTGAATAGTGCCGCAATAAACATACTTGTGCATGTGTCTTTATAGCAGCATGATTTATAGTCCTTTGGGTATATACCCAGTAATGGGATGGCTGGGTCAAATGGTATTTCTAGTTCTAGATCCCTGAGGAATTGCCACCCTGACTTCCACAAAGGTTGAACTAGTTTACAGTCCCACCAACAGTGTAAAAGTGTTCCTATTTCTCCACATCCTCTCCAGCACCTGTTGTTTCCTGACTTTTTAATGATTGCCATTCTAACTGGTGTGAGATGGTATCTCATAGTGGTTTTGATTTGCATTTCTCTGATGGCCAGTGATGATGAGCATTTTTTCATGTGTCTTTTGGCTGCATAAATGTCTTCTTTTGAGAAGTGTCTGCTCATATCCTTTGCCCACTTTTTGATGGGGTTGTTTGTTTTTTCCTTGTAAATTTGTTTGAGTTCATTGTGGATTCTGGATATTAGCCCTTTGTCAGATGAGTAGGTTGCGAAAGTTTTCTCCCATTTCATAGGTTGCCCATTCACTCTGATGGTAGTTTCTTTTGCTGTGCAGAAGCTCTTTAGTTTAATTAGATCCCATTTGTCAATTTTGTCTTTTGTTGCCATTGCTTTTGGTGTTTTAGACATGAAGTCCTTGCCCATGCCTGTGTGCCTGTGTCCTGAATGGTACTGTCTAGGTTTTCGTCTAGGGTTTTTATGGTTTTAGGTCTAACGTTTAAGTCTTTAATCCATGTTGAATTAATTTTTGTATAAGGTGTAAGGAAGGGATCCAGTTTCAGCTTTCTACATGTGGCTAGCCAGTTTTCCCAGCACCATTTATTAAATAGGGAATCCTTTCCCCGTTGCTTGTTTTTCTCAGGTTTGTCAAAGATCAGATAGTTGTAGATATGCGGCGTTATTTCTGAGGGCTCTGTTCTGCTCCATTGATCTATATGTCTGTTTTGGTACCAGTACCATGCTGTTTTGGTTACTGTAGCCTTGTAGTATAGTTTGAAGTCAGGTAGCGTGATGCCTCCAGCTTTAAAAAAAAAAATTATTCAGTCTTTAATATTCTGTTATAGCAGCAGAAAATGACTAAGACAATGGGCTACAAGATCAAGGTTAAACATACCCCGATGGTGGCAGGAAACATTTTTATGTTTCCAGTGTCAACCATCTGGGCTGGCAGATCCTTGGTCAGGAACCACAGAAGGGGTGGGTGGCTTACATGGACAATAAGTTTACTTTTGTATTCCCTTCTTGACCTGCACTTGAAGCACCTAGGTACCTATGAGGTCACTCTCAAGCAGTGGGAGATAGAGACAGACTCTGTCACTTGGGAGTAAATGCCAGTGGTAATGGTAGCTCACACTAGTTGAGCACTCTACCACTATATACCGAGCACTCTACCACTATATACCAAGCACTCTGATCAGTGATCTGAAGTGGTCTCATCAACTTCACAGCAAATGTAAAAGATCACTGGATGCTATTGTTATTCCAGTTTTGCAGACAAAAAGATTGAGGCTCAGAAGAATCAAATGACTTTTCTCAGGTCACATATGCAATAAGTGAAGGTACTGGGATTTGAATTTGATGATTCTGACTCTATTAGTTTGCTAGAGATGCCATAACAAAATAGCACAGACTGGGTGGTTTAAGCACCAGAAATATGTTTTCTCACAGTTCAGGAAGCTGGAAGTCCAAGATCAATGTGCCGGCAGGGCTGTTTTCCTCTGAGGCCTCTTGCAGATGGCAGCCCTCTTGCTGCCTTCACATAGCAGTCCCTCTGTCCTGCTCACCCTTGGTATTTGTATGTGTGTCCTAATCTCCTCCTCTTATAAAGACACCAGTCAGATTGGATTAGGGTCTACCCTAACAGCTTCATTTTAATTAAATTACTCCTTTAAAAGCTCCATCACCAAACACAGTCACATTCTGAGGTACTGGGGGTTAGGACTTTCTCATGGTTATCTCAGGATACCATAGCAAAATACATAAACCCAGTGGCTTAAGCAACAGAAATACATTTTCTCAGTTTTGGAGGCTGGGGGAAGTTGAAGATCAAGATTCCAACAGACTCAGGTTTAGTGAAGGCTCTTTTCCTGACTTGTAGACAGCTGACTTTTTACTGTGTCCTCACATGGCAGAGGAAGAAATGAAGAAAGATAGAAAGAGAAAAGATGAGGAGAGGTAAATTAGGGCCTCACCCTTAAGTCCTCAATTAACCTTAATTATCTCCTAAGGATGCTATCTCCAACTACAGTTATATCTGGGGTTAGGGTTTCAATATAAATTTGGAGGAACACGATTTAGCTCATAACAGACCACTCTTAGTCATTTTACAAGTTCAAATATTTAACCAAACCACTCTTAGCTCTTTTACAAGTTCAAATATTTAGAACCTGAAGATCCTTTATGTGTATTTTGCTGATGTTAACTCCCCGTTGGTAAAGCCTTTTAGGAGTCACATTCACGTCTTGCCTTAGATATACACACAGAGGTGAAAGGGCCCTCTGTCCTAGGACCACAAGCATAAAGGGGAAGTGGCACCCCCTGAGGCCAATGTAGTGAAGGCAGGATCATTAGTGAGCTTTTCTTGGGGAAAGCAACTCTTGGGCAAGTTGCTCAACCTCTTGGTCCCTGCCTTTCCTCATTGGTATACCAAGCATAAAAATCATACTCAACTCGCGGGGATACTGTGAGAGAATATAACTTAGCATAATGCCTGGAACATACTTGGACATTTCTAAGGAAGTGACTTTTTTTTTTTTTTTGCCTTAGTTACTTCCTTTCAGTAAGAGTTCAAAATGTCATTAAACATCTTAGATAATCTCCTACAATAGCATTTTTCAAGATATAATTTCTGTATCCTGAAGTCAAAAGATGCTTTTCTTAGAATGAGTTCTAGAATCAATTATGTTTGGAAGTACATTTACAGTTTCTCCCCCTTTGCAAATTAAATGTTCTGGGAAATTTTAGAACAAAAATCTTGTTGAACTTGGTACACCCACCATCTTCACTTAATAGTGGAATGCACTTTGGAAATGGCATCTTATATAATTTTCTAATTCTTTGTGTATGTGTGGGTCTCTTTAACTCATTTTCAAGTTTCCTCATCATATTATATATAATATATACATTATATATTATATATGCATTATATATATTATATATACATTATATATTATATATGCATTATATATATTATATATACATTATATATTATATATACATTATATATTATATATACATTATATATTATATATACCTTATATGTTATATATACATTATATATTATATATACATTATATATAATATGTATACATTATATATAATATGTATACATTATATATTATGTATACATTATATATAATATATACATTATATATAATATATACACATTATATATAATATATACATTATATATAATATATACATTATATATAATATATTCATACATTATATATAATATATATACATTATATATAATATATATACATTATATATAATATATTATATATACATTATATATAATATATATACATTATATATAATATATTATATATACATTATATATAATATATACATTATATGTATAATATATACTATATATAATATATTATATATACATTATATGATATCTACATTATACAATATATAATATCTACATTATACAATATATAATATCTACATTATACATTATATAATATATACAATATATAATATATACATTATATAATATATAATATATACATTACATAATATATAATATATACATTACATAATATATAATATATACATTACATAATATATAATATATACATTACATAATATATAATATATACATTACATAATATATAATATATACATTACATAATATATAATATATACATTACATAATATATAATATATACATTACATAATATATAATATATACATTACATAATATATAATATATACATTACATAATATATAATATATACATTACATAATATATAATATATACATTATATACATAATATATAAAATATACATTATATACATAATATATTATATATACGTAATATACGTTATATATTATAAATACGTAATATACGTTATATATAATATACACATAATATATGTTATATAATATACATAATATATTATATATACATAATATATATACATAATATATAATATGTATATTATGTATATATAATATATTATGTATATATAATATATTATGTATACATAATATATACGTTTGTGTGTGTGTATGTCTTTTTATATCTACCATGACAGTGTACACATAGTGTACACAAATGTCACTCATCCAATTCATTGGAATCTGTATTCTATTTCACAGAGAATGAACTTCAGCCCAGCATGGTAGGAAATTATCCTACTTCCAGGCAGGCAGCCTAATGTCATAGAGGGGACATTGGACCAAATATTTCTGTGCTTTACTTTCCTTATTTATAGCTTTAGTGTGACAAATTGGAGAGGCCCTGAGTTATTGTCTACTTTTAAATTCTATGTAATTCTGAATTAATGGCACTAAATTTGGTGAAGTTTTATGATAAAAATAGGTAAAATGGAGAAAAGAGTCATAACCTTGTGAAAATAAGTGAAGACTAACCACATGACAACAAAGGAAGGCTATTTATTCAGAGCTTGCTACAGGAAGGGAGTTAGCTACCATCACATGCCAGACTCCAAGGCAGGCAGGGGAGTGGGAAGGATTTGTAGTGGAAAGAAGGGAAGGGCTCAGGTGTGCCCTGGGTGGAGGCTGTTGGCCTGGGAAATCTGAACATGGGCTAACTCAAAGCAGGGCATCCCATGCGATCAATTAGGGATGAATATTTAATTTTCGCTGGTTGGTCCTAAGCTGAAAGTGGGGACAACAATTAGGAAGCCTGGCAGTTATTAATAAAATCTTGGCCATCATGGATTTACTGTGACAGGGGTTATTGTTTGGCTTCCTGGACAAATGACTAGAGATTACCAGTTACTGCTAACCTGACTTCTGTACATCTGATTATAGACAGCTGGCTGGCTTCCTGGGTTTGTTACTGTGGATGATGGATTGGTTTTCTGGACAGGTTGCCAGTTGTGGGTCAGAGTTCTACGTTTATGTAGAGCTGGGCCATTGTCTGTTTGGATAGTCAGCCTCCTCTTATACTCACTAGCTCTTGGTTAAAGTTCCCCATATAACTCAATTCAAAAGTTCCCCAAGTCAAGGAAATGTGTCTTGTGTTTGTGCTTCTGGTAAATATGACAATAGAGGAAACCATGGATCTTCCTGGAATTCTTTTCCTGTAGTTCATCATTGTCACAAATCATGTGCTGAATGTAATAGTTAGACTTTTATGATTCTGGGAAGGCATCTTCTTAAACTTCAAAAGAGTTGTGAGTTCCAGAAGAACCTAATGGGACTCCTGTGCACTCTCATGGCTCCTGAGGGGAACTGGAGGCTCCCCCATGGAGTGTTTAATTCCCTGTACTGATTACTCTCAGGATGTCAATGAAGACTGGACTAGATTTGACATAGCATGTCTCAGCAATTTCAGAACAACTCTCAGGATTTCTGTTTTATTTTATTTTTTAATAAAAAGGGAAAGAAGTTCTTGCCTAGGAGTCCATATGCCCTGACCTGTGGCCTGACCTAAGAAGGATTTAAAAAAAAATGATTATTTAAAAAACCACACAAAGAAGAACACATGGCAGAGACTGTAAGACACCCACAGAGCCTTATCTATCTACTCACTTGAGAGCAAACTTTTGTCAACCCCTATCCCGGTCAATTAATAGAGAGCCTTTGCCAGATTTTAGAAGTAGGGTCCCCTTCACTATTAGTGCAGTGAGTTTGGGGGTGGTGCCTGGCAATGAGTTTGGGGATAGTGTCTGGCATCTCCATACAGTAACTGTAGAGGATAAACCAGTCTAACTTGTCAGGCTGGCCAAATGGGGAGCAGCTGAAGGTGGTCTCAGAGGCTCTGACATCAGCTGGCTCTCAGGAACTGTGGACCTGAGTGTTTTGCTTTGTTTTCTAAACCACTATGGCTCCTCCTATGTGACTGCTCCCGGGGCTAGTCCTGCTGCCTTTTCCAGTTCAGCCTGCCTGATGGCTGGAGAAGAGTCAGTATCTTCAAGGCTTCAAAGCATCCTCATCCCAGAGCTCAGTCTGTCTGAGTAAAACTTAAAGCATACTTTTCCTTACCTTTTCCATTCCTGCTGGTTCAGTTCCCAATCCTTGGTTCAAAAGCCAGGTTGAATTACCTTTCTGGGAAAAGCTGTCAGACATGTGGGGATGATAAATAATAGCAACTCAAAGTATTAATACTTATAGCACATCATTAGGTGAGCAAGTCAAATATGAACGTGGGCCTACAGCATAGTCTTTTGTTTCCTTTTTTTTTTTTTTTTTTTGAGATGAAGTCTCACTCTGTCAGTGGCACGATCTTGGCTCACTGCAACCTCCGCCTCCCAGGTTCAAGTGATTCTCCTGCCTCAGCCTCCCAAGTAGCTGGGACTACAGGCACCCCCCACCACGCCCGGCTAATTTTTGTATTTTTAGTAGAGACCGTGTTTCACCATATTGTCCAGGCTGGTCTCGAACTCCTGACCTTGTGATCCACCTGCCTTGGCCTCCCAAAGTGCTGGGATTACAGGCGTGAGCCACCACGCCCGGCCTAAAACATAGTCTTAACTACTTAAAGCAAGTGAATAGAAAAATAGCGAAATTTGCATTGAAACAAAATGTCAGAAAGGAAATGCCCCAAAGTTAAACTGTGGTTGCCACAAGGAACTGGAATTGTAGGTTATGATTTTTCCTTATTTTTGATTTTCTGTGCTTTCTAATTTTTCTATTAAAAGCACATATAATTTTAAAATCAAATTTAAAAGAATAGTTTAACCCAACACTGCTGTGATGTTTTAGTCTGAAGAAACACATATGTATTTGTGCTCAAAAGTCCTTCTGGAAGCAGATGGAAAAAAGGATCCCTAAAATGTGATTCAGACCCAGTTGTCACAGTTATCAGAAACAAGTGAAAAACTTAGAAAATCTGATGTTAGAGAGCCTTGAATTATTCTGGTAACTACTTCCATTCTCAGTTTACATTCTGGGAAAGACGTTTTTTTTTCCCTTGCTTTGAATGTTTTAGTGTTGGAGCAACCAAGAATTATAGTTGTTCTAACTCTTAATATATTTAATTTTCAAAACATGAAACTTCAAGTAGAAATTAAAGCCCTGAATATATTTGAAACTCACCGATGCCTCCTTTTTCACATGGGACAAATCCATTGCCTCTTGTATTTATGTTTATTGCATCTATAAATCGATTGGGAACAATAAAAACCCAGGAGCCTGAATGTCAGGAAGGAAAGGAGACTCAGTCACAGCTTGTTGTTAACTCTTTGATGTATATATTTGTTCCAAGTGCGGGACATTGGCATCTTTTTCTGTTTCTTCATGGAGGACAGTGTCTTCTCTAATAAGCGGATAATGGGCTTGGCAAGAGAGCAGGCCCGTGTCTTCTCAGGGCAGAGTCACCACCTTATGTTCATGGTTCTTGTTTTTGTTGTCATTTGTTTCTCCTCCCTCCCTGGGCCACCCTTAGAGGTGTTAGAGATCAGGATACGTAATTCTGTATTCATCATCTATCTTTTTGTTCCCTACCTGTTTGTCCTTCCTGGGTCTCACAAGGACTCCCTCTGCATCCCCGGCTTCTCCCTCTAACAGCCACTATAACTCTGTTTCGTACTCATCTGCCTGCTTGCCTGACTGACTTACTAGATTACAGGCACTTTGAGTCCAGGGATCATGCCATATTCAGCTGCTTTGTATTCTTTTTTTTTTTTTTTTTTTTCCTGAGATGGAGTCTTGCTCTTGATGCCCAGGCTGGAGTGCAGTGGCTCAATCTCGGCTCACTGCAACCTCCTCCTCCCAGGTTCAAGCAATTCTCCTGCCTCAGCCTCCTGAGTAGCTGGGATTACAGGTGCATGCCACCACACCCAGTTAATTTTTGTATTTATAGTAGAGACGGGGTTTCACCATGTTGGCTAGGCTGCTCTCGAACTCCTGACCTCAAGTGATCCACCCACCTCGGTCTCTCAAAGTGCTGGAATTATAGGTGTGAGCCACCATGCCCGGCCTCAGCTTTGTATTCTAAGCAACCAACATGGAGCCTAGAAGTGGCTTCAGTACATTTTCTTAAATGAATAAAGTAGAATCAATAGAACTATGCTTCAAGCACTGTTTTTAAGCACTTTGCCTCTGTGGGTTCATGCAATACCCTGCAAGAGTTCTATTATTGTCCCTGCTTACTTGTATATGAGATGGAGGGCTCTGGTGACTGCAGACTTTCTGTCTCTAGAGCTGTGGCTGTTGAAAGCTATGTCTCTTCTAATACCTCCCCAGTGGGCTTCCTGGGGTGATGAGGGTGGGAATGGTCCCAGGCCCATGGAGAGAGGGCAATATTTAAGCACACTCAAAGGTCTATATAGAGATTGTCCCCCTGCTAACCCCTGCCCAGACTACCCCTCATGACTCAAACTATAATGCATAGGGGTGCTTCTTATCTGTCCAGACTCTTGGCCATCTGGTTCACCAGGCTGGGCTATCTGCACACCTTGTGATTGGGCTTGTGCAAGTAGGATGCTGGCATTCCAAGCCTTCTTCAGGCTGTTGTCTGGAACACTGCTGCTTATTTTCCACTCTTATTCTCTCTCCGTATTCTCTTCCCATGTTTACTTGGCTACCCTTCGGCCCTCTTGGCTTTGTTTTCAGCTCTAGCTCCTGCAACCTTTTCAGTTTTTGCAGCAGTGCTTGACTTCCCTGGGTGAGCCTCACTTCATACAGCCAGCACTCTGCCTGGGTTCTTCTGCCCCTGGCAGCTTCTGGCAAGTCTCCTGCTTGACCAAATGCCAACTCAAGTCCCAATTTCCAGTGTGACACAGCCTCTAAAGCAAGAGTGGGATTCCCCCAGAATTTATTACATAGCTCTGCAGAGAAGTTGTATGACGAGTTACACATCTTTAGTTCCAGAGTAGAAGTGGGAGAGGGTGGTTATCAAATTAAGGCTTATCTCCCCAGCCTAACCTGCCAGCATTCTTTGTGGTTTCCCCCAAAACTTCCATTTGCCCTTATTTCTGGGTTATTGCACACCCCCTGCCCATGCCTGGGAAACTTTCTCAACCCCACTCTCCACCCTTTAACTTGACTCCTGCTCCTCCTGTGAGCCTCGGTTTTGATGCTCCTTCCCTTAAGAAGAAGCCTGTGCTGCTTACATCCCCTGAGCCCTGGAGGCCTGGATCATGCAGGTGCCTTTGGATCATGTAGGTGCCTTTTCTTTTTTCTCCTTTGTCACCATGTAAATCTTCATCATCATCATAGTAGCCACTGTTCATAGAATGCTTCATTTATGCAGGCACATTTCTAAGAGCTGTACAAGGATTAGCTCAATTGATCCTCCACAACCACCCTGAGACAGGTACTATTTTAATCTCTGTTTTACAGATGAGGACATCTGGCACAAGGAAGTTACAGAACTTGTCTAAGGCTGCACAGGTAATTAGTGGTGTAGTCAGGTTTTGAACCCAGGCTGGCTGGCTCTAAAGCCACAGGGCATAGCTGTTCTTGACTGCCTCTCGTGAACGGCATTTGTCACAATGCATTGCACTGTCTAGTTACTCCTGTTTTACTCATAGCTGTGAGCTCAAATCTTTACATTTGTCTGTAACTAGAATTCAGGAATTTGAGCATAAAGCTGAAATCCAGGCAAAAATTAAACTCAATGAATATTTTTGGTGAAATAAATGCCTGAATTCTAGTTACAGATACTCTATGTCTCAGAAATTCAAGTAATTCATTCTTGATTTTGTGAGATGAAGTCTGACTTAAAAAAAAAGGATGGCCAGCTGGGCATGGTAGCTCACGCCTGTAATCCAGCACTTTGAGAGGCCAATGTGGGTGGATCACCTGAGGTCAGCAGTTTGAGACCAGCCTGGACAATATGGCAAAACTCTGTCTTTACTAAAAATACAAAAATTAACCAAGCATGGTGAGGAGTGCCTGTAGTCTCAGCTACTTGGGAGGCTGAGGCATGAGAATTGCTTGAACCAAGGTTGCAGTGAGCCAAGATCGTGCCACTGCACTACAGCCTCGGCAACAGAGTGAGACTCTGTCTCACACACACACACACACACACACACACACACAATGGCCAATTAACTGGTGAGTTCTTTTTGGGTTCCTTAATGATTTCTGTATTAATTCATCTTATTTAATGAATATCACCTGGGATAAACAACATTTTCTTGTCAGCTCAAAATTTTTTGTAAATATTCATTAATTATCATTTTAAATATTTGAACTGATAGGAAAGTGTTGTTTATCCCAGCCCCACCCCTCCCTCCCCGTATGATAGAGCTGGAGATTGGAACCAGAGGATTTAAGTGACTTGCCCAAGGTCACACATGGAGCCAGTGACAAACAGGATTCTAGGTTAGATGGTTTCCAGTCCTGTGCCCTTTCTCTACACCTGGTCAAACAAAAACTGCAGTCACACGAGGGCATGTAGTTAAAACAAACAGCAAGTCCACAATTGGTTCGATTATGACTTCAAAGAGCCCGATGGTACTCATGACTTTGGTGTGCCCTGGGACTGCGATCAGCCCAGAGTGAACACAGGGCAACTGATAGGAGGCCTGCTTGGCATGGCCAGAAGCACCCAGACCCTACAAAGTCTCTTAGGGTGTTTTGCTCACCATGAGGCCTCTGTCCCTGTGTGACCTTGGGCCCATTGCTCTGCTTCTCTGGTCTCCAGTCTATCCTCCTGTAGTATGTTGAGCTTAATCTCAAAGACTCCATCAAGCTCTGAAATTCTAGCATTCTCTCTTAACATCCCCTCTGCTATTGGCTGTGTTCACTCCTGCCCCTCTGCCTTCACCTGAGCCATGTGAGGAGTTTTCTGTAACTCCTCACTGTTCATTGGAATCCTCTCACTTACAGGTAGAGCACGAGTCCCAGCTCACAGGTGTGAAGGAAGGTCAGTGCTTTTGGGTCAAATCCAAATACTTTTCTTAACTTTTATGTGACCTGGGAACAGCGACTTTACTTCTCCAAGCCTGCAGCTGCAAAGGAATTAATAATATCCACAGTATAAGAATGGCTGTGATGATTCAATAGAATTAAATGTATGAATTACTCAGTGGGGCCAGGAATATAGCAGGCTTGGGGGTCAGCGAAATTTTTCTGTAAAGAGCCAGGTAGCAAATTATTTCAGCTTTCAAGGCATATGGTCTTATAGCTTTGCCAGTGTAAGGCAAGAACAGGTATGGACAATATGTAAATGAATAGGAGTGACTGTGTTCCAATAGAACTTTATTTATAAAACAGGCTGCCATCTAGATATGCAGCCCCACACTAAATTTTGCATGCTGTCTTGACCCCTATTGTAGCTTCTGATTCACATTGCTTTTTCTGTTTCCCTGTAGACAAATGTAAGGCTGTTTTGTGCTGTCTTTGTCTTTCTATGGATCCCCTCTCTGCGTCATTCCTCCTTTGCCAGATAAGACGGCAAGAACAGAGATGTTTTCATTGACGTTTTTTCATCCAGGGTTCTAGGCACAAGCAGTAGATGTGCCCAGATTTATTTATTTATTTATTTATTTATTTATTTATTTATTTATTTATTTTTTTGAGATGAAGCCTTGCTCTGTCACCCAGGCTGCAGTGCAGTGGCGCAATCTTGGCTCACTGCAACCGCCATCTCCCAGGTTCAAGTGATTCTCTTGCCTCAAACTCTTGAGTAGCTGGGACTACAGACACATGCCACCACACCCAGCTAGTTTTTGTATTTTTAGTAGAGACAGGGTTTTGCCACGTTGGCCAGGCTAGTCTCGAACTCCTGACCTTGGGTGATCCACCTGCCTCGGCCAGAGTTATTTTTTAAAAATAAAACTGACCAGGGGCAGTGGCTCACACTTGTAATCCCAGCACTTTGGGAGGCTGAGGCGGGCAGATTACTTGGGGCCAGGAGTTCGAGACCAGCCTGGCCAACATGGCAAAACTCTGTTTCTACTAAAAAAACAAACATTAGCCTGGCATGGTGGCACACACCTGTAATCCCAGCTACTTGGGAGGCTGAGGAGGATAATCGCTTGAACCCGGGAGGCAGAGGTTGCAGTGGGCCGAGATTGTGCCACTGCACTCCCACCTGCGTGATAGAGTGAGACTCTCTCAAAAAACAAGAAAAAATAAATAAAAAGGAGCCTTGTTCCTTCTCATTTCAGGCCAGGGACTTGCATCTGAGGTCTCTCAAGTGTAGAGGTGAAGGGCCTGGCACCAGGGAAGAAGAAAGTCTTTCTTAGGACGGAGTGGGCTTGCAGACTGGGAGGGGCTTTGCTTTCTAAAGAGATGCTGTGCTTGAAAAGAGCTGCTGGCACACAGGGGAGCTGGCCAGCAGCGGGGAGGCGTGTGGGTCTACTGCAGAGGTTTCATCGCCATGCCATCTGCACGGTGGCCTCTGCTGATAGCAGAACCATTGTTCCTTGCCATTGTGCAGAGTGGAGGATGTTCAGGACTGTGGGCAGGGTTGGAAGCAGCCACTCATTTTACAGAGCTCAGCTCTATGAAAAACAGAGAGAGAAAGGGTAAGCAAAGGGGGAAAGAGCACCCACCATTAGAATGTGTACCCGCTCAGAAATTGAAGTGACCTGGGTGTGAGCGACGATAACATTTGCTGTGAGTTGCTCTGGGTTTGGAATGGGAACTGGGCTTTTAGAGGCTGGTAATTGGAATGCTCAGAGATTCAGTAACCCATCTGGCAGTTATTCTGCAAATTTCAGTGCCTTGGTCAGGAGCCAGAAGGAAAAAAAAATCATGCTCTCTTCTCTTTTTTTTTTTTTTTTTTTTTTTTTTGAGATGGAGTCTCACTCTGTCATCCAGGCTGCTAGGCTGGAATGCAGTGGCGTGATCTCGGCTCACTGCAACCTCCACCTCCTGGGTTCAAGTGATTCTCCTGCCTCCGCTTCCTGAGTAGCTGGGATTATATGTGTGTGCCACCATGCCCGGCTAAGTTTTTTTGTATTTTTAATAGAGATGGGGTTTCCACATGTTGGTCAGGCTGGTCTCAAACTCCTGACCTCCTGATCTACCTGCCTCGGCCTTCCCACAGTGCTGGGGTTACAGGCGTGAGCCACGCCTGGCTTGCTCTCTTCTCTTAATCCCCAGTGCACGCACTTCTAGTTGCACTCAGCAGCCCCCAGCCTGGCAGGATTGTTAGTGCTACTTTGCTTGGCTCAGCGACTCAGGGAAGCCCCTAGAAATGCCAGATGCGTCAGCCGCTGGCCTTCCACAGGGCCTGGAATATGGCCAGGCACCCAGGAGGGGCCAGGAAGGAGTGTGGGTAATGGAAGACTGTGACTTCCAGGGTCATCTGGGCTTGGTTTTGAATCCTTGTTCTATGTGGGCAAGGTATGGAACTTCAGCAAAGATCGTCTCTGGGACCTACTTACCAACTCTGTGATTTGGCCAAGCTACTTAGTGTTCTGTGCCTCAGCTTCCACATGTGTAAAATGGGAACAATGTTGTACCTCCTCAGAGTGTTGTTATGAGGACCAATGAGCATGCCTACACACACACACACACACACACACACACACACACTTTAAAGAGTCTTGCCCACAGCACATGCCAGTATGGGTTTACAACCTTTGTAATTATTTTCTCACTTGTAAAATGGGAATAATGACATCCATTTCCTGGAGTTCCTGTGAAGATGAGATGGGTTCATGAACTTAAAGCCCCCGTTTCTGGGCTTGGCATATAGTAGGTCCTCAGTGAATGTTAGTAAGTTTGTGGTTCCCTTCACCACAGACTTGTGGCATAGCATGGGTAGGACTTGTCAATTACCACGGATTGTGGACCAGGCTTCGTCACCTGTTAGCTGTGTGACCTCAGGCTAGTCACTGCCCCTCTCTGGGTGTTCTTACTAGAAGATTAGGAGGTCAGAGAAGGTTCACTCTTTCTGCTATAATATCCCAGTCTTCCCAGGGGGTGGGAAAGCTTATCACAGATGCCTGTCTTATAGAAATTTGCCTTGAGCACTAGCCTGACCTTAGATGGTAGAGGTCACAGGAGGGGTGTTTCCAGCATGTGTGAAACATGACAAGGCAAGGAGCTCCCTGGGCAGCCTACAAAACTTTAAAGAAGGAGAGGCCAGGTGTGGTGGCTCATGCCTGTAATTCCAGCACTTTGGCAGGCTGAGGTGGGAGGATCACCTGAGGTTGGGAGTTTGAGGCCAGCCTGACCAACATGGAGAAACCCCATCTCTACTAAAAATACAAAAAAGAAAAAAAAATTAGCTGAGCGTGGTGGCACATGCCTGTAATCCCAGCTACTCGGGAGGCTGAGGCAGGAGAATTGCTTGAACCCAGGAGGCGGAGGTTGCAGTGAGCCAAGATAGTGTCATTGCACTCCAGCCTGGGAAACAAGAGTAAAAGTCCATCTCAAAAAAAAAAAAAAAATGGAGAAAGGTTTCCTCAATTCTTAGCAGCTCCCAGACCCATCATCATCATTGTTGCAAACACTTTGTTATTACTGAACACTTCACATACTTTAATTCATTTGACCCTCACAAGTATCTCATGAAGCAAATACATTATACCTGTGTTGCAGATTAAAAAAATAGGCAACAGAGAAGGTTACCTTGCCAAGGTGACACAGCAGTCAAGTAGAAATGGGCTTCGATTATAGTGGTTTCAGTTCTACATCTGGCTGTACACCATGGGACTTAGCTGGCAAATGGAATAAACAGATCAGGCCACAGGCTGCAGGACGTGGAGTGAAGTGGGACATGTATTGGTTCAGAGGGCAGCCATGCTGTGTTCATCCGGGGGCCCAGGCAAGACTTGCTGGAGGCCAAAACCAAATTGCACAACTTTAATTTCTCTGGGTCATAGCTGCCCTAGCCTGGTTCAGGGCATAGGAGGGTCAGGTGAGAGTGCTGTCTTCAGTAAGGCCTGGGAGAGGAAGAAGCTGTTGAAATGGGAGGCCTCATTCCCAGGAAGGCAATGGCAGGCATTGACAGGATACAGGATGGTACTTGGGGATGAAGAGGCAGGTCCTTCCAGGTAGGAGACATTGAGGCACTTTACATTCAAGAACACATGGGACAGAGGATCAGAGCCCCAGTGGAGCCTCCACATTGATTGATTCTGTTATGGAAAAAACTACATTTTCAAGTGACTTGAGCCTTTGGGTGGCTTGTCTAACTCAAACCCTTTGGACAGGTCCAAGGTTAATCTCTCCAGCGCTCTCTGGGGAAGAAAACAAGAGTGTGTTCTCTGTAGTGTCCAAAGAGTGCCCAGAATGCAGCCCCACTGCTTCCATGACCACTCATTGTGCACTTATCTTTTGCTCCATACAGTGTTACCATTTTATAGATGAGGGAAGTGAGATTCAACTGTAAGTTCACTGACCACCAGTACACAGGCTGCAGTAGAGCTGGGATTTGAACCCTGGTTGTTCTGATCCCAAACCTCTGCCCTAAACTGCTCCACTCTACTGGATTTTAGGAGAATGTTTCTATCCTTTGGCTTAACATGCGAGGTGTTTCATGACTGGCCCCTGTCACCCCTGCTCACTCATGCCACACTGCAGCCACAAGAAGTTATTGCTGTTCCTGGACTCTGTGCCCTTTCTGTACCTCTGTCTTTGCCTAGGTCATGCATCTGCCAAGATTTCCCTTCACAATTTTCTCCTCTTCCTTTAATGCTCAGCTCATGTGTCACTGTTTGAGGAAGGCTTTTCTCATTATATTTTCACAGACTGCTGAACAACTTTCAGCCTGCTCTTCCTGAACCCTTTCTCACCAATCCAATCTTTTCTTTACCCATCTGCCATGAGGACCTTTCTAGAATGCAGCTAAGATCTTGTTCCTCCCTAGTTCCTCACCCTTCATTAGCTCCCTATTGCTCTGAAGGTGCCTGGCACACGTGGCCAGTTCTGGCTGGCTCTTGCCTATTCCTCTCTTGAATAATGCCTTGGCAGCCTCCCTCTCCCACTCCAAACTTCTTCCAGTTTTCTGGAGGCTCCTTAACTCTCCTACTGCCCTCCCATGTCGCATGCTTCTCCCTCTTCCTTGAATGCTCTCCGCCTCTGTCTTCAGTGGCCAACACCTTCTCTTTCTTTTAGTCTCAGGGAGACTTCCTGGTGTCATAAACCAAGACGGATCCCTGGATGTGCTCTTGCAGCTCCCATTGTAAAACTCAACCACTCCCTGCTGCCACTGCTTGTTAACATTTTTCCTCTCTGGAAGATGGTGAGTTTCACTAGGGCAGGTAGCCTGGCCTCACTTTGTGCAGAGTTCCTGGTACATAGCAAGTGCTCAATGCATATTAGGTAGAAGGATGAGCAGATGAGTGTGGTGGCTTGCCCAGAGCCATCAAGAGCTAATTCTGGAGACTTGGAATTCTAAATTCCCCATCCCAAACCATCTCCCTACATCAACTTGTCCGTAGACCCTGCTTGCCTTGCATGCTCATTTCCTACCTCTAGACCATTTTCCCCAAGTTACTCTCACTATATACCATACTAACAATCATACTATATGATGTTTCCTGCTCTAGGGAGCACCTTTCAAATATTTGTACACTCTTGGTCCTTGTATTTTGTCTGCTAGTCAAGTTCTTCAGTTTAGCTCCTTTAGTTTTTCTTTCTTAAATAAATCTTGTCATACTCACTTTGTACCCAGTTTAATTTCCAAAGTATTTTCCCCTCTTCCCACCTCCTTAATACTATTTTTTTTAATGTCCTTAAGTTTAGAAGCACTGGCTTAGACATACAGTTCAATTTAAGTCCATAGAAAATTATTGTGTCCAATGCTTGAGATAGAAAGATGAGCAAGACGTTTCCCAGTGTTCAGAGAACTACAGTCTTGTATCTCTGAAGGCTGAGTGCCTCTATGCTGGAAGGGAAATATTTTGGTGTATTTATTTGTATTGGGCATTAAGCAAGATGAAAGTAGCTTTTTTTTTTTCCCCAGCCCAGAGTGCTTGGGAAGCATCCCCTAGAATCATCCTGTTCTCTTCTTTTCTATCCTTTCTGCAGACACACAATTGCAACTCTACATCCTCTTAGGGAACACTGAGACAGCCTGAGCTACTTGGTCCTAATTCTCCGAGAGAAGGAGACCATGGCCCTCAATCAGGAGACCTGGTTTGGGAGTTAGCTTAGAAAGCTGTTTACTTTGAATTAGGAAACAAAGTCTAGGGTTTGAATCATCACCATGCCTCTTATTAACTGCATCTTCTTGGAAAAGATATGTTAAGCCTCCTGCTTTCTTCATCTGCAAAACAATAATAACTGCCTCACAGAGTTCTTCTAAGGATAAAGTAATGGAACAAATAAAATATTTCTGGCTCAAGGACTCAGCAAATCCTCCCGAATCAATGGAGTGGGAGTTTAGCCATGATCTGTCTTTTGCAGCTACACTGTGTGTTTGTTAGTGGCCATGTGAATGAGCTGCCTTCTAATGTCTAGGTAATACCATAGATTCAGTGCAGCTTAGATAAGGTTAAGTCCTTGGCTCTTAGACACACAGCTGGTGAGGGCATAGCCAGAAGTCAGGTGTATTGGAAAGAGTTTTATATTTGATCAAGTATAAAAGATACATTCAAATATGATATAGCCACTTCAGAGAACACCTTGGTTATGCTGTACATACCATGCATACAAAAGTTGTTTGTACCAGAGTACAAACAATTTTTTCTCTCTCATGGTGCATCCAGCTCTCCTCCATCTGTGCATTCAACCATTGAACTGGGGTTTATTGAGCCCCTACTATGTGCCGAACACTGCACTAGTGAGCCAAAGATGTAGTTCCTGTGTGAGGAGGCACACACTCTTAGTTTGTAGGCAATACAGCCTGGTGTACACTGTGATGGAAATAAGCAGAGGAGCTATGGGATGGGGGCAGAGAGAGGGACTAGTCACCTCACTGAAGGGCCAGGGAGGGTTGCTTGAAGAAGATGATCTGGTAGACAGTTTATGTTGGTGTTGGACCAATCAGAGTAGATTCTGGTCAAGGAGTTAGGACTGGATTCTTAGATGCATTCTGTTATGCCAAGCATTAACCCTGTAATTGCTGACTCCCAGCAACCTTGAGGATGAGACAGGGTGGGAGGGGTTGAGCACAGTCAGTTGGGAGAACTCAGGGAAGTGGCTATTCACTGACCACATAGAAGGGGCTCTCTATCTTACCTCTGACATTGCCATCCCACCCTCACCTTGCTTGGTTATGAAGTTTAGGACAAAGTTACCAGGTTTACAAACATCCTGAAACCCTCACCAGAGACGCTACTCTAAATCTGATCAATTTTACTTCATTTTCCCTGTATTACATTTTTGAAATTGGTGTTTTATGTCTTTCTTTTCCATCAGTTGTACAGATATTTCTTTACAGTTTCTTGCTAAATAGAATGTCCAAAATGGTTTCAAGCATCTCTGTCTCTATGCCTTCCTGCCTTAATTAGTGCTGTGGGTCTTTCTCTCCTCCTTGTTGAATTATGCCATCAGTACACCTCTAAGCTCCTCATAGTGTCTTCTTACTCTCTAACATTAACTCAAGTGTTGTATCTCTTCTTAGTCTCCATGTTTTTTTGAGAGTAACCCAGAAGTGCCTGATGCCTCTTTATCTCTGTGAAAATTTCTGTGCGGGAATGAAACAGCCAATTCTGGGAGGCAAACAAGTGCAGAGAATGCACATTTTGGAGTCAGGTGACACTAATTTAAGCACTAGGCCTTTTGTAGTTGGCTATTTGGCTGTGGGCTGGTCTATTTCTTGGGGCTTTATTTAAAAACTAGAGATTAAAATTGTGAGACTTCAGTGAACCGCCTGCATTGGTTTAGGTCCATCAATAAGCAGACACCAAAGTGGGATAAGACACGTTAAGATGTTATTAGAAGAAATGCCTGTGAGAAAGGAAATAGGTCAGGAGTTTGGAAAGGCTGGGAGAGCCTCAGAGGCAGTGTAACTCTGACCCCAGTGAAGGGGAGAGGGAGAGGAAGTTGGTGGAAGCATCCGAGACTATTGTTTAGTCTACAGAAGGGTTGACAAAGCCTTTGGGAAGTCCTTGAGCTTCAGTTGGCCAACAAAGATGTCCTGGAGTTCCATGTCTCTCAGGAATGGGTTGGTTTTGGTGTCTTTGCTGCAGTTAGTCATTGTGGGGGCAGCCTGTGTTGTGGTGGGGGGGTACTCAGGCATAAATGTGGTGATGGATTTCAGGTACAACAGCTGGGTCCAAGGTCAGTTATGTTCCCTGTTGTAGGAGGTCTGCAAGGTTCATCCTCACAGCTACGTCAATGCCTGTCACATTTCCTGGACTACAAAAGTGACTGTCCAACACTTGAATCTGAAGTGAGATGCCATTTCCTGAATTTGTGGGGCAGGGTTCCTCTACCTCAAAATAGACAAAGCCTTCACATTGGCAAAGAATGAGAAAGCGCCGAGTGCTGTGAGCAGCACACAAGAGATGCTCAGGAAACCTGGGAAGGGGCCCACATATGATGGAAAAAATATGCCTGGCTTCAAGTCCCAATCCTATGAAATGCCTTTGGGAAAATGTTTAAACATATTTTTACCTATTACAGGGAGCTGACAAGAGGGTAAAACAAGACAACTCTACCAGACATAGGTAACCCTAAGTGCAGGACGGCTCCATAACTTTCCTCTCTCTGCACTCTACCCCCTTTACTTTCACTTACCTTAATTTACTTAGGTAACAAATTTATCAAAGTACCTGTCCTAAGGCCCAGAATGAGAGCCTGTGTTCTACATGCTTAATCTTATATGGAGTATTTACTCTTTCAGAGAATGTTCCTGCAGGAGTCAAGTTTATTTATGATGTGGTAATATTGGGATTTCAGAAGACAGAGGTGTTCATTGAGCAGAGAAGTGGTATCTAGCATATCAAAGCTCTGTCTGTTTTTCTACCTGATCCTAGGGTCCCTCTTAGCAATGCTGTCCCCTTTAACAAGGTTCTTTAATTTGTGACCTAGTGCAGCTTCTTTCTACTTTCCATCCGTTCATTTATACAACAAATATTTGAGAGCCTGCTCCATGCCAGGTACTGTGTTTGGTCTTGAGATGGAGTTGCTCTAACAGAGCATCTGAGTTTGGATCCATCCAAAAGCCAACCCCAACACAGTTATTGGGGTGTAGGTAGCTTATTTGGGAAACAGGTGCTCCTAGTAAGGAATGCAAATAAGTGGAGAAGTGAGTCAGGGAAGAAAAGGAAACCAATAAAGTATGCTTCCTCTAGAGCAAGGGCCAGCAAATATTCTCTGTAAAGGCCAAGATAGTAAATGTTTTTGACTTGGTGGATTATATGGTCCCTGTTGCAATTACTTGACTCCACTGTTGTAGTGTGAAGGCAGTCACAGGCAACATGCAAATAAATGGGCGTGACTGTGTTCCAATAAGACTTTATTAAAAACAAGTATCTAGCAGGATTTGGTTCATATTTGCTGACCCCTGAGGGAGAGGGTACCTACCGTGGGCAACTGGGGCTCAACTGCACTGAGAACCCACGGGAAAAACACTTCCGCTAATTTGTCCTACTGAAAAGCATATTGGTAGATTTATCTATCAAATCTCTTTCCTCATGGTTTGAAGGGTTGATCCCTTGGTCCCCCGATTTCACCTGGTTGACCTTGAGCCCATCTCATCTTCCCCAGGAGTGCTGGGCATGCTCTGTGTCCAGAGAACACCCTTGGGCCAAGAGGCATAGGATTCCTCAATGTGTGCCAAACTAGATAGTGACCTTGAGGGTGACCCAAGGGGACATGGGTGAGGCACAAAAAGTAACTATTACACAGAGGATCAAATATGAACCTCTAAGAAGTGACACCATATTTCATGTGGTCAAGAAAGCCCTGTTCATTAGAGAAAACCTACCAGGCATAGAGAAAAATTTCCAGGCAGAAATTTTGTAGTTCTAGAGATAACACAGATACAAACACTATCTAAGATTTATTATGCTCTTCCTATGGAACAAATGCTATACCAAGCACTTTAGATGTATTGACTCAATCCTCTCAACAGCTCTGGGAGGTAGGTGCTATTTTATTCTCATTTTATAGGAAGAGAAACTGAGACCTAGAAAATTTACACACTTTTCTTATGGTTGCACAGCCAAATAAGAGGGGGAGCTAACTTGTGAACCTCAGCATTTTGTCTCCAAGACTCATGGTCAGAGATGAGCTCAGGAATTCTGTTCAGACACTCGCTGTATCAATTTGCTGAGACTGCCATAACAAAGTATCAAAACCTTGGTGACTTTAGACAGCAGAAATGGGCTGGGCATGGTCGCTCACACCTATAATCCCAGCACTTTGGGAGGCCAAGGCAGGAGAATCACTTGAGTCCAGGAGTTCGAGATCAGCCTGAGCAACATGGCAAAACCCCATCTCTACCAAAAAAAAAATACAAAAATTCACTGGGTGCAGTGGCACATACCTGTTGTCCCAGCTATTAGGGAGGCTAAGGTGGAAGGATTGCTTAAGCCTGGGAGGCAGAGGTTACAGTGAGCCATCATACCACTGCTCTTCAGCCTGGGCGACAGAGCAAGACCTGTCTCAAAAAAAAATTAATAATAAAAATAAATAAATAAATAAAAATTTAAAAAGACAACAGAAATGTATTGTCTCACAGTTCTGGAGCTTAGAAGTCTGAAATCAAGGTATTGGCTTGCTACCTCAGAAAGCTCCAGGGAAGAAGTTTTTCCTTGTCTCTTTCTAGCTTCTGGTGGTGGCCATTGATCTCTGGCTTGTAGATGAATTGCTCCAATCTCTGCCTCCACTTCCACACTCTGTTCTTTCTGTGCATCTCTGTGTCTCTTCTTTTCTTCTTATAAGAATACCATATTGGATTAAGGATTCACCAATGATCTCATCCTAACTTGATTACAGCTGGAAAGACACTAACTGCAAACAAGGTCACATTCACATACAACCCCTAACCGGGGGTTAAGACTACAGCATATTGTTTGGGAGCAATAATTCAGCCCATAACAATGGACCAGGCACTGTGCCAGGACCAGAGATTCTGAGATGAAGCAGTCATGGTTCATTTCTGTAGCCAATCATTGTCTATGGATTCAGTGGGATTATTAAGAAAAATGAGCAGATGAGGAAAGTATAATGGAATCAGCACTCGGATAGTTGCATTTACAAAGCACATCTTCATTCAGAAGTCTCTTTGGTTCCCCACATTTTTACCTTTAACTTTTTTATTCCTCCATCACTTATTGATTCCCTAGGTTGATTATGCATTGTGAGATGAAGCTGTAATTCAGGATAGTGGCAATTGCTACTTTTAGGCAAGAATGACTTCCTGCTCTGAGCCTCAGTTTCCTCATCTGTGAAAAAGAGTCTTTTGGAACATTAGTGACTCTTAACTCTGACACCATACTGGAACCACCTGGGAAGATTTTAAAAACTACTGAGTCTAGGTCCACCCCTAGAGATTCTGATTCAGTTGTTCTAGGTTGGAGCCTGGGCATCAATATTTTTAAAAACTTTTCAAGATTGTTATAAGATGAAACCATGTTATGGTCTTCTGGCCCTCAAGGCTATTGGAGCCCACCTGCTCTGCAATTCTTGAATTTTAACACTTTCATTCTCAGGTTAAAGGTGCTGTGGACTGAATGCTTGTCTCTTCCCAAAATCCATATGTTGAAACCCTAACTCACAATGGGATGGTATTAGGATGTGGGGCTTTAGGAGATACTTAAGTTATGAAGGTGGAGCCCTCAGGAATGGGATGGGTGCCCTTAGGAGAAGACGCAGGAGAGAGCTTGCTTCCTCTGTCTTTGGTCTCAGCCATGTGAGAACATAACCGGGAAGAGAGCCCTCCCAAGAACTCGGCCATGTTGGCACCCTTATCTTAGAATTCCCAGCCTCATTATCCAAAGAAAATTAACACAAGAGCCGAAAACCAAATACCACATGTTCACTGATACATGGGAGTTAAACATTGGGTACTCATAGACATAAAGATGGCAACAATAGACACTGGAGACTATTTGTGGGGGAGGAAGGTAGGGAACCAAAGATTGAATAATGATTGGGTACTATGCTCACTGCCTGGGTGACTGGATCAGTTATACCCGAGACCTCAGCATCATGCATATGCAGCATATACCCATGTAATAAACCTGTACATGTACCCACTGGAACAAAAAAGAAAGAGAAGAAATTCCCAATCTCTGGAACTGCAAGAAATAAATGTTGGTTTCTTATTTACTTATTTTTATTGTTATTTTTAGTTCTGGGGTACACGTGCAAGATGTGCAGGTTTGTTACATAGGTAAAGGTGTGCCATAGTGGTTTGCTGCACATATCAACCCATTACCTAGGTATTAAGCCCAGCATGCATTAGCTATTTTTTGTAATACTCTCCCTCCCCCCACCCCACCCCCCCGACAAGCCCCAGTGTGTGTTGTTCCTCTCCCTGTGTCCGTGTGATCTCATTGTTCAGCTCCAAAGATCTAGAACCAGAAATAGCATTTGACCCAGCAATCCCATTACTGAGTATATACCCAAAGGAATATAAATCATCCTATTACAAAGGTACGTACACATGTATGTTCATTGCAGCACTATTCACAATAGCAAGGACATGGAATCAACCCAAATGCCCATCATTGATAGACTGGGTAAATGTTGGTTTTTAAGCTACCCAGTACATGGCCATTTGTTATAGCAGCCTGAACTAAGGCACATGGCTTCTGCCAGAGCTGAGTTCAGGCAGGACTCCAGGGTCTTCTCTCCTATCTAGCAGCACAGTGCTCTCCTTCAGCTTGTTCACACCTAGAATGCAGGCCCTGGAAACCTCACCAGAGAAGATGTTTATAATAAAATACTCTGGTTGAGGGGCGCTGTCAGCAGGTCTAGAGAATAGCTACAGAGACACCAGCAATTGTCAATTAGGCACTAATTGCTTCCTGGCAAAGCCAGCCCTTTGATGGGTGATGGCTCAGAGATCACACAGATTAATCAGGTAAACATGCTTCTTCCTTTTCTGGGCTTTGGAATCCAGGTGGTAGGAGAGCTTGGAGAAAATAACCTGGTTGGTGGCCAGAAATTGGAGTGCTTATTGTAGGCAGAAGGCCAAAAAAGGCAAGGGAAGTTTCAGTTTATTTTTAAAATCTTTTTTTGGTCATATGTCTAAGTCTAGCTGTTCCTAAGAACTTGGGCTTTATAGTTGTGCCCATCTGGGTTTAAATCACTTCCCTTTCACTGTGACCCTGGAGAAGTTACTTAACCTCTCTGAGTCTCAGTTTCTTTATCTGTTAAGCAGATATAACAGGAGAACTTACATTGTTGGATGGTTGTGATATATATAAGTTTACAAGTAATGATGCCTGCAAAGGGTTTAGCATGGTGCCTGGCACACAAATACAACTAATCAACGTTTGTTGTTATTGGGTTGTTCTAATTATTATTGACTCATGAACCTTGTAGGTGGCGAGAGCAGAAACTAAAGGACATTGGCACCAACTGTGTGCCAAGTATTGGGCTAAACAACATACATAGAATCTCATTTAATTTTTATAATAAGCATGTAGGGTAGATGTTGTTATCTTCTCTACTTTATAGATGAGAAAACTGAGGCCCAGGGAGGTGAAATAATTTGCCTAGGGTCACGCAGTGGCATGTTGCTGGAGCCTGACTCCAATCATCTCTCTCCTTCCCTCCCTCCACAGTGCATATATCTGGGTGAAATTGCGTTAAAAAGAATAAGGGAAAGCTATAAAAGGAGAAATATTTCATAAGAGAGCAGCCTGGGGTCCTGCACACGTGCACACATGTGCTGATAGTTACCCTCATCTGGGAGTTTAGTTATAAACATCTTCAGTGAAAATATAGGGTCTCCAATACGGGTGTTAAGAAGCTGGAATGAGGAGCACTGGGTACTAACAGGTTGAGATGGTAACTCTGAATCTACTCATCTGTTTACCATCCCCAAGGCATTTCATGGGCTATGGGAGACATTTTGAATATCCATCGATAAGTTTATATACTTCTCTGTGGCAGGCAGGGCCCTTCCCAGATGAAATTCAGAGAGCTAACAGGAATTTCTGGGAAAGAGAACCAAGTTTGTCCTCGTAGGGGTGGGCAAAGGCTCTAAGAGTCTGGGTGGTCCCTGACATGAGTAATTTCTTACCACTGTTGGTTTCCTTTTCTCATTTACATTACCCACCCTATATGCCTGAGGAAGGTTGGGGCAGCCCCCTCCCTGTTTTTATTTTTTATCCTCTGTTGAAGTTAATTAGTACTATCTTGATGGTCCTTATCCCAAAACACAGCCCCTAGCCTTGCTGGGTCAGAGAACCTGGAAATTATTGGTGTGGTATGCAGAACAATGGCTCCCAAAGATGTGCACGTCCCAATCCCCCAAGCTGTGAATGTGTTACGTTACGTGGCAAAGAGGAGTTAAGGTTGCTGATGGAATGAAGGCTGCAAGTCTGCTGACTTATCAGGATTATCCAGGTGGGCCCAATATTGTCACCAGGGCCTATTAAAGTGGAAGAGGCTGGCAGAAGTTAGAGAAGCAGAGAGTTGGCAGCATGGGAAGGACTCAGCCTGATGTTGCAGACTTTGAAGATGGAGGAAGAGGCCATGATACAAAAAGAGCTGGTCAGGAGACAGGTTCTCTGCCGCAGAAGGAATATAGCCCTGCTGGCGTCTTGATTGTAGCCCCATGAGCCCAGAGTAGGACCTCTAACCCATGGAACTGTAACATAATGCATTTGTGCTGTTGAAAGCTGCTAAGCTTGTGGTAATTCATTACAGCAGCAATAGGAAACTAATCTACTTGGCATAACACAGGAAAGGGATAGGGTAGGAAACCGGCCAGAGGGTTTGAGTTCAGGGATTGGAGTGTGTAAAGGTGACCACCCTGTGTGGCCCAAGCCAAGCACAGGAAAGCACAATTAAAACAGAAAAAGTGTTAGCTGATATTTTCTTAAAGGAGAGCAAACATTGTACTGGGAGGATTCCTCTGGGAAAGTGGAAGAGCATGGGTCTTGGAACAAAATAATATGGTTTAAAACCTGACTGCATTTCTCTCATTCTGTGATCTTGGGCAGTTAACCTCTCAGAAGCTCAATTATTCATGTATAAAATATCACATACAGACTATCAGATTAGTATGCATGATCCCATTGATTATCTGTAAATTCAGATATTAGCTAACTATGGAGTTGTTCTGATTGATAACAACCAAAGAGAAGCAGCCCAGAAGTAGATGTATTAGAAATGGAGACAAACTTCTTCTCCAAAGGCTATATGCCACTAAACCTGCTGTATTTTTGTTTCTTTGAACTAAGCCATTGAATATTGTTTAGAAAGAAATTAATCTACATTTAGTGTTAACGCGATGCTAGATAGTAAAAGCTTCCAGTTTAGAAGCTTTTTGGACATCTTTCGGAGCCATTATTCTGCCCACCACACCAAGTATTTCCAGGTTCTCTGACCCAACAAGGTGAGGGGCTGTGTTTTGGGATAAGGACCATCAAGACAGTACTATTTAGGGAAGATAATTTTGATGGGAAGGGAACATGTTGCTTGAACTAAGAATTAGGATTAGGCCTAAGGACTAAGATATTCTTTGCAAAAACACACTTTTATTTTATTTTATTTTATTTATTTAATTTAATTTAATTTAATTTAATTTTATTTTATTTATTTTATTTTATTTTATTTTATTTTTTTGAGATGGAGTCTCTCTCTGTCACCCAGGCTGGAGTGCAGTGACGCTATCTCAGCTCACTGCAAGCTCTGTCTCCTGGGTTCACGCCATTCTCCTGCCTCAGCCTCCTGAGTAGCTGGGACTACAGGCACCCGCCACCACGCCTGGCTAATTTTTTGCATTTTTAGTAGAGATGGGGTTTCACTGTGTTAGCCAGGATGGTCTCGATCTCCTGACCTCATGATCCGCCTGCCTCGGCCTCCCAAAGTGCTGGGATTACAGGCATGCGCCACCGTGCCCAGCCAAAAAAAAAAAAAAAAAAAATACATATTTAAATAAACCTCTATCCCTTAAGAACTTCAAGTTCACTTCTTAGTTGGCCAACCAACCAAATTTCCAATTCTTGTTTTTGTCTTTACTTTAAAGCCCAGCAATGATCTTTATGTATAAAAATGGATCTTTAAGATGGTCTACATTTCTACCTTTGCATCAAAGTCAACATTCCCAGATATGAACTCTTTACCTATCCACTTCTGTCCCTAAATCTGTTCATCCTGTGCTTCCAGTCTTAGTGAGTAGCAGTCACTTGGGTCCCATCACCCAAGCCCAAAACCCGGAGTCACCAATCCCTCTGAGGCCCCTCCTTAGCATCTTTTTACCTGACCTCTTCTCTCCATGCTCATTAGTATTATTATTATTTTTACTCAGAAGAAGAAATAATACTATAGTTCCTCTCTCTGCCTCAAGTCTTGTCCCCATCTCTGCTCTAATCTAGTCTCAACCCTGTGACCAGTATGCCATTTATAATTAATAGTTTGATTGTGTTACTTTCTTGCTTAAAACCTTTCAATGTCTCTTTGCTAACTATGAGTGCTATGGACTGAATTGTGTCCCCTAAAATTCACACATTGAACCCCTAACCTCCAGTGTGACTGTGTTTTGAGATAGAGCTTTTGGGAAGTAATTAAGGTTAAATGAGGTCATGAGGGTGGGCCCTTGATTTGATAGGATTAGCTATCTCATAGGAAGAGACACCAGAGAGTTTCCTCTCTCTGCCATGTGAGGACACAGCAAGAAAGCAGCCATCCACAAGCTAGGAAGAGAGCCCTCCCCAGAAACTGACCTTGCCAGACCTTGACTGGGGTCTTTGAGCATCCAGGACTGTGAGAAAACAAATTTCTGTTGTTTAAGCCAACTTGTCTGTGTTATTTTGTTATAACAGCCTGAGAAGACGAATATAATGAGATAAAATCATGGCATATAAGGCTCTTTTTTTTTCTAATCTCCACCTACCTGACAGGTCACACATAGACAGCTCTTCTCTTTACCCACTCATAATTTAGTTTCCTGATCCACCTTGCTCTTTGGGACAGAAGTCTTCCCTGCTGGGAATAGTCTGGATGGTTTCCTTTTGTTCTTTATGGTTTTCTTAGTGCCAGTGGTGAGAACTCCATTTTGTATTCTCTTAGGACTTGAGACAAGCCTCCTTCATCACAATAAAATGTGTTATAATTATTCCTTATCTAATCTACATCTCTCAGTTGACAGATTGAGAAGGAGAGAGAGAGAAGGATGCTGCCTTACCTGTCTGTCATATCCCCGGAACTCATCACAGATCTGGCACCTGGTATATTTTGCAAAAAAAAAAAAAAAAAAAAAAAAAGTCTTTTGAATGGATGAGTCAATGAATGAGTGGAACATGAAGCAAAGCTTATTCTTGCTTTTAGGATAAGTTCCAAAATCTCTCACATGGCCTATGTAACTCTTCAACCTTGCTTAATTCCATCTCCTCTGGTACCAGCCATAGGAAGCTGCCTGTTAGTCCCATACTGCCCCCATTCCCAAGACTTTGTACATTCTCTTCCTTCTGGTTGGAATGTGCTCCCTGCTCTAACCAATCTTATGCCAGTGAGTGGCTACCCATCTTTCAACTTGTGGCTAAATGGCTTCCCATGGAAAGTTTTCTTGACATCTAGTTCCTTAGACAAGATGTCTTCCTCTGCCCTTTGTTCACTTAGCACTTTTCTATTTGTTTCCTGATACTTTCTCCAATGCATTGTAGCATGCTTACGTGATTATAGAATTAAAATTGGGCTTTTTGATAAGGCATTAAAGTCCCTGAGGTCAGAGAGGTTTTATTCACTTGCTTGATTGTTTTGTTTACATCTCTTACTCTCCACTAACCCCTGCCTCCACCACCTTACCACTGAGGCTTTAGAACGGTGCCCAGCACGTAGCACAGAGCAGGCACTCATAATAATACCCTAAGATGGTAGAAAATTGATAGTTGCAAGATACAAATCAGACCCTATTTTTAGCCATTTTTTCTCTACATCATTTCATTCACTTGGAGTTATCTAATAATAGGCTAGAATGAATCAGACCTTATCTCTCACTGGCTTAACCCTTGCATCCCTTGGTTTCTGTCCACCCTGGAACAAAGGCTACAGTGTTCAAGCTGTCAATTAGTAGGTTTAAAAGTAAAGGCTATTCTTGTAGCTCCAAAGCCTTGCAGGTCTAATAGGTGAGGGAACTTCAAGGAACTCCTTTGTCAGGGAGACTTTTCAGGAAGCTGGAGCTCGTGCTTAGCCTTGAGGGGCAGGTGTAGTTGGACTATAGAGAAGGGAATTGTTAGGAGAGAACAGTTGTGTATTCTTGGTAAATTTGGAACTCATAATTCAGTAGTTAAGAGCCTTGTTTCTGGAATCTGACTTCTTGGGTTCAAATCCTGGTTCTAGCCCTTTTTGGGAGAGTGACCCTAAGCAAACATATTACTCTCTCTGTGCCTCATCTGCTGAAGTGGAGGTTAGAAATAGTACCTACCTCATCAGGTTGTCATGAGGATTAAATGGGTTAAAATATGTAATGGGCTTAAAACAGTGTCTTGGACATAGGATGCATCTGGAAAGGCTATTTGATACTACTGTTGACCGTTCTTGGTGTTCTTAATCCATGTAGAGAAACATCCATTACCATATCACTCCTGGCCTCTTCCCTTGGAGGAGAGAAATAACTAAACTCTTTGGAGAGTCTAGAGAGAGAAACTGGCAATACTTAGAAACTTTCCTTCCTCTTAGGAACTATGTGTGTTTGCTCTGGCTCCGAATTGCTATGTCTGGGAGATAATTCTGGCAAATTCTGGTATTCAGTATAAGGAAGTTTAAATGCCTGTGGTTATAAGCCATATTCTCTATTATCAGCTTAACAGTGTCACACTTTGGCACAACCTGCCTGCTTCCTTAGATTTCTCTACTGGTTTGGAACTTAATCAGTAAAGAGGTTGACTATTTATTTATTGGGTCCTATTTAAGGCCCCAACAGGATCACATTTACAATGAGTAGAAATGCATGGGAGAATAAATGGCAGGGGTCTTAGTGTCCCAAGAGCAGAAGATTCATGCCTGAGAAATTGGAAGAATTAAACAGTCAGTGTTCTTAGAGATGGCTGAAGGAGCAGCAAACCAGCATAGCCCACATGATTGTGAGTGACATTCCTAAATATCAGAATCCCTACACTCGTGGAGTCAGAGGATGCAAATGTTGACACTCAGAAAGTGTCATGGCAGCTGCCTCTATAAAGGAGCTGTTCTTAGCCCAGATCCTCAGCAATGAATTACATTAACATGAGTAAAATGTGTGCAGAGCCCAAAGGTATGACATAAAGCATAAAAACAGCATTCAAGACAGTGCACTCAGATCAGAGAGACAGACACAGAGGACCGCAGGGCCATGCATGCAGAGCAGCCATTCTCAGGCCAAGGGACATTTATGCACAGATATTTGTGCAGCATTGTATGGACTAAGCAATCTAATCCAATTGCTTAAGATGATTTATAAATGAAACCAGCAGAAAACAAATGGCAAGGACTGGGAATATGGTCTTTGAAACATAGAAAAGGTGCCCCAAGGCAGACTAACATAGCAGTATGAGGACATGGAAAGGAACCAGCAGAACTTGATCAATGCAAATGGTAGAGCAATCTAGTGTCAGCTGGGTCAGATACTCTTCTCCCTGGCACACCTGGCTAAGTATGATTATGAGTGGTAATCACAAATAAATGTTAGACCACGCTGCAGGTGTATTTGGTAGTTTGGGGTGAATAACTTTGCTCAAGGTACTTGTTTAGTGTAATCCATGTATATATGCCTTACTTCACAATTCAGGTTTGGATGACTTTTAAGCAAACCCATTATGTCTGTTGTTATAATGTCTATGTTAAAGGATCCATACAAGTATATGTGTTTAGAACTAGATAGACCCCACTAAACTTTCAGGCAGGGAAGCAGTAGGCAGTATGGGAAAAATCAGCTCAGCAGATCGTGTTTATGGCCACCTTTTCCTAGTATTTTCTTTTAGTCTAGGAATAATCCTATTTCTAAGTAAACAAATTAAGATTCTCATCACTTTTGCTAAATGTTTAAATATCACTGGAAATAGTAACCACACTGAGGCTTCTGAGGGTGCTGGAAGAAGAGACCAATTTAGTTAATTAGCATGAATAATTCTGTTTGATTTCCTGTCCCTCTCTTCCTCTCCCTTCCCCTCCCTTTCCTTCCCTTCCCCTACCTTCCCCTACCTTCCCTCCCTTCCGCTCCCTTCCCCTCCCTTTTCCCCTCCTCTCCCCTCCCCTGTCTTCTCCTTCTCTCCCCTCCCTTCCCTTCTCCCCTCCTTTCCCCTTCTCTCCTTTCCTCCTTAGGAACCCAGATAGTTCCTAAGAGGAAGGAAAGTTTCTAATGTAATAAGACATCATAGGTTGTTCATCTGGAAAGCCAACTCTGGAAATAATTTAACAGGCTGGATATTTATCAAAGTGTTTCTTTGGGATGAAGACCAGTGGAAGGGAAAAGAAGGAAGCAGGACTGGGCAGGGGGAGAAGTTGAATGGTGATACATCCCTGATAATTTTATCCCACCCTACGAAGGCTCCAGAGCTAGAGTGGTTCTTCAGAGTTGTCCTGAGTTAAGCCAAGATGACCTGGATTTTTCATAATCTCACATTGGTCCATCATTGGATGTGGGCCTTCTGGGGAGGGGCATGAACTTAGATAACCTTGGGGCATCTCTACAACTGAAAGATTTCTGAAGGGGCTGATCACTGCAGACTTCTGCCCCTAGAACTCCCAGGCTAGGACAACTAGACCCTCATTGAAGGGGCATCTGGGAAGCACATCATTATATATAACAGCTATAGGGCTGTTACAAGAATCCAGAAATAAAGTGGTAAGAGAGGGAAAGTTGGGACATACTTGCAATACAGAATTACTCTCTCTGCAAAATGAATGGGATCACCAAAAACTGGATCTCTTATATCTTCAGTGCACACTTGAATTTACTTTTCTTTATGGGAAAATTCTTCTGGAACTGATTTTAAATATGTATATATTTAAGCTTTTGTTTTTCTCAATTAGCTCTTGAAGCAGCTTTGTGCAATTATAGAATGATAAAAATTGATTTCAGATTTTGTCCCTGACTAGTTTTAGATGTTTGATTTTGGTCAAAATTTATAACCTTTCTGAACCCAGTTTCTTCATCTATAAAAAGGGGATAATGCTTTCTACCCTTCTTAAGGTTAAAATTGGTACAAGGTTAAAAAAGAAACAATGTACATAAAAAGCACTTAGCACAATGTCTAATTTTACAAGCTTATCCAACCCACCTTATTTTGTTGTTGTTCTGTTTGGTTTTGTTTTAGGCTTTTAGCAGCCTGAAGCCATGTGATATGGTTTGGCTCTCTGTCTCCACCCAAGTCTCATCTTGTAGTTCCCACAATTCCCATGTGTTGTCAGAGGCACCCAGTAGGAGATAATTGAATCATGGGGGCAGGACTTTCCCCAACTGTTCTCGTCATAGTGAATAAGTCTCATGAGATCAAATGGTTTTAAAAATGGGAGTTTCCCTGCACAAGCTCTCTCTGTCTGCTGCCATCCACTTGAGACGTGACTTGCTCGTCCTTGCTTTCCACCACGATTGTGAGGCCTACCCAGCCATGTGGAACTGTAAGTCCACTGAACCTCTTTCTTTTGTAAATTGCCCAGTCTCAGATGTGTCTTTATCAGCAGCATGAAAAGGGACTAATACACCATGGATTTTAGTTTCTGTCTCTAGTGATAAGCAGAAAGGGGAGATGAAAAAGGGGCTTTACTTGCCCAACCAGAAACAGAAACCAGGACCCCATGACTATATTATTTCCCTTGGACACCCCTAGATACATAGTAATTTTTCAGTAAAGTCAGTTTTCTTCTCTAGAGGGGAGACTAGTTCAGACATTCTAGACTGTTCCGTCAGACTCAGTTTCAAAAGAGAATGTGTGGGAGAACAGTCTTTGTCCGACTTATATATATAAAATAATAGTATAAAAAAGCTTCTGGTTGTCAAGTGAAGTACATGCATGAAACATTTATCTTGCAGCTAAGACCTAGCTTGTTGAAATTTGCCTGGAGCAAAATTTCATGGCTGAGTTACAGCCTCAGAAAAAAAAATATTCTAGGTTTGAATTTCTGTACCAACCTTCACATCCTGGCCCTATTTAAAAGGACATTTTAAGTCTACTGTGAAGTTGCATTTGAGATGATAAAATTTTTGTTGAAGGAGAAAAGAGGGGAGACAGGAATATTTGTATTGTTTTGCTTTAGTAGCTTTCTATCTGTGAAAACTAGAAATGATCTCTGACAGAGAGTGTAATAGAAATGTTTTGGGTGGCCCTCAAATCTGCAACAGTGTCCTGAGGCCTCCACTATATGGAGGTCCCTTGTACACAGAGGTGTAGAACATATCAGGGTGCCCTGTCCTGGGAGAGTCAGAGTCCAGTGGGGAGACCTTCATGACAACATAGTTTACTCCAACATTTCAACTAGAAAGGGCTGTGGTCTAATGCAGTTTATCCATTAGGCACTCAAAGCAGAGAGCCTGAGGCCTGCGAGTTTTCATGGGCTTGAATGTAAATGTTCAATATCTGAAAAAAGTAGCAACTCCTAAAAGAAAACTGCAAAATTACAAGTGAACAAATGATAAGTTAAATGTTTATAAAACTTTACATCAGCTGTTCTACTTCAACTCAACACAGACACATATACACACACATATACACTAATATGTACATATATATACATGCAAAATACACATATTATATATAAACACATAAAACTTAAACTATAAGAAAAAAGTCAATAATTTATACTAAACGAATTAAGAATTATTTTTATAATCCTTAACATTTCCTTCAATGAAACAATGACTGTTGGCCATCAGTATTTATGGGGGACTGGTTCTAGGAACCCTGTAAATACCAAGTCTAAGGATGCTTATGTCCCTTTATGTAAAATGGTTTAGTATTTGCATATAACCTATACACATTTTCCTGTATACTTTAAATCATCTCTACATGACCAATAATACCCAATACAATGTAAATGCTATGTAAATCATTGTTATACTGTATTGTTTAGAGAATGACAGAAAAATGTCTGTACATGTTTAGGGCAAACAGTACCATCCATTAAATACATTTTTCTATCCACAGTTGGTTGAACCCAAGGATGTAGAACCCATGGGTGTGGAGAGCAGACTATATAGTAAACATGGGATGTGGATATGTTTTATTTTAACGTGGTGTGCAGACAGCCTCTGAAAACATGAGTTCCTAGATCCTGCAAAATGTTTAAAGATGGCCCTTGCTGTGGGGGTCCCAGAAGGGTGGTATCCCTCATAGGGAAAGAGTCCCAAAAGATTCCCAAAGAAGGTAAAACTAGACTTGAATGTTGGGTACAAAACAAGCATGGTGACATGACACACATATCACAACCAAGGAGAGTTCCAAAGCCATGTAGTCAAGTCTCTCCACTTATCTGGCCATAGGTTGGATACCTGTGACTTAACAGAACACAGCTCAAATCTTCCTGCCAGAGAGAACTCATACCAACTCCTGGATTCATAATAAACAGAACCTGGCAAGTGTAGCATTATGTAATTGTCTTTCAATTTTTTGGTGAGTCTCTTTTGCAAAGGAACTAATTCTCTTGGACCCAATTGAGGACAAAAAGAGCAGAAACCAACAGGACAGGTGAGTGGAAAATCAGGTAGCACAATATAAGCATAGCGTATGATCACTGGAGCACATAACCAGGTTCAGCCTCCTAGTGATGCCAATGGCATTTAATTTACCTGCTGCAGCTTTGTTACAGCACTGCTGCTTCTGAGTCTTCCTTATCCTTTCACCTGACTCAAGTAAGAAACAGAATTGGAATTTGAGGTAGGATATCCCAGCCCCACATTTTGTATTTTTTGAGTCGGAGAAATCCTGCCATATTGTTTGTCTGGATAGGATTTTAGAAGATTTGCCTTTAATCTGAAGGCTCAGAGAAATTATGGCTTTACCTCTGGGAATGAGTGTTCTTCATCTGGATTTACTCTATGCCATTGTTAATTATCCTAGTCAATTTAAAACTGGACCCTGGGGGTAGTGGAATGAGGTCAAAAGTTAAATGTCTGTATGGCCCAATTATGAATTTGATTTAACAGTAAATATCAGCTTTATTTTTTAAATACTTTCTAATTTATCCATCTTTTTTCCATGTAATAAAGGAAACTAAAGAAATAGCATCTATGGAATGCTTACTCTGTGTTAAGTCCTTGGCTAAGTGGAATTTAATCTCTATCTCATTCCTACAAAGTAGATATTATTGGCCCATTTTAGAATTGAGGAAATAGAAGCTCGGAGATGTTAAGGAAACAATTAGAAGTTACAGAATTATCAGTGGTGGGGCCAAGATAAAGATGAGGATTCCTAAGCATTTACTTTTTTTTTTTCCACAGCACAGAATATTGCTTTTGAATGCTCTAATTGTCTCTCCTCTCTTCTCTGATGTAAAGTTAAAACAAATTTTGTTCTAAGAATGTGTTAAGTTCCACTTTAGGTGCTGGGAATAAAGGGAGAACTTTCCCTTTAGGTAGGGTCTTTGTGCTCGAGAAACTCATGGTCTACTGGCGATATGGAAACAGCTGATTTTAATACCAGATGGAATAAGTTTCCTAGAATGAACTATCTGCCTGAGTGTTAGGGGAGAGGAGACTGGTTTTGAGGGAAGGGATTGGTTATAACTGAGGGACTTAGAAAGCCTCCATAGTAGAAATAATATTTTGAGGTGTACTTTGAAGGATGAGGTTCAGCTGAGCAGAGAATGGCCAGGAAGGACCTCTGGGCAGAGGACTCAGGAGGAGAGGGAGCAGGGAAGCATACAGTGTGTTCTACATGGGAGGGGATGGGGTTTTTCAGGATGTTCTGGCAGGGGGCTGCAGGGAGGTCTGCAGGCAGGTGCAGTTGTGTGAATTTCTTTCTTCAACGACAGGAAGGAGGTTGGGAGGTGCTCAGAACACCTCAGCCTCATCACACAATGTGTTGTTCAAAGTATTCCCAGCCAGATATTATAATGGGGCCATAGATTAGAGTGTGGCCAGCCCTTTTGCCCTCTTTACAATCAGGAAAATAATTCAAAAATTGTCCTTTATGGACAACCAGTAGGGCCACTTTTGTCTGCACACTGAGGTCAGGCTTTGTTATGAGAACAAGCATGGTTTACTCTGCACTTTCTACCTCAGCCTGCCTCTTGGTGTGGGATGTATAGTTCCTCAAAGTTCCCTTGTGCCAGTCCCTGTCTAGGTGCTGAGGTTCACTAACAAGCCAGGCAAACGTGGAGCTTGTGTTCTAAAGTGGTATCCCAACAGTAAAACGATATACAAATGAAGATGAAGTCATGGCTAGTAGAAAGTGCTGCAAAGAAAAAAAAAAAAAACATGGGATGTGATATAGAGTGATGGGGAATGCGATATTTAGGGAAAGCTCTTTCAGGTGGCAGTCAGGAGAATATTAATTATTCAATTTAATTTGCAAACACAGGCACTCTACACAAATTCCAAATATTCTAAAGTGCATCAGTAGAGAAAAGGGTCATCTCTCTCTCCATATCTATTCCCCAGCCACCCATTTGCATTTCCAGACAAAAACTGAAATCCGTTCCTTTTGTGTCTTTCTAGAGCAGTTCTATGCATGTACAGCTCATGTGTGTGTGCGTATAAAACACCAATGATAGCATCCGTATACACTTCCTGACATATATTTTTTTCAATTTAGAATATATATTGAAGTTTCCACATCAGTATATTGAGTTGCCTCACTTGTTTTTAGCTCGTTTCACAATATTCCACTATGTAAATATACAGGTCCACAATCCTTAACTCCAATTCCCAAATCCCCAAAACCCTGAAAACTGGGTTTTTTTCCTCTAAATTTTGACACCCAAACTCATCTGGCAGCAAACGAATTTGAACTGGTATGAAAATGTTTATGCTTTTTGATTATCCCACTTCATGTTTATGTGACATACCTCAGAAGTACCAATATATTTGATTAGAGTATGCTTCCCAAGGCCTGATGGTAATGGGTGTACATCTCATCTGTGGGCCATGTTACTAAACTAGAGTGAAAAACAATCTGCATTCTAAAACAAAATCGGCCTCAAGCATTCTGGATTAGAAACGGTAGACCTTTATTGTGTTTTATTTAACTTGCTTTCTTTGGACGGACCTTTTAATGGTTTCCAACATTTGTTCCCACAAACAATGTTACAATGATATCTTGATAAATACATAATTCTATACTTGTGTTCCATGGGTCTAAATGCTTTTATATTTATAATTTCAATCAGTTTTACCAAACTGTTCTTATGCTCTTACCAGCATTAGTTAAAAGTACCAATTTTCCCTGTCTGCATTTCATATCTACCAAGCACACTCAACTCTCATTGAGAGCTTCATTAGCTGGATCTCCTTGTCAGCCAGGGTCACATTTTCCTGAATTGATGATAGTTGCTGATGATGAGAACCACAGTGGTTTAATGGCAAGAGAAGAGCAAGTGATGCCTATGCTTTGTTTGAATATCAAGTACATTTGACTGTCTCCTTTTTAGAAAATAGGCAGCCCAGGTATGAGATCAGGTTTTATGATGTAATTATGTGACTGATCTTTTAGCCAATATGACAGATACTAGGCAGTGACAATTTTGAGGATTATGAGACTTATCTGAAGCGAAATGATTGCATCATTTATTGTTTTAGGTTACTCTTGGTGAATATTGTGAATTATATGAATACTCTTGGTGAATATGCGAATATTGAATCAGAACACAAGTTCTTGGCTATCTAGACAACAAAGCTAACTATAGAGGAAATATAGCATAAGGGAAGGATCTGAGTTCAAATCCTGGCATTGCTACCTAGTAGCTGTGCACATGTAAGGAAGTCACTTGACTTTCCAGAGATTTGGCTTCTTTTCTTGCTTAATTAGGATAATAGGATAATAACCCCACATTTCATCATTATTATTAGGGTTTAGTAAGATGAATGTTTTTAAGGCACCTGGCATATATAGCAGGTACTCATCAAATGACTGATTTCAACATTGGAGTCCTGAGCCAAGAGGCTTCTAAGCACCTTTTAATTTTTTTAAGTCTTACAATAAAGCAGTTAAACCCACTACACTGGATCTCTTTGGAAAAATGATACAAACAAGCTTTGGTAAAGATGAATAAGTATTAAGGATAGAAAACACAAGGAAATCAAGGAGACCAGGCATGGCTGATGGTTGGTCCTGATCATCCATGAAACAGACATTACATGCCTTATCTGAAAGCAATCAGGCTGTGAAGGCCATTATCCTATGCTAATTGATACAGGAACAGACAACAGTTTGATTTCAACATGGTATGCCTAAGTATAGACAAGCTTTGAGTGCAATTCCCAGCACACCATTGTTGAAGAGTAGTGGAACCAAAGGATACTTTCTCAGGCAAGTCATCTCTGATTGTCTTTGTTATTCTGAGATGTGAGGATAATTATATCTGTCCTACCTCTGATTGTTTATAGCCATGCCTTTTATTTTTAAATTTTTATTGTTTTCTGCTTTTATTTTAGATTCAGGTGGTACATGTATACATGTGCAGGTTTGTTACCTGGGTATGTTGTGTGATGCTGAGGTTTGGCGTATGAATGATCTCATCACTCTGGTACCGAGCATAGAACCCAATAGTAGGTTTTTCATCTCCTTCCCCTTCCTTCCCTCCATCCTATTGTAGTACCCAGTTTCTACTGTTGCTATCTTTATGTCCATGAGCACTCAGTGTTTAGCTTCCATTTATAAGTGAGAATATGTAATATTTAGTTTTCTGTTCCCGGATTAATTAGCTTAGGATAATGCCCTCCAGCTGCATCCATGTAGCTATAAAATATATAATTTTGTTCTTTTTAATGGCAGTGTATTATTCCCCAGTGGATATGTACCACATTTTCATTATCCTGTCCACCATTGATGTGGCACCTAGGTTGATTCTATGTCTTTGCTACTGTAAATAGTGCTGCAGTGGACGTGCAAGTGCATGTGTCTTTTTGGTGGAATGATTTGTTTTCTTTTAGATGTATACCCAGTAATGGGATTTCTGGGTCATGTGGTAGTTCTGTTTGAATTTCTTTGAGAAATCTTCAAACTGCTTTCTATAGTGGCTGAACTAATTTACATTCCCAATAACAGTATATGAGCATTCCCTTTTCTTCGCAGTCTTACCAGCATTTGTTGTTTTTTGGCTTTTTAATAATAGCCACTCTGACTGGTGTGAGATAGTGTCTCATTGTGGTTTTGATTTGCATTTCTCTGATGACTGGCGATGTGAAACATTTTATCATCTTTGTTGGCTGCTTCTGTGTCTAGTTTTGAGCATTGTCTGTTCATGATTTTGGCTCATTTTTTAATGGGGTTATTTGTATTTTGCTGGTTCAGTTGTTTAAATTTCTTACAGATTCTGAATATTAGACCCTTGCCAGATGCATAGTTTGCTAATATTTTTGCCATTCTTTAGATTGTCTGATTATTCTGTTGATAGCTTCTCTTTTTTGGTTTATGCATGTGTTTTTGTTTGTTTGTTTGAGACAAGGTCTTACTGTGTCACCCAGGATGTAGTACAGTGGTGCAATTGTGGCTCATTGAAATCTCAACCTCCTGAGATCAAGAAATTCTCCCACCTCAGCCTCCCAAATAGCTGGGACTACAGGTGTGCACCACCTTGCCTGGCTATTTATTATTGTTATATTTTGTAGAGGTGGTGTCTCACTATGTTGCCCAGGCTGGTCTTGAATTCCTGGGCTCAAGCCTGCCTTAGCCTCCCAAAGTGCTAGGATTACAGTTTGCTGTGCAAAATCTCTTTAGTTTAATTAGGTTCCACTTATTGATGATTCTTTTTGTTGCCATTAATTTTGAGAACTTAGTCATAAATTCTTTCTCAAGGCTTGTGTCCAGGACTTTTATAGTTTGAAGTCTTATTCTTAAATCTTTAATCCACCATGAGTTAATTTTTTTATATGATGAAAAGTATGTTACATGATTTGCCTCTGTGTCCCTACCCAAATCTTATCTCGAATTGTAATCCCCATGTGTCAGGGGAGGGGCCTGGTGGGAGATGATTGGATTATGGCGGTGGTTTTCACCTTGCTGTTCTTGTGATAGTGAACGAGTCCTCATGAGATATGATCATTTAAAAGTATGTGGCACCTCCCCTTTACACACTCTCTCTCTCCTGCTCTGCCATGGTCAGATGTGCTTGCTTCCCCTTCACCTTCCTCCATGATTGTAAGTTTCCTGAGGCTTCCCAGCCATGCTTCCTGTACAGCCTACAGAATTGTGAGTGAATTAAACCTCTTTTCTTTGGAAATTACCAGGCTCAGGTAGTTCTTTATAGCAGTGTGAGAACAGACTAATACAGAAATTGGTACCAGGAGTGGAGCATTGCTATAAAGATACCTGAAAATGTGGAAGTGACTTTGGTAATAAGCAGAGGTTGGAACAGTTTAAAGGGCTCAAAAGAAGACAGCAAAATGTGGGAAAGTTTGGAACTTCCTAGAGTCTTGTTGAACGGTTCTGACCAAAATGCTTAGAGTTATATGGACAATGAAGTCCAGGCTGAGGTTGTATCAGATGGAGATGAGGAACTTCTTGGGAACTGGAGTAAAGGTCACTCTTGCTATGCTTTAGCAAAGAAACTGTTGGCATTTTGCCCCTGCCCTAGAGATATGTAGAATTTTCAACTTGAGAGAGATGATTTAGGGTATCCGGTGGAAGAAATTTCTTTCTTTCTTTTTTTTTTTTTTTTTTTTTTTTTTGTGAGACAGAGTCTTGCTATGTCACCCAGGCTGGAGTGCAGTGGCATGATCTCGGCTCACTGCAACCTCCACCTCCTGGGTTCAAGCGATTCTCCTGCCTCAGCCTCCTGAGTAGCTGGGATTAGAGGCATCCACCACCATGCCTGGCTAATTTTTGTATTTTTAGCAGAGATGGGGTTTCACCATGGTGGCCAGGCTGGTCTCGAACTCCTGACCTCAAGTGATCTGCTCACCTCGGCCTCCCAAACTACTGGGATTACAGGCTGGTGGAAGAAATTTCTAAGCAGCAAAGTGTTCAAGATTCGACCTGGCTGTTCCTAACAGCATACAGTCATATGCATTTACAAAAAGATAATCTGAAATTGGAATTTATGCTTAAAAGAGGAGCATAGCGTAAAAGTTTGGAAAGTTTGTATCATGACCATGTGGTAGAAAAGAAAAACCCATTTTCTGGGGAGGAATTCAAGCCATCTTCAGAAACTTGCACAAATAAAGAGAAGCTGAATGTTAATAGCCAAGACAATGGGGAAAATATCTTCAGGGCCTGTCAGTGACCTTTGCGGCACCCCTCGCAACACAGGCCCAGAGGCCTATGAGGGAAAAATGGTTTCAATGGCTAGGACCAGTGCCCAGCTTCTTTGTGAATCCATGGGATATGACATCCTGCATCCCAGCCACTGCAGCTCCAGCTGTGACTAAAAGAGAGCAATGTACAGTTCAGGCCATTGCTTCAGAGGATGCAAGTCCCAAGCTTTGGTGGCTTCCATGTGGTGTTAGGCCTGTGGGTGCACAGAAGGCAAGATTTTAGGAGCCTCCATCTAGATTTCAGAGGATGTGTGGAAATGCCTGGATGTCCAGGCAGAAGTTTCCTGCTGGGTTGGAGTCCTCATGGAGAACCTCTACTAGGGCAGTGCCCTACACAGAATTCCCACTGCGACATTGCCTAGTGGAGCTATGAGAAGAGGGCTACCATCCTCAAGATGCTAGAATGGTAGATCCACCAACAGCTTGCACTGTGTGCCTGGAAAAGCTGTAGGCACTCAATGCCACCCACTGAAAGCAGCCATGGAGGCTGTACCCTGCAGAGCCACATGGGTGGATCTGCCCAAGGCCTTGGGAGCCAACCTTTTACATCAATGTGCCCTGGGTGTGAGACACGAAGTCAGAAGAGATTATTTTAAAGCTTTAAGATTTAATGACTGCCCTGCTGGGTATTGAAATGGAGTTGTGGCCCCTTTGTTTTGGCTATTTTCTCCCATTTGGAATGGGAACATTTACCCAATACCTGTACCCCCATTGTATTTTGGAAGTAACTAACTTGTTTTATTAGTTTGTTTTTATGCTGTGATAAAGACATATCTGAAACTGGAAACAAAAAGAGGTTTAATTGGACTCATAGTTCCACATGGCTGGGGAGGCCTCAGAATCATGGTGTGAGGCAAAAGCCAGTTCTTACACGGTAGTGGCAAGAGAAAAATGAGGATGAAGCAAAAGCGGAAACCCCTGATAAACCCATCAGGTCTTGTGAGACTTATTCTCTATCGCAAGAATAGCACGGGAAAGATCAGCCTCCATGATTAAATCACCTCCCCCTATGTCCCTCTCACAATACTTGGGAATTCTGGGAGATACAATTAAAGTTGAGATTTGGATGGGTACACAGCCAAATCATATTGTTTCACCCCTGGCCCCTCCAAATCTCATGTTCTCACATTTCAAAACCAATCATGCCTTCCCAACATCCCCCAAAGTCTTAATTCATTTCAGCATTAACCCAAAAGTCCACAGTCCAAAGTCATCTGAGACAAAGCAAGTCCTTTACACCTATGAGCCTGTAAAATCAAAAGCAAGCTAGTTAATTCCTAGATACAATGGGGGTACAGGTATTGGGTAAATACAGCCGTTCCAAATAAGATAAATTTGCCAAAACAAAGGGGTTATCGGGCCCATGCAAGTCTGAAATCTAGCAGGGCAATCAAATCTTAAATCTGCAAAATGATCTGCTTTGATGCCATGTCTCACATCCAGGTTATGCTGATGCAAGAGGCGGGTTCCCATGGTCTTGGGAAGCTCCATCCCTGTGGCTTTGCAGGGTACAACCTCCCTCCCAGCTGCTTTCATGGGACATGAGCCTTGGAGGGGGCCAGGGACAGAATGATATGGTTTGGCTCCGTGTCCCCGCTCAAATCTCATGTTGAATTGTAATCTCCGTCTTTCAGGGGAGGGGCCTAGTGGGTTGGATCATTGGGGTGCATTTCCCCCTTGATGTTCTCATGACAGTGAGTTCTCACAAGATCTGATTGTTTAAAAGTGTGTGGCATCTCCCCCTTTGTCCCCTCTCTCTCTTTCTCTCTCTCCTGCTTTGCCATGGTAAGACGTGCTTGCTTCCTCTTCACCTTCTGCCATGATTGTAAGTTTCCTGAGGCCTCTTAGCCATACTTCTTGTACAGTTTGCAGAACTCTGAGTCAGTAAATCCTCTTTTCTTCAGAAATTACCCAGTCTCAGGTAGTTTTTTTAAATTTTTTTATTTTTCATAGGTTATTAGGGTACAGGTGGTGTTTAGTTATGTGAGTAAGTTCTTTAGTGGTGATTTGTGAGATTTTGGTGCACCCATCCCCTGAGCAATATCCACTGCACTGTATTTGTAGTCTTTTATCCCCTGAACCCCTCCTACCCTTCCCCCAAAGTCCCCAAGCTCCATTGTATCATTCTTATGCCTTTGTGTCCTCATAGCTTAACTCCCACATATCAGTGAGAACATATGATGTTTGGTTTTCCATTTCTGAGTTACTTCACTTGGAATAATAGTATCCAGTTTCATCCAGGTTGCTGCAAATGCCATTAGTTTATTACTGTTTGGGACTGAGTAGTATTCCATTATATATATATATATATATATGTGTGTCTCACAATCTCTTTATCCACTTGTTGATTGATGGTTCCCATGGGCACTTGGGTTGTTTCCACAATTTTGCAATTGCGAATTGTGCTGCTACAAACATGCATGTGTAAGTATCCTTTTCATATTATGACTTCTTTTCTTCTGGGTAGATACCTAGTAGTGGGATTGCTGGATCAAATGGTAGTTATACTTTTAGTTCTTTAAGGAATCTCCACATTGTTTTCCATAGTGATATGTTGTTGGATTTGGTTAGCTTGTATTTTGTTAAAGATTTTAGCATCTATGTTCATCAGGGGTATCAGTCTATAGTTTTATTTTTTGGCTATGTTCTTTCCTGGTTTTGGTATTATGGTGATGTTGTCTTCATCAAATGATTTTGGGAAGGTTCCCTCTTTCTCTATCTTGTGGAATAGTGCCAAAGGATTGATACCAATTCTTTGAATTTCTGATAGAATTCTGCCAAGAATCCATTTGCTCCTGGACTTTTTTTGTTGGTAATTTAAAAATTACTTGTAATTTTTACAAGTACAATTTTTGCTTGTAATTTTTACTTGTAATTTTTACAAGTACAATTTTACAATTACAAAAATTACAAAGTAATTTAAAAGTTACTTGCTGCTTGTTATTGGTTTGTTCAGGGTCTCTAATTCTTCCTGATTTAAGCTAGGAGGGTTGTATCTTTTCAGGAATGTATCCATCTCTTCTAGATCTTCTAGTTTATGCATGTAAAGATGTTCATAGTAGCCTTGAATGATCTTTTATATTTCTGTGGTGTTAGTTGTAATATCTCCCGCTTTGTTTCTTAGTGAGGTTATTTGGATTTTCTCTCTTCTTTTCTTGGTTAATCTTGTGAATGGTCTGTCAATTTTATTTATTTTTTAGCAGAACCAGCCCTTTGTTTCATTTATCTTTTGTATTTTTTCGTTTCAGTTTCATTTAGTTCTGCTCTGATCTTGGTTATTTTTCTTCTGCTGCTGGGTTTGGGTTTGTTTTATTCTTATTTCTCTAGTTCCTTGAAGTGTGACCTCAGATTGTCAGTTTGTACTCTTTCAGTCTTTTTAATGTAGGTGTTTAGGGCTATGAACTTTCCTGTTAGCACTGCCTTTGCTGTATCCCAGAGGTTTTGATAGGTTGGGTCCCTATTGTTGTTCAGTTTGAATAAATTTTTTATTTCCATCTTGGTTTCATTTGTGACCCAGTGATCATTCAGGAGCAGGTTATTTAATTTCCATGTGTATGCATAGTTTTGAAGGTTCTTTTTGGAGTTTATTTCCAGTTTTATTCCACTGAGGTCTGAGAGAGTGTTTGATATAATTTTAATTTTTTAAAATTTATTGAAACTCGTTTTGTGCCCTATCATATGGTCTATCTTGGAGAAAGTTCCATGTGCTGCTGCATAGAATGTGTATTCACTGGTTGTTGGATGAAATATCTGTATATATCTGTTAAGTCCAGGTGTTCCCAGGTATAGTTTAAATTCATTGTTTCTTTGTTGACTTTCTGTCTTGATGGTCTGTCTAGTGCTGTCAGTGGAATATTGAAGTTCCCCACTATTATTGTGTTGCTGTCTATCTCATTTCTAGGTCTATTAGTAATTGTTTTGTAAATTTGGGAGCTCTAGTGTTAGGTGCATATATGTTTAAGATTGTGATATTTTCCTGTTGGACAAGGCCTTTTACCATTATATAATGTTCCTCTTTGTCTCTTTTAACTGCTGTTTCTTTAAAGTTTGTTTTGTCTGACATAAGAATAACTACTCCTGATCACTTTTGGTGTCCATTTGCATGAAATGCCATTTTCCACTCTTTTACCTTAGGTTTATGTGCGTCCTTATGTGTGAGTTGAGTCTCTTGAAGGCAGCAGATAGTTGGTTGGTGAATTCTTATCCATTCTGCAGTCCTGTATCTTTTAGATGGAACATTTAAGCCATTTACATTCAATGTTAGTATTGAGATGTGAGGTACCATTCCATTCATCATGCTGTTTGTTGCCTGTGTACCTTGATTTTTTGTTTTTGTTTTTTAAATTTTATTTTTGTTTTATAGGTCCTGTGAGATTTATGCTTTAAAGAGGTTCTGTTTTGTTATGTTTCCAGGATTTGTTTCAAGATTTAGAGCTTCTCTTAGCAGTTCTTGTAGTGGTGGGTTAGTAGTGGTGAATTCTCTCAGCATTTGTTTTTCTGAAAAACACTCTGTTTTTCCTTCATATATGATGCTTAATTTATCTGGATACAGAATTCTTGGCTGCTAATTATTTCGTTTGAGGAGGCTGAAGATAGGGCCCCAATCCCTTCTAGCTTGTAGGGTTTCTGCTGAGAAATCTGCTGTTAATGTAATGGGTTTCCTTTATAGGTTAGCTGGTGCTTTTGTCTCACAGCTCTTAAGATTCTTTCCTTGTCTTAACTTTAGTTAATCTGATGACAGTGTGCCTAGGCAATGATCTTTTTGCAATGAATTTCCCAGGTGTTTTTTGTGCTTCTTGTATTTGGATGTCTAGGTCTCTATCAAGGCCAAGGAAGTCTTCCTTGATTATTCCCCTAATTGTTTTCCAAACTTTTAGATTTCTCTTCTTCCCCAGGAACGCCAAATATTCTTAGGTTTGGTTCTTTAACATAATCCCAGACTTCTTGGAGGCTTTGTTCATACTTTCTTATTCTTTTCTCTTTCTTTTTGTTGGATTGGGTTAATTTGAAGACCTTGCCTTTGAGCTCTGAATTTCTTTCTTCTTCTCGTTCAATTCTATTGCCAAGATTTTCCAGGGCATTTTGCATTTCTAAAGTGTGTCCAGTGTTTCCTGTAGTTTTGATTGTTTCTTATTTATGCCTTCTATTCCATTGTATATTTCTTCCTTCCCTTCTTGTATTCCTTTTTGGATTTCCTTGCATTGGGCTTCACCTTTCTCTGGTGCCTCCCTCATTAGCTTAACAACTAATCTCCTGAATTCTTTTTCAGGTAAATCAGGGATTTCTTCTTGGTTTGGATCCATCGCTGGTGAGCTGGTGTAATTTTTTGGGGGGTGTTAAAGAGCCTTGTTTTGTCATATTACCAGAGTTGATTTTCTGTTCCTTCTCATTTGGGTATGCTCTGTCAGAATGAAGTTATAGGGCTGAAGGCTGTTGTTCAGATTCTTTTGTCCCACGGGGTGTTCCTTTGATGTAGTGCCTTCCCCTTTGCCTATGGATGTGACTTCCTGAGAGCCAAGATGTAGTGATTGTTATCTCTCTTCTGGATCTAGCCACCCAGCAAGTCTACCAGGCTCTGAGCTGGTGCTGGGGATTGTCTGCACAGAGTCCTGTGATGTGAATGGTCTATGGGTCTCTCAGCGGTGGATACCAGCACCTGTTCTGCTGCAGGTGGTGGTGGGTGAAATGGATTCTGTGAGGGTTCTTAACTTTGGTAATTTAATGCTCTATTTTTATGCTGATCGGCCTCCTGCTGGGAGATGGTGCTTTCCAGATAGCATCAGCTGTCATACTATGGAGAAGGCAGAGAGTGGGGCTTTAGACTCCCAAGAGTATATGTCCTTTGTGTTCAGTTACCAGGTTGGGTATGGAAGGACCATCAGGTGGGGGCAAGGCTAGGAGTGTCTGAACTCAGACTGTCTTTGGGTGGGTCTTGCTGTGGCTGCTGTGGAGGATGGGGGTGAGGTGCCCAGTCAATGGAGTTATGTTCCTACAAGGATTATGACTACCTCTGCTGAGTCATGCTGTTTGTAAGGGAGGTGGGGGAAAGCTGGCAGCCACAGGCCTCACCCAGCTCCCACACAATCTGAAGGGCTGGTCTCACTCCCACCATGCCTCTCCTATGAGCACCAAGTCTGTTTCCTGGCAGTGGGCAAGCAGGGCTGAGAACTTGCCCCAGGATACCTGCCTCCTAGCTGCAACAGAAAGTAGGGCTTTAGTTCTTCCCCTACCTGCAAAGTCTGGATGCTGGATTCATGCCCTCCCCCAAGTTGTGGCTAGGAGCCTTCTCAAGCAGTTTGAATTGTTACAAAGTTCAGCTAGAGATTTCCTTCTCCCTGTGGTGTTTTCCCCACATCTCTGGCCACCCTCCTGAAGGTTCCCTGTGATTCCAGGCAGCAGTGGCCTGCTTGGGGATGCAGTGAGCTCACCAGACCTTTCCCACTGCTTCTTCTACCCCTGTATTTCGCTTGGCTGTCTAAATTGACTCAGCTCCAGGTAAGGTCAGAATCTTCTCCTGTAAACTAGACCTTCAGTTTCCCCAGTGGAGGTGTGTGTTCAGGGGTGGACAACCTCTTTTTCCCACTTCCACAGTTTGCACACTTACAATATTTGGTGTGTCTCCCAGATTGTGCAGGAGCAGTCTGCATCCTTCAGAGGGTCTTTGGGTCCTCTCATGTTTCCTGATTTATTCCTGCATTTGTTCTGGATCTAAAATTCATGATGCAAGCCTCCACACACTTCTCTGTCCATCTGAGTTGGAGCTGCAATCTATTCTTGCCTCCCATCCGCCACATCCAATACTTTTTTGTCCTCAGGTAGTTCTTTATAGCAGTGTGAGAATGGATTAATACAGTAGGGGTCCAGTTTCAGTCTCCTACATATGGTTAGCCAGCTATCCCGGCACCATTTATTGCATAGAAAATTACTTTTCCTGTTTCTTATTCTTGTTGGCTTTGTTGAAGATCAGATGGCTGTAGGTGTACAGCTTTATTTCTGGATTCTATATTCTATTGCATTTATTTATGTGTCTGTTTTGTACAAGCACCATGCTGTTTTTAGTTACTGTAGCCTTAGTATAGTTTTAAGTCAGGTAATGTGATACCTCTGGCTTTGTTCTTTTTCATTAGGAATGCTTTGGCTATTTGGGCTTTTGTGGTTCCATATGAATTTTAGAACAGTTTTTTTTAGTTCCATGAAAAATGAGTTGGTAGTTTGATATAAATAGCAGTGAATCTATAGATTTCTTTGGATGTTGTGGACATTTTAACGTTATTGATTCTTCCAGTCCATGAGCATGGAATGTTTTTTCCATTTGTTTGTGTAATCTATGATTTCTTTTAGCAGTGTTTTGTACTTCTCCTTGAAGTCTTTCGCCTTCTTGGTTAGATTTATTCTTAGGTATTTTATTTTATGTTTTTGTGGCTATTATGAATGAGATGGCATTCTTGATTTGGCTCTAAGCTTGAATGTTATTGGTGCAACAAAATGCTACTGTTTTTTGTACTCTGATTTTGTATCTTAAGATGTTACTAAAGTTGTTTATCAGTTCCCCAGCCTTTTGGCAGAATCTTTAGGGGTTTTTAGGTCTCTAAAATACTTATCATCTGTGAAGAGTGATAGTTTGACTTCTTTTCTTATTTGGATGCCTTTTATTTCTCTCTCTTGCCTGATTGCTCTGGCTAGCACTTCTAGTATTATGTTGAACAGGAGTGGTAAGAGTGGACATTCTTGTTTCAGTTCTCAAGGGAAATGCTTCCAGTTTTTGCCCACTTAGTATGATGTTGCCCATGGGTTTGTCATAGATGGCTTTCATTATTTTCAAGCATGCTCTTTCAGTGCTTAAGTTCTTGAGGGTTTTTATTATGAAAGGATGTTAGAATTTAATGAAGACTTTTTCACATTTATTGAGATGACCATATGGTTTTTGTTTTTAATTCTGTTTATGCGGTGAATGACATTTATTAATTTGCATATGTTGAACCAACGTTACATCCCAGGAATTAAGCCTAGGTGATCATGATGAATTAACTTTGTAATGTGCTGTTAGATTTGATTTCCTAGTATTTTGTTGAGAATTTTTGCATCTATATTTGTCAGGCATATTGGCCTGTAATTTTCTCTTTTTTTCATGTCTTCACCAGCTTTTGGTATCAAGATAATTGTGGCTTCATAGAATATGTTGGGAATGAGTCCCTCCTCTTTGATTGATGTTTTGGAATAGTTTTTGTAGAATTGGTACCAGCTCTTCTTTGTATGTCTGGTAGAATTCAGCTGTGAATCCATCCAGTCTATGGCTTTTTTTGGTTGGTAGGATTTTGTTGCTGATTCAATTTCAGAACTCAATATTAGTCTGTTCATGGTTTCAGTTTTTCCTGATTCAACCTGGTGAGACTGTGTGTTTCCAGTAACTTACTCATTTCCTCTAGAATTTGTAGTTTGTGTGTATAGAGGTATTTATAATAGCCTCTGAGGATCTTCTGTATTTCTGTGAGATATTATGTCACCTTTGTTATTTCTAATTGTGGATATTTGCATCTTCTCTCTTTTTCTCTTGTTAATGTAGCTAGTGGTCTATTGATCTTGTTTATCCTTTCAAAAATACCTTTTGATTTCATGGAGTCTTTGTGAAGATTCTGGGACATAAGTTTTGTTCAGTTCTGACCTGATTTTAGTTATTTTCTTCTGCTAGCTTTGGGGTTAGTTTGTTCTTGCTTTTCTAGTTCCTCTAGGTTTGCTCTCAGATTATTAATTTGAGATCTTTCTAACTTTTTGAGGTAGGTGCTTAGCACTATAAACTTTTCTCTTAACACTGTTTTTGCTGCATCCTAAAGATTTTGGTATGTTGGGTTTCTGTTTTCATTTATTTCACATAAGTTTTTGATTTCTGACTTAATTTCATTCTTTACCCAAAAGTTATCCAGGAGCAAGTTGTTTAATTTCCATGTAATTATGTGGTTTAGAGAGATCTTCTTGTTATTGATTTTTAGTTTTATTCTACTGTGATCTGAGAGTATGGTTGGTATTGTTTTGCTTTTTTAATGTATCGAGACTTGCCTTATGGTGAGCATCTGGTCAGTCTTGAAGTACGTTCTGTGTGCAAATGAGAAGAATGTATATTCTGTGGTTGATGGATGGCGTATTCTGTAGATGCCCATTAGGTCCAAATGGTGAAGTATCAAACTTAAGTCCAGAATTTCTTTGTAAATTTTCTGCCTCAGTGATCTCTCTAATGCTGTAAGAGGGGTGTTGAATAGGGCTTTCCTCACTATTATAATGTTATTAAGTCTTTTCATATTTCTAAAGTAGTTGTTTTATGAATCTGGGTGCTCCAACGTTGGGTGTGTATATATTTAGGAAAGTTAAGTCTTCTTGTTGAAGTGAGCCCTTTATCATTGTGTAATGCCCTTCTTTGTCCTTTTTTACTGTTGTTAGTTAAAGTCTATTTTTTTCTGATATAAGAATAGTGACCCCTGCCTTTTTGTTTTCCATTTTCATAATAGATCTTTATCCAACTCTTTATTTTGAGTCTATGGGTGTCATTATGTGTGCGATGGATTTCTTGAAGTCAGAAGATGAAGGGATCCTCTTTTTTTTTAAAAAAAAATACAAATTGGCGTTCTGTGACTTTTAATTTGGATTGTTAGACCTATTATCATTCAAGGTTAATATTGATATATGATGTTTTGGGGCTACCACGAAGTTATTGGCTTGTTGCTTTGTAGTTTGTATTGTGTGGTTGTTTTATAGGGTCTATTGACTATGTACTTAGGTGCATTTTTGTGGTAGCTGTTATTGTTCTTTGTTTCCATGTTTAGAATGCTCTGAAGAATCTCTTGTAATGCTCGTGTAGTGGTAATGAATTCCCTTAAAACTTGCTTATCTGGAAAAGATTTTATGTCTCCTTTGCTTATGAAACTTAGGGAGGGATATAAAATTGTCAGTTGAAATTTCTTTTCTTGAAAAATGCTAAGTTTAGACCCCCAATCTCTTCAGGCTTATAAGGTTTCTGCTGTTAGCCTGATGGGATTCCCTGTGCACATGATCTGACCTTTTTCTCTAGGCCTTTCTCTTTAAGGTTTCTTTTGCATTGACCTTGGACAATCTGGTATCTCTATGCCCTCCTGTTCATTTTGTACAGTATCTCATAGTATTCTCTGGATTTCTTGTATCTGGATGTCTACCTGTCTAGTAAAATTAGGAAAATTTTCTTCAATTTTTCTCTGTAATACGTTTTCCAGGTCATTTGCTTTTTATCCTTCTCTCAGAAATGCTAATGACTCATAGGTTTGGTTACTTTACATAATACCATATTTCTTGAAGACTTTTTTAATTTTTTAAAATTCTTTTTTATTTTTGTCTGATTGGATTACTTGGAAAGACCAGTCTTCAAGCTCTGAAATTCTCTCTTCTACTTGATCAAGTCTACTGATAAAGCTTTCAATTGTATTTTGAAATTCCTTAAGTGAGTTTTTCAATTCCAGAAGCTCTGATTGATTTCTTTTAAATATGTCTCTCTTTCTTCATTTCCTCGATTGCTTTAGAAGTTTCTTTGCGTCAATTTTCAACCTTGGCGTGGATCTTGTTGAGCTTCCTTGCAATCCATGTTTTGAATTATTTATCTGTAAATTCTGAGTTCCCATTTTCATTAGGGGCCATTGCTGGAGACCTAATGTAATCCTTTGGTGGGGTAATTACATTCAGAATTTTCATGGCACCAGAATTTTTGTACTGGTTCCTTCCCATCTGGAGATGCTGGCACTTTTAATTTTTGTAATTTTTTTTTGTGGGTAGGATATTTCCTTTTTCTTGCTTTCTCTATAATATATTTTTCCCCCTTCCTTCCCCTCACTCCTTAGGGGATGCAGTTGTAAACAATGCAGGGTAGGATCTTTTGGCTTTGCTCCTATGGCCCTATGCACTTCTTTCTGCAGGTTTTGTACTGGGCTGTGCAGTTTGACATCCCAACCAGTAGAGGGTGCTTATAGGTAAGAGCTGGCTGTGGCCAACATGGCTGGGTATATACTTGATCCTTGTTTGCTGGCAGAAGCTCCCTGTTGCTTCAGTCAATGGGCTGACTGGTGAAATGCATAGTGGTCTGAGCTTCCTGCTCAGCCCCAAGGGGATAGTGACCATGTTGAGCAGGGCCAGACTGAGCATGTACTCTTATGGGTCCTCTGATTGCAGGCACAAGCACTAGTGCTGAGGGAGAATCCAGTGGGTGGCCATCAAATATCCAGAGGTGTGCCTAGGCAATGATCTAGGAAACCTTCTTGGCCCCAAGTTCTCCACATGGCACTAGGGGACAGTCTAAACTCCTAATCCAGGAAAATGGGTCCTCTCAATGCCTAGAGATCTGCCTGGGCATAGGTGAAGGAGGGCTCCCCTATACTAAGATCTCTACACAGAAGTGGTAGGGCCACTCAGGTGGCTGATCCAGGTGAGAAGGTGCTTTGAATGCCTGGAGATCTGCCTGGGTAGGGAGCAAAGAAGACCCTGCTGCATTGTGATCTATGTCCATTAAGGGTGGAGCAGTTCAGGCTGCTGATTCAGGTGAGCTGGTGCACTGAATCAGCTGGAGATCTGCCTGGGTGTGGAGATCTGCCTGGGTGTGGAGCAGGGAGGACCTTGTTACACCACAATCTATGTCTCGGTAAGGTGGGGTGGCTCAGGCTGCTGATCCAGGCAAGCCGGTGCTCCGAATGCCTGGAGATCTACTTGGGTGTGAAGCAGAGGAAGCCTCCCTGTACTAGAATTTCTGCATGGGAAGGGTTGGGCAGGTCAGTCTGCTGATCCAGGTGAGTGGGTGCTCTGAATGCCTGGATATTTCCCTGGGCGTAGAGTAGGGAGGGTCCTGCTGCATCATAATCTATGTCTATGAAGGGTAGGGCACCTCAGGTTGCTGGTTCAGGTGAGTGGGTGTTCTAAATGCCTGGATTTCAGCATGGGAGTGAAGCAAAACATGTGAAATGCTTAGATCAGTGCCTAGCACATGATAAACTTTATATATTAGATATCTATTAGATAATATATATTAGATATCTATTAGATAATATTATATATTAGATATCTATTAGATAATATTATATATTAGATATCTATTAGATAATATTATATATTAGATATCTATTAGATAATATTATATATTAGATATCTATTAGATAATATTATATATTAGATATCTATTAGATAATATTATATATTAGATATCTATTAGATAATATTATATATTAGATATCTATTAGATAATAATATATATTAGATATCTATTAGATAATATTATATATTAGATATCTATTAGATAATATATATTAAATAATATTATTCACTCCTGAAATTGCTTTTTACTATGTGCCAGGGAAATGAGGGGTGGGGGCAGCGTCAGGGTATGTGATAGGGTCTGTAACTTGCAGCCCTCTCTTTTCTACCAGAGTTTTGAAACAATTGAGAAATAGGCAAGAGAATTAGCAAATAGAGAAGAAAATGTTAGATTTATTATTGATAAAGTCTATGTAGACATACATCTTATAGACTGAGATTGAAAATGGGCTTGCTAACTCCAGCTCCCTGTCTAGGCCTTGAGTTAGCCCACCCTGGCAAAGTTGGATGCTACAGTCCAGACTCCTTTATTTAGGTCACTCTGTCACTGGTGCAGGTGTGGAAGGGAAGAGAGAGAAGAGATTCCCAGGGCTTGGGGTCCTTGTAAATTAGCTCCACGCTATGAACCAATGACTACTGCTATTAAGCAGGCAAATGACTACACCTCAGGGAAGAGTAAAAGATGAAGCATGAGACAAGGTCTTTTATCTACTAAATAAAGTGGGGATAGTCTGTTCAATTATGCGAAATCAAGCATAGGAAGTCTCGTATGTCTTCAGAAAACACTGAGTCATGCCGGAAGATGCCTTGATGCTATGAATAATTTTTGTGACCATGGTCTCAAGTATTCTTCACAATATAAACCAAATAGGAAGAAAGGGAACTGCCATTAACTGAGTTCTCACAACTTCCCAGGTGATGATCCAGCACTTTATATGCATCTCTCAGGTGGTCTCGGCTGCTCATGGTGGAGAAAGTAGGGATTGGGAATATTCCACATATGACTATGGGCCCAAGAGGAGAGAGTAGGATGCTCAGGGAAAAATAAGACCCACTTATGAGTCTACATTTATATGCATGTTCTTTCCAAGATAATTCTCATAATTCATATTTGTTTGGTGAATTCTTATTTTTTACTTTATTAATCATATTGTGGTAAGAATGCTTCCCACATGATCTACCCTCCTAAACATTTTTTAAAAATTCAAGTGTACAATATTGATGTGTATAGGATTGCTGACTATAGGTACAACAATCTCTAGATCTCTAGAACTTATTCAACTTGCTTGACTGAAACTTTGAACCCATTGACTACTAACTCCCCATTTCTCCCTCCCCCCCCAGGCCCTGGCATCCACCAACCACCATTACCCTCTTTGATTCTATGAATTTGACTATTTTAGATACTATTGTAGGTATTTTAGATACCTCACGTAAGTGGAATCATGTGGTATTTGTCTTTCTGAAACTGGCTTATATTGCTTTCAGTGCAATGTTTTAAAGGTTCATCCATGTTGTCACATATGGCAGAATTTTTTTCTTTTTAAAGGCTAAATAATATTCTACTGTATGTATATGCCACATTTTCTTTATCCATTCACCTGTCAATGAACATTTATGTTGCTTTCACATCTTGGCTGTTATAAATAGTGCTTCAACAAATGGGAATGCTAGTATCTCTTAGAGATCCTGATTTCACTTATTTTGGATAAATACCCAGAAGTGGAATTTCTGGATCATATGGTAGTTCTATTTTTAATTTTTTGAGGAACCTCCATACTGTTTTCCGTAGTGGCTGCACCATTTTTTTTATTCCCACTAACAGTGTGTAAGGTTATCAATTTCTCCATATTACCAGCACTTGTCTTTTGTTTTTTGATAATGGCCTTTTAGATTGATTCAATCCTTTCTCCTTTAGGACAACACTTTGAAAGAAACATAACAGTTCAAATATTTTTTGGGCACTCACTAAGTGTAGGGCACAGAGCTTGGACACTGGGCTATAACTGCAAGCAAAAGCAGACACAATCCTTCACTTTGGGAAATTTTGTGGGAGAGAGATGATGGCAAATAGCCACCATGACAAATGTAAAAGGGGAACTCTGACAGATCTATGAGGGCCAGGGTACATGTCTAGTAGACTGTATAATGGGGTAAGGGTTGAGAAGAGTATTCTGAACAGAGGGAATAACGCATGCCAGAGTCGGAGGGCACACTTGAGAAAACCAGCATGGCTGATGTGCAGAGCAAAAAAAGGGAGCAAATGTGTTACTACCCCCACTTACAGATGGAAATACAACCTCAGAACAATGCGTGGCTTACAATATCACCATCAGGGAATAAAGGAGCAGCACCTAGAAGTGTATAATTAACTCCAACACTACCACACCAACCTCTCCCTCCATGCTAAACTTGTGGAGGGAGGAAAAAAAAAGGCTAGCAGAGGTGTGGTTGGTTAGCTTTGAGTTTCAGGGGAAGGAAGCTCATGGGTAGATTGATTGTTTCCCAATATCACAAAGCATCAGAATGTGTGCAGCAGAAGCTAAGCATAATGGCCAGGCAGTTGCAAATTCCCTCACTGGCCTGCTGGACCCTACCTATCATCTACACCTCCCCCTTCCCCCACAACAACTAATGCACAGCAGTGCCCTTTGAACTCCATGGCACTTATATTTCTGTTCAACATTTTTGTTTTTAACTTTTTCAATTCATTTCTCAGATGAGTTCTCAGAACTTTTCAAGAAATGCAAGGAAACTTTATGTACTAGAATAAACAAAGGCTGACAACTGTGAAAAGATAGGCATATATACACGCATGCCCACACGCATGTCCATTTATCACTACCATGTCCTGTAACCTGGAGGGATTCCCTGCTTGTTATTTTCCCAATCCCACCAAACCAGTGGGAGAAAAGGTCAATAACGCATGAAACCCTTTCCCCTTCTCTTCAACCATGCATGCAGACACACATCTCTGCAAGCATTTTTCAGGGGCTGCACATGCCTTAAACCTGAGCCTGGGTACCTCCTCCATTCTCTTTGTTCTTTTTGACTCTCTTCTCCTCATCCCTTGCTTTTTTCTTTGACTGTAAGCCTTAGGACCTTCAAAAAGCACAGGGGCTGTGGAAAGAGCAGTGGTATGGAGATCAGAAACCTGCCTGCCTGGATTACCTCTGCCACTTACTAGCTCTGTGACCTTGGGCAAGTCACCTATTTCTGAGCATTTGTTTTCTCTTTGGGTTATCACCTACTGCTTAATTTTTGGTAAGGATTTAAATGAGTTCGACATTGCAGTGCATGATGAGTGGATGAGAGTTGTAGTGATTCATGGGTGTTTCTGAGTCTCACATCACTGTGTATAAATTGAAGGTGTTCATCCAGCTGATCTCTGATGTTTTCCAGGTCACAGGGTCTCTGATTCTTGGCTGTTCTCCATCTCTTGGGATCTCCATTGACTTATTCCCCTTCTAACCACATCTCTGCTCCTTAAAAATGTACAGGCTTAGCTCAGGGCATTGTGAGGAGCAACTCCATGTATAGACTTGTTGGGTGATGATGGTGCTTTCTCAGCAGCAGGACTAGAGACTCACGGTGAGGAAGGATCATTGGTTCTGAAACTAATTGCTAATGCCACAAGGGAGACCAAGTCTTTCTGAGTCACAAAGTTGGGGAGAGGCGACCCCTCAGGAGTGAGATTAGAGGAGACTTTCAGGGGCATCTGAGAGTATTGAACATTACTTTCTGCTTCCAAATTCCCTTACAGACCCGCTGGACTATTTTCAGCCTAGGTGTCAGGTTTCATTACCATCACTGAGGACTCCTTTGGGTTTCCTTTATGACTGTGCAAAGAAATGAGCATCTCACAGAAAGGCAGACACTGATGGGAAGTGAGTCAGCCTCAGAGCCAGGGGAATCAGGGCTCCATCCAATCCCAGCTCAGCTACGGACCTATGTGGGCTTTGGCAGGTGACTCAACCTTTGTGATCATCCTTTTCCTAACTTACATGTTAGAGAATCGTATTAGATATTTCCTAGGGTTTCTTTGAAGGTTGCATAATATATTGGCACCAATATGTGTTCACAAGAACCATGAAAGATAGAAATTTAGGTGTAGGTTTTGTATAACATGACATAACTTTGGCTGCATCCAAATTTAACACTTAGCCAACAAGAGAAAACAGCATGGTATGATGATTATATGGATAGCTGTTGACTGTTTCAAATCCCATTTCTACCCTACTAGCTGTCACCTTGGAGCAGATTCTGTGACCTCCAGTTGCTTTGTTCATTGCCACATGTTACTTTTTTGTTGAAGCAGAAAGAATTGTAAGGGTATAGTATATTATTTTGGGATTAAGGCATTACAGGCCACTGTTTTACAAGGTAAATGTGACCTTTTAAAAGGGAAATAGAAACATGGGAGTATAATATTCAAGTGTGGAATTGCTAGATAGTCCCTTCGCATAAGAATTCCTAGGTAGGCCCTATATTCATCTGTTTATCCATCCATTCATCTATTTGTCCATCCATCCATCTTTCCCTTCCTTCCTTTTATCCATGTATTATCGAATCCTTCATTTTTCACATATACATCCTTCCATACATCAACTTATTCATCTGTCCATCCTTATCTATCTTATCTATCTATCTATCTATCTTTATCATGATCATTTATCTGTCTTACCCATTTTGCTTTGCCCATCTAACCATCCATACACTTACATATCATCATATTCATCCATATACTCACTCATCTACCTATCTGTTTATCCATCCACTGTTTCCTTCATTTTCTTTCCCTCTCCTTCTTTCCTTCCTTCCTTCCTCACCTACTCAGTCATTAACCCCCATGTATTGACTGGTCATTCTGCAAGGTGTTTGGTAATGTAACAGTAAAAAGGCCCATTATTTGCCTTCAAGAAGTTTGCGTTCTGTTTGAAGAGCAAGCAATTCCAGTATAGTATATCCTGTGATAACTGGGGCTCTTAATCTGTATGTCCAATGCCTGGGTCTTAAATGGCCTTCACAGTTGGGGAAACAAGGGGCAATCAGTGTGGCTCTATCCTGAGACCAGCAGGGCTGTGCAGGTGGCTTCATGCACATGCCTTAGGCCCAGTGGAGACCTCAGTTCTGATGTGGATATCCTGCTGTCTAGCATGTTGTCTTTGGAATGAACAAAATCTCTTGTAGTTCTTCAGATGTTTTAAAACACCAAGTAAATTTGGCAAAGTGTTCTCCCTTGAATTTTAAAATCATGTTTTATTTAAGGGAAATGACTTTCATAAATTTCTGACCCATTTGAGCTTTATATCATTGTAATATTCTTTAAGAGCCAATTCATATCCAATAAGGCTTTTCACCTTGTTTAATGACTTTTTAAAATTCTCTTTTCTTGCAATCAAAACTGTATAAGCCAATTTGAATGCCAGAGAGTTCAAGTTCAGTTCAGAGCGCTCAAATAATGAATTCTGAGAGAATTTTAAGTTGCTGAAATGAGTTCTGCTCATTTATATTTGACTCTGGGTCCCCAGTGATTAGCCCTGAGTGGACTCAGCATGGACACTATCTGAGGGATGAAAGACTGGACTTTTCACTGAACATTTAAAAAACAATTTAGCCAAATCTCGCCTTATACATATCTAGCTTTTCCCCAGCAGAGAAACTGGGATTATGTTTCTAATTCTGAGAAACTGAGAAGGAAGAAGTACAAACCAACTAGTCTTTATCATGCTGCGTTTCAACTTGATCTTGTTTTATATGCATAACACAGTCCTAGGTGGTAGATATTATTTCCATGTTAATAATGAGGAAACTCAGGCCTAAGAGGGTAAGTTGATTAAAGCCACACAGCTAGGAAGTGGAAGAGAGGGTCATCAGGACCTCTGAAGTCAAGCTTCATGGCCTCTGAAGGTTCTCTTCCTGTATGCTCCTTGCTTCATAAACTCCTACTAAACTATGGTGAGGGCTGCCACTGGGCAGTGTGTCAGGTACTGGATATGAGCACATTACCTCATTTAATTTTTGCTATAATCAGGAATTGAAGCCTGTGAAACATAAATAACGTGTCCCAAGTCACAGAGCAGAGCCAGGCAGACTTTGGATTGAATCCTGGCTTTGCCATTGTTTTAGTTTCCAGAGGCCACATTACCATATATTTGATGGCTTAAAACGATAGAAATGTATTCTGTCACAGCTCTTGAGCTCAAAAATCTGAAATCAAAGTGCCTGCAGGGCTAGAGCGCTCAGGAAGAATCTGTCTACTGCCTCTTCTTGCTTCCAGCATCTGTAGGCAATCCTTGGCTTGTGGGCACTTCTTTCTCTGATCCATCTTAACATCATTTTCTCCTCTGTGGTCCTCTTACATGAACACGTATTATTTTATTTTGGGCCCATGCAGATTGTTCAAGGGATCTCCTCATCTCTAGATTGCTAACAATCACACCTGCAAAGACTTTTTATCCAATGAGGTCACATTCACAGGTGCTGAAGATTGGGTCATGAACATATCTTTTTGTAGGAGCCACTTGTTGGTTGGTGACTATGCAACTTAAGCCTTTCAGCTGTTTCACTTCTTCCACATAGAGTGATAATGCTGGCATTTCTTATCCCACAATATTGCTGTGAGAGATGAAGAGCAAGTATGTATCCTTGGAGTTATTGCAGAACTCAGAATCCACTCAATGCATGGACTGCTCGTTGCATGTCACACACAAGGCCCCATCAACAGACTCTTACATCTCCACAGGCTGATAAAAGATGACATATTAAGCCAATGAGGTGAACGAACACTTTACCTATAAAAATTTGCTCCCCAGCTTTGACCCAGATTGTGGTCCTGTCCTATATTCTTTCCCCAAGCCCCTTTATCAGGTGTTTTTAGGGGACCTGCTCTTAAAATATGGCAAGCGTTTTCCCTTAGGAACCTTTTTCTGTCTGGAATTTGAGAGTCGAGAACCTCAGTATGCTGATAACCTGGTGACTTGAAAGTTGACAAAGGCTTTTCAGAACTGGCCTGGGGCTAATTTACAAATAAATTACTATTCCTGACTTACATCACAACTTGCAAACCTGCAATACAGAATCACTTCTGTGGAGAAGTATGTGGATGCCCACCAAAGAACCAGGAAAATTCTGGACAAACTTTTGAAAACAAAACCTATTTCTAAATTGGGTGAATCTTTATATTGATGAGTAAGTGTGAGTTCTGGGTTTACAGCAGCACAAATTACCCCAACTTCTTCTCTGACTTTCTTCTGCTTCTCTCCTTTCTTCCTTCCCTTGCTTCCTGTTTTCTGTATCTTGCATCAAATCCCTAGAATACTCCATCACATGCCAGGACCTGCATTAGCTCAGGAGGTGCATGATATAGGCTCATATTCCAGAGGAGAGTAATGGGCATGGACAAATGGATCACCCTGTGATGTTTCATAATGGAGGATACAGAGAGTTCTGGGGGCACATGCTCTCTTACAAAATTGGCCATGATGGGAAGATGGGGAAGAGAGATAGGGGAATGAGACTGGCTCACAGAGGTGTTTGAGTTTTGCCTTGAAGGAACAAGAGGTACTGTCCCGGCAGAGGAAATAGTGCATACAAAGGCTTAAAGGCGAAAAGGTAAATATCAATTTCAGAGAACAACAGATTTTTTTTTTTTTTTAAATGTGATCTGAGTATAGGAACATGGCAGGGCCCAAGGCTTAGAGGAAGAACCAAGCACACCACACTGAAATCAAAGGCCATCATCAAAGGGTCTGAAGGTAAAAACTGGCAAGGCCAGATCAAGTTTATTGAAAGATTCATCTGGCCTTTACAAGAGAATGGATCTGAGGGGAATTGACCTACAATAAAGGAGACTAGTTATGATATTTTTTGACTTGTTTACAGTTCTCTGTAGTTTAGACATTTTTCTAAGCACTTTAAATGCATTTTCAGTAGCTTAGCCCTCACGATAATCTTAGGAGAAATGTCTTCTCTCATTTGGCAAAGAAAGAATAAATAACTTGCCCAGGGTCACCCAGCTAATAAATGGCAGAGCTAGGATTTGAACTGGGGGTGCTGGCTCTAGAAAATGAAGATCCAGATTAGGTCCATGACCATGGGAGGTGGAAGGTCTAGACCTTGGGGCCTGAATGGCAGGAAGGGGTGAGGGAGGCAACAGAGTTCCTCAGTCCCATTCACGTTTAGGCCTGGTTATGTGATCTGCTCTTCCCTCACAGCCATCCTCACTCCTACATTCTGTCCTCCAAGAGCTTCTGCACATCAGTGTCCCCAGGCCTGACTTCTTTCAGCAGGATCCTGAAACCAGGGTAGAGTTAGTCCAGAAGTTTTTGTAGTGCTTTGATACCCAGGCTCTGGAGTCAGGTTGCTGGATTTGCATCTCTGCTTTCCACTTTTTAGTTCCTTGCTCTTTAGGACATGGTTAGTAGATCAGCAATATCAACTTGTTACAAATTCGGAATCTCAGGTCTCATCTAGACTTTCGTCATCAGAGTCTGCGTCTTATCAGTTGATTCTAGTTGTATTCATGTTTAAGAGGCGCTGTTCTTCCTGTATAACTTGGAGCAAATTATGTAACCCCTCTCAATCTCCAGTTTCCTCATCTGTAAAAAAGGGGGGTTAATAATACTTTCTTCAAAGGGTGATTTGGAAGAATATTAAGTGTAGTTCAGAAGCATAGGACAAACATCAAAAATGTCACTATTATTGTTATTTAGTTCTTATGACAAAGGCCAATTTTTGTGTGCCAATTTACAGCTTACAAAGCAAAAATCCATTATCTTAGCTGGTCATCATAACATCTTGCAGAGCAGTTGAGGAATGAACTGAAGCTCTGAGAAATCGCACGGCATACCCAGAGCTGTATTTGAAGTTTATCACAGATGCTCCATTTTCAGAGGGAAATGGGCACAGATACATACATTGCTTCCTTTATTCTCTTTGGCCAGAGATATTTTCATGGTGAAGAAGGAAAAGGAGGAGATAAGTTTACCAAATTCATGTTGTAAGTCAGCAAACTTTTGGAGATCTTCTATACAGACAGACCATTAGCCCGCCAGGTCTAAAGAGAACCAGAAATCTTTACTGCTACTTTGCTCCTTCAGACCCACTTCCACCCTTCTCTTTCCTCCTCTATGCCTCAGGAGAGCAACCTTTATAGATCACATCAGTGGGTTCCTCTGTCTTCACAATTCTGGATGAGTTTCTTGGACACGGACCCTCAGCAGAAGGTAGTGGGTGAGAGGCGAATGACAATGGAGTATTTATTTCCCCAACTCCTTTTCTTTAGGTTGCTCAATGTTGGTGGCATCTGGAAGCCCTCTCCATACTATTACCCTCTCTAAGGTTCAGTACTTACTCTCAATCCTTGTCCTTTCAGGCCTAGCATTGGAGACAACTCTCCATTTTGCAAGTCCTGGGTACTCTACTAGAATTCCTTATACTTTATCCTCATCCAGGCCTCACCTACCAAATCCTTCTGCTATGATCCAATTAGAATGAACCATGTATTAGTCCATTTTCATATTGCTATGAAGAAATACCTGAGACTGGGGTAATTTTTTTTAAAAAAGAGGTTTAATGGACTCACAGTTCCACATGGCTGAGGAGGCCTCACAATAATGGCAGAAGGTGAAGGAGGGGCAATGGCCTCCCCTACATGGTGGCAGGCAAGAGGGCATGTGCAGGGGAGCTGCGTTTTATAAAACCATCAGATCTCATAAGACTTCTTCACTATCACGAACAACACAGGAAAAACCTGCCCCCATGATTCAGTTACCTCCCACCAGGTCCCTCCCATATCACGTGGGGATTATTATAATTCAAGGTGAGATTTGGGTGGGGACACAGAGCCCAACCATATCAAACCATCTATTTCCTTCCTTGACCCTGACTGATGGAGATGGGGGAGGAGACACCATTTTCCAGAATAAACCTTAGGCTCAGTGAGGAGAGTGATGCATTTATTTTCACATGATTGGTTAATGATAAAGTCAATTGTAGAATCCAATCACGTGAGTCCCATTCACTATTTTCTTATATGGTGTTCTCTTTGCCTTATTTTTTCTTTCACTTTGTTCCAAGGCTCCATAATTAATTCTGTATCCCCAAGTTTGTATTCTATTTCTTGAAGAGGTTCTCCCAAATTGTATACATCTCAGACTTCATGCACCTAGGCACCTTCCCTTTGTCTCGGGAGAGAAGTCTAGACATGTAGACCTTTCATACATCTTGAACATGCATCTTAGGCTTAAGCTAAGGGGGAAGGCTGGGCGAGGGAAAGCTGAGGATTTTTCAGGAGGTTCCAGCTCTGGAAAACCCAGTCAGTCTTATGAATCTGTCCACTTGGCTTCTGGGACCAGCCTGCCTGCTTTTCCCTATTGCTTCTCCCTTTCCTATGTCCCACACAACACTCCCTTCATTCCTGGCCACTGTGGATGGTGACACAGGTGCCCTTCTTACTATCATGTTACTAAGATAACACAAAACTCTCTTGAAGTCTTTTGAGAATGTTACAGATGAGACTAGGAGTAAAGGAATAAGAACATAAAAATCTGGGAATCCTCAGAATATAGGACTATTTGAAATTAGCTATTGCATAATCCTAGCCTTTACTCACTTGGATATGGAGCTAGACCTTCTCTTTCCTAGGTCCTTTGTTGTATCCCTAATGAACACATCTTTTGTAACTCTCCTAGGAATGGGCTGTATAGTTCCCCATCAGAGTCACCATAACTTCTTTCATTTACCTCTCTCGTCTCTTTTAGATAAGCTGCTTGGGCAAGACAATGGTGAACAAAGTGGCTAGAGTAGCCACCTTTTATCATTACCATAAGATGACCTTGAGAATGAAGGTCACCCAGAATAGCCACATAATTGCAAGGATATCTGCCCGTCATCAGTGATTCATGGGGGTTTATTCTTTTTCATTTCCTTAGTCTTCCCCAAACACCATGTCCTGGCAAACTCTATTGTCTCTATACTGTGGGTGCCCCTAGTCCAGAGCACCTTCTTCCTCAGTCCCTGACTGACAAATAAATAAAAGTGCCGCTGCATTCATGAAACATTTAAAGCTTGCCCCTTGCAGAAATACATCTCCTCCTCCTATGAGGACCCACTTACATAAAATAATGTACTCAATGCCTTACATAAAATAACAAAATGTGCTAACATCTGTTTACAGTATTGTTCTGTTTATATATCTCTTTTACATATACTAAAGCCCTTGATCCTGATTTTTAATAGGTATTATACCTATTGTACAGATGAGAATACTAAAGGGGAGAGTTTTTGTGATTTTTTTTAAAGATCACTGGCAATGTAATAATTATCCTTAGTCATAACCTTGCTGTAAAACAGTGGAAGAAGGAGGTTTGAAGTTTGGGATGGGGCATATCTGGAACTCCACTCCACTAATCCATTCATTAATGGCATTGTCTATGGCCTTGATCCCTATAGAAAGAATGGATTTATAACAATAGAATTTAGTAGAAAGAATGAAATAAACTCACACAACCCTGGGCTCAAATCTGGATTAGCTAAGCAAGTGACAACATCTCTGAGGCTGTTTCTACTCTGTATTTTGAAGATTTTAATAACAATGGCCTAGACTGCTAATTTTCCCTCAGTATCTATTTTCTTCTTTCTTCTTAGAAAATCACTAGCCAGAATGAAGAGTACATTTTCCAGGTACTCTTAAAGCCTTTGACTAAGTGTTGGCTAGTGATATTCATGCTGAAGTGTCATAGGTCCTTACTTGGAAAATGTTTTTAATTTTTTTTTTTTATTTTTTGTAGGCTTAGTAGGTACAGGTACTATTTTGTTACATAGATGTTCTGCATAGTGGTAAAGTCTGGGCTTTTGGTATAGCCATTATCTGAATAGTACACATTGTACCTGTTAAGTAATTCCTTATTCCTCGCCCCTCTCCCACCCTTCTGAGTCTCCAGTGTCTATTATTCCACACTCTATGTCCATATGTACACATTATTTAGCTGCCACTTATAAGTAAGAACATGTGGCATTTGACTTTGTGTTTCTGAGTTATTTCACTTTAGATAGGCTTAAGTTCATCCACATTGCTGCATGATTTTATTCTTTTTTTTGTGGCCAAGTAGTAGTACATCGTATATATGTATATACTACATTTTCCTCATCCAATCATCCATTAATGGACACTTAGGTTGATGCCATATCTTTGATATTATGAATAGTCCTGTGATAAACATACAGGTGCAGGTATCTTTTTGATATTGCGATTTCTTTTCCTTTGGGATATACCCAGTAGTAGGATAGCTGGATCAAATGGTGGATCTGCTTTTAGTTCTTTGGGAAATCTCCATACTGGTTTCCATAGAGTTGGCACTAATGTACGTTCCTACCAACAGTGTATAAACAATTTGCTTTTTTCCACATCCTCACCAACATCTATTATTTTTCTTGACTTTTTAATAGCTGTTCTGACTGGTTTAAGATGGTATCTCATTGTGGTTTTAACTTGCATTTCTCTGATGATTAGTTATGTTGAGGATTTTTTCATGTGTTTCTTGGCCATTTTTATGTCTTCCTTTAAAAAATGTCTGTTTGTGCCCTTTGTTCATTTTTCAGTGGTATGGTTTGGTTTTTGCTGTTGAATTGAGTTCCTTGTAGGTTCCGGATATTAGTCTTTCATTGAATATATAGTTTGCAAATATTTTCTCCCAATATGCAGGTGGCATTTTACTCTGTTGATTTTTATTTAAGTCTATTTTTTTAAATTTGCTTTTGAGGTCTTAGTCATGAATTCTTTACCTAGGCCTATGTCTAGAAGAATTTTTCCTAGGCTTTTTCCTAGTATTTTTTATAGTTTTGGGACTTACATTTAAGTCTTTAATCCATCTTGAGTTAAATTTTATGTATGGTAAGAGGTAGGGTTTTAGTTTCACTCCACTTGGCGAGCTAATTTTCTCAGCACCATTCATTGAATAGCGTGTTCTTTCCCCAGTGTGTTTTTGTCAACTTTGTCAAAGATGAGTTGTCTGTAGGTATTTGGATTTATTTCTAGGTTTTCTATTCTGTTCCATTAATCTATGTCTATTTTTATAATGGTACCTTGCTGTTTTGATTATTATAACCTTGTAGTATAATTTGAAATCAGTTAATGTAATGTTTCCAGCTTTGTTCTTTTTTCTTAGGATTACCTTGATTATTTGGGCTCTTTTTTGGTTCCATATGAAATTTAGTGCTTTTTTTTTCTCTCTAATTCTGTGAAAAATGACATTGGGATTTTGATATTCATTTCATTGTACCTATTAATTGCTTTGAGTGTATGGTCATTTTAACAATATTGATTCTTCTAGTCCATGAGCATGGAATGTTCTTCCATTTGTATGTATCACCCACAATTTCTTTCATCAGCGTTTTGTAGTTTTCCTTGTGAAGATCTTTTACCTTCTTGGTTAAATATATTCCTAGGTGTTGTTGTTGTTGTTGTATTGTTGTTATAGCTATTGTAAATGGGATTCACTTCTTAATTTGGTTCTCACCTTGCTTATTTTTGATGTATAGAAATGCTGCTTATTAAAGGCATCCAAACTGGCAAAAAGGAAGTCAAATTATCTCTGTTTGCTAATGATATGATCTTATACGTAGAAAACCCCAAGAACTCCCCAAAAGACTTCTAGATTTGATAAATAAATTTTGTAAGTTTATTTATCAAATTTATTTATTTATTAGTTTTTTTTTTTTTTAAAAAAAAAAAAACAAGTGGATCACACCCTTTACCTTTATTGTTGGTCCTTATGTTGCCCTGCTGGCTGGAACGTGGGCATAGTGGCTGTCAGCCAAACAATAATTTTGAACTCTGAAGATATCTTGGGAATAAACTTCACATTCAGAGGAGCTTGGGTTCTTGAAAATGGTTTGGAACACAGTCAGTATATAAGCTTATTTTCTGTCTTGGAACTTACAAAGACAGAGCAGTAAACTTTTGCATAAGCCACTGTTACATTTTGAGTCTCCCTTACCTTTAGCCCAACCTCACCTTAACCATACACCATTCTTAGAGTCATAGTGAGTATTAGATATATTGTGTTCAATGTTCCTGACACATGGTGGACATCAAATAAATACTAGTTGTTAGTAATATCACCTTACCTCTCACATATACGTATTTAGTAAGTTATTGAGAATTGTACTAAATAAAATTTATATTCCAGTGTAAACCTTGGCTGAAAAAAAATACTCTTGGGTTATTCTTAATGGAAAGATAAAAAGATAGTTTAGGAACCTTAGTGTAAGTTCTGCCTGAAACCAAAGCTGGTCCTGCGATAAGCCAGCTTCTAGGACTTGCTCTGCATTAGTGGCAGCTTTGAGTCTTCTCCCTAACCTAAGTGACTTAATATGGAAACAGAAAGCTTGAGTTCAGACCCTAAGTGTTCTACCATGCTTTGGTTTCATAGTCATACAGAACTCTCAATAATCTGACTATCCGGATAAGCCAATAAAAGAAAAGCTGAGAAATAAGAAGTCATAATGGGGCCAAATGTATTGGAAAGTAGGGGTGGCATTTATATGAGTAGGGTTTTCTGAAGTTTCAAGTGCAACCATTTATTTTCATCATCTCTAGTTAGTGCACAGATCCTACTACTTCAAAAAGAAGGTATTCAACTTCACTATTTAAACGTCTCATTCTGATTTGTTCTATTAATACCCCATTTTAGAAGGCTGCTAGTATGATAGAATGTGAAATATACATTTATTGAGTGCCCACCTGTCACGTGTTTTACATATGGTATATCCTTAATCCAGTCCTCATTGTATCATTGTAAATTAAATATTATTGTCCCCATTAGGAAGATTGGAAGAATGGAAACCAGGAGTGGTAAGCAAGTCATCCAAGGTCATAGAGTGAGTAAACAGCAGAACTGGGATTCACACCAATTCTGACTATATCTCCTGTGCTCTTTAATGATACCAGATTTAAATAACCATATTCTCTTTCCCTTGAGTCAGTTTGAATTCCCACCCTAGCTATGACTAAGATGGGAAAGAATTGACATTCTGATCCTCTCCCAACCCTGAGGGCACTGGCTCTGCCCTTTCTGGTAACCCCAACAATTCTGGATCCTAGCTAAGCTACCCACCCTAACTTAGATGGTTTGATGGGCCTGTGGCAAGGTTGGCATTCAGGAGCTGCATCATGCCCATTTGCTATCCCTGCTTTGGTAAGAGCATTGCAGCTGCTGCATAATGACAGTCCATAGGACTGCCACTCAGCACCCCTACTATGAGTGTGGGAAGGCTCAGGCAGATAGTGTGAGAAAAGCAATGCCAGGTTAGTTCTTCCAAGGACATATGAGGCAAATTACATGGCTAACCGGTTTTCTTAAAAAAGAAAAGCTCATAGTCTGTCACTTCCAAGGGGCTGACAGGCTGTTTCTGAGCCTATGCCTGAAGATTGAGCATCTGAGTTCTCATGACGAACTCATGGTAAAATGTCTACAATTTATTTTGGAGCAATATGATAGATTGCGATAATGGACACATTTCTTTCCACATCTCACCATGTTCATGCCCTTTTGCATATAACTCTGCAGCACCTCCCATCAAGACATGCAGTCTTTCCCCCAGTCTTTGGATCTGGGTTGGTCTGGTGATGTGCTTTGACCAATGATGTGGCAGAAGCTGTGAGATGCCAGTTCCAAGTCTTTTCCCACTCACTTTTGGGACTTTGCCTGGTTCTGATGTAAATAAACAAGCTGGGGCTAGCCTGCCGGAGGATACAAAACTGTGGAGCAGACAAACAATTGCAACCAAAGCTATTCTGGGTCAGAAGAACTCCCAGCCTGCAGCTGAAGGGGCAACTCATGAGCCATGTTAAGCTGTTACTGTTCTAAGCTGGAGCTTAAACATTGACAGAATGTTTAAAATGATTAAATCACTGTGACAATAATAAAAACAGTGATAAAATTAATCACTGAACATTGAGAAAGCTGATTATGAGGCAACAGCCGATAGAGACATGTCAATGAAAATGGTTTTAAAATAGAAAAAGCTTGTGAAACAGTCTGTTAAGTGCCAGATACTGGGACAGCTACTTGGATACTTTTTCTCATTTCATCTTTACATCCATAAAAGCTGTCATTTTACTGAACTCAGTACCAAATACTGTGCCATTAAATATTATGTCATAAAATTTAATTCCTATTATGTCTACTATATGAGTTATGAGAGATGTCTTATTATTTCCATTTTATAGGTAAAGAAACTGAGTCTCAGGGAGGTTAGGTGAATTGACTAAGCCCTAGGTTACCAGCTGGAAAGTGGCAAAGCTAAGCTTTCATCTCCGATCTGAATCTTACACCTGTGTTTTTATTAAATCCTTGAGTTTCCACTTTCTCAACTAGCTTTCATGGGAGGTACTTTTATACTCTATTTTTAGAGGATAACTTGGAGTTTTATGGACATTAAATAACTTGTCTAAGAACAACCAATTAATAAGTGGAAGACTTGAGTTTTAAACCTAGGACTCATTGACCCCACACTTGCTATAAGCACTCTGTTAAGTGCCAGGTACTGGGCTAGGTACATTTCACTGACATTCATTGTTAAGAAATATATCCTAAATGGAGAAGAACATGTTTTTATCTGTGCTAGGATCATGTTATTTCTTTGTTTTAGAAACATGTTCTGTTCTGTTTGAGTGTTTTAGAAGCCCATGTTTTCCAAACCCCAAACTGTAACAGAAAGCAGGCTGTAAAGGAACTGGTGAAAGTTATTGCCCAGAAAAACCAGCTGGGAAGCATTTCAGTGTCAATCTTATTATTGCTTTTAAATTAGCAGTAACTTCAAAAGCCTTTGAAGTAGCTGGCAGGGATTGTCTGAACTGAGGAAAACAATCACAACAGGGTATTCTCAGCAGGCATGTGCTTTATAAATGTTCCTTCTCTTTATGCCTTGGCACTGCAAAAGGTTAGAAAGGAGGTGCAGGGATTGTAGCAGGGAGCTTCTAGCTGACGTGGATTGCCAGGAAGACCCAATTAGCCTGTCCCTCTCAGTAGCTGAAGTTCCAGCAGAGGGAATAAATTATCTGTGGCAGTGGCCAAAGCTGCTGACAACTTCAGAGACCACCTGTGTGGTCTTCCCAAGTCAAGGCCCTGACTTGCAGGCCCTGAGAAACTCTAACCTCAGGAGCCTGATGAATTCCAATCCAATAGTACAACTAAGTTAAACTGAACGGTGTTTTTCAACACACCTGAAAAGTCAGGTGTTCCCTATCTCCCACACTGAATCCCCTATCTGAAGATATCCAATGGCCATCCTCCAAGTCTAAGTTTAGAGCTTACTTCATCTTTGAAAGCTCTGACATGTCCTAGGATTTCTCTCTTCAAATAGAGCTCACTCATATTTCTCTCCATCCATCCATCCATCCATCCATCCATCCATCCATCCATCCATCCACCCACCCATCCATCTAGCATTGAACGACTTCCCACTCTATGCCTAATGTTACCAGGCCTTGCAGAAACCACTGATTCTAAAGTGGACAAGGTCACCCTCCTCCGCATGATGCATTAGTTTTGTGAAGAGTGTAGAGACCACCCAATGGGCACACCAAGTATGCACCCGAGACACAAACAAAACAGGGACACCAAGAAATTGTTTGGAAAAAATATGACATTTTTTTGCACATACAAAAAAAACTGGCGTATCAACATCAGAAAAATCACAACTAGCTTGAACTTCCATACACATATTTATATGTTAGGGTGATTTTACATTGAATTCCATATCAGAAGAGGAATCACAGTCTTTCCAAGGCTTGAGGTCTCAAAAGGACAGCCTTCATCCTTGTAAACAGCAGAACATAAGCATTTAGCCAAGTTACCTGATAAAGAATTACTTGTGAGCTGTGGAATGAAGAAGAGTGTGTGTGTGCATGTGTGTGTGCATCTGCGCATAGGTATGCATGTGTGTGTACATGTGCATGCATGGATATGTGTGTACAAGTGTGTGCTTGTGTGGTCAGGGAAGCCTAGTGGAGAATAAATCAATCATTCTCTTCTATGTGCTTTTGTAGTACCAGGGTCATATTCCTAGTCTAGCTTCTGCTTAAATTAATCATCTATGTGTTCATTTGTAGCAGATGCTGCGGGGTCTTACCCATACTATATCCTCTTGGCACTCACCATTCTAGTGCATGCCTACAGTATCCTACTCCAAGCACCTGCAGCTTTCAGTCTGAGAGAATTTTCTGCATCACAGACAGGGAAACCAAAAGTGCAAGGGGATTATGGTACCTGGGAGCAGCCCTCACCTCAACCAATTATGGATGTGAGTTAGATGATAAGACTCTGGACTTCCCCCTTGCTATTCTCATGATAGTGAGTGAGTTCTCATGAGATCTGGTTGTTTGAAACTGTGAAACTGTGTAGAACTTCTTCCTTCACTCTCCCTCTCACTCCTGCTCCACCATGTGAAGAAGGTGCTTGCTTCCCCTTTGCCCTTCTGCCATGATCATAAGTTTCCTAAGGCCTCCCCAGCCATGCTTCCTGTACAGTCTGTAGAACTGTGAGTCAATTAAACCTCTTTTCTTCATGAGCCTATCTCATCACCCCTTGGGCAGGGTCCCTTGGAGGTATGTTCTACAACATGTTCCAGGGTTGCCCAGGTAAAACTGAGCTCTGCACTAACCGGCATGAAGGCATACCCTCTATTAGCTTCCTTCCCTGCCCAATCTGACTCTGCTACTCACACACTTGTGCCAGTTGTCCTGGGATTGCTTACAAACAGACCTCTTGCACACCCATTCTGGTCTCAGTCTACCTCCAGGGGAATCAAACCTAAGACAACAACTCTCCTCTCAAGGCAAAGCTGGATCTGACACAAATCCTGGCACACAGACTTAATAAATGTCCAGCAAATAAATTAGTGAATAAATAAATGGACAATGAAATGTGAGTGACTGATAGCAGTTTTCCCCCTATTTTTTCTTTAATCAAAGCCAAATAAATCCGTAATAATAACATTTTGGAAGAGAAAATATAATTTCCTTGGAAAGTAACTGGTGGGTGATTTGGACTCTGTGGCATGGGAGGCAGCAAGGCTGGCCTTAGAGGAACGAGTGAAGCTGCATTGATGTTCTCTCCCTCTCTTCCCTACCCTGGCTTCTCCTCCCCTATGGTACCTACAACGATGCAAATAACAACCTGCCTTCCCTTAGTGGCAGTTTTGATTAGATTCAAAGATTTCATGGAGGATATATCTCAAGATAAAGACTAAGGAGATTTGCCAAATCCTTTTTAGTTCTCAGAAAAGTGATGCTGTCTATATATTTATTCAGTTCATTTGTCTGTAAATGTATGCATTCAGTAATTTACTTACTTATAAATTTGGTCATACTGTAATTGATTCATACACTCCTTCCCTAGCTGACTCAAACAATTTTGCACAGAGGAGCTGATCCTTAGGCACATGGTCCCTAGACACCAAATGCCTGGGTTAGGATCCTGGCTGGTAGGCTATCTGAGCTTCAGTCTCTTCATATGTAAAATGGAGATAGAGAGTATCCCCTTGCTGAGAAAGTGAAGTGATTAGCAGTGTATGTATAGCACTCAGAACAGTGGCAGCACATAATCAGTGTCAGGGAAGCAATCAGCTTCATCCTGTTGTTTGAATTAAGCCATCTGTGCTGAGTATTGCTCACTCCTTCATTTTCTGTTTCACTTCCTTTATTTCTAGTTTTCTTCTCCACAACAGAAAGACCACATCAAAGTGGAAGAACTTAGTGTCCCAACTTCCAAATGAGTCCTGAAGTTTTAACTTTCACAGGCTCTATCCTGACTATTGCCAAAAGTTGAAAAAACTGCCAAGTGGATAAAATGTGTCTATTGTACTTTTTCAACTCCATTTGGGGGCTGCTTGTGCAGAACCTTCAAGCCACACTGCTATGATTTGGCTCTGTGTCCCCACCCAAATCTCATATTGAATTCTAATCCCCGATATTAGGGGAGGGACCTGGTGGGAGGTGATTGGATCATGGGGTGGACATCCCCCTTGCTGCTCTCCTGATAGTGAATGAGTTCTCATGAGATCTGGTTGTTTGAAACTGTGTAGCACTTCTCCCTTCTCTTTCTCTCTCTCTCTCTTCCCCCTGGTCCTCGACCACCATGTGAAGAAGGTGCTTGCTTCCCCTTCACCCTTCTGCCATGGTCATATATTTCTGTCTCTCCAGCCATGCTTCCTGTACAACCTGTGGAACTGTCAGTCAGTTAAACCTCTTTTCTTCATAAATTACCCAGTCTCAGGTAGCTCTTTGTGACAGCGTGAGAACAGATTAATACACAAACTTTATCTGTTTCAGGTTTTCCTTCCCTCTTTTGATTCCTAATAGTTCCAGCTTCATTTCTGCTTCTTCTATCAAACCAACACTTTCTGCTGGGTGTGAGGGGATTCGCCCAGAACAACAATTGACACAAGGAGTGAAAGATGCTTTAGTTTCAAGGAGTATTTCATTTTGGAGGCTCCAATATTTAGACTGTGCAAAAGAAGACAATAGATACTAGGTAGTCATCAAACAATTTCTGTCACAGTTGATCCTTTAGCTGCCTAACCTCCAAACCTACTTTTTTTTTTTTGACAGAGTCTCACTCTGTTGCCCAGCCTGGAGTGCAGTAGCACGATCTCGGCTCACTGCAATCTCCGCCTCCTGGGTTCAAGTGATTCTTCTGCCTCAGCTTCCTGAGTAGCTGAGACTACAGGTGCACACCACCACACCCAGCTAATTTTTGTATTTTTAGTACAGACAGGGTTTCACCATATTGGCCAGGCTGGTCTCGAACTCCTGACCTCGTGGTCCACCCACCTCAGCCTCCCAAAATGCTGGGATTACAGGCATGAGCCACCACGCCCAGCACAAACCTACATTTTTTTTTATATTTAGAATATAATCCCCATCCAAGGAAGAGGACCTTGGTATCTCCAGGTGCTTTATTTGCTGAAAGTCTAGGATCTTGGAAGATGTGCAGTTCTCTTCACCAGGTCTGATTTTATCTCCTTAAACCCCAGTGACCTACACACTGACACAACCTATCTCCTTCTCACTCCTTGTCCACCAGCAACCAGCAGTGAAGCAGAAACAGCATTCCTGCAGAAAGAACCTCCACTCAGTAAAGGAGAGGGTTGGACAAACCCAACAGCCACAAGTCCATAACAAATAACAACTCTCGTGGGGCAGTTTCTTGCTTAATAACTTAGAAGGTTCCTGTTCCATATGCTTCTGGAAAGTTCCACATATAAGTGACCACAGCCCCAAATCTTGTCCAGCTAGAGATTTTAAACCTGACGGCTCTTGAATTTCAATCAGAGACCTCTGTGATCTGTCCATTCTTCTCCCCTAGCTTGATGGCCATCTGAAACAATAGGCTTTGGTCAGGAAGCAATTCACTTATTTTCATTTCACCAGCAAGTTTATTTGATGCTAAGCCTGCAGCTGCTGATAACAGATTCAGGTTAGACTATAATCTTTCTAGACCTCCAATTATGGCCTCTTAGGGAGCCTAGATTTTAGTCTGCAGACAAAGCAAAGCTTCATTTCTTGCTATTCTTTTTGTAAATGGATAGGTGGTGTTTGACTTTATTTTTTGTGAATCTTTGTTGAAAGTGGCAGACAGTGTTATCACATATCAACTATGGTAAGCAACTATGATGGTCCCTAATGATCCCTACCTTCTGGAATTTACTTGTGTAATCTACACCCCTTGAATGTGGGCTGAATTTACTGATACACTTCACAACACAACAGGGTGATAAATACAACTTGTGAGATTAAGATTTGGGTATACTTTCTCTCTTATCCTATCACTTGCTCTCTCAGGAAAACCAACTTCCATGTTGTGAGTTGTTCTCTGGAGAGATCCACATGGCAAGAAATTGAAGGAGGCCTTTGATTGAAGAACTGAATCTTGCCAACTACATCAGTGAGCTTGTAAGTGGATCTCCTTCCGTTGAGTCTTCAGATGATACTGTTGCCACAGGAAAAATCTTGATTACAATTCTAAAAGAAATCTTAATCCAGAGAGAACCAGCTAAATTGTGCTTAGATTCTTGACCCACAGGAACTGTCAGATAATAAATGCTTTGCTGTGTTAAACTGCTAAGTTTGGGGGGTAATTTTTATGCAGTGATAGATAACTAATATATCAACATTCTTGACTTTTCCTTTCCTCTCTCCTAATGGTATAGCCTAAGTGAGTGTGTGGTCTGTGTTCCAACTTCTGTTAGTCAATAGATTGGCAAACTGTTTTGCTATCATATAGCATGGGACTTCAGCTTTTCTACCTGCAATATCCTAGTCCACAATATTTGCCTTTAGGACTTTATGCAATGAGGTAATACTGTATTTTAGATTTCATTTCTCATAGTACCTCTCTTGCAAGAAATAAATGCTACATCATTTAATATTAGGTTCAGCTGCATCTGACAGAAACTCTAAAAATTCAGTAGAATACACAAGAAAGAAGTTTATTTCAGTATCATATAAAAGAAGCCTACCAGTAGATAGCCTAGGACTCCTTTGGCTTTAGTGGTACGGTATTCAATGGTGTCCCAATCTCTTTTCTTTCTTCTCCTGGAGTTTGGCATCCATCATCAAGACCACCTCATGGTCAAAAATGACTGCTTTGGCTAAATCCATCATATCCTCATTCCAAGCCACAGAGGATGAAGCAGGTAAATCACCCTGGCAGAGTCAGCGCCCTTGAAGGACTCTTCTCAGATGTGTTTTCCATAAGTATTTGTATAATAGACAAAACATATTTAGAAAACAGGAGGGCTTCTAAGTCATCTACTCCAATATTTCCCCAACTTCAGAAATTTTCATTCTACCTTTATGATTTTGCTATATTTGATGCTATCCATCAAAGTGATTACTTTATATTGAATCATAGAGTGAAAAATTATTTCCTTACATTTACATAGCATCTGTACTGTCTTTATATAATGTGTTTTTCAATCAAGTTACTTTTTAAAACTTAAATGACTATGTCTAAAATAAAAGCAATATATTGTTATCTTCAATTAAAAAGTAAAACTTTACATAGAAATTATGAAAAAAAGTAAAATGAAACAAATTTATACAATTATACACAAATACCAAGTTAGCCAAAAACTTTGAGCAAGCCACTGGTCTCATATTTTCTTTATTAAAAGTGAAGATTATCAAGTTCCACATGGCGGCTACCTCCTGAAAGAACCAGAAGGATTGTAAAGAGAATTACTTTCTTACTACACTATTAATTATAATTTATTTAATGTCCTGTCTGTATACCACCTAAATTGCCTCAATTTTACTAGAGATTTATGCTCCATACTTGGGACGCTCTGTTGGATTCCTGTGACCTTGTGAGGAAACCAATTTTCTAGAGACTCCATGTGATTCTCTGGTTGCTCCTTGGTTATTTGTAATATTTGTGAAAATTTTACTGTCTGATACCAGAGTCAGATGTTTCAGGGTCTGTATTCACCTCCTAGACTGAGATCTCAGAAGACTAACCCTGACTGATTTTTGTCTGTAGGGCAAGACCCAGGGCCTTCCCCCCAGAATCAATACATTCTGTTGGTTGGAACAAATGCAATTGTTAAGGACACACAGCTCTGTACAAAGATGAAACTGAGGCCCACATCTTCTGTGTCCTCATTCATGGTGCTTTCCAAGACACGTTTTTAGAGAGAGGTCAATTTGATTCCAGGAACAGAGATAAAAGGGATTTTAAAAAGTGCTGCATTTTTATTTTTAAAGCTCAAGGTTACTCATGCATTTTTAATGATAAACTTCTGTATATATAATAATAGGTTAAAAATCAATGACTCAAAATGTAAATCTCTGGCAAAGTTAGTTTGATCATACCACTGTTTTTGATGATGACAGTAGTAATAAGAATAGCTGCTATTTATTGAGCATTTTCTGTGTTCTAGGAACAACTGTGAGCACTGGAACTTTCTCATGAGCCAGGTACAATTACTCTTTCCATTTTATTCACAGGAAACTGAGGCACATGTAAGACACATAGCCAGCAGGCGTTGGGACAGTTTGCACAAGACTTACCTATTTCTTGGCTTCACTTGGTTTTTTGTTTCAGGGGCTGCTATAGCAATAAGCTCAGCGTGAGTTCCACTTACTTCAGGCAGAGGTGACTTGACACCACCTCACCCAGCCACCCTATGCCTGCTGCCTTCTGTCCTGCGGCTTCTCTGTGACCCCAACTGCACAGTACCTTTAGTCACCTGTGCATACCCAGCCCACAAGAACTGGAGAATTAATGCTCCATGGGATGAATCTTTGATCGGTAGGAGGTAGAATCAGGTATACTGATTGTTACCCTGGGCAGGCTATGCAATCATACATTTTATATATATTCTTGAAGAACAGTCCTACAGAATCAAGCAACAAGTTGTGCCTTGTGGCAGCCAAATTGATAATGCATCTTTTTATTTCAACCTATGTTCCTATTTCGTCTTCCTTTTCCCTCACTTCTACTCTCTGGGATACATAATAAAGAACTATCATATAGGATCTTACCTGGGGCTCTGTTTTCCAAACTGAGGCTATAACAGCCTATGTTTTTCTGATTCCTAAGTCCATTCCTAGGACACTGTGCTGTATTTGTTCTAGGCACAAATCTTCAGGATGGTCTGACTCCCTGATGAGACACTAATGGCCTTTTGGAATTTTGATCATCTACCCCTTCCCTCTTCCCATTCCTTACCTCAAATCCTGATCTTTGAGTCCTGTTAATTAAGGAGCTACTGCCAACTCTGGTTTTAGCCCTCAAAGACACTTGTCTCTTTGTTGGAGAATGCTTCCTGTTTTCTTCTTCTCTATTCCTTTCTGCTTCCTTTCCAAGCTAACTCCTACTCACCTTCCAAAATTCAGTCCTCAGGACCTTTTCTGATGCTGCTGTTCCCACTACCCTCAGCTTCTGTTCCCTGTACCTTACCCTGATGTTCTCCCTTGCATGTTGCCATCAGTTTCTGTGTTCCCTTCGAGGACAGGCGTTGTGTCCCACTGATATCTCTATCCTGAATGTGAGTATGGGGCCTGCCTCAGAGTGTCCACTAAGTGAGTGATGGCGGAGGGGCTAGTTGACGATGGCCCCAGATTCCAGTCCTTCCCTGACACTGACTGTCATGGGCTTCTGAGCAAGTCACTTAACAGCTCTGAGCCTCAATTCCTAATCTGTAAAAAGGAAAGACTTATAATAGCTTCAATATAAGGTTCTTCTATAGACTAAATTACATAAAACTACAAAACTGCAAAATTATGAAAAAATTATATTGCCTTTAGTAAGAGATAAGTTATTGGCTGCTCTTATCAATAATAAATTAATTTTATTATTCCTTCCAAAAGAGTAGGGATGAAGCCAGAAGTCATTGGGGGCACTCATTAAAACTGTGCTTAAAACTAGACTAATTCTCACCTAGGTTTAAACACAGGTTTATTGAGTGCCCCTAATGTTTAGGGATTCCTGGGGCTTTCTTCAGACCCCACAGGCTTATAGACAAAGCGAGCCTATTCCCTTTTACTGGGCACCCCCATGCGCAAGGAACTGCACACTGGGCTGGGGCTTTTGACATGGTAAGAATTGTTGCCTGTTCTCAGCGAGTTCATAGTCTAGCAAAGCTAAGACATTAAGCCTGCAACCTTTTATCATGACCACCTTCTCTCCTATTTTGAGGATAAATGTGTTTATTTCTTCAGCAAAATATTTGTTGTACAAATACTATATCCCCAGCCCTGTCTAGGTGTCAGGGATACTGCAGTGAATTTATACTTTGTTTTTTTTTTCTTTTATCCGTAAACTTCTTTTTTTTTTTTTTTTTTATTATACTCTAAGTTTTAGGGTACATGTGCACATTGTGCAGGTTAGTTACATATGTATACATGTGCCATGCTGGTGCGCTGCACCCACTAATGTGTCATCTAGCATTAGGTATATCTCCCAATGCTATCCCTCCCCCCTCCCCCGACCCCACCACAGTCCCCAGAGTGTGATATTCCCCTTCCTGTGTCCATGTGATCTCATTGTTCAGTTCCCACCTATGAGTGAGAATATGCGGTGTTTGGTTTTTTGTTCTTGCGATAGTTTACTGAGAATGATGGTTTCCAATTTCATCCATGTCCCTACAAAGGATATGAACTCATCATTTTTTATGGCTGCATAGTATTCCATGGTGTATATGTGCCACATTTTCTTAATCCAGTCTATGATTGTTGGACATTTGGGTTGGTTCCAAGTCTTTGCTATTGTGAATAGTGCCGCAATAAACATACGTGTGCATGTGTCTTTATAGCAGCATGATTTATACTCATTTGGGTATATACCCAGTAATGGGATGGCTGGGTCAAATGGTATTTCTAGTTCTAGATCCCTGAGGAATCGCCACACTGACTTCCACAATGGTTGAACTAGTTTACAGTCCCACCAACAGTGTAAAAGTGTTCCTATTTCTCCGCATCCTCTCCAGCACCTGTTGTTTCCTGACTTTTTAATGATAGCCATTCTAACTGGTGTGAGATGATATCTCATAGTGGTTTTGATTTGCATTTCTCTGATGGCCAGTGATGATGAGCATTTCTTCATGTGTTTTTTGGCTGCATAAATGTCTTCTTTTGAGAAGTGTCTGTTCATGTCCTTCGCCCACTTTTTGATGGGGTTGTTTGTTTTTTTCTTGTAAATTTGTTTGAGTTCATTGTAGATTCCGGATATTAGCCCTTTGTCAGATGAGTAGGTTGCGAAAATTTTCTCCCATGTTGTAGGTTGCCTGTTCACTCTGATGGTAGTTTCTTTTGCTGTGCAGAAGCTCTTTAGTTTAATTAGATCCCATTTGTCAATTTTGTCTTTTGTTGCCATTGCTTTTGGTGTTTTGGACATGAAGTCCTTGCCCACGCCTATGTCCTGAATGGTAATGCCTAGGTTTTCTTCTAGGGTTTTTATGGTTTTAGGTTTAACGTTTAAATCTTTAATCCATCATGAATTGATTTTTGTATAAGGTGTAAGGAAGGGATCCAGTTTCAGCTTTCTACATATGGCTAGCCAGTTTTCCCAGCACCATTTATTAAATAGGGAATCCTTTCCCCATTGCTTGTTTTTCTCAGGTTTGTCAAAGATCAGATAGTTGTAGATATGCGGCATTATTTCTGAGGGCTCTGTTCTGTTCCATTGATCTATATCTCTGTTTTGGTACCAGTACCATGCTGTTTTGGTTACTGTAGCCTTGTAGTATAGTTTGAAGTCAGGTAGTGTGATGCCTCCAGCTTTGTTCTTTTGGCTTAGAATTGACTTGGCAATGCGGGCTCTTTTGTGGTTCCATATGAACTTTAAAGTAGTTTTTTCCAATTCTGTGAAGAAAGTCATTGGTAGCTTGATGGGGATGGCATTGAATCTGTAAATTACCTTGGGCAGTATGGCCATTTTCACGATATTGATTCTTCCTACCCATGAGCATGGAATGTTCTTCCATTTGTTTGTGTCCTCTTTTATTTCCTTGAGCAGTGGTTTGTAGTTCTCCTTGAAGAGGTCCTTCACATCCCTTGTAAGTTGGATTCCTAGGTATTTTATTCTCTTTGAAGCAATTGTGAATGGGAGTTCACCCATGATTTGGCTCTCTGTTTGTCTGTTGTTGGTGTATAAGAATGCTTGTGATTTTTGTACATTGATTTTGTATCCTGAGACTTTGCTGAAGTTGCTTATCAGCTTAAGGAGATTTTGGGCTGAGACGATGGGGTTTTCTAGATAAACAATCATGTCGTCTGCAAACAGGGACAATTTGACTTCCTCTTTTCCTAATTGAATACCCTTTATTTCCTTCTCCTGCCTGATTGCCCTGGCCAGAACTTCCAACACTATGTTGAATAGGAGCGGTGAGAGAGGGCATCCCTGTCTTGTGCCAGTTTTCAAAGGGAATGCTTCCAGTTTTTGCCCATTCAGTATGATATTGGCTGTGGGTTTGTCATAGATAGCTCTTATTATTTTGAAATATGTCCCATCAATACCTAATTTATTGAGAGTTTTTAGCATGAAGGGTTGTTGAATTTTGTCAAAGGCTTTTTCTGCATCTATTGAGATAATCATGTGGTTTTTGTCTTTGGCTCTGTTTGTATGCTGGATTACATTTATTGATTTGCGTATATTGAACCAGCCTTGCATCCCAGGGATGAAGCCCACTTGATCATGGTGGATAAGCTTTTTGATGTGCTGCTGGATTCGGTTTGCCAGTATTTTATTGAGGATTTTTGCATCAATGTTCATCAAGGATATTGGTCTAAAATTCTCTTTTTTGGTTGTGTCTCTGCCCGGCTTTGGTATCAGAATGATGCTGGCCTCATAAAATGAGTTGGGGAGGATTCCCTCTTTTTCTATTGATTGGAATAGTTTCAGAAGGAATGGTACCAGTTCCTCCTTGTACCTCTGGTAGAATTCGGCTGTCAATCCATCTGGTCCTGGACTCTTTTTGGTTGGTAAACTATTGATTATTGCCACAATTTCAGAGCCTGTTATTGGTCTATTCAGAGATTCAACTTCTTCCTGGTTTAGTCTTGGGAGAGTGTATGTGTCGAGGAATGTATCCATTTCTTCTAGATTTTCTAGTTTATTTGCGTAGAGGTGTTTGTAGTATTCTCTGATGGTAGTTTGTATTTCTGTGGGATCAGTGGTGATATCCCCTTTATCATTTTTTATTGTGTCTATTTGATTCTTCTCTCTTTTTTTCTTTATTAGTCTTGCTAGCGGTCTATCAATTTTGTTGATCCTTTCAAAAAACCAGCTCCTGGATTCATTGATTTTTTGAAGGGTTTTTTGTGTCTCTATTTCCTTCAGCTCTGCTCTGATTTTAGTTATTTCTTGCCTTCTGGTAGCTTTTGAATGTGTTTGCTCTTGCTTTTCTAGTTCTTTTAATTGTGATGTTAGGGTGTCAATTTTGGATCTTTCCTGCTTTCTCTTGTAGGCATTTAGTGCTATAAATTTCCCTCTACACACTGCTTTGAATGCGTCCCAGAGATTCTGGTATGTGGTGTCTTTGTTCTCGTTGGTTTCAAAGAACATCTTTATTTCTGCCTTCATTTCGTTATGTACCCAGTAGTCATTCAGGAGCAGGTTGTTCAGTTTCCATGTAGTTGAGTGGCTTTGAGTGAGATTCTTAATCCTGAGTTCTAGTTTGATTGCACTGTGGTCTGAGAGATAGTTTGTTATAATTTCTGTTCTTTTACATTTGCTGAGGAGAGCTTTACTTCCAACTATGTGGTCAATTTTGGAATAGGTGTGGTGTGGTGCTGAAAAAAATGTATATTCTGTTGATTTGGGGTGGAGAGTTCTGTAGATGTCTATTAGGTCTGCTTGGTGCAGAGCTGAGTTCAATTCCTGGGTATCCTTGTTGACTTTCTGTCTCGTTGATCTGTCTAATGTTGACAGTGGGGTGTTAAAGTCTCCCATTATTAATGTGTGGCAGTCTAAGTCTCTTTGTAGGTCACTGAGGACTTGCTTTATGAATCTGGGTGCTCCTGTATTGGGTGCATAAATATTTAGGATAGTTAGCTCCTCTTGTTGAATTGATCCCTTTACCATTATGTAATGGCCTTCTTTGTCTCTTTTGATCTTTGTTGGTTTAAAGTCTGTTTTATCAGAGACTAGGATTGCAACCCCTGCCTTTTTTTGTTTTCCATTGGCTTGGTAGATCTTCCTCCATCCTTTTATTTTGAGCCTATGTGTGTCTCTGCACGTGAGATGGGTTTCCTGAATACAGCACACTGATGGGTCTTGACTCTTTATCCAATTTGCCAGTCTGTGTCTTTTAATTGGAGCATTTAGTCCATTTACATTTAAAGTTAATATTGTTATGTGTGAATTTGATCCTGTCATTATGATGTTAGCTGGTGATTTTGCTCATTAGTTGATGCAGTTTCTTCCTAGTCTCGATGGTCTTTACATTTTGGCATGATTTTGCAGCGGCTGGTACTGGTTGTTCCTTTCCATGTTTAGCGCTTCCTTCAGGAGCTCTTTTAGGGCAGGCCTGGTGGTGACAAAATCTCTCAGCATTTGCTTGTCTATAAAGTATTTTATTTCTCCTTCACTTATGAAGCTTAGTTTGGCTGGATATGAAATTCTGGGTTGAAAATTCTTTTCTTTAAGAATGTTGAATATTGGCCCCCACTCTCTTCTGGCTTGTAGGGTTTCTGCCGAGAGATCCGCTGTTAGTCTGATGGGCTTTCCTTTGAGGGTAACCCGACCTTTCTCTCTGGCTGCCCTTAACATTTTTTCCTTCATTTCAACTTTGGTGAATCTGACAATTATGTGTCTTGGAGTTGCTCTTCTCGAGGAGTATCTTTGTGGCGTTCTCTGTATTTCCTGAATCTGAACGTTGGCCTGCCTTGCTAGATTGGGGAAGTTCTCCTGGATAATATCCTGCAGAGTGTTTTCCAACTTGGTTCCATTCTCCACATCACTTTCAGGTACACCAATCAGACGTAGATTTGGTCTTTTCACATAGTCCCATATTTCTTGGAGGCTTTGCTCATTTCTTTTTATTCTTTTTTCTCTAAACTTCCCTTCTCGCTTCATTTCATTCATTTCATCTTCCATCGCTGATACCCTTTCTTCCAGTTGATCGCATCGGCTCCTGAGGCTTCTGCATTCTTCACGTTGTTCTCGAGCCTTGGTTTTCAGCTCCATCAGCTCCTTTAAGCACTTCTCTGTATTGGTTATTCTAGTTATACATTCTTCTAAATTTTTTTCAAAGTTTTCAACTTCTTTGCCTTTGGTTTGAATGTCCTCCCGTAGCTCAGAGTAATTTGATCGTCTGAAGCCTTCTTCTCTCAGCTCGTCAAAATCATTCTCCATCCAGCTTTGTTCTGTTGCTGGTGAGGAACTGCGTTCCTTTGGAGGAGGAGAGGCGTTCTGCTTTTTAGAGTTTCCAGTTTTTCTGTTCTGTTTTTTCCCCATCTTTGTGGTTTTATCTACTTTTGGTCTTTGATGATGGTGATGTACAGATGGGTTTTCGGTGTAGATGTCCTTTCTGGTTGTTAGTTTTCCTTCTAACAGACGGGACCCTCAGCTGCAGGTCTGTTGGAATACCCTGCCGTGTGAGGTGTCAGTGTGCCCCTGCTGGGGGGTGCCTCCCAGTTAGGCTGCTCGGGGGTCAGGGGTCAGGGACCCACTTGAGGAGGCAGTCTGCCCGTTCTCAGATCTCCAGCTGTGTGCTGGGAGAACCACTGCTCTCTTCAAAGCTGTCAGACAGGGACACTTAAGTCTGCAGAGGTTACTGCTGTCTTTTTGTTTGTCTGTGCCCTGCCCCCAGAGGTGGAGCCTACAGAGGCAGGCAGGCCTCCTTGAGCTGTGGTGGGCTCCACCCAGTTCGAGCTTCCAGGCTGCTTTGTTTACCTAAGCAAGCCTGGGCAATGGCGGGCGCCCCTCCCCCAGCCTCGTTGCCGCCTTGCAGTTTGATCTCAGACTGCTGTGCTAGCAATCAGCGAGATTCCGTGGGCGTAGGACCCTCTGAGCCAGGTGTGGGATATAGTCTCGTGGTGCGCCGTTTCTTAAGCCGGTCTGAAAAGCGCAATATTCGGGTGGGAGTGACCCGATTTTCCAGGTGCGTCCGTCACCCCTTTCTTTGACTCGGAAAGGGAACTCCCTGACCCCTTGCGCTTCCCAGGTGAGGCAATGGCTCGCCCTGCTTCGGCTCGTGCATGGTGCGCGCACACACTGGCCTGCGCCCACTGTCTGGCACTCCCTAGTGAGATGAACCCGGTACCTCAGATGTTAATGCAGAAATCACCCATCTTCTGCGTCGCTCACGCTGGGAGCTGTAGACCGGAGCTGTTCCTATTCGGCCATCTTGGCTCCTCCCATCTATACTTTGATCATTTGAAATTCGTCCACACTGGGAAAGACAGACCAAAAGCTTACAAAGAAACACACAATCAAGATGAAAAAAAAGTAGAAGCCTAAACAGTGGACAAGAGAATTTTAGCAATATACATCAGATTGTGCAAAGGTATGGAGGAGAGAGTCCAGGGAAGAAAAATGGGCAAGGCTGGAAGGACAGGCTGGGGACAGAATGTCAATGGTTGTCTTGTTTGTGAGGAGTCTTTTCCATCACAGAAACCCAACTGGAGGTGGTTTAGGTGGAATGGAGATGGACTTGTGTGGCAAAGCATGAGTTGGGCCAAAAAAGATGGCCCCAGAGCAACTGGACCCAAACTTAAAGACCTCACTTCTCTCTTCTGCCTCTAGCTTTCTATCTTCGCTTTCCTGAGACTCTGTTTCTCTCTCTCTCTCTGTTTGTGTGTGTGTGTGTGTGTGTGTGTGTGTATGTGTATGTGTGTTTTCTTATTGCCAAGATGGAATATGGAATTCCTATGCGGTAAAAAACAATCATAGATATGTCTAGAATTATTTATTTCCAGCCTAATGACTTGAAATAAAGAGAAACTTTATTGTTTTTTTAAAAAATAAACCCCAGGGAAGACTGATTGGCCTTATTTGGGTCAGTGATCTTCCTGGATTACCAACCACAGTGACCAGGGTTGGGAAAATCTAATTGGCTAAGTTGGGTTACTTGCCCATCTGCATCTGAGGTGGGATCAGGCATCAAAAGATCCTATCCAGACCCAGACCCAGACTGGATAATAGCCCCAGAGACTTGAATGCCATACTAAGGAGTTTGGATTGTATTTGAGGGTGACAGAAATTATTTTCAGGTTTTAGACAGGGGGATGAAATGGTCAGATACGTCTTTACAAAGAAAACCCCAGGAGCAAAATGAGGAAGTAGTTGAGTTGGTGGGGCAGATATGAAGCTGGAAGACCCATTATGATGCTAATTTCAGAGTCCAAGTAAGGCCTTAGAATAGGAGCTGTGTACAAGGTGGTGGAAGTGTGGGAAAATGAAGGAGAAAAGAGATGATGTTCTCTTCTGGGTCCCAGTTGGAGACAGAAAAGCATTAGCCACTGCTGGGTAAATTGTTGACAAGGTCTTTTAAGAAGTCATTCTGGCTTAGCAACTGGTCAATATCCTAGACTTACTTATGCTTTTTTTTGGAGGTAAATTATGAACAAACTACAGAAAACCCACTCTTCTGATTAAGATAGTAATACTTCAATTTAATAAATATTTATTGGACACTCACTGATATGGTTTGGCTGTGTCCCCACCCCAATCTCATCTTGAATTGTAGTTCACATAATCCCCACATGTGGTGGGAGGAACCTGGTGGGAGGTAATTGAACCTCCATGATATTCTCATGATGGTAAGCTCTCATGAGATCTGATGTTTTTATAAGGAGCTTCCCCTTCGCTTGGCTCTCATTCTTCTCCTTCCTGTTGCCATGTGAAGAAGGACATACTTGCTTCCCCTTCCACCATGATTGTAAGTTTCCTGAGGCCTCCCCAGCCCCATATAACTGTGAGTCAATTAAACCTCTTTTCTTTATAAATTACCCAGTCTCGGGCAGTTCTTTATAGCAGCATGAGAACAGACTAATACAGTAAATTGGTACCAGTAGAGTGGGGTGCTGCTATAAGGATATCTGAAAATGTGGAAGCAACTTTGGCACTGGGTAACAGGCAGAGGTCAGAACATTTGGAGAGCTCAGAATATGACAGGAAAATGTGGGAAAATTTGGAACTTCCTAGAGGCTTGGAGAGCTCAGAAGACAGGAAGATGTGGGAAAGTTTGGAATGAGTCCAAAGACTCATTGAATTGCTTTGACCAAAATGCTAATAGTGATATGGACAATGAAGTCCAAGCTGAGGTGGTCTCAGATGACAAACTTGTTGGGAACCGGAGTAAAGGTGACCCTTGTTATGCTTTAGCATAGACACTGGTGGCATTTTGCCCTGTGTTAGAGACCTGTAGAACTTTGAACTTGAGAGAGATTATTTAGGGTATCTGGCAGAAGAAATTTCTAAGCAGCAAAGCACTCAAGAGGAAGAATAGCATTAAAGTTTGGAAAATTTGCAGCCTGACAATGCAGTAGAAAAGAAAAACCCATTTTCTGAGGTGAAATTAAAGCCTGCTGCAGAAATTTACATAAGTAATGAAGAGCAGAATGTTAGTCATCAAGACAATGGGGAAAATATCTCCAGGGCATTTCAGAAACCTTCATGACAGCCACTCCCATCACAGGCGCAGAGCCCTAGTAGGAAAAAATGGTTTCATGGGCAAGCCCAGAGCCCTCCTGCTGTATACAGCCTAGAGACGTGATGCCCTGCATCCCAGCCTCTCCAGCCATGACTAAAAGAGGCCAAGGTACAGCTTGGGCCATGGCTTTGGAGGGTCTAAGCCCCAAGCCTTGATGACTTTCACGTGGTGTTTAGCCTGCATGAACACAGAAGTCAAAAACTGAGGTTTGGAAACCTCTACCTAGAATTCAGAGGATGTATGAAAATGCCTGGATGTCCAGGCAGAAGTTTGCTGCATGGGAAGAGCCCTCATAAAAAACATCGGCTAGGGTAGTGTGGAAGGGAAATGTAGGGTCGGAGCCCCGACACAGAGTTCCCACTGGAGCACTGCCTAGTGGGTCTGTGAGAAGAGGTTCACTGTCCTCCAGACCCCAGAGTGGTAGATCCATGAATAGCTTGCACTGTGTGCCTAGAAAAGCCACAGACACTCAACAAGAGCCCATGAAAGCAGCTGAGAGGTGAGCTGTACCCTGCAAAGCCACAGGGGCAGAGCTGCCCAAGGCCATAGGAGCCCACCTCTTGTATCAGTGTGACCTGGATGTGAGACATGGAGTCAAAGGAGATCATTTTGGAACTTTAAAATTTGGCTGCCCTACTGGATTTCAGACTTGCATGGGGCCTGTAGCCCTGTGTTTTGGCCAATTTCTCCCACTTGGAAGGGATGTATTTAATCAGTGCTTATACCCTCATTGTATCTAGGAAGTAACTAACTTTTGATTTTTACAGGCTCATAGGCAGAAGGGATTTGCCTTGTCTCAGACAAGACTTTAGGCGACTGTTGCAAGGGCATGATTATGTTTTGAAATATGAAGACATAAGATTTGTGAGGGGTCATGAACAGAATGATGCAGTTTGGCTGTGTTCATGCCCAAATCTCATCTTGAATTGTAGTTCCCATAATCACCACATGTGATGGGAGGAGCCCGGTGGGAGGTAATTGAATCATGGGGGCTGTTTCCCCCATGCTGTTCTCATGAGAGTGAATAAGTTCTCATGAGAGCTGATGGTTTTATAAGGGGCTTCCCCCTTCATTCAGCTCTCATTCTGCTCCTTCCTGCTGCCATGTGAAGAAGGACATGTTTGCTTTTCCTTCCACCATGACTGTAAGTTTTCTGAAGCCTCCCTAGCCCCACAGTCAATTAAACCTCTTTTCTTTACAAATTGCCCAGTCTCAGGCAGTTATTTATAGCAGCATGAGAATGCACTAATACACCCACTGTGGATTATGTCTGAGGCTTTTTGTACTTTTCATGCTGAATAAAACAAGATTCTGTTAAAAAAAAAAAAAGCAGCAAAATTCTGTTTTTTGAAAAGAACACATTGTACTTATACCATTATCTCTTTCAGCCTTCAACATGGGCCTGTTGGGTAGCAGAGGGGAGGTATCCTGCATTTACATACTTTCTTGGAGAAGTGAACTGACTTCCTCAATAAATAGTGGAGTTCTCTACAGTTCTACACACTCTCATCTCCTGAAACCCATGGGTCTTGGGTCTTTTCTATCTCACAGTAGACAAGTGACTCCCTTAGCTTAGTGACTTACAGTAGTGGGCTGGTGAATATTGAACAACAGGCTCTCTGAGCAGCTTTTACTAATTTGCATGGTGTGAATATTCCCACCTGGCTGACTTCAAACCATCAGCATGATGTCACTGAATGTAGACTTGGGAAGAGACTTATGCATGCTGGGTTCTCCTGAGCCTAAGGGTTCAATGACCCCATCAGGCAAACCACAGCCTAGGCCCTGGTTGGGGGAGTGGAAATCAATTCTCTGGAAGTTCAGTCCACATGGTCATTTATGGTGTGTCTTACACAAAGAGTATACTGAAGTTCTAATGCTCAGTACCTCAGAATGTTAACTTATTTAAAAATGGGGTTATTGTAGAAGCAATTAGTTAAAATGAGGTCATACGGGAGTAAGGTGAGTTTCTAATCCAATATGACTGGCATCTTTATAAGAAGATAGCCAAGTGAAGACACAAAGACACAGGCAGAAGACTATGTGCAGATGGACAGAGAGATCAGAGTGATGCATTTTTGGGCTGAGGAACTCCTGTAACTACCAGAAGCTTAAAGAGGCAAGGAAGTCTCATCCCCTAGGAGCTTCAGAGGTAGCATGGCTCTGCCAGCACCTTGATTTCAAGCTTCCAACCTCCAGAACTGTGAGAAGATACATTTCAGTTGTTTCAAGTCATCTAGCCACCTTATGCCTGCCTTAGGAAACTAAAGGTCCCTGTGCTTTCTTATACCCTGCACCCCCTGGTTTGAAATATGACTGCCTTTGGGAAAAATCCCATTTTTTTGTGTTTTAAGGTTAAAGTGATCTCTCATTCCACTCCTTCCCCATTTAGATCATGTCATAGGAATCTAGTGCAATGAGCTAAAATATAGGAGAACCCATTGGCTTATAGACCTAAGAAAGTTATATTAGTTAAACACATACTAGGTATCAGGTGCTATACCACTGGTTTTTCATGTGTTGCCACATTTACCTTAATCTTCACAACAACCTCTGAATAGGTATAATTATCCTCATTTTACAAATGGGAAAACAGAAGCTCAGTGATGTTAGGTAACTTGCCTAAGGTCACAGAGCTGGTGGACAGCAGGGAAGACAACTTGGGTGTGGTGAGCAGTCACAGATGCAACACCACATCTTAGTGCTCCACCCTGTGGCTGATTCGTGGGAGTCCCCATAGGCTACAGCTGCACAAACACCTCAGTGAATGCTCCATCTGTGCCCAGAGACAAAATGGGATTTGAGGAAAGGAGAGGAAAGGTGGAGGGCAGTCGATTAAATAAGTAACCCTGCATCTCCTTGGTGAGCTGTTCCACATGGGGTGGTTGCCATTTCCATGTGGCAAATAACAATGAAGGATCCACAGTGATATCACAATATGCTAACCTTAATTCTTCATGTGCATGCAGCACTGAACATCTGTGACAAATTTTCTATTAAATGGTTCTTGTCTATTCACAGGCTCTGGAGCCAGGCAGAGCTGGATTCAAATTCCAGCCCTGAACCTTATCAGCAGTAAGCTGCTTAATCATTCATGAGTTGCTTCACTTCCACCTTTTGTAACCTCATAGGGTTTTTGGGAGGATTCAATTAGGTGAATGGAGTGTGTGCAGTGCATAGTAGGTGTCAAGGAGAAACGCTGACTGCCAACTCCTTGGCTTCTTATGAAGGAGTTTCCCTCAATACTTCTGACCTGTGCCACAGTTTTCCTGCCTGCAGAGTGCATAGCCATGATGGGAGATCATGCTGGGAAACAGGAGAGAAACAAATTGACCAAAAGTTCCAAGTATGTGCCTCAGTTTCCCCATCTGCCTCCCCTGGATCCATGATGCACCATTCTGCAATTCTCATCCCTCTTATGGGTTGCATTGTGAACCCACAAAGAACATATTAAATTTCTAACCTCTGGTACCTGGCAACATGGCCTTATTTGGAAATAATTTGGGTCTTTGCAAATTTGATCAAGTTAAGATGAGGTCATTAGGATGGGTCCTTCCTCCAATATGACTGGCATCCTTCTAAGAAGAGGAAAACACCATCTGAAGACAGAGGCACATGGGGAGAATGCAACATGACCATGGAAAGAGGTCTAAATGCTGCACCTTCCAGTCAGGGAAGCCCAGGGCTACCAGAAGTTGGAAGAAACAAGGAAGGATCCTCCCCTAAGGGCTTCCAAGGGAGCATGGCCTTGCTAAAACCTTGATTTCAGACTTTTTCTCTGCAGATCTGTGAGACAATAAATTTCCCTTGTCTTAAGCCACCAAATGTGTGGTATTCTAAGGCAGCCCTGGGAAACAAATACCCTCCACCGAGGTGCGTGTTACCTGGTGTTAGTGAATGAGTAAACGAATGAAGGAATGAGTGCCTCTGTGTGTGGTTGCTCTTGGCCAGAATGGAGATGAGGGCTGTTGTAGAACAGGAAAGTGTTTTTCTATTAACACCTGAGGTGAATAAGTGTAAGTAGGGCACTGTGGAAAAGGAAAAGACAAGGAAAGGAACCAATGTATATTGAGCACATCCTATGTGTTTGTTCCTCCACCAGGTGAATTGCAAATGTCTCCTTTAGTCTGTGAACCCTGTAAGGTGGGTGTTGTTATTCTAGTTTTCCAGATGGGAAAACTTCAGTTAGAGAGAGTAGACGCTCAGCTTAAGGTCTAACAAGAGAGCAAGGGGCTGAGCAAATTCCAAACAGGGGTTGGTCTCATTCCAACATCTGCCTGTGATATTTCTACTTGATGCAAAGCAATTGAGGCAATAAAAATCAAGTTGTAGCAGGTAAAATTTCAAACAGAGGTTGCAATTATGAGTAGTCATTGCACTTGTCCTGAAATCAGGAGGGAGGAGAGTCTTGATGGAGGCATCCAGTTAAGGCATAGAGAGGTAGCATAGCAGAGTTTATGTGGATGGGTCTGGAGCCATTCTACCCGGGTTCCAATGCCAGCCATCTCCACATTAACTAGCTGAGTGCCTTTGCCACATTACTCCTTCTATTTTTAGGCCTCCTGGCTTGCCATGTGGCAATAACAGGGACAGGGACCATAGGGCTGTAGTGGGGACTAAATGATCATCACAAAAGAAGAAGTTAGAACCGAACTTGCTACATACTGAACATGACAAAGTGCTTGTTGCTGCTATTATTTTTTTATTACTTAAAATGTGACCCGTGCCAGGTCTCCTCCTCCCCCTAAATGACTGTCTCCTTTGCGTGGCTCTCAGGGCATTTTGCTGATCTGCTCTCTGCCACAGTGACTTCCAACACTTGAGCCAAGCTGAAATATTATGTTTCTAATTAGAGAACTGAGTGCCATGTTGGTTCATAGTGCCTTTCCTGAAGCTTTTGGCTGTAATGTTTCACAGCCATTAATAAGGAAACAATCTGGAAGAGAATTTGTAGTCGTGACTTCTAGCACTGATCCAAAAAATGTCTCTCTGGTCCCCAATGTGTGCATATCTCTCTGTTGGTTCACTGAAGGGTGTGGGAGTGCTCCTTTCAGAGCAAGAGCACAAGCCTCACACCCAGCTGGTTCCTGTTCCCAGGAGGACTGTGCATCTCTGGGAAACTCTCTAAATTCTGAAGTAATTGTCCTGGCGTCCCTGTGTAAACCATGTAAACTGAGAAACCGTTACTTAAACCTGGGTGGTCAAGCTGTCCTTGACCATGTTCCTGAAACAGAGAAGGAACCACAAATGACCTGCCTTCACCTAACTAGTCAACCATATTTCTTTCCTTTCCTGGGATGTGCTTATCAGAAAGACAGAGCAGACCCAACAGATAGAACCAGTCCAGCTTTGAGGATTTTGCTCACAGAGTATTGTGCACAGTAGTGGTATTACTATTCGGGGGCAAGGACTGCAAATCTCTCTCTCAAATGATGTTGTTGCCTTTCTGGCCTTGAGGGAAAGCCCCAAGCCACCTTTATAAGTTTGTCTTCTAGGACTTGTATGCTTCAAGTTAGGATTTTCAAACACAAAGGTCTCTTATTTAAATGGTCAAAAAATTTTACAAACAGTGCAAAACTTGCTGGATTTGGGAAAGAGGGAAAGGAGAGCCTGTGTTGGATATGTAGTATGTTTGAGAGCTGGATTAAAATGTGAGGATATAATAAAGATACAGAATAAGAATTATATTAATGTCCTCCAAAGAAACAGAAAAAAATTGGGTATAGATACACATTATATACACATACACTAAAAATATAGTGTGTGTATATATATGTACACACATATATACATATACATATACACAGAGTTATGGTATATTGGGTATAAAATAGGGCATATACCCTGTTTTCCTTTTTACTTTCTTTCATATGATTATCATGTGTCTCATATGATTACCATATGTGTCTCATATGATTACCATGTGTCTCATATGATTACCATATGTGTCTCATATGATTACCATATATGTCTCATATGATTACCATATGTGTCTCATATGATTACCATATGTGTCTCATATGATTATGGAGGCTGAGAAGTCCCATCATCTACAATCTGCAAACTAGAGTTCCATCATAGCTGCTGGTATAACTCAGTCCAAGTCTGAAGATTTGAGAACCAAGCGGGCTGATGGCCTAAATCCCAGATCAAAGGCAGAAGATTTAAGTCTCAGTTCAAGCAAGCTGTCAGAAAGCAAAAGAAGTGAATTCCTCCTTCCTCTGCCTTTTTGTTCTTCTCAGACCCTCAGGGGATTGGATGATGCCTACCCAATTGGGAGGGTGTTCTACTTTACTGAATCTAGTGATTCAAATGCTAATCTCATCCGGAAACACCGTTACAGACACACCCCAAAATAATGTGCAATCTAGGACCCCATGGTTCAGTCAAGTTGACACATTAAAATTAAGCATCACTAATAATGTTAATAATAATAGTAATAAAAGCTCCAGGGAAGGAAAATAGTCTACAAGAATGTTATGACCAAAAATCAGATAAACATTTTAAAAAGTATAGATTTAAAGACATGAATTTCATGCAATAGGTAGACAAAGATAAACACAATGAAATAGAAATTATTATACATATAACAAACATATGCAAATATAGAATGCAAATACACACACTCCTATCTTCATACCTGATACACTCACAAAACAAAGAAAGTTCTATATTTTGCCAATTAAATAAATTTTGAAAAGATTCGATGAACTCTTTTCTGCGCCTTCTTGTTTCATTTTAATATATTGTAGATATTTTTATATTAGTATATACCATTTTCTTTATATCATTCTAGGACCTTCTTTTTAATGGTTTCATGGTATTTATTATATACATGTACCATGATTTATGTATACATCATCTATTAATGAACATGCAGATTATTTTCAGTTTGGAGCATTTTATGTTTTAAATTTCTTTTCCATGCAGTACTCCAATGAATATTTTTAGCCATACATCCTTGTGTGCCTCTGTGGGTATATCTGTACACAGAAATTATTTGGAGCAGAAGGTCTGAATTAAAGGATATTTCATTATAATAGATATTGATCTTTTGCCAAATTGACCTTCAAAAAAGTTATGCCAATTTGTACTCTCATTACCAGTGTGTGAATATACATTTCCTCCAAATCTTGCCAAATCCATGTTTTGAAATCCCTTTTACTCATTGCCAATTTGATAGGTAAAAATAACTATATCCTGTTGTTTTAATTTGCATTTAGTAAATCATTGAGAGAAGTTAGGCTTCTGTTTATATAATTCTAAACAATTTATATATTTTTCTGAACTGAATACTTAATAGGTGAACAATAAATATTTGTGGAGCAATTATATATGCTGCTTATGTTATTATTCCCTTTATTAGTGTGAACTCTATAGCATGACAAATTAACATCCTTTCATATAGTTGTTATAAGTTTCTTTTTTGTTTTCTCTTTGTCTTTTAATTTTGTATGTAGATTTTTGGTGAGAAGACATTCATAAATTTATTTTTTACTTTTTAATGTAATCACATTTATTATTTTTAAATAATTTATAGTTTTTGAATATTGCTTAATGTTTTATTCCTCTAAATAAACACAATGCCCCTAATAGGACTTCTTTTCTGCCTCTGACGATTCCTTGTGTTATTCCTAAGTTGTCCTGTTGCTAATAGGTTTCCTTTTGCTTCGCAGGCTCTCTTCTCATCCTCTCTGCCCATAAAATTACCTGTATTTAGGGAAATTAGGTGAATTCTACTTGCTCATAGAAGCTTTATAATGTGGTACATGCAGAAGTGACTCTTTGTACAAGGTACTGTGGGAACACAGTTTGAGCCTCAGAACATTCTGGAAAGTATCCTGGAGGTAAAAACCTACTGCTACAGATAGTATTAAATGTCAGACTAAGGAAACTGTTTTATCTCCTATAGGAGTTAGAGCAGGGCTCACTGGTCTTTGCATTTTATGTTAGGTGCTAGCTCTAGGCAGGAAGAAGGATATTAAAAGTCATTGATTGATCTTGCTTGGTGGACTCTCTTATGGGAATCCCTAGTTAGACATTTTTTGGGTAGGTTATTTCTCCATTTGGTACCCATTGCCCATGGTTTGGGCAGACCCAGAGCCTCACTGATCTTACAGGGCTCCCTGGAGCGTGGCCTCAGGAAAACAGGCTGTGGTAGATCTGTCTGCTGCTGGGCAAGGTTAAGTGAGTCCTCTGGCAGTCATATGCCTTGGTCTCCTGGTGGGAGCTAGTGCTGCTGTCCACTCAGCACACTGCTTCCTCTCTTTGCATATGATAATAGCATTCTTTCACTTGAGGACCGGCTTTTCCCTCTCTGTTGTTTTACCCAAGGGGGCAGATAACGCTAGTGAGGCTAAAAATTGGAATCTTGGCTAAAGACCCACAGGCACCCAGGGTTCTTGGATCTTTCCACAACGAGAATATCAACATCAGTTTCCCCATTCCTGAACACCTTATTACATCCCCAGGGGTCTGAGATTGTTCAGGCTTCCTGTGGTTGCACACACTACCACAGTAGCCATCCAATAAGCACTTTTCTCCCTTCGTTTAAGTTATACTCAGATTCTGTTACTAGCTCTCTAGAATCTTAGCAGATGCAAGAGCTTACCAGTGTCGATGGATACATGGAGCAGGAGACAAAGCCCTGGCTGTGCTCAGTACATCATCATTTTGGGGAGCTCTCTATGTTAATCTGAGGCCACAGAAGGCCTTTTGTGAATTCTAGACCACAAAGCTAGGAAGACTGGGTCCCTTTACCATATCAGCAAATTGAGTTTCCTGGAGGGTTGAGGACTTCATAGGATGGAGGGAAGGAGCCCATGACAATTTTTGTAAGATGGCGATTTTGCCCAGGCTGATTGTGAGCTGATTTTGGGGACTCTTGCTGGTTTCTTGGAGTTAGAACCAGGAAGCTCTCATCTGTTTGTGATTACAAGGCTCAGCGTGCCCCACTAAAGCCCCCCTGGCGCCTTTCCTCTTCGGAAACACATTCAGCACATTTTTAGAAACCACACTGAGAAGCCCTCCCTGAGAAAGTGACTACACACTGCTTAATATTCTGAAAACATAAATAGCTGCTGAGAAGCCAGTCACAAACTATTTGGGAAAGCTGACTTGGCACTGGGAGAAAGCCAGCTGTTGCTGGCATTTGATTGGCGGAGATTATAAAATTTCTTGCCATGTCAGGATTGTCAATGAACACATATTAAGCTTGTTCCCCATCTTACACGCTGAAGCAGTCTGGTTAAATTTGTGTTCTTTTGGACATTTGGAGAGATAAGGAGTGTTAGGATGGATGCATCTCTCCTGGTACCATACGTTCTCGGTTGAATCATGACCCCTCAAAAGATATATTGAAGTCCTAATCCACAGTAGCCCAGAATGTGACCTCATTTAAAAATAGTGTCTTTGTATATATCATTAGTTCCGATGAGGTCATACTGAGATAGGATGGACCCTTATTCCAATAGGACTGGTTTCCTTATCAGAAGAGGAAAGAGAGACACCCAGGGAGAATGCCATGTGATGACTAATGCAGAGATTGGAGTGGTCCAGCAGCAAGCCATGGGATGCGAAGAATTGGTGGTTGCCAACTCCAGACACTAGGAAAGTCAACGAAGGATTCTCTTTTACACATTTCAGGGGGAGTGCGACCCTGCTGACACCCTGATTTTGGATTTCTAGCCTCCAGAACTGTAAAGCAAACAATTTCTATTGTTTTAGGATGCCCATTTGAGATACTTTGTTTCAGAAGCCCTAGGAAACTGATATGCCGTGGTTCTAACCATCTCCCTGCCCTACATCGGACTGGATCTCTCATTCCCATTCTTTCATTCATTTGTTCATTAAGCATCATTAAGCATTGACCACGTTTTAGATTCAGTTTTGAGTGCTGGGAATACGTGGTTAGAGGCCACAGTCCCTACCCTCAAGGATCTGAGAAACTTGGGAGGGAATAGACATGCACCTACCAATAGATGAGTCCTACTGTGCCTTAGATTCTTAGCATTTTTCCTCCTTTATTGAACTGTAAGTTAGGATGTGTGTGTGTGTATGTGTGTGAGAGAGAGAGATCTTTAATCACCTTGATCTAAACTCCTCAAAACCTATTCTTTTTCTTAAGTGTTTTATCATGAAAATTTTTGAATAAATATACAAATTAAACTGCATTAATCACCCTTAAATTTAGTGCCTGAATTCAATGACTGTTAACATTTTGTCATATTTGGTTTTAATACCTGTGTTTTAGTTTCTTCACATATATTGTATTCCAATGGGAGTAGTAACAATACCCAGCTCATGGGGATGTTGTAAGCAAGAAATGTATCCACATGTAAAAAGTAATTAACACAGTGCCTTTCAACATGTAAACACTCAATAAATATTGGTTCTTTCAATAATTCTCTCCTAGAGTTCTTGGAAAATAGTAGGAGTCTTATTCTCACAAGTAGGGCTGGAGTGATCCTTATGTAGGTGAATCATGGGAGGATTTTGACCTTATTTGATTCATTCTCCAGCGTTTGCCCCTTTAAGGCATGTGGATTTCTGTACCCTTTGAAGCAGTACCTGGCACATACTTGGCTCATAAGAGGCATTCAGTAAATAGCTTGCTGAATGAGTCTTATTTGACATGCTGCTATTTGTTCATGCACTTATTCACCTGTTCATTTGGCAAATATGTATTGAGCATCCTTTTTGTGCTAGGCATTTGACTCTGTGCTGAGGCCTCATTGATGAATAAGACAAAGTCTCAAGAAACTTAAACTTAGTCTTGTTGATAGTTGATTTTGAATTCATCTTCAGTTTTGTATGCAGCTCATTATATCAGCTAGACTATAAAAACTTTGTGACCAGAGACTGATTTCTACTTCTCTTTTATTAAAGGCAGGAATCATGAGAAGGTTAGCATGCATTAAAGCAAGGCTTTAGAATCACATGAAAATGCCAAGACATCAAAACTTTTCCATTATGTTGACAACAAATATTTCATTTTGCCTATCTTTATCTTAATACCTTTCTTTGTCAAGTAGGAATATTATTCACCTGAATGTTTTAAGAGTAGAATAAGAAAATGTAATGAATTCATTAGATAACATTGATTTGAAATTAATTCAATGAAATTGAATTACATAATGAAGTAATAGTATGTTCTCAGTGAGTGTATTATTTTTTTATCTGCTCCCCCTTTCTTTCCAGAAATGGTGAGTTTGAGGATATCGTAAAAGAGGTTGCTTTGTTCCTTTTACAATTTTCTGGCAATGGAATATATGATTCATTAGAGTACCTGTAAGAATTGTTAATGGCTGAATGGTACCCCCGGCCCCCACCCCAACATTCATATGTTGACGTTTTAAATCCCAGTACCTCAAGCTATAACCTTATTTTGCGATAGGATGTTTACAGAGGTAATCAAGTCAAAATGACATTATGAAGGTGGGCGTGAATTCAATACGAGTAGAGTTCTTTTAAAAAGGGGAAATTTGGAGACAGACACATACACAGGCAGAATGCCATGGAACAAATTCTTTCTCGCAGTCATCAGGAGGAACCAACCCTGCTAACACCTTGATCTTAGACTTGTAGCCTCCAGGATTGGGAGATAATAAATTTCTGTTACTTCAGCCACTCACAGAAGTAAAATCTAAACTTTAAAATGTTGTGGTGAAAAGCAATACAACTGAGAGTCTATGAGCTTATCTAAAACAACAACAACAACAAAAAATTTTTGAAAACAATAGCAGATGTGAAGCCAGGAAAAATTTCCTCACTATTAAAAGTTCCTTCATTTTTTTGGACAGGACACTAAGGGAAAAATGAATGATTTTCTTTTTTTCTTTTTTTTTTTTTTTGAGACAGCATCTTACTTTGTCACCAGGCTAGAGTGCTGTGGTGCAATCTCTGTTCACTGCAACCTCTGCCTCCCTGGTTCAAGCGATTCTCCTGCCTCAGCCTCCCAAGTAGCTGGGATTACAGGCATGCACCACCACACCCAGCTAATTTTTGTATTTTTAGTAGAGACGGGGTTTCACCATGTTGGCCAGGATAGTCTTGATCTCCTGACCTCGTGATCCGCCTGCCTCGGCCTCCCAAAGTGCTGGGATTACAGGCGTGAGCCACCACGCTGGGCCGAAAAATCAATGATTTTCTCACAGTCTCTGTACATCTGCTTTTCTCTGGAAGGTGTGGTTTCTGCTGTGTTTGTTTTCTGAGTAGGGGGAGCGTAAGTTACATGTCTCCATTCTGGTACTGTGGAAGAACACATCTGGCTGTCACAAGATGACATAAGAGCAAGTTAAAGTGACAAAAATTTAATATTAAATCTTCCAATTATTTTTAAACTTTAATTCCGATGACTGTTCTAAGTCCCAACTAGACAGTGTGTTGTGATAAGAACACACAAGATGCGGATTTAAAGTAAGTGGCTCTGCAGTGACCATTTAGAGCCATATGACCTCGGGCAACTTGCTCAAAATGTCTCAGCGTCCATTTTTAAAACTGCAAACTGGTGGTAAAAATAATATTCACTTATCCATTGATCTATGTACTCACTAAGTGTTGAGCATGTACTATACGTGATTATACTCTAAGCACTGCAAATATAACAGTAGACAAAGCAGCAAGGTCTGTGCCATCTCAGACTTTACATTTTAGTTGCAGAGACAGGCAATGGATAACTAAACATAATTCAGAGAGTGACATGAACCCTGAAGAAAATAGAGTGGGGTAAAGGGATGGAGCATCACTGGGAGGTAGAGATATAGGGGACTAGTGTTTCAGTCAGAGAAATTGGAAAATGTAACATGTCTGATGCTGGAGTTAAGATGGTGTGTATAAAGATGGCAAGAAGCACAGTGTGGCTAGAACGTGGAAATCAAGGATAGACACATGGTTGCTGAGATAGGAGGGAGAGGCAGGGGCTGGATCATGTGGACAAATGTAAGGGGTTTGGATTTTATTCGTAGTGCATCAGGAAGCCACTGAAGTAATGAATTAATGTGTTTATTTTTCCCTGTAACTACTGTGTGGGCAAGTTTGGAAATATGGATACCAGTTCTGGGGAGACTCTAGTATCTAGGTTCTAGAAGGACAGATTGTGTCTGATCAAATTTCAGACATGCTTTAAGCTAGATCAAAAGGATTCATTGATATATTAAGTAGGAAAAGAGAGAAACAGGAATGTCATCTGAAGTTTTGGATTGAGCAACTGTTATTGATCAAATTATGTATCTCCCCATGTCCAGCATTTATATGTTGAGGTTCTAGCCACAGTACCTCAGGATGTGACTATATTTGGAGACAAGGTCTTTCAAGAGGTAATTAAGTTAAAATGAAGCCTTTAAGGTGGACCCTAATCCAATATGACTGACAATCCTTATACAGAAAGGACATTTGTACACACAGAAAGACACCAGACACATGTGTGTGTGCACAGAGAGATGACAATGTGTGCACAAGGAGAAGTCCACTGTCTGCAAGCCCAGGAGAGAGGTCTCAGAAGAACTAAAAGGGCAAACATCTTGATCTTGAGTTCCTAGCCTCAGAATCAAGAGCAAATAAATCTCTTTGTTAAGCCACCAATCTGTGGTATTTTGTGATGGCAACAGTAGCAAACTAATAAAGCAACTGAGAAGTACTGTTGCCATGTATTAAAAGAAAACTGGGAGCAAACACAGGAGGTTTGAATATGTGTGTGTGGAGGGATGGGGTAGTGGTGGTGAGAAATCAAGAGTTCTGTTCTGACCTTGTTCAGACTGAGATGCCCACTAAACATCCATTTGGGGACTCCTGGGGGCAATGAGACTCATCATTTTGGTGCTTGGGAGCACTCAGCATATACAGTAATCCCATTTTATCCAGTTTCCTTTCTGTGGTTTCAGTTACCTGTGGCACAGTAGAAGAAGATATTTTGAAAAGGAAGGGAGAGAGAGAGAGAGAGAGGCCATATTTATATAATTTTATTATAGTATACTGTTATACTTGTTTTTTTATTATTATTGTTGTTAATTTCTTACTGTACCTAATTTATAAATTAAACTTTGTCATAGGTATGTATGTATGAGAAAAATCATAGTCTATATAGGATTTGGTACTGTTCATGGTTTCAAGCATCCGCTGGGAGTCTTGGAACATACTCCACGTGGATAAGGGAGCACTACTCTAGATGGTATTTACAATCTTGGGGGCATGACTGAGATCACGAGTGAGGCCATGGAGAGAGAAGCATGAGGACTGTGCCCTGAGGCACTTCAAGATAGACATGCAAAAGAGATTGTTCAGGTGTCATTGCTGAGCTAGGAGGAAAGAGTAGGAAAAGGGGTGGTGCCCTGAAAATCGAGTGAAGGAAGTATTTAAGGAGAGAGGAAGGAACCAACTCTGTCAAATGCTGTGGAGATTTGGAATAAGGTGAAACAGAAAATTGGTCACTAGAATTGGCAAGTTGAAGATTGTTAATAACCTTGAAAGAGTAGTTTCAGTGATTTGATGAGGTAGTTTGTATTTGAGATGGGCTGAAAGGAGAATGGAAGTAAGCAACTGAAATCATGCCGAGAAAACTCTTTTGAGGAGTTGTTTTTAAGAGAGGCAAAGAAATGGGGAGGTGGCCTAAATGAAATGTGGGGTGAGTGGAAATGTTTTTGTTAAGATGGGTTTTATTATGGCACTTTTGAATGTAGTTGGGAATAATCTAGCAGGTGGAGGGCAGTAAAGATTCAGGTGATGAGAGAAAAAATAGTTGTAGAAGAAATCTTGTTTAATAGGTGAGAAGAGACAGAATTCAGATCAAAGAAGTAACTCCAAATAGGCACAGTGATGTTCACTCACTTTAGGGGGAAGCAAGGCAAAATGCTCCCTCATCTCCCTCAGACCAAATCTGCCACCCTGTCTCTATCGGTACTTGTGCATTTTGCCTTGCTTCCTGCTAAAGTTTTCTCAGTTTAATAAGAAATGCAGTCACCAGCTGACAGTATTTCTCTCGGAAATACTGAATTTCCCTGAAATGGGGAAATGGAAAATTAACATGTTTGAAAACATCACAGAATATATACAATGGTCACCCAGAGAATGAGAAAGTAAATTTATTAAGCATGTAAGTCAGGGTGGCTAAGCAAAGTTGAGTGACCACTGGATCTTTGGTTTTTAAAATTTAACTTTTAAGTTCAGAGGTACATGTGCATGTTTGTTACATAGTTAAACTTGTATCATTGAAGTTCATCAGGGATATTGGCCTGAAACTTTCTTTTTTTTGTGTGTGTCTCTGCCAGGTTTTGGTATCAGGATGATGCTGGGGATTACAGGTGCATGCCACCATGCCCAGCTAATTTTTGTATTTTTAGTAGAGATGGGCTTTTGCCACGTTGACCATGCTGGTCTCAAACTCCTGACCTCAGGTGATCTGCCTGTCTTGGCTTCCCAAAGTCCTGGGATTACAGGCATGAGCCACCGCACTGGCCAGCATTTAAGTCTTTAATGCATCTTGAGTTGATTTTTGTATATGCTGTATGGAAGGGGTCCAGTCTCAATCTTCTGCATATGGCTAGCCAATTATCCCAGCTCCCTTTATTGAATAGGGAATCCTTTCTCTATTGCTTGTTTCTGTCTGGTTTGTCAACAATCAGATGATTGTAGGTGTGCGGCCTTATCTCTAGGTTTTCTATTCTGCTCCATTGGTCTATGTGTCTGTTTTTGTACCAGTACTATGCTGTTTTGGTTACTGCAGTCTTGTAGTATATAGCTTGAAGCAGGGTAGTGTGACGTCTCCAGCTTTATTCTTGTTACTTAGGATTGTCTTGGCTATTCGAGCTCTTTTGTTTTGGTTCCATATGAATTTTAAAATGTTATTTTCTAGTTATGTGATGAATGTCATTGGTAGTTTAACATGAGCAGCATGAATCTATAAATTGCTTTGGGCAGTATGGCCATTTTAATGATACTAGTTCTTCCTATCCATGAGCATGGACTGTTTTTCCATTTGTTAGTGTCATCTCTGATTTTTTTGAGCAGTGTTTTGTAGTTCTCATCTTAGGGATCTTTCACCTCTCTGGTTAGATGTTTGCCTAGGTATTTTATTCTTTTTGTAGCAGTTGTGAATGGGATTGTGCTCCTGATTTGGCTCTCAGCTTGACAATTGTTGGTGCATAGAACTGCTAGTGATTTTTGTACACTGATTTTTTATCCTGAGACTTTGCTGAAGTTGTTTATCAGCTTTAGAAGCTTTTGGGCCAAGACTATAGGGTTTTCTAGATCATGGCATCTGCAAACAGGGATAGTTTGACTTTATAAGTTTAAAGTGACACTAGTCAGCACACTTGTGAGCTTTTCAGCAGTTATGTCCTGGAACTCAAGTGTAGTAATAAAGTAGTAAAGAGATGAGATTTACTAGGACCCCAGGGTTTTGTGACATGGAGTATGATGGGAAAAGCAGGAAAAGGGGATCCGAGTGAGCAAGCTAGGGTTTTGATGTAATAATTGACCATGGCATCTAAGGCCGGTAAGGAAAGGTGTGGGTAGATGAAAAGGAGCACAGAACTATAGCAACACTCTTGTGAGGTCATTGGATTGGATTTCTCAGTGGGGCCAAAGAAGAGGGCAAGTTTAACATTGAAGAGTGAGCTGTAGATTACAAGGTGGTAACCAGAAAGTGAGATACTTGAAATCGATCTTTGGAGGTGGAATGATTGTTGGCAATGACAGGATCCAGGAAATGACCATGGCAACCACAGCCTTGGAGTAGTCATCATAGGGGGAGTGGAGTGTAAGATTCCTTGGTGGAGGATGCCATGGGACCAAGAATCCAGAGTGAGTTGTACAGACGTTGAAGTTATCAAGAAAAGCCATCTAAAACTGAATTCCCGATCTCACTCCTTAAACACGCTCCTCCTGCTGTCTTTTCCACTCAAGCTGCAGACACTCAATGCCAGCCTGTGAAAGCTAATGTGAAAGTTAATAGTGTCCCCATCCTGGTTACCCATGCTCCAAATCTTGGAGCATAAATGAATTATCTTTTTCAGTAATTCATTTATCATTTATCAATATAATCTTTTTGTTTCTAAGTAAATGATTATTTTTTCATTGTATCCCACATTTTAATTACTCGGCAAATCCTCATAGCTATTCCTTCAAATTATATACAGAATCCAAACACTGTCACCTAAATTGTGTATCTTTCAAATTATTGCAATAACTTGTCAGCTGCTCTTCTGTCTTCTATTATTTTATTTAATAGAGCAGCTGGAGTAAACCTTTATGAACATGAACCTGGTCGTGTTGATTCCATGCTCAAAACTGCACAGGGGCTTCACATGCCACCTTGACCAACTTCTGAGTCCTTACCATGGCCAGTCAGTTGCACTTGTCCCTCATCTCTCTGACCTCATCTTTATTCTCCCATTGCTTACTGTGCTCCAGCCACTCTGGCCTTTGCACTTTCTGAACATATTCCTTGGGCATATTCCAGCCTCAAGGATTTGGTATTTATTATTGCTTCTGCCTGGAACTCTCTTGATTAGGTTTGGCTCTGTGTCCCCACCCAAATCTCATCTTGAATTGTACTCCCATAATTCCCACATGTTGTGAGAGGGACCCGGTGGGAGATAATTTGAATCATGGGGGCGGTTTCCCTCATACTGTTCTCATGACAGTGAATAAGTCTCACGAGATCTGATGATTTTGTCAGGGGTTTCTGCTTTTGCTTCTTCCTTATTTTTCTCTTGCTGTGGCTATCTAACAAGTGCCTTTCACCTCCTGCCATGATTCTGAGGCCTCCCCAGCCATTTGGAACTGTAAGTCCAATTAAACCTCTTTTTCTTCCCAGTCTCAGGCCTGTCTTTACCAGCAATGTGAAAACGGACTAATACAGTAAATTGGTACCAGTACAGCGAGGCATTGCTGAAAAGATATCCAAAAATGTGGAAATGACTTTGGAACTGGGTGTCAGGCAGAGGTTGGAACAGTTTGGAGGGCTCAGAAGAAGACAGGAAAATGTGGGAAAGTTTGGAACCTCCTAGAGACTTGTTCAATGGCTTTGACAAAAATGCTGATAGTGATATGAACAATAAGGTGCAGGCTGAGGTGGTCTCAGATGGAGATGGGGAACTTACTGGGAACTGGAGCAAAGGCGACTCTTGTTATCTTTTAGCAAAGAGACTAGTGGCATTTTTCCCTGCCCTAGAGATTTTTGGAACTTTGAACATGAGAGAGATGACTTAGGATATCTGGCAGAAGAAATTTCTAAGTAGCAAAGCATTCAAAAGGTGACTTGAGTGCTGTTAATAGCATCCCATTTTAAAATGGGAACAGAGCATTAAAATTCAGAACATTTGCAGCCTGATGAGGCAGTAGAAAAGAAAAACTCATTTTTTGAGGAGAAATTCAAGTTGGTTGCAGAAATCTGCATAAGTAACAAGGAGCCGAATGTTAATCTAGACAATGGGGAAAATGTCTCCAGGGCATGTCATATGTCTTCATGGTAGCCCCTCCCATCACAGACCCGAAGTCTAGGAGGAAAAAAAATAGTTCCATGGTCTGGGCCCAGGGTCCCCATGCTGTGTGCAGCCTAGCAACTTGCTGCCCTGCATCCCAGCTGCTCCAGCCATGGCTAAAAGATGCCAAGGTACAGCTCAGCCCATGGTTTCAGAAGGTGTAAGCCCCAAACCTTGGCAGCTTCTATGTGGTGTTGAGCCTGCAGGTGCACAGAAGTCAAGAATTGAGGTTTGGGAATCTCCACCTAGATTTCAGAAGATCTATGGAAATGCCTGGATGCCTAGGCAAAAGTTTGTTGCAGGGGCAGCACCCTCTTGGAGAACCTCTGCTAGGACAATGCAGAAGGGAAATGTGGGGCCGGAGCCCCCACACTGAGTCCCTACTGGAGCACTGCCTAGTGTAGCTATGAGAAAAGGGCCACTGTCCCCCAGATCCCAGAATGATGGATCCACTGACAGCTTTCACTGTGCACCTGGAAAAGTTTCAGACACTCAATGCCAGCCTGTGAAAGCAGCCAGGAGGGGGGGCTGTACCCTGTAAAGCCACAGGATCAGAGCTGCCCAAGACTATAAGAACCCACCTCTTGCATCAGTGATACCTGGATGTGAGACATGGAGCCAAAGGAGATCATTTTGGAGCTTTAGAATTTGACTGCCCTGCTGGATTTTGGACTTGCATGGGGCCTGTAACCCCTTTGTTTTGTCCAATTTCTCCTATTTGGAATGGCTGTATTTACTCAATACCTGTACCTCCATTGTATCTAGGAATTAACTAGCTTACTTTTTATTTTATAGGCTCATTGGTGGAAGGGACTTGCCTTGTCTCAGATGAAACTTTGGGCTGTGGACTTTTGGGTTAATGCTGAAATAAATTAAGACTTTGGGGCATGTTGGGAAGGCATGATTGGTTTTGAAATGTGAGGACATGAGATTTGGAAGGGCCAGGGGTGGAATGATATGGTTTGGCTGTGTTCCTCACAAATTTCAACTCGAATTATATTCCCATAATTCCCATGTGTTGAGGGAGATAATTTGAATCATGGGGACAGTTTCCTCCATAATACTCTCATAGTAATGAATAAGTCTCACAAGATCTGATGGGTTTATCAGGGGTTTCCGCTTTTGCTTCTTCCTCATTTTGTCTTGCCGCCGCCATATAAAAAGTGCCTTTCACTTCCCTCCATGATTCTGAGGCCTCCCCAGCCATGTGGAACTGTAAGTCCAATTAAACCTCTTTTTTCTTTCCAGTCTTGGGTATGTCTTTATCAGCAGCATGAAAATGGACTAATACATCTCTTTACCTATAGAAATTCATGACCTGCTTTTTCGTCTGTCACCTTGTTCAACTGTCAGCTTCTCAGTGTGGCCTTCCTTTAATATACTATTAAAAATGGTATATTACAAATTTACCTCCCCCTATCAAAATAACCTGCCTAGCCCCTTCCAGCTTTGCTTTTCTCCATAACTTATATAAATGTGTGCATATGTGTATACATTTATAGGTGTGCATGTTGTAAATATATGTATGTATACAGGTTTTCATTAAATTACATGCTAAGTGAAGACTGGGATATTTATTTATATATTTTTCTATTACTATAGACCAGTAGCTGAAACTGCCTAATACAAAGTAGACCCTCTAAAAATATTTGTTGAGTAAAAAAAAAATTAATGGTGAAAGGAATAATGATAGAGAAGAAGACAGGAAAGCAGATGCTAATATCGCCAATGAAGAAGGAACAGTGATCAGGAGAGCATTGGATTAGAGCAACATGGCTGTGTTGGAGAAAGAGGGGTTATTAAGTGGAGTGGACTTCAGGAGGAGTTGGAGTTCTTGGCAGGGGGCAAGTGAGGAGGTCTGAAGGGGGCAACAGTAGCAAACAGAATATTCTACCTGACCATTTGATCTTCTGGTATGTGCATAATGAAGACAGTAACTAGAACATAGAAGAGATTGAGGACCTTGGGAAGGATTTGGTTGATGGATAACAGACAGGTCCAGAGGGCAGAATGTGATGGGAATTCAAAATCGAACAGCCACTTTGAAAAACAATTCGACAGTTTTCTTATACAGCAAAATATGCACTTATTATGCAGCCCAACAATCCCACTCCTAGGTATTTACCTAACAGAAATGTAAACATATGTCTGTACAGAGATTTTTCTGTTAATAGTAGCTTTATTCATGATAACTAAAAACTGGACACAACCCAAATGTCCATCAACTGATAGATGGAGAAACAAGTTGTGGTGTATTTACTCAATTGAATAATGTTCATAAATGAAAAGGAAAATAGTATCGATACATAAAATAACATGCATAAATCTCAGAAACATTATGCTAAGTAAAAGAAGCCAGACACAAAGACTACACATTGTATGATTCTGTTTATAGGAAATTATCAAACAAAAGGCAAAACTACAGTGACAGAAAGATTACTGGTTGCTAGGAGCTGGGATGGAGTAGGAGATTGACTACAAAGGAACATGAGGTTGCTTTTTAGGGTAATAGGAATGTTCTAAATCATGAGGGTAGTGGCAGTTGTGTGACTATATTTATTTTTCAAAACTTCTAATTTTACACGTAACAGCAAAATATCTTATTGCATTAAATTATACCTAAATTGATTAAAATAATTAACATATTTATGTTTTGGTTTACTGTGTGTCTCAGTCCTAGAATCAAAAATGTATGCTTCTTGAAGGCAATGTCAAAACCAGTATTATTCTCCCTCTCTCTCTTTTTTTCTTTTCTTTTTTTTTTTTTTTTTTTTTTTTGAGACAGGGTCTCTGTCACCCAGGCTGGAGTGCAGTGGTGCAATCACGGCTAACTGCAGCCTTAATCTCCCAGGCTCCAGTGATCCTCCGGCCTCAGCCTTCCAAGTAGCTGGGACTATGGGCACATGCCACCTTGCCTGGCTAATTTCTTTCCATATATTTTTGGTAGAGAAAGGGTTTGGCCATGTTGCTCAGCCTGGTCTTGAACACCCTGGGCTCAAGTGATCTGCCCACCTCAGTCTCCCAAAAAATCCAGTATTCTTGGCATATAATAGGTTATAAATATTTATTGAATGAATATATTACATGTTTCTGACAATAACTTCAAACTCATATTTCTGTGATTAAATCTAGTATATATCATTTACTATTGGTATCAGCTTGAACAATACACTTAACACTCCTATGCCTTGGTGTTATATATAATGTTGGGATTAAAAATGAAATCTCTTTCATAGAGCTATTATGAAAATGAAATAATATACAGGCATAATGTGCTTTCAGCTCTATTAAGCATATATGCTACCTGTAAAATAAGTCATACAAATTTGTCATCATGATTATTTTTTATGACTTCATATTATCTCAATTGCCTGTGACTGTTAATTAAGTCTATTATTATTGTACATTTCCTAAGATTAGAGACTTTGCATGTATTTTTTGCATTTCTCCTATTGCCTGAAAGTTGTAGCACACAATAAGTACTCACTTAACATTTATTGAAGATTCCTTGATTCTTTAAATCTTTAAGAGTCATCTTCTCTCATGTCTTGGGATATTTATATGTGCTATCACCCTTTCCTGGAAATATTACCTACATTCTCATATACATGCACACACACACAAATGACTTTGGTACTTTCTGTTTAGGTCTAAGCACGGTTTCACAGCCAAAAAACAAAATGTCCCTGACTTCCCAGAAGAGATCAGATTGCTTTGGTTTTTGCTTTTATAGTACTCAATACTCAACTTCTTGACAGGAAGGAGAAGTTGGGGAGGAGGAAGACAGTTAGCTGGGGTTGTCAAGTTGGAAAAAAGTTTTTTTTTTTTTTGAGGGGGATGGTTTATTTTATTAATTTTATTTCAACTTATTTTGCGTTGTAGTTCCAAACCTGGGCTAAATTCTGTGTAGTTCAAGAGTAACCACCAGATGGGAAGAGAATACAGATCAGCTTGTGCAATAAAGAAAGGAAAACTCCAAAGGAGATTATTTCCATAGACTCATCAACTTCTAAGCAAGGCAAGAGAGCTATCTTATTCAATGGTTGTGTTTGGAGAAGGTAACTGGCAAGAAGCTGTGAAGTGTGGCGTCTTCTACTCTGCTATTCGTTTGCTCAGGAATCTGCAGTTGCTCCTTTTTGATTATGGTCAAATTTTTAGACTGGTGTTCAAGGCCTTCTTGTAGCCCAGATGCACTGTTTCTAGTATTCTCTTTCCCTGTATCCAAAGAGGACTTCATTCCATTTCTTTATTATAAAGGCTCAAAGTTGGTTCTTTTTCTCACGTGTCCAGTTCCTGAGCGTCCACAACTCTTTTTGAAATATCTATTCTGATTTTCATATGCTATAAGATTCCTTCTCATTGCTTATGAACTCCACTTCAATAAACAGTTTAAAATCCACAAAGATGTCTAATAGATAGTTAGGCTTGAAAAAAAGTTGTTTGAAATAAATGTATAATTACACATCCTGATGATTTCTTATAGCCCATATAGAGTCATAAGAATTTTATTGTAGCTTATTTCTTCAATTTTATCTTAGTCAGCTATTTATGGACATGTTCTAGAAAATGTGGATGGCCTTGAAGGGAGAATGGAGATTTAAATACAATTATTTTGATTAAAAATTTTCAGTACAGTTGTGAAAATGACCCAGCAAACAGGAGATTGCAACCCAGTGTAGACAGTCCTACACTCAGGGCAGCTCAGCAAGCTGAGGCAATGCTTTAATGAACAAATGGAGGGTCAGAGAAAGCTCCCCAGAAAGGATGAAGTCACTGCCCATCTTCTCTGATCCTGATGACCTTTCTTGAAGGTAACTCCTTTGTTCCAATGGAAAATGCCAGCAAAACTTTTCCATAGGGTTCAGAGAGGTATTGCATCAGCAAAGCATTAGCACAGGTCAAACACTGCAGAGACTTCTTAATCACAGTAACAGCTCTTTGGGGTAGAGAGTATCATTATACTCATTTTACCCAGGAGAAAATAGAGGGTAAGTGAGATTAACTGACTTTGCTGAGGACACACAGCTGGTGAGTGTGAGTCCTGTCTGTCTGGCTCCCAATGCAGTACTCTTGCCTACTAAAGGCAAAATCAAATCAACAAACCCCAAACTTCTGCTTACAATAAAAGCGCTCTAAAAATCGGCCCCCAATAATCATTCTTAAACACACACACACACACACACACACAGTAGTGTAATGGTATTGATGGTAAGAATAACAGCATTACCTCTTAACCAGGCTGCCTGCTTTTAATCTTGATGGAAAGTCTCATATTTACCCCGTTAATGCAGCTTGTGAAGAGCTCAGAAATGTGAAGTAGCTTGTCTAAGGCAGGAAACACACCCAGGAGCAGAGCTGGGTCCAAATGGAGGTCTTTGATCCCGGGTTTGATGCTCATTCCTCTACATGGGGGGTCTCCGAGTTTAGAAATTAATATTCTAATTATTCTTTTTAAAAATATATATACATTTATGGGATACAAATGCAGATTTGTTACATGGATATATTGCATAGTGGATAGTGGTGAAGTCTGGGATTTTGGTATAACCATCACCCAAATAGTATACATTGTACCCATTAAATAATTTCTCATCCCTCACCCACCTCCCAGCCTCCCACCTTTCCAAGTCTCCAGTCTATTATTCCATGATCTGTGTCCATGTGTACACTTTATTTTGATTCCCACTTATAAGTGAGAACATGTGTTATTTGACTTTTGCAGCAACATGGATGAAACCGGAGTCCATTTTTATCTTAAGTGAAATAACTCAGAAACAGAACGTCAAATACCACATGGTCTAATTACTCTTTATCACTATTTTCACATGCTCTGTACAACAGTAATGTATTTTAATTGTGTTGCGAATGGAGACAGGTTAACATAATTAAACATTGCTTCTTTCCTTACCTGGCTTGCTGGGAACATTATTGGGAAAGAAGCTGGTTCAACACACAGATACATTTTCTTTTTTTTTTATTATTTATTTATTTTTTAATTATTATTGCACTTCAAGTTTTAGGGTACATGTGCACAACGTGCAGGTTAGTTACATATATATACATGTGCCATGTTGGTGTGCTGCACCCATTAACTCATCATTTAGCATTAGGTATATCACCTAATGCTATCCCTCCCCCCTCCCCCTCCCCCACAACAGTCCCCAGTGTGTGATGTTCCCCTTCCTGTGTCCATGTGTTCTCATTGTTCAATTCCCACCTATGAGTGAGAACATGCAGTGTTTGGTTTTTTGTCCTTGCGATAGTTTACTGAGAATGATGGTTTCCAGCTTCATCCATGTCCCCACAAAGGACATGAACTCATCATTTTTTATGGCTGCATAGTATTCCATGGTGTATATGTGCCACATTTTCTTAACCCTGTCTATCATTGTTGGACATTTGGGTTGGTTCCAAGTCTTTGCTATTGTGAATAATGCCGCAATAAACATACGTGTGCATGTGTCTTTATAGCAGCATGATTTATAGTCCTTTGGGTATATACCCAGTAATGGGATGGCTGGGTCAAATGGTATTTCTAGTTCTACATCCCTGAGGAATCGCCACACTGACTTCCACAATGGTTGAACTAGTTTACAGTCCCACCAACAGTGTAAAAGTGTTCCTATTTCTCCACATCCTCTCCAGCACCTGTTGTTTCCTGACTGTTTAATGATCACCATTCTAACTGGTGTGAGATGGTTCTCATTGTGGTTTTGATTTGCATTTCTCTGATGGTCAGTGATGATGAGCATTTTTTCCTGTGTTTTTTGGCTGCATAAATGTCTTCTTTTGAGAAGTGTCTATTCATATCCTTTGCCCACTTTTTGATGGGGTTGTTTGTTTTTTTCTTGTAAATTTGTTTGAGTTCATTGTAGATTCTGAATATTAGCCCTTTGTCAGAGGAGTAGGTTGCAAAAATTTTCTCCCATTCCACACAGATACATTTTCTATAATGCTTGAAGAGAAAGTGTAGATAATATGAGAGGACTTTTTAAAGCAAACCTCAGTTGGGATACAGCACATGATTAATAACCTAAGAAATGGAAATGTCAAGTTTATCATCTAAATATTAGTCAGCAGACTTGAATTTGTTTTGGAAAAGGATCAACAGTCATGCATGACGCAGAAGATAGGCACCTCTGACACCAAAATTCCCCTCTAAATATCAAGATCTATTCAAACAAGACATTCAGAAGCACAGGCAGGATAATTAATAATCCATTACATAAGTAGCATTTGCTTATTTTAATTACTAGGAACTTCAGTTAGGTCTCTTCCATTGTAAAATGAAAAAAAAAAAAACCACAAAACAAAAACATAAGCCTGTTTCTCAGGTAATGATTTGTGGTTGATGTTCTTAGAAGTCCTAGCACCTGGCAATGACTCAGCGCTCAGGTATAGGCCAGCAATGGGAGGGGAGAGAGCAACGGGAGGGGCACATAGGGTCGAAGCAAACTCTAGTGCTAAAACAAAATCCTGAAATCCAAGTTCCATTCTCTGCTTAAAACCTGTCACTCTTTTGCTTTGTTTTCAGAGAAGTGTTTGGATTTCTTATACTACTTACTACGTTATTTATGATAGGTGCTTTTTTTGTTGTTGTTGTTTCCACTTCAGACACATCTATTACCACTCTTCTCTTATGCCTCTTTGTGCTTCACCTGCATGAAATTCCCTGGGTTCTCGGGTTGTTTCATGCTATGACTTGCCTTCAGACTTTTGCTCATGCAGATTCTGCCTGAAATTATCTTCTTTGCTTATAAACTATTTAGAGCTGGCTCTTAGATCACCTGCCTGGGAAACCTTCTCTCATTTCTGCCTCATCCACCTGTCACACGTGGGCTGTGTCAGTGGCCTCTTCTCCAAGGAGCTAAAACATTCTGTTTAGCTGTTATCTGTACCTGAGAGAAAGACCCTCCCTGGAAAAATGACTGTCTTACTTTTCCAAGAATTACAGATGGATTCTTACACAGCCTTTCTTCTGTGTCTAGGAATCTCAAAAAGACAATCTACCAGAGAAGTGACTTGGACCAAAGAGTAAACGAACAAAATTAAAATAATGTAAAATGTTCTACTGGCCTGTTGGTAGTTAAGAGTTGACCAGTGGGAGTAGATGGTTCTGTACTGCACCTTGTTTCTCATACATCACCAGTGATACAGGACAGAGTCTGAAGGGAAATGGCCATTGCTCTTCTAATGTTGAAAGATGATATGATCAATATGAGCAATAACAATTGTGAAAATATTCCTGCTCCCAGGAATATTTTTATTCCTCTACTTAGGATGGATTCAGATTGTATTGTGTTTGAAAATTGATGCTTACCCCTAACAGGTGTGTGTGTTTGTATATTTTCTTGACCTAACATCTATTTATTTGGTGATTAAGAAGAATGAGGGGGTTTCTTAGTTGGTTTGAGTTGCAATAAAAATATCATAGACTGGGTAGTTTATATACAACAGAAATTTATTTCTCACAGTTCTGGAGACTGGGAAATCCAAGATTAAGATGCCAATCAATATCTTTCCTGGTGAGGGCTTGTTTCCTGGCTTGCAGAAAGCCGACTTCTTGTTGTGTCCTCACATGATGGAAAAAGCAAGGATCTTTCTTGGGCATCTTTTATAATAGCACTAATCCCAATAATGAGGATTTGATCCTCATGACTTAATCCTTTCTTCTAATATCATTACCTTGGGGGCTCAGATTTCAACATGTGACTCTTGGGAGAACACAAGAAAACATTCAAACCATATTGGGAGCATTGCAGCACCTCTCCTGGGAGAAGAGAATTTGAAGGGGCTGAACAGTTTTGATAAATGTATAGGGCCAGAATTGGTGTTAAAATATTTTGCTGAAATATTAGACTGAAAGACTTAGACTCTGAAAAATGTAGTTCTGTCTCTGCAAATAGGTGAAGCACTGTCAGGGTACAGATTTCTGGTCCAGACCAGCCCTGTGGATAGGAGTTAGGCATCAGCACTGAAGGCTTTGAAGAAGGTGGTACTCTGACTGGAGTGGGGCACTATAGATTGATAAGTTGTCTGGGAAATCTGAACAATCAACATTTCTTATAGTTTCCTTTTGTATGATCAGGATATTCACTTATTGAGCCACTGCCCTTTGGAAGACATTGTGCTAAGTGTTGGGATAAAGGGTAGATAAGGCAGTAAAATGCTTTTCCTAATGTGATTTAGAAACTTGGTAGGGCAATGCACACAATAAAAACAAATGCAAAGAAATAAACATGACAATTTCAGATCATGACAATAGCTATGATGAAATAAAAGTGAGTTTTTTGTTAGCACCTCATGGCATGGGGGTGGGGGACAAATTGGATAGTCAGTTAAGTGGGGGCATTTGAGCCGAGACATGATATAAGGGTGCCAGCCAAGTGAAGGTCTTGGTGGAGTAAATTTCAGATAGAAAAAAATAACAAATGCATAAACCCAAAGGTATAGAACCAAGCTGAACATCTTTTTTTTTTTTTTTTTTTTTTTTTTAATACTTTAAGTTCTGGGATACATGTGCAGAATGTGCAGGTTTGTTACATAGGTATACATGTGCCATGTTGGTTTGCTGCACCCATCGTAATCTACATTAGATATTTCTCCTAATGCTATCCTTCCCCTTGCCCCCCAGCCCCCGACAGGCCTCAGTGTGTGATATTCCCCTCCCTGTGACCATATGTTCTCATTGTTCAGCTCCCACTTATGAGTGAGAACATGCGGTGTTTGGTTTTCTGTTCCTGTGTTAGTCTGCTGAGAATGATGATTTCCAGCTTCATCCATGTCCCTGAAAAGGACATAAACTCATTATTTTTTGTGGCTGCATAGTATTCCAGGGTGTATATGTGCCACATTTTCTTTATCCAGTCTAACATTGATGGGCATTTGAGTTGTTTCCAAGTCCTTGCTGTTGTGAATAGCGCTGCAATAAACATAAGTGTGCATGTGTCTTTATAGTAGAATGATTTATAATCCTTTGGTTATATACCCAGTAATGGGATTGCTGGGTCAAATGGTATTTCTAGTTCTAGATCCTTGAGGAATCACCACATTGTCTTCCACAACACTCCCACCAACAGTATAAAAGTGTTCCTATTTCTACACATCCTCTCCAGCATCTGTTGTTTCCTGACATTTTAATGATCACCATTCTAACTGGCATGAGATGGTATGTCATTGTGATTTTCATTCACATTTCTCTAATGACCAGTGATGATGAGCATTTTTTTCATGTTTGTTGGCTGCATAAATGTCTTCTTTTGAGAAGTGTCTGCTCATATCCTTTGTCCACTTTTTGATGGGGTTGTTTGTGTTTTCCTTGTAAATTTAAATTCCTTGTAGATTCTGAATATTAGCCCTTTGTCAGATGGGTAGATTGCAAAAATTTTCTCCCATTCTGTAGGTTGCCTGTTCACTTGGGTGATAGTTTATTTTGCTGTGCAGAAGTTCTTTAGTTGAATTAGATTTCATTTGCTGTGCAGAAGTTCTTTAGTTGAATTAGATTTCATTTGTCAATTTTGGCTTTGTTACAATTGCTTTTTGTGTTTTAGTCCTGAAGTCTTTGCCCATGCCTATGTCCTGAATGGTATTGCATAGGTTTTCTTCTAGGGTTTTTATGGTTTTAGGTCTTACATTTCAATCCTTAATCCATCTTTAATTAATTTTTGTATAAGGTGTAAGGAAGGGGTCCAGTTTCAGTTTTTGGCATATGGCTAACCGGTTTTCCCAACAACATTTATTAAATAGGGAATCCTTTCCCCATTGCTTGTTTTTGTCACGTTTGTCATAGATCAGATGGTTGTAGATTTATGGTGTTATTTCTGAGGACTCTGTTCTGTTCCATTGGTCTATAGATCTGTTTTGGTACCAGTACCATGCTGTTTTGGTTACTGTGGCCTTGTAGTATAGTTTGAAGTCAGGCAGTGTTATGCCTCCAACTTTGTTCTTTTTGCTTAGGATTGTCTTGGCTATACGGGCTTTTTTTTTGGTTCCATATGAAATTTAAAGTGGTTTTTTCTAATTCTGTGAAGAATCTTTGTGGTTGCTTCGTGGGAATAGTGATTAATCTATAAATTACTATGAACAGTATGGCCATTTTCATGATATTGATTCTTCCTATCCATGAGCATGGAATGTTTTTCCATTTGTTTGTGTCCTCTCTTATTTCCTTGAGCAGAGGTTTGTTGTTCTTGAAGAAGTCCTTCATGTCCCTTGTAAGTTGTATTCCTAGGTATTTTATTCTCTTTGCAGGAATTGTGAATGGGAGTTCACTCATGATTTGGCTCTCTGTTTGTCTATTATTGGTGTATAGGAATGCTTGTGATTTTTGCACATTGATCTTGTATCCTGAGACTTTGCTGAAGTTGCTTATCAGCTTAAGGAGATTTTTGGCTGAGATGATGGGGTTTTCTAAATATACAATCATGCCATCTGCAAACAGAATACCCTTTATTTCTTTCTCTTGCCTGATTGCCCTGGCCAGAACTTCCAATACTATGTTGAATAGGAGTGGTGAGAGATGGCATCCTTGTCTTGTGCTGGTTTTCAAAGGGAATGCTTCCAGCTTTTGCCCATTCAGTATGATATTGGCTATGGATTTGTCATAAATAGCTCTGATTATTTTGAGATATGTTCCATTGATACCTAGTTTATTGAGAGTTTTTAGCATGAAGAGGTGTTGAATTTTATCAAAGACCTTTTCTGTATCTATTGAGATAATCATGTGGTTTTTGTCATTGGTTCTGTTTATGTGATGGATTACATTTACTGATTTGCATATGTTGAACCAGCCTTGCATCCCAGGGATGAAGCCGACTTGATTGTGGTAGATAAGCTTTTTAATATGCTGCTGGAATTGGTTTGGCAGTATTTTATTGAGGATTTTCACATTGAAGTTCATCATCAACGGATATTGGCCTGAAACTTTCTTTTTTTGTTTTGTCTCTGCCAGGTTTTGATATCAGAATGATGCTGGTCTCATAATATGAGTTAGGGAGGAGTCCCTCTTTTTCTATTGTTTGGAATAGTTTCAGAAGAAATGGTACCAGCTCCTCTTTGTACCTCTGGTAGAATTCGGCTGTTCATCCATCTGGTCCTGGGCTTTTTTTGTTGGTAGGCTGTTAATTACTACCTCAAATTCAGAACTCGTTATTGGTCTATTCAGGGATTTGACTTCTTCCTGGTTTAGTCTTGGGAGGGTGTTTGTGTCCAGGAATTTATCCATTTCTTCTAGATTTTCTAGTTTATTTGCATAGAGGTGTTTATAGTATTCTCTGATGGTAGTTAGTATTTCGGTGGGATCAGTGGTGATCTCCCCTTTATCATTTTTTATTGTGTTTATTTGATTATTCTATTCTTTATTAGTCTGGCTAGCAGTCGATCTATTTTGTTAATTTTTTCAAAAAACTAGCTCCTGGATTCATTGATTTTTTGAATGGTTTTCGTGTCTCTATGTCCTTCAGTTGCTCTGATCCTAGTTATTTTTTGTCTTCTGTTAGCTTTTGAATCTGTTTGCTCTTGCTTCTCTAGTTCTTCTAATTGTGATGTTAGGGTGTTGATTTTAGATCTTTCCTGCTTTTTCCTGTGGGCATTTAGTGCTATACATTTCCCTCTAAACACTGCTTTAGCTGTTTCCCAGAGATTCTGGTATGTTGTGTCTTTGTTCTCATTGATTTCAAAGAACTTATTTATTTCTTCCCTAATTTCGTTATTTACCTGGTAGTCTTGCAGGAGCAGGTTGTTCAGCTTCCATGTAGTTGTTCGGCTTTGAGTGATTTTCTTAATCCAGAGTTCTAATTTGAGTGCACTGGGGGCTGAGAGACTGTTTGTTATGATTTCCATCTTTTGCAATTGCTGAGGAGTGTTTTACTTCCAATTACGTGGCCAATTTTAGAATAAGTGCTATGTGGTGCTGAGAAGAATGTATATTCTGTTGATTTGGGGTACAGAGTTCTGCAGATGTCTATTAGGCCCACTTGGTCCAGAGCTGATTTCAAGTCCTGAATATCCTTGTTAATTTTCTGTCTCATTGATCTAATATTGAGAGTGGGGTGTTAAATTCTCCCACTGTTATTGTGTGGGAGTCTAAGTCTCTTTGTAGGTCACTAAGGACTTGCTTTATGAATCTGGGTGCTCCTGTATTGGGTGCATATATATTTAGGATAATTAGCTCTTCTTGTTGCATTGATCCCTTTACCATTAAGTGATGCTCGTCTTTGTCTTTTTTGATCATTGTTGGTTTAAAGTCTGTTTTATTAGAGACTAGGATTGCAACCCCTGCTTTCTTTCTTTCCATTTGCTTGGTAAATCTTCCTGTATCCTTTTATTTTGAGCCCATGTGTATCTTTGCAGGTGAGATGGGTCTCCTGAATACAGCACACTGATGGGTCTTGACTCTTTATCCAATTTGCCAGTCTGTGCCTTTTAATTGGGGCATTTAGCTCATTTACATTTAAGGTTAATATTGTTATGTGTGAATTTGATCCTGTCATCATGATGCTAGCTGGTTATTTTGCCCATTAGTTGTTGCAGTTTCTTCATAGTGTCAATGGTCTGTATTTTTTCATTTGTTTTTAAGTGGCTGGCACTGGTTTTTCCTTTCCATGTTTAGTGCTTCCTTCAGGAGCTCGTGTAAGGCCGGCCTGGTGGTGACAAAATCTCTCAGCATTTTATTGTTTGTAAAATATTTTATTTCTCCTGCACTTATGAAGCTTAGTTTGGCTGGATATGAAATTCTTGACTGAAAATTCTTTTCTTTAAGAATGTTGAATATTGGCCCATGCTCTTTTCTGGCTTGTAGGGTTTCTGCAGACAGATCTGCTGTTAGTCTGATGGGCTTCCCTTTGTGGGTAAGCTGACCTTTCTGTCTGGCTGTCCTTAATATTTTTCCTTCATTTCAACCTTGGTGAATCTGACAATCATGTGTCTTGGGGTCGTTCTTCTTGAGGAGTATCTTTGTGGTGTTCTCTGTATTTCCTGAATTCGAATGTTTGCCTGTCTTGCTATATTGGGGAAGTTCTCTGGACAATATCCTGAAGTGTGTTTTCCAACTTGGTTCCATTCTCCCCATCATTTTCAGGTACACCAATCAAATGTAGGTTTGGTCTTTTCACATAATCCCATATTTCTTGGAGTCTCTGTTTGTTCCTTTTCATTCTTTTTCCCTAATCTTGCCTACATGCTTTATTTCATTCAGTTGATCTTCAATCTCTGATATCCTTTCTTCTGCTTAATCAATTCGGCTATTTATACTTGCGTATGCTTCACAAAATTCTCGTGCTGTATTTTTCAGCTCTGTCAGGTCACTTATGTTCTTCTCTAAACTGATTATTCTAGTTAGCAATTCCTGTAAGCATTTATCAAGGTTCTTAGCTTCCTTGCCATGGGTTAGAAGATGATCCTTTAGCTCAGAGAAGTTTGTTATTACCCACCTTCTGAAGCTTGCTTCTGTCAATTCATCAAACTCATTCTCTGTCCAGTTTTGTTCCCTTGCTGTTGAGGAGTTGTGATCCTTTGGAGGAGAAGAGGCATTCTGGTTTTTGGAATTTTTAGCCTTTTTGTGCTGGTTTTTCCTTAACTTCATGGATTTATCTATCTGTGGTCTTTGCTGTTAGTGACCTTCTGATGGAGTTTTTGTGTGGTTGTCCTTTTTGTTGATGTTGATGCTATTCCTTTCTGTTTGTTAGTTTTCCTTCTAACAGTCAAGCCCCTCTTCTACAGGTCTGCTGGAGTTTGCTGGGGGTCCACTTAGCAGAGCTTGACCACTGTGCTGGGAGATCTGCTCCTCTCTTCAGAGCCAGCAGGCAGGAATGTTTAAGTCTGCTGAAGCTGCACCCACAGCTGCCCCTTCTCCCAGGTGCTCTGTCCCAGGGAGATGGGAGCATTATCTATAAGCCTCTGACTGGGGCTGCTGCCTTTCTTTCAGATATCCCTGGCCCAGAGAGGAGGAATCTAGGGAGGCAGTCTGGCTACAGTGGCTTCATGGTGCTGCGGTGGACTCCACCCAGTCTGAACTTCCTGGAGGCTTTGTTTACACTGTGAGGGGAAAACGACTTACTCAAGCCTCAGTAATGGCTGACTCTCCTCCCTCCACCAAGTTCCTGTGTCCCAGGTTGACTTCTGACTGCTGTGCTGGCAGCAAGAATTTCAAGCCAGTGGATCTTAGCTTGCTGGGCTCTGTGGGTTGGGCTCCGCTGAGCAAGACTACTTGACTCCCTGGCTTCAGCCTCCTTTCCAGGGGAGTGAATGATTCTGTCTCACTGGCATTCCAGGCACCACTGGGATAGGAAAAAAATATCTCCTGCAGCTAGCTTGGTGTCTGCCCAAACGGCTGCCCAGTTTTGTGCTTGAAACTCAGGGCCCTTGTGGTGTAGGTACCTGAGGGAATCTCCTGGGTTGTGGGTTGTGAAGACCGTAGGAAAAGCATAGTATCTGGGCCAGATAGCACCATCCTTCATAGCAAGGTCCCTCATGACTTCCCTTGGTTAGGGGAGGCAGTTCCCTGACTCCCTGTGCTTCCCAGATGAGTTGATGCCCCACCCTCCTGCTAGCCCTCCCTGCGCTACACCCACTGTCTAACCAGCCCCAATGAGATGAACTGGGTACCTAAGTTGGAAATGCAGAAATCATCTGCCTTCTGCGTTGGTCTTGCTGGGAGCTACAGGCGGGAGCTCTTCCTCCAAGCTGAACATCTTTAGGGCACAGAAAGAGGGCCATGTAGTTTGGATCCATAGAGTAAGGGGGAGAGAAGTAAGAGAGAGTTTGGAAAAGACCAGCAGGAACCAGGTCTTAAAGACCATTGTGAAGATTCTGGATTTTAAGTGTTACAGAAGAATTGGAGGGCCTATATAATACAGAATATGATCTAATTTATAATTTTAAAAGTTGTTCTGGTTGTTGAGGGGAAATTGATTTTGGGAGTGGGGGAAAAGAGTAGAGTGTGAGAAATAGGAAACTATTGGTTTAGCCAAATTACAAATAATCATGAGTTGTTGGGATTGGGGGATCTTACTGGAAGGGTAAAGAAATGATTGGATTGGGGATCTTCTGGAGGTGGATATGGCAGGATTTGTTATTTTTAGTGCATGGATTTATATACTCTGACCTCACCATGCATGCCACCCTCAGTGGTATGAGATATGTGTTACCACCTTGCAATGTGCTTTCATAAGGAATGCAGTGTTGAGGCAAAAGAGAAAACCCTGCCCTGCCCCTCATTCACCCCACTGCCCAGGCCTATCAGGCAGTGTAGTAATAGGGTCTCAGACAGTAATGGCCCTAGAATTTAAGATGTAACCAGCAGCAGAGAGAGGGTTGGGAAAGAGATATCAAAATGCAGAAACAGGCTGGGCACGGTGGCTCACTTCTGTAATTCCAGCAGCTTGGGAGGCTGAGGTGGGCAGATCCCTTGAGGTCAGGAGTTCGAGACCAGTCTAGCCAAAATGGTGAAACTCCGTCTCTACTAAAAATACAAAAATTAGCCAGGTGTGGTGGTGTCCACCTGTAATCTCAGCTACTCTGAAGGCTGAGGCAGGATAATCCTTTGAATCCGGGAGGTGGAGGTTGCAATGAGCTGAGATTGCACCACTGCACTCCAGCCTGGGCGACAGAGGAAGACTCTGTCTCAAAAAACAAAACAAAACGAAACAAAATACCAAAAACAACAACAAACGTGCAAAAACAATTGCCAAGGACATCCCTCCAGGAAAGACATGAGACAAACCATCTCTTTATCGGGTATTGTGAGGAAGGTGATGCTTTAGGGGTTAGATGGACGGGGGATAAGATGGAAGAAAATCTGTGCATTGCACACTTTTCACTGAATTGTCGTCATTTATTTGTCAATTCCTTCACTAAAATATAATCACAGGAGGGTAGAACTAAGTCGTATTAACTTTTATATCCTAGTGCGTGGCTCAGCCTCTAGTACCTAGTGCCCAGTTAATGCTTCTTGAATGAATGGTGGAATTCTTTATTGAAAAGGTATTGGTTTGAAGACTTAGGCTTTTTTCTGACTTTCTAAGCAAGTGTGACAGGAACAGAAATTAGCATCAGGAATCCTGCCTTTTTTTCTGCTTTTCTGCTTTGGTAATCACGTTGCCGTTCCATATTTATCACTATGAAATAGCTGAACCTTCTCCAACAGAGGCCTTTTTTGCCCCTGTCCTTGCATGATGCAATTTGTATAGGCCAGCAGGAAGGCATATACTTTGGTACAAAATGTGAATATGCCTATTAACATTCTCCCAAAGGATGTGGACAGCCCTAGGAATCAGCTTAGAGGTTCAGCCTGGCCCCTGGTCGGCACATTCTACGAGCTCGTGGAAAAGGGCAAGCACAGACTATTTACAGCCGCAGAGAAATGGCCTCATAAAAATGCATAAGGGTATGTGCACAGTGATGACTTGGATGAAAAAAGCAGTGTTTACATACTGTTACACTAAAAATATTCACACCTCATCAAATTGTCAGTCTTGTTTGCAGGCAACAATGGGAATTTTCCCCCTATAAGATGGTAATAGCTCTCAGTGGAGCACTGCATATTATGTCTCATTAATCCTTCCCAGATCCCAGCGAGGTGGGTGGTGAGGGTTCGTATTCCTGTTGTTTCAGAAAAGAATAGAATGAGATTCATTTCCCTGCTCTCTGTTCACACTGCTTCATAGAATGATGGAGGATATTTGCCATCTCATTTTTGAAGCCTGATTCACCGTGGCCCTTGGGGCTTGGTCCTTCCTAATGACATCTGGTCTACTGCCCTTTGTGCTGATGAGAACACGAAGCCCCAGAGGAGGGGAGTCAGTTCATAAAGCCCTCTCAGCTACTGTGGAAAATCGAAGCCCAGCTCACTAATTTCCTACCTAGAGAAAGGTAGGAAGAGTAAGAGCACAAACCTGTATAAACACCTATTAGCTGTCAAGAATTTTATAATTAATATTATTTTGGATTCACTATGACAATCTTGTAAGATTGGTTTTCTTCTTATTATTATTAATTATTATAAGTTTCTAAATAAAAAGTATAAAGATCAAGCATCAAATTTCCAGAATGTAGTTTATTTGACACCAAAGCTGATATGGATGAGATGTCACACACCCTCCATGCTGTATCCACCAGAGGGACCGATACCTAGCAGAGGCTCAAAGATGTTTCTTTCTTGATTTGATCTGGCAGAGTAAAGACAGCTTTGGAGAAAGACAGACCTGGATTCAAATGCAGATCTCTTCCTTACTAGATGGGCATGCTTGGGTAAGTCAGAAATAATGCCTGAGCCCCAGTTTTCTTACCTATGAAAGAAATAAAATATACCATGGCAGGATGGGTATGAAAATGAAATGAGAGAGTACAGAGAAAGTGACTGTCATGCATAAGGACTGCTCCATACCTGCTGGTTCCCTCTGCTCCTCCCCATAATGGCAGTCTTGTATGTTTTTAAATAATAATCTTCTTAGAAAACAAAACAAACCCACACGTTTCTGGTTTTTTTTTTGTTTGTTTTTTTTTGTTTTGTTTTTTTGCTTCCCCACCTGGAGTTGACTTATTTATAGTGCCCAAGATGGTTAACATCCTTCTTATTGATTTTCACTAATTATCAGCAACTTGCAGGGGTCACCTTCTCAAGCCTCATCTCAGGAGGTCATTGAGTGAGGTTATTTAAGCTTCTTGGCAGTAGAAACTATGCTCCCAATACATTGACCACTGACCATGTACCAAGCATCTAAATGTTGCATGAGACACTGAAAACTAAAGCTTGGTGAGCTCAAGGGCGCCAACAAGGGCCGCTTCAATACCTATGAAACCTTGGTAATTTACTTAATTTCTCATATAGTCTTCTCATTTATATAACGGGCATAGATATAAACAGGTTTGAGAAGATTAAAAGAAATAATGTATAAATACTGGTTACTCATTTCCAGCTACATAACAATGGTTTGGTAATTATTAGTTATTAGTAGCATTAGCAAAATACTTAGTAAAGGGAAATTCATAAGTTAATTATTTCCAATGTAAGGAGGTATGTAATTAATTTATTCATTATCCAATGTGTCATTAAATTTTTATATTAAATATCAAAAAACTTGTTAATTATAATTATGTAGTAAATATATATTAATATTAATTATAAAAATGCATACATTATTATTTTTATTATACTTTAAGTTCTAGGATACATGTGCACAACGTGCAGGTTTGTTACATATGTATACATGTGCCATGTTGGTGTGCTGCACCCATTAATTCGTCATTTACATTAGGTATATCTCCTAATGCTATCCCTTCCCCCTCCCCCCACCCCATGACAGGCCCGGGTGTGTGATGTTCCCCTTCCTGTGTCCAAGTGTTCTCATTGTTCAATTCCCACCTATGAGTGAGAACATGAGGTGTTTGGAAAAATGCATACATTATATAACATGACAGCAAAATAAACCATCCACTCACCATACTGTGAAGACGACCATATGAAAGCACTCATCTTCTCCTTTCAGAGGCAACCACAACTCTTAATTTTGTGATGAGCCTTTCCTTGCCTTTCTTTATGGTTATACCATTTATGTTTGCATTTGTTAACAATAAATTTTGGGGGGGGTTCTCATGCTTTTGACATTTATATTAATGTAATCACATTGCTATTGATCTTATGCTATTTGCTTTGTTTGCTCAATGTGGTATTCTGAAATGTATCCATGTTGTTCACATAACTGTAATGAATTCTTTCAGTACTATGCAAGAGGACAGATATGGAGGAATTCACTTATCCATTTCACTCTTAATAGGCATTTTAGTTACTTCCTTTAAATTTGTTTTCGTGTTACTACAAGTGCTTCTAGTAACATTATTATATAAATTGATGGTATACATGGGCAAAATTCTCTGCAGCGTAGATATCAGAGAATGAAACTGATGGGCTGCAGGATGTGAACATTTCCAACCTAACTAGATAATGCCGTAGCCTTGTTACACAAAGTAGCTATGCCCATTTACAATCCCAGCTCATGTCTATCATGGTAATGTCTGCCTCACATCCTTGTCAACACTTGTTATTCTTAGTCTTTAATATTTGCCTATCTATTGGATAAAAAATTGTCCCCCCTTGTGGTTTTAGTTTGCATTAGTTTGATTACTAGAGAGGTGAAGAATATTTTAAAACTTGTCATTACAGTTTCTAATTTTGTGAGATGCTTATTTAGGACATTCCCATTTTATTTTATTAAATTGTTTGTCTTTATCAATTAATATAAATTGTATATACATGTATATACAGTCTGGATACTAATTTCATCATGATATATTCCCAAACACCTTCTCTTGGTTGGTGACTTGTCACTTCAGTTTCTGTACTATGCCTTTGGATGCATAGATGTTCTTAACATTGACAAAGTACATCATTCATTTTCTCAAGATTTATACTGTCTATTTCTTGTTTATAAACCCTTCCTTCCCCAGATGTCATCAAGATATTCTGGTATTCTCCTGTATTATATTTTAGAAGTTTTATATTTTTTATTTTCATATTTAAATATTTAAACCAGCTGAAATTGATTTTATGTGTGGTGTGAGATGGGGTTAATTTTTATTTTGGTCCATATAAGTAACCAATTGCTCTAAGATTATTTGCTGAATGGTCATCTTTTGCCACTGATCTGCAGTGCTGGCTGTCATAAATCGGGTTTCCATATATGTGTGGTCCTGTTTTTGTCCACCTTTTTCCTTCTTCTGTACTTATTTTTCTGTCACCAACACCAGCCTTCTTTAATTACCCTCATCTAATAATGCCTGGTATTGTGAAAGATAAAACCCCAAACTGTTCTTCCTCAGGAGTGTTTTGGCTGTCCTTGGAGCGTTGCTATTTCATATAAAATGTTCAAGTCATTTTGCCAAGTTCCTTAAAAATAACCTGTTAAAATTTCTTAGAGTTATATTGACTTTATAGGTTTATAAATAAATTTGGAAAGAAGTGTCATAAATATTGAGTCTTCCTATCCATGTACATATCTCTTCTCTAAAATTTTGTCCTTCTTTAATGTTTTTCAATATATAACTTTCAATATAAAGTTTTATATTTTCCATAAAGCTCTTTCCCATTTCTGTTAGATTTACGTCTAACAGACATAAATACTTAATTGTATAAATGGTTTCTCTTTTAAAGTCTATTTTCTGTTTGTTCATATTTCATATTTTATCAAGAACTTCTGATAATATATCTATTGAGCCTAATGGTTAATCTGTTGATTTTGTTTTTTTGTGTGTGGATAATCATATAGTCTATAAATAATAATATTTTTCTTTTTTTCTAGAAATGTTTTTATTCATCACTTTTATTCCATTTTATTTTGTTGGGACCCCCAACAAATATTGAATGGAAGAGGTGATAGTGAGCTCTATCCTCTTATTCCTCATCTGAAGAATTACTTGAGGCCTCATTTGGACCTGATTCCTTCAGGGGAGATTTGTTCCACTAATTTGAGAATACTCTAAACCAAATCTTCAGATAGGAATTTTCACCCAGCTATGGAGATTTGGAACAATAAACCTGATTGGAGGCCAACTTATGATTAAGAATGTTCAGAGAGCTTTTTGTCTTCCACACGGTGTAAAAGTTTGTGACAGGATCATCCTTTTGTAATCATTTTGATGGTAGATTCATTTTATGTTCAGTCTTAAATTAAAGTCATAGCTCTTTGGGAAATCTCCTATCAGATTTCCTACTTTGGGTGAGCCTTGGGGATTGTCTCCTTGTTAACTAGTGCTCAAGACCACTGGAGCTCAGTAAACAAACCCTGGATGCGAGCTGACTTCAGTGCTATGCTCAACCTTCTGGGTTACCCTTGTGCATTTAGGTTTTGACCTTTACATATTTTTCCTTCTTTGTCAGTCCATTGATGAATTTAATGAGAAGTTTGTGTATATTGTAGTCAGCATTTTCAGTGTTATGATGTTTTGTTCATAGTATTTCTGGAATTACAAGTCCCCACTGTGCGTTTTCAGCACAACCCCTATGTTTGCTGGTCATTCAATGATGCATAGCAAGACACCATCCTCTGCTGTGAAGGAGTTCACAGCAGACACCATCCTCTGTTGTGAAGGAGTTCACAGCAGAGTTGGGAAACAGGCACGTAAAATGGCATTGCAATACAGGATCATATGTGTTTTCATACAATTAGCCATATGAAGGGTGACTGGATGGGACAGGACATTCAAAAGAGAAGGAGACACACTTTCAGAGGCTGTTAAGTAAGAGAAAGGGTCTGGGGTATTATGAAATCTTTGTGTTTCTTATGTATGCCATGTATTCTAGGAGATAAGAGATGCATATTTCACTATTAATAGACAATGTAATGAGTCTCACAGAGGTTAACTGATTTGTTTGTGGTGCCATGGGTAGCAAACCAAAAATCTGATCTTTTAAATCTAAGTCCAGTGCTGTTTTCAATCCTAACACTACTGGACATTGAAAGCTGAGATACTGAGTCCCTTCTCATACATTCTTAAAGCTCCTAATTCAGTGTTCTGGCTACAGAAGATTCATAACTTGTCCTTATTCATCACTCAAAAGCTCTCATATTTGGAGAATTTACTTGTAAATTCTTTAAGCAAATTTTTAAAAATTTTTTTCTTGCTTTTTCTTCCATTAAAAAAAACTGTTCAGAGAAGGAGAATGCTCTGGGAAGACAAGCCCTATTGCAGCTGACAGTGAGCCTCAACCAGTGCTGCTAATAAAAAGTAAAAAGGAGGAACCTGCTGGGATTGTATCATTGGAGTTCCGAATCCTCTACAGAGTGCTGAGCTCTCCCACTTCGCTAGTTTAACAAGTTTCCATAAATGTTTGCTCTTTTCTTCCTGTTCTTTTTTCCACTGGGTTGTCCTGAGAGCTGGTTTGTGTAACCCGAGTGTCTGGTATTTAGCCAAAGCTTTAAACTTCAGTTTCTACCTCTCTGGACCTGGCCAGTTGCTTTCTCTGACTTATTGAGACTTGGTGTGTTGACTTGTCCTACCCAGAGATGACTGTGCATGGAGGTAGCTCTAGAACTGGATACACAAGGAACCCAAAAAGAGCAATCTGGTAAAAAGGCAAAGACGGAGACTGCTTCTTCAACTGTATTTGTGTAGCAGGCTTACAGGTTGAACTTAGGTTACCTGACCCCTTGATCCTTGCATCCTTTATTCTCACATGAGAACGAGGCTGATAGTGATGCTTAATTCATTGGGCTCTTGTAAGGATGAAATGAATCAATATGTGAAAAGAATTTTCAAAACCATTTGCTATGACACAATTGCTCAATAGATACAGGCTATACTAATACTAACACTAGTAATGTTTACCATTAGATTGTTTATTTGGGGTGGTGTTGAGCTGACCATGATGGCATTACTGAGGAGTGATAGACTTCTCCCTTTTGGCTCTTCCAGAAGCATCTGTAGTTCCAGAAACATCTGTTTTTGGTTGACAGTAGAGTATAATTTAAGGTGGCAAGAAACTTCTTACTTGCCCTAAATCTTCCCTAAGCATGTACAGTTTCTAAAATGTTGTCAATATTTGAGAATCTTTCTTTTATACATTTGGAATTTCCTATTTAATTGGCTGACAAAACAATAAACTAGGAATTTGGAATCAAAACACTTGAAATAGGGTCTTTACTACTCTGTCTTTTCCCTATGTTGCCTTGGGGAAGCCTCTGTTAGGACTTACTGATATCTAATTCTTCTCTTGTGGGTAATCACAGTTGAGTGAGGGCTTTTTGCTGCCCATTGGCTGTAAACAGAAGTGACACCTACCACTTCTGGGCTGAAGCATTTGTCAGTATGAGATCTTCCACTTGTTTTCCTTCTCCTGCCAAAATAGCTGTTGAAGAGGTCTCACATTAAGATTGCAGATTCAAAATGGTGATCAGCTTGGAGTCTCAACTCACCACATGGAGGAAAGTTATTCTGGAGAGTGCCTTGGATTCAAATCAGAAAGAACTTTGTGTAAAAAAATACCATTTAGATTTGGCGGCTGTTTGTTGATTTAATGTAACCTGTCCTATCTTTGATTAATCAAACCTCTTAGCTGTTCTGAAGCTCAGCTTCCTCATCCTAAAAGTGGAACTAATAATATTTAGAAAACTGTGGAATTTTTGAAGGGTAAAACTAAACAAGGTAATATGTGCAAAGTATCTAAGGTAACATCTGGGCATAGAGGAATTGCTCCTAGTTATTATTATTGTGTTTAATGTCCCGTGCATAGCCTCAGGGATTCTTGACAAAGGTAACCGTGAAAGCTTCCTACTTTCAAGAAGCATGAGAAATGTTGAGAAATTAAAAAGATTCCCATTTTAAGTTGTGTTCTTCTGACCTCTTTTCTGGGTGTCACTTAGCAACCAATGGGGGAAAGAGGGAATATGCTTGTTTAATTCCTCTATTGCTCAAATGCTAATGCAGATACGGGGCTCCTCAGCATAAGGAAGGAATTAGCTTTTGTCATCTACCTGCCCTGTCACTCTGTCTTCCAGTGTCCTCTTTCTGTTTCTTCTCAAACTTTATCTCAGTCTGTCACTTTTGCCCAGTCTCTCCTTATGCAACTAGAAATAAACCACTCAATGAATTGCCCCACACTGGTTACTTTTCCTGAGAATCAGAGATATAAGCACTATTCTCACCTATGTTGCTGTCTTTTCTGAGCCAATTTTGCAGTGTTCGATAAGTTCAATAAGAATTGAACTCATGATAGCTTAATAGAGATTTGTTAAGCCTTATTTATTTGTTGAACTTTTTTTATTTTATTATTATTATACTTTTTAAAAGAGCTCTTAAGTGGACAATATGATCTTTTGAAATTCTGGTCTTAAACTGCACTTACACATCTCAGCTTGTGCAGCTCCAACAACAAAGAATCCTGGATTCTAGGATTGGAAAAGAGTTATTTCTCTACCATGTGAAAGAAAAAAAGGAGCTAGTATTTATTAAGTACATGTTAGGCTATTTATATGTGCTATCTTATACCACACTTATTTTTAAGGTAACAAAATATGGCTTGAGAAGATTAACTTGAGAATTGTCACACGCCAAAGATTTATTTTGTAGCTCTTTCTTCCATTGTCTCTTGTTATGACTTTTGGTCAAACTAATAACATTATCATTTTTTATTAACAAAAGACATAGATAATTAATGAAAATAGTGAAAAGTAATAATAAACGCAATTTTAAGAAGCATTAAATTCTCTTGTGTAATAAGATGTTAGATATGTTAGCTGGAGGAACATAGTGATGGTTAAAATGTGTTATCTCCATTATGCTTTCAGTCATATTCAAATTAGCCTGAGGCTTGTCTAATACTATCTTCATGAACTCACAGAGTTCATAGGATCTCAAGAGGGCAACCACTGATACGGTATAATCAAATCACATAATATATTCAACAACAACTGCCAGAAATATCTATTGAATTCTTATGTATTATATTCTATTCTGGACCAGGGAGATTCAGAAGCATCTATATGGAACTTGCATATAGGGGGGGAACAATTAACAAAATGAATAAATAAGTTAAAATATTAGAAATAAAATAATTAGAAATTTATATCCAAAAATATTAGAAATAAAATAAATAAAATAATAAAATAAAATATTATTAAAAATAAGTTAATATATTAGAAATAAAAATTATTATGGGGAAAATCAAGTGGGGAAGGAAGGTAGGGACTTCTGGAATGTGTGTGTTTGCAATTTTAAATGGGGTGAATAAACTGAGCAAGAAAGATGAAATAACTTCCTGACAGTCATGAAATTCATAAGGGGCAGATGGGAAACTGTTCCCAGTGTTCTAACTTTCAAGTCGATTAGCTTCTGCTCTATGAATTTTTTATGGAAGCCAGTCCCAGGATAAATAACAAGAATGAAATTGTTCATTGGTACATTCTTAAAAATTCTTTTGATTTTAGACACAGGTATCTGTCTTGAATTTGCTTAATCAAAATAGGCAAGTTTTGTGTGGAAGGACACTAAAATAGTTCATCTAATATAGAGGGCAGGGGTCCAGTCTGGTCTCTGGGAATGTGAAAGCTGATGAGACGGTCTTTTCATTGTTCTTCTCTGCTTCTCTCGGCTCAACTTCGTCCACCTGGTTAGAAGATCGGACTGTTAACAATACTGTCTTTTGATCTGGGAAACAGGAGGTCCTGGTCTTCCCAGCATCAGAGATGACTGAGTTTTGGAGCCCCTGTCTCCGGGTCTGGCTATGCTAACTGGTTGAGATGCCCCCTGGGGAACTCTGAACCTTATGTGGAGTCGACCAGATGTTGTGAGTCGCTCTAGGACTTGTGCCTACAGGGCTGTCTTGGGACTTGTAGCCTGCAAGGTTTCCAGAAGGATTGCCTGGTAAGCAGATTGCTCCTACTGGCTGGTTCAGTATTTATTTTGCAGGATTGTATAAATTTGGGCCACATAGAAAGGTATAAACATGACAGTTTGGGGTGATTCTCTCTCAGGTCTGTGAAAATTATCAGTACAAAGATGGAGTCACTCATGTCAAACCCTAAGAAAATGGAACTGGGAGGCCATGAAGGAAGGGCCCTCACACAGGTATGACAGTAACAGGAACTGCCACAAAGGACTTTCCCAACCAGAACTTTCCAGTTAAGCCTCTTTTATGAAGGCCTTCACCTATCAACAGCTAGCACCACCAATGAACCAACACCAGCGACTTTGAAAATCTCCTGTAAACAATGGTCTTGCCTTTAAAAGCTTCCCCTTGGGCACAGTGGCTCACACTGTAATCCCAACTATTTGGGAGGCTGAGGTGGGAGGATCGCTTCAGCCTGGGAGGTCGAATCTACTTTTATCTATGATTGTTCTGCTGCACTCCAGCCTGGCTGACAGAGCAAGACCCCATCTCTAAAAAAAAATTAAACAGTTTAAAAAAGCTTCCCTTGCTTATGCCTTCTCAGATATGCCTATGGTCTGCCGTAGCACACATATCCAGAAATGCAATCCCTTATTCTTCCTGAATAAACTCTTTGTTTTGGAGAGTTGATCTCTGTGTCACTCATGTTAGGTTGACAGGTCAAACAGAGGATGAGTTAGAGCTCTGGGCACCTATGGTCCACTGACAACAGTAAGCTTGAGCCAGATGCATGCCCTGCATCAAGTCTCCCAGTCTGTGTCTTAACAATGGTGCCACCATCAGTTTACAGAATCCAAGTAGTAGGGATTAAAAGCAGTGGAACTGAAACTGTTGGATGAGTTGGGAATCCAGATTTTATTCTGTACTAGCTGTGTGATTCTGAGCATGTTATTTAACTTTTTTAAGCTTCATTTTTTTATCTTCAAAATGGAGAGATGGGATTTTTAATGATTATTATATGAGATAACATTTGAAAATTACCAGGAACAGTACCTAGCATATAAGCATTCAATAGGTATTATTATTATTATTATTTGGAGAGATTAAGAGAAGTTAAAATATCTCGCCCAACATCTCATAGAAATCTAGGTTTCAAATCCCAGTATTCTGTAGACCACCTGTTCTTTTGAATATGCTATACTACATTCTTAGGTAAAAGGGGTGAGTGTCCAAGAATAAAACCAATGTGGTGATGAATTTATTTGATGATTAGAGCTTTTGACCTAGGAACACCCTGAGTTTGCCTTATCCTGACACAAACATTTCCAAAATACAACTCAAGCCCAAAGTGTGTGATAGAAGCAAAACAAGAGAACATTTACAATTTTGTTGAATGCTGCTTTTTTTAAAGGGGAAAAAACACACATAAAGTTAATTGGTACTTTGAATTGCAAAATATTGACACTTAAGTAAATTTAACTCACAAAAAGGAAGTTATATCAAAGTCCAAAATGCTGAGGGGAAAGTAATCAGCCCTTACATTGTATGCAATAGTAAATTAAATTGAAATAGTTATTTCTGTAGTGTTCAAGCTGTGACTTTAATTATCCTCAAGTCTGAGAGTTCTAAGTTAAAGTTTTCACAGTAACCGTAATTTTTGTCCCATTAAAAAGCTAACAGAATTAGCTTTATTTTAGACTTTCCCAGATTAGAAATGGCTTGAGCCTGTTGAGTTGGTTTGTAGTGACATCTGGAATTATAAAGCTGCCTTTTAACGTATTTAAATGTTTAGTTATGAGTATTTTTAAATTTTAAAACCTCTTGCTTTTTATTAAAATTTGTCAGATATATCAGTTAGCTAAGAACTATTTATTGGGTACTGTATTAGTCCATTCTCACACTGCTATAAAGATACTACCAGAGACTGGGTAATTTATAAACAAAGGAGGTTTAATTGACTTACAGTTCCACATGGCCTCAGGAAACTTACAATCATGGCAGAAGGGGAAGCAGGCACCTTCTTCACAAGCTGGCAGGTAAGAGTGTGAGCATGTGAAGGAGGAACTGTCAAACACTTATAAAACCATCAGATCTCATGAGAACTTACTATCATGAGAACGGCATGGGGGAAACTGCCCGCACGATCCAATCACCTCCCACTGGGTCCCTCCCTTGACACGTGAGGATTATGGGGATTACAATTCAAGATGAGATTTGTGTGGGAACACAGCCAAACCATATCAGGTACATATTATATGTCAGCCTTAGTGGCAAATGCTAAAAAGGTAGAAAGGAAGAAATACAAGCAGGGAGAGAGAAGAAAAGAATACACAAATGCATTAATTACTAACCGTGTGTGTGTGTGTGTGTGTGTGTGTGTGTTCATGCACATGGACATATGTGAACATGGCCTTTTAGGAGCCCAGTGTGACAAGGAAGTGACAACTTCAATTTAAATGAGAATTGAATGTATCACTAATCAAATATGGCACTTTTGGAGAAAGTCCATCATTTCCAGTAGCAGATGTCAGTGAATGGCCTTTGATGTTTCAGGCCCAATGGTTGGGGAGGAAATCCCTGCCAGAGAGTTCCTAAACAAGTGAGAGTTGAAGTCAGAGCCCAAATACCTTCCTAGGACAATGACTAGGAGTCTAATATTTGCAGGCATGGCAGAGGCCCTAGGGCAGGGCTTCAAAAACAAAAAAAATCCAAGAATCTTATTGACCTAAAAGGACACTAAAGGGTGGCAGACAAGAAGAACATAAAAATAAGAGCAAACAACCTTTGTTGATTGTATACTGAGGTTAATGTGAAATATTGAAATAGCCAATATATTCTTCCTCACTTAAAAATTGCATTGCTATGTGTCTGGCTACCCCATGAAAATAATGGATTTCAGTATTTCAAGGGGAGACAAGATACCACCTTGAATACAAAGTTATTCCTGGGATTTGAGTGTGAAACTAGATTTTATTCCTGTTATTAAGGCCATGGAAAGATGATGGGTTTTAAAGCCAGTCTTTGAAAATCTTCACTTTACATACTAAGATACAAGTACAGGAACTCATTGTAAATGAATTTAACTACTAACCATAGATGGGGTAAAAAAGCTTGACATGGAAGACATTCATAGCAGAACTGCACAGTCCAGTACAGTAGACAATTGTGGTATGTGGTTATGGCATATAGTAAGTCCAATCTGAGATGCATCATAAGTTTCAAAGACAGTATAAATAGAGTAATGTAAAATATTTTGTTAATATTTTATGTTGATTATATTTAGAAATGATAATATTTTAGATATATTCAGTTAAATGAAATATATTTAAATTGATTTTGCCTGTTCATTTTTACTATTTTTAATATAGCTACTAGAAAATGTTAAGTCACATATGTAGCTTGAATTTGTGGCTTGTGTTACATTTGTATTCGGGCTATCTCAAAGGGGAAGGAAGGAGAGAATGGGCATGTCAGAGTTCTGCCCTATCTAGGGTGATCACATCATTTCTTATTCATACCAGGATATTTGGAGAATAAAAATGGGCACTGTAGACAATGATTTTGGGACAAGTGGCATTAACTGGGACTGTCCTAGACAGTGAGATATGAGGTCAACTTCCCAATGAATAAGGTAACTGTGAATGCCAAAGAGAAAGGGCAGGTGAGAACTGTCACAGATGAGTTTGTTTTAGGGAGATTTATTTTTCCATGCATTAAACAAAAAACTGAAGTTTGTCCCACCTGCTTCATGCTCTTCCTTCTCTTAGAAAATATCTATAGCTTTCTATTTTTGAGGAGGATTTCAGACTAAAATCCAAGTTCCAAGAACTTCTTGGATGGTAGACATTACTATGAAGCATTTGGATATATTAAATCTAAGTCCATCAGAAACATACGGATTACATTTCCCTTTAAAACACAAACACACTTAACATTTAATGAGAAAAGTATTTGGCAAGGGGCTTCCAAATACTTTTCTTTGGTTTTGTTAAATCCCCAGTGTTTGCATGCACGTAGACACATGATCATTTAGGGGATGCTCTTCACATGAATGACAGGCTTGCTTTCCTCTGCCAGAAAGCAGGCTCAGCTTTCTTGATGTACACCCGGGTCCCTTGCTTAAGAGCTCGATCCCAAAGACCTTGAAGAACTAAAAATGTCCTCTAATCTGAAATTTGGAGAGTCTAAAGGCAGGTGGAAGAATCTGACACACTGAGGAAGTGTGGCCTTTTGTAGCATCTCCCCTAAATAGAACCATGGACATGGGGACACAGGGAAACATGGGAGTAGAGAGAATCGATATTCTCAACAGCCAAGCTCTGCCTTTTTTCAGGGTGGTGAGGAGACTGGAGAGGGGACTTGTTCCCTACTCTCTCCTCCTCAGCCCCACTTCGTGACCCTGAAATGTCCTTTCAGTATTTGTGTTTTAATTCAAGACTCCCAGCATCACAGTAAGCACTCATGTCCGTATCAGCAGCCTGAGCTGAAATACGCAGGGTATTAGTCTGCTCTCATGCTGCTAATAAAGACATACCTGAAACTGGGTAATTTATAAAGGAAAGAGGTTTAATGGACTCACAGTTCCACATGGCTGGGGGAGGCCTCCCAATCATGGGGGCAGGCAAATGAGGAGCAGAGTCATATCTTACATGGTGGCAGGCAAGAGAGTGTGTGCAGGAGAGGCCCTTTGTAAAACCATCAGATCTCAGGAAACTTATTTACTATCATGAGAACAGCATGGGACAGACCTACCCCCCTGATTCATTTACCTCCCACTGGATCCCTCCATGACACATGGGAATTATAGGAGCTACAAGTCAAGATGAGATTTGGCTGGGGACACAGCCAAACCATATCATGCAGTCATTATTATTACACTTCTCCTCTTTAAGTTTGAGCATGCTGATTCCCTTGATGGAAATATCTTGTCCCTCCTTTTCCCAGCTGGCTCCTCTCACTGCCCTAGTGGGAACAGTTCAGATGCTTCTCTCCCTTAGGAAGTGTCTCCTGATTGTCTCAGAAGGCATGGAATCCTCCCTGGAAGGCCTCTTCAAGCCTTTATCAGAATGCTTTCTCATAATGAACTGTGGTCATTGCCTTCCTCAGCCACCTCCCCACTCCGTGGGAGCCCCTTCAGGGAAGGAGGAACCTATGTCCCCATCTTCAGGGTCTGTCATGTGATAGCTGCTCATTAAACTTTCATATTTCATAGTTTCTTTTATCATTGGAGAATCACTTTGACAAACAGGAAATGTAACCTGACAAAAACCTGAAGAGGTTGACAGGTGACTAATAAATTCCCATTTTATTCATGAGAAAATTGAAAACTCTGAAATGCTGAGTGACTTTCCTAACACCCAGTCCAGGACTGCAGGAGCTAAAAGTAGAGACCAATATTTACTCCAGGAGATAATAGTAGGGCTCAGTATTTACTCCAAGGATCGGTTTTTCGGGTTATTTTTCCCCACTAAACTTGCCAGTTTTTTTTTTGAATTAAACACAGACACATCAGGCCACAGCCAGACATGTTTTGAATTTTGGATCTGATCTTAGTTTAAAAAGAAGGGTTTTGACTCTAGTGAAGGCTGATGGAAAGAGGCCTGTGAAAAATAGAAAGGCTTTTAGTAAGATGTTCTCAAAGAGGTCGGGGATCTCATAAGACAGGGGTTCAAGGTCTGTGGGTGGGATAGCTGAGGTCCATGAAACCCTAGGTTGGGGGCAAAATCTTGTGAGTATTTCTCTGGGGGGAGGATATGAAAGTTTATTCTTCAAAGGGAAGCAGATCCGACTAGTTAAGGTGAGAATATCTAAAGCCTCCTTCTACCCCTGGGCAGAGAGAATGTTTTGCACTTTCTTGAGGATCAAGCTATTGCCTATGGGCCAATTTCCTCCTGCAAGCCCCTCCCAGGGCCAGTGGATGCCAAGGCCTCTAAGGAGGGGTCTGTGCAGCCTGCTGGCATCTTGTGTATCAACACTTTTGCTTTGCAGGCAAGCTAATCTGTCCCTTAAGCTGCTTGGCTGAGATTCTTTGCCAGATCTGATAGGAGAATTTAACCTTTCCTTTTTCTCTTTTGGCCCACACTCAATGGAATCCAAATAAAGAATGAAAGAGACTTGAAAGGGAATTTCCATTACCAAATAATTCAGTTTAAATTTCCGACCTTTCCTCTACCTATTTTTTTTTTCCATTCCCTCCTTTCTTCCTCCTCAACATTTGGAACTCAGAGCTGGCATAAAACCTTGTGGGGACATGTGGAAAGCCAGAGACCAGGAACGTGAGTGGAATTTTCCAAATTAAGGTGGATTATTGGTCTTCATTGCCAAGCAAAGTGGAGAGGCCTGGCTTTTTGGCAATGACTTGGAGCAGGAGTGCTTCAACATCTGGAAGAGGGTTTTGGCTTTCATGTCTGGAGTGACACATATTCTGGCTTCATGGAACACTTTGCATTCTTTGCTACCCATCCTGCACTGTCCTAGCACCGAGTCATTGCTCCTGCTGCTCATAGAACATAACATCAAAAAGTGTTCAGTGAACAGCTATGAGGTCAGATATTGTCCTGAAATCTCAGGGTAACAGTCATAGCTAGAATTCATTGGGAACCTATCTTTGCCCAGTATTGTGCCAGCTTAACAATACTAAGAGGTAGGTCCAACTTATTTTCCCATTTGATAAGAGGATACTGATTGACAGAGAGTAAAATACATCTCCAAGCTCTCATAGACAAGATGTAGAAGAACCAGATTGCAAATATAGACAGTCTGGGTCGAGAACTAGCCAAGAGTAATCAGAGTGGAAAGAAAGCTTAGCACAGAAACACGGAAAGGAATTAACAAATTGTACTTACCACGATGGGGAGGTGAAGGAGTCAGAATAACAAAACTAATTCATGTTTTAAATCTAAGTTTTAAAAACAACATTTGTTTCTTCTTGCCCTGATTATAAAACAATAGCCCATGTTTATGATAATGGCTTTGGAATTACTCCCCCAAAGGTAGCTGATATGGAAGATTTTATAAGACAGTTTTTTTTCAAATTTACTATGAAAAGTGAATTCACATCCTATATAAAGATATATAGAATTTGGATGAAAATATTCAATATTCTTTATAATAATGATAGCTAACATTTATTGAGTGCTTACCAAATGTCAGCTACTGTTCTAAGCTTTTTACCTATGTTAGCTCTTGTCATTCCTTCAATAGTCCTGTGAGATAATTGCTATTATTATCCTTCTTTTACAGGTGAAGTGAAGTGGGTGTGCCTGGGATCACACACAGCTGGTGAGTGGTAGAGCCAAGTTTCAAATCCATGCAGCCTGGCTCCACAGCCCACGCTCACAGTCACTCATCAACACCTTTCCATGCTATGGGTTCAAGAGTCCTTTCTTTAGTGGTTGTTTTTTTCTCCATGCCTGTTCAGTTGGTCAATGTAGCCGTGTATGCCAAAAGCTGTACAAGATCTGGAAATAGCCAAACGTGTTTTTGTGAGGACTTTGCAACAGAAATTAAAGGCAGTTTATAGCAAAGACTGAGAGAAGGTGCTGAGTGATGCATGTGACACAAGGGGGAGTGATTGAGAGTTATTCTTGCCCAGTGGAAATCAATTTCATCCTGATTGTGCCCCCCAGGTAGAAAGTGTGATCTATCAACATTTGTTGAATAAATGAATTAGTGGCTAGTATAGCTGGTTGCAAGTACTGGGAATACAGTATGGGAAAGACCTTGAAATAAGTGGTGGTGTTTGTTTTTCCTTCAATCATTTGGAGATGTTTCTGAGAGGGCATATTTGGAAAGTATACTTAAGAGCAGTAGTTCATAGCAGACTTAAAATTACAAACAAAAATATCAACACAAGCCACTGGGCAATCTGAAGACTGTTGGATGTAATTAGGTAATGAGTCAGTGCCTCCCCATTGCACAGTGTGGGGTCATCAAGTGTTGAGTATTGGGATTGGTACACATCTCTGTACTTCCCTGACAATTACAGTCCTAAGCAAAACCCGTTAGAACAACAAGGCATCATTTGTCTTTCAGAACTAATTCTAACTGTCATTGCTCCCCTTGAGGTTGCATTTATTTTTCTAATTTCAGAAAGTTATTTATTCATTTATTTATTTTGCTTTAAGTTCTGGGATACATGTGCAGGACATGCAGGTTTGTTATATAGGTACACATGTGCCATGCTGGTTTGCTGCACCTATCAACCCGTCATCTAGGTTTTAAGCCCCACATGCATCAGGTATTTGTCATAATGCTCTCCCTCCTCTTGCCCCCAGCCCCCGAATGGCCCCAGTGTGCGATGTTCCCCTCCCTATGTCCATGTGTTCTCATTGTTCAACTCCCACTTATGAGTGAGAACATGCAGTGTTTGGTTTTCTGTTCCTGTGGTAGTTTGCTGAGAATGATGGCTTCCAGCTTCATCCATGCTCCTGCATCCTACATCATTATGACAGAAACAAGTGAGTGCTGTTGTGGCCAGAGGACATGTTGGGAACAGACCAACAGAGCTGGCTGTATGTGTGAGTTCCAACTCTCCTGCATTTCAAGTGTGTGACATCAGTCAAGTCACTAAACTTCTTTAGGTTCTTCTGTTTTATTTTACTGGCATAGGGTAGGTACTGAATGACTTATTTATTGAAGGAATGCATGGGTTAATAAAAACTAGTCCTCACTTATTTCAAGGTTAATATAATGAAAAAATGCTCAACTAGGTATGGAAAAACTGTGTAAGTGGAGTCCTAACTCAGTGTTGTAGCCAAGGAGAGCTCTAGTGTATGGCAAGATGAAGACTTTCTTTGGTTTGGTCTTTGAATACTTTTGTCAGTGTGTCCATGGACATGTAATCCCCTTCTCTAGAGGTAACAGGAGTCTGAGGGAGAAGCCTCCAAACATCAACAGCCTTAGAGAAGGAGCCCCCCAACATCAGCAGCCTTAGAGCAGGAGCAGCCTGTATTGTGAAAGTATTCTATTTCCATTGATTGAATAACTGATAGATAAAGCTAGCTTCATTTTGTAATGTCCCACCAAACAAGTTATAAAATACATATTTATGAATTTGTCTCAGGCTGAAGTCTCACTAGCTGTTAGAGAGGATTTTAAAAGCATATGTGTATTGTATCGTGGCTAAACGTGGGTAAACTGAAGTTTGCTGCTATCATTTAGTTTGCTAAAAATTGTCATTTAGTAATATGACAAAAGCCTAAAAACAAATGACATGGCTTATTATATAAAGTCAGTCTCACCCATCCACTTTACAGATTCACTCCTTATTTGGAGGCCTTTCATATTCTAGGCACATAGTTGAATCTTATGCATTCACAGCGTCTCTGAGACCTTGTTACAATATAGCTATCTAGCACCCTAAGAGTGTTCTGTAACTCTGGACATTAACTAGAAAGTTCTAAAAATATATTTGTCTTAACTATATAGAAGGCATGAATTCAATAAATGCATTTGTCTTTTAAAGAGATATTTTATGCACAAGTAAGAACTCTGTAAACATATGTTTACTGATTGACATATGTAGAAGATACCCGTAGTATTTTTTTGAAGACTAATACATACAAGGCCCGGTGCCAAATGCTTTATATGTATGTATTAGGTTATTTCTTGCTGCATAAGAAATTGCTACAACTTATCAGACTAAAACAGCACACATTTATTATCTGTCAATTTCTATGGGTCAGAAGTCTTAGCTGAGTCCTCTGCTCTGGAACTGACAAGGCTGCAATCAAGGTGTCACCTGGGCTGCATTCTCATCTGGAGACTCAACTAAGGAAGAATCTACTTCCAAGATTTCTCAGGTTGTTTCCTTGTGGCTTCATGACTGAAGGCCCTGGCCTCTTACTGATGGTCAGCTGGAGGCTACCTCAGCTCCTAGGGGCTGCCTGTAGTTACTGGCTGCGTGGCCCCTTCATGGCAGCTCACAACATGGCTGTTTGTTTCTTCAAGGCCAGCAGGAGAATCTTTCTTTTTGCTCTGCTAAAACAAAGTCTTATATCAGGGATGTCCACTCTTTAGGCTTCCCTGGACCACACTGGAAGAAGAATTTTCTTGGGCCACACATAAAATACACTAACACAAATGATAGCTGATGCACTAAACAAAAATCACACAAAAACTAAAACTCTCTTAATATTTTAAGAAAGTTCACAAATTTGTGTTGGGCCACATTCAAAGCTGTCCTGGGCTACATGCAGTCCTCAGGTTGCCAGTTGGACTAGCTTGTCTTATATAATGGAACTTAATCACAGGAATGATAGCCCATTGCCATTGACATGTTATTAGTTAGAAGCAAGTCACAGGTGCCTTCCACACTCAGGGGTAGGGGATTACAAAAAACATGACACCAGAGGGCAGAGATTATAGGGGGCATAGTAGAATTCTACCTACCCAAATGCATAACCTCATTTGATTATTAGCAATAGCCTCATGAGGCACATTCTATCATTGTTATATATTAGCATATAGAACTAAGGAAACAGGGCTAGCTTAAAAAGCCAAGATAACCCATCCAGATGAATAAACCAGAGCAAGTGCTTTGACCCCTGTATTTTGTTGTAACACATGGGACCTTAACCACCTGCATTCAAACCACATCTGTACTTCTGCTTTAAGTGACTGAGTGAAGATCTGTTATTTGCTGTATGCTGGACTCTGTTCCCATATATACATTTTCTCTTTTCACTGGGACACAACTCCAATAGGGAGCTGTTATAATCACTGTTTTACAGAGGATAAAACATATATAAACATACGTAACATATATAACATATGGAACAAAAATAAAAGAGGTTATTGCTTTCTGACTTTGGGCAAGTTACTTAACTTATCTGAGCCCATTCATCTGTACAAAGGGGAATAATAGTAATTATTTCATAGAATTGTTGTGAGGATTAAATGAGGTAATATAAGCATATCAGTTAGCAGAATGTCTGACCCAGACTATTAACTAAATAAATGCTATATAGCATTTTTTTAAGATTGGTAAATTTTGCCTGTCTAGCTTTAATGATTTATAGGCTGGGCGCAGTGGCTCATACCTGTAATCCCAGCACTTTGGGAGGCAGAGGTGGGCGGATCACAAGGACAAGAGATTGAGACCATCTGGCCCACGTGGTGAAACCCTGTATTTACTACAAATACAAAAATTAGCTGGGTGTGGTGGTGTGCACCTGTAGTCCCAGCTACCTGGGAGGCTGAGGCCAGAGAATCACTTGAACCTGGGAGGCGGAGGTTGCAGTCAGCCGAGATCATGCCACTGCACTCCAGCCTGGGCAACAGCAAGACTCTATCTCAAAAAAGAAAAGAAAAAGGATTTATAATTTAACAGTGTGAGAGTAGAACAAAACAAGTTGTTTTTAAGAACCTACATTTCTTTTTCCTCTAGCAGATAATGGAGAAATATTCTGTGCCTGCCATTCTGCTCCTGATAATTTCTTTCAGATATGCTCTTCTCTTCTATTACTGCAAAGGCCTCTTGGAGGTCAACTAAAACCTGGGCGGGTTTCGTGGCCATCATATGTCACCAGTCCTTCTCTGGGGCCTCTCAAGCCTCTTTGTTTTTCTCTTCAGCCTCCATCCCTTCCTCCTTCCCTTTCTCCTTTGGTCTTCTCTGTTACCTGCTTCCCCATCCAGTAGGACTCCATTAATGCAGATTAAATAGAGAAACTAGTCCCTCAGTTAAAGCTGTTCTAATGAACGGATACTCTGCTGCCAACCTTGTACCAAGCTCTCCAGATGCAGAGAATAACCAGAACTAGCCTCTGTCCTCCAAGTCTATGGGAGATTAACTTGGGAAATCTTTTCTAAGCATGTCAAAATTTTCAGGAGCTTTCCTGAGGTTAACAAGGAGATGGAAATCAGGGCTGGTGACAATATAGGTTTCTAGAAAAGGCATTAATTTTGGCATTGGGCCAGCCTGGGCACCAATCCCACCTTTGTCTCTTGCTAGTTATGTGACCTTGCTCAATAAATTGTTTAATTTCTCTGAACCTCTGTTTCCTCACCCATAAAAGAGGGATAATAGTAATTCCTTCCTCAATATTGTTTTGTACCCAAAGAATGAAATCATCCAATAAAAGTGCAGCATGAATTGAGAAAGGCTCTGAAAATAGGAATTAAGATATAGGAGTGAGATAAACTGAAGAAAAAGCCAACAATTGCAAAAATCTTAACCTTGAAAAAAATTCATGAAATTTACATTTTATCTCAAGGCAATTATCACTTCATCAACCCTTCTTTATCTTTCCGATGAAAATCCTTTAAAAACTGTGGTCACACAATGAAAATGTGGTTTCTAAGCATGGAAAAACTTGCTTTGAAACCATGAATCATCTATTATTATTATTATTATTTTAGATTAAGAGGCAGGAGAATGATGTGTGTTGTGAAACACTCCCCACATCTGGAGGCATAATTTTCATCTTCCGTTTATAGTTTCAGCTGTAGTTATTCAAATCTCAGTCTGCATTAGCAACGTCATTGGGATTCCAAGAAAACATTTTAGATGCCTCTCATTTAATCAATTGTAACAACCCATAATAGAAAGTCCGCCCTTAAAAGCAGGACTCTTGTGGATAATGAGTTAGAATAATAAAAAATAGTAATGCAATTTGTGGGAAGAATTCAGTGTGGTTAATCGTTATTTGATTTTGAAGACAAGATTAAATTAGTGTTGTCCCTTATGTCGTTATGTCAACAAATTAAATCTGGGTAAACCCCACCCTATTTTCCATGGGACAGTGACAGATGGAGCAAATGCATGCTTGTTTTGTTTTGCTTTGTTCTTGTTAAAAAAAAAATTCTGATCAGATTCTTTAGTTGGTTCTGGTTCCACAGAGCTTTTCTTCATATATTTTCATTGTGCATTTTATCAACAGAATGTGATTTTTTCCCCATCTTGGGAACAAATACCCAAAAAATAATATTTAATTGCTCATTTCCTCAATCCTCAACCCCTTTATGAAGAAAACAGAAGAATACAAACTACAGTAGAGAACAGCGAAGACTAACAATGCTTATCTGTGGAGAAAACATAAGAATGGCCACAGTTGTACCCTTTTAACCTGAAGATCAACTTGGGGTTAATGTAAAGAAGAAGGATATTTTGTTTTATTCTAATCTGTTTTTAACTCAAGTGGTGTTTTGTGAATTCATTAATTCCCAAGGGATTCATTAATCCGTAAGAAGTCCTAAGCTGTGAACTTCTTAATTTTTGAAGAAAGCATAGCAATTCACTCATGAATTAATGTGGTTTAATGAGAGCTTGATTTGAGGTAGGACAGTCTATCCCATTACAGAAGCCTTTCAGGGAGTACAGGGCATGACTGAACATTTTGTACCATCTTCAGGCAGGGAAAAACATTCCTTGGGCCATGGGTATAAAAGAAAGTTCAGAGTTAGTCAAAGGAATCTGGGCAATTCTAGACTCATGAGAAAGGCTGGGGAAAAATCAGGGGTCTCAGTTGTATAGGCAGAGAACAAAGAAGGAAGCTAACCTTCTTAATTCAAGAATTTTCCCTGACATGCTGTTTTCCACAAAGAAGACCTAAGCTATCAACTTCTTAATTTTTGAAGAAAATATAGGAAGGACCAGATGAAGGTAGGACGGGGTGAGGTAATGGCTCCCATGCATTGATGCTATGCGCTAAGTGTGCTTATTAAGCATTTTAAGAGCATATTTTATTTACTCCTCAAAATTATCCTGTTTCACTGGAACTAAAAGAAGGTAGTTTTGTGTCTCAACATTAATGATCAGGAAACACAGACAAGTGCAAGGTGGCAGGGCTAGTCAGCAATAGCATTTAACACCAAGTTTTCCTGGCTGCAGGGACCCAGCCCTTAACCAATATTCTATTTGTGCTCCTAAGGGGTTTAAATCTGTTTTGTCTCACTAGGAAAAGAACAAGATTCTGCCCTACTCTCTTTTATGCAGATTGCTTTTTTATATAGACACACAGCTTAAATCATATGAACATTTTAATTTCCAAAAATCTGGTATTTTCCACTTGGGTTTCTTTCTACTGGCTACCAAAACCATTCCAATGATATAAGGTTAACTTTTCTTTCCAGATCTCCCATTTGCATTTTGCTTATTCAGCTGTTCTACTGCTGTATCCCAGCATTACTAAAGAATATTTTGTGCTCCCATATACAATTCTAAGCATCTAAATTTTTAGCCAGCAAGATTCCTATATTTGTCACTTACTAAGCTATCATCTCTCAATCTCTCAGCATCAAATCCATCCTTCAATATTTGTCCTCTTAATGCTGGTGCTTGGAACCTGCAAACTCTATTTCTGGTATGCCAGCTGTTAGGATCTGCTGATAAAGAGTGTTAGAGCAAGACTTGAAGGCAGAACAGGACAGAAGGGATTAACTCTTTCTATTTGCCTGTAATTCCTTTCAGTGTGGTTTCAGCTATAGATCTTTACTCCCATAACAGTAACAGACGGTTCCCCCTAACCCTAAGAATGACAGCTGCTTTCTGCAGTTGCAGTCTGGGTTATCTTCAGGTTACCTGTTTGCTTTTTCAGTTGAGTAGCATTTACTTAACTCAGATCTAATAATAAGCTTTCTCTGTTAAAATACCTAGCATGGTTTCTGTTTTTCTGATTGCATCCTGTCTGGCACCTCTCTCAGACTCAATTCTCCTATTGCCCTTTTCAGAGCTTGCAATGAATTACAGAATCTTCAAATTTGGAATAATCTTAAAGGTTGTCAAGTCCAAATTCTGACATAGTAGAGAGGTGTTCTATTTTCAGTTGTTAGATGTTGTGTTAGTTCATTTTCATGCTTCTATGAAGTAATACCCAAGACTGGGAAATTTATGAAGAAAAGAGTTTTAATTGATTCACAGTTCCACATGTCTGGGAGGCCTCAGGAAACTTACAGTCATGGTGGAAGGCAAAGGGGAAGAAAGTCACCTTCTTCGCAGGATAGCAGGAAGGAGAAGTGATGAGCAAAGGGGAAAAAGCCCCTTATAGAACCATTGGATCTCATGAGAACTCACTCAGTATCTCCAGAACAGTATGGGGGTAATCACCCCCATAATTGGATTACCTCCCACCAGGTCCCTCCCATGACACATGGGGATTATGAGAACTACAATTCAAGATGAGATTTTGGTGGGTACACAGCTAAACCATATCATTCCACCCCTGCCCCCTCCCAAATCTCATGTCCTCAAATTTCAAAACACAAGCAAGCCTTTTTAACCATCTGCCATAGTCTTAGCATTAACCCAAAAGTCCAAGTCCAAAGTCTCATTTGACACAAGGCAAGTCATTTCTGTCTATGAGCCTGTAAAATCAAAAGCAAATTAGTTACTTCCTAGATAAAATGGGGGCATTGGGTAAATATACCCTTTCCAAATGGGAGAAAATGGCCGAAACAAAGGGGCTACAGTTCCCATGGAAGTCTGAAATCCAGTGGGGCATTCATTAAACCTTAAAGTTCCAAAATGATATTCTTTCACTCTATGTCTCACATCCAGGGTACACTGATACAAGAGGTGGGCTCTGATGGCCTTGGGCAGCATCACACCTGTGGCTTTGCAGGGTACAGCCTCCTTCTTGGCTGCTTTCCAGGCTGGCATTGAGTGTCTGTGGTGCAAACTGTCAGTGGATCAACAATTCTGGGTTCTGGAAGACAGTGGCCTTCTTCTCACAGCTCCACTAGGCAGTGCCCCAGTGGGAACTCTGTGTGGGGGCTCCAACCCTACATTTCCCTTCTGCACTGCCCTTGCAGAGGTTCTCCATGAGGGCTCTGCCACTGCAGCAGACTTCTGCCAGGACATTCAGGCATTTGCATACATCCTCTGAAATCTAGATGAAGATTTACAAATCTCATTTCTTGTATTCTGTGAACCCACAGGCCCCAAACCATGTGGAAGTTGCCAAGGCTTGGGGTTTGCACCATCTGAAGCAATGGCCTGAGCTTCTCCTTGGCCCCTTTTAGCCACAGTTGGAATAGCTGGGATGCAGGGCATCAAATCCCTAGGCTGCACACAACAAGGAGCCCTGGGCCCAGCCCAGGAAACCATTTTTCCCTCCTAGGCCTCCAGGCTTGTGATGGGAAATGTTGCTGGGAAGGTCTCTTATGCCCTGGAGACATTTTCCCTATTGTCTTGGTGATTAGCATTTGGCTACTAATTACTTATACAAATTTCTGCAGCAAGCTTGAATTTCTCCCCAGAAAATGTGTTTTTTTCCTACTACATTGTCAGGCTGCAAATTTTCCAAACTTTTATGCTCTGTCATCTCTTGAATGCTTTGTTGCTTGCAAATTTCTTCTACAAGACACCCTAAATCATCTCCCTCAAGTTCAAAGTTCCACAGATTTCTAAGGCAGAGACAAAAAGCTTCCAGTCCCTTTGCTAAAGAATTAAGAAGAGTCAACTTTGCTCCAGTTCCCAACAAGGTCCTCATCTTCATCTGAGACCACCTTTGCCTGGACTTCATTGTCCATATCGCTATCAACATTTTGGTCAAACCATTCCACAAGTCTCTAGGAAGTTACAAACTTTCCCACATCTTCCTTTCTTCTAAGCCCCCCAAGTCTCTAGGAAGTTTCAAACTTTCCCACATTTTCCTGTCATCTTCTGAGACCTCCAAACTGTTAAAACCTCTGCCTGTTTCCCAGTTCCAAAGTTGCTTCCACATTTTCGGGTATTCTTATTGCAGCACCCCACTCTCTGTGGTACCAATTTTCTGTATTAGCCTGTTCTCATGCTGCTATGAAGAAATATCTGAGACTGGGTAATTTATTTAAAACATAAAGAAGTTTAATTGACTCAAAATTCCACAGGGCTGGGGAGGCCTCAGGAAACCTACAATCATGGTAGAAGGGGAAGGCAATAAATCCTTCTTCACATGATGGTAGGAAGGAGAAGTGCTGAGCAATAGGGGGAAAAGTCCTTTATAAAACCATCAGATCTCATGAGAACTCACTCACTATCATGAGAACAGCATGAGGGCAACTGCCTCCATGATTCAATTACCTCCTACCAGGTCCCTCCCATGACATGTGGGGATCATGGGAACTAATTCAAGATGAGATTTGGGTTGGGACACAGCCAAACCATATCAGATGTCCACTAATGGACAACTTCTATTAGACAAAGCTTCCAGAGCATTGTGTTTTGGAGAAGTATGAGGTTTTATTGGATTATTTTTTTCCCAAGGAAAAGATGTTTGAGATGCAACATCTCTGTCTTAGTATGGAATGGAGTTAGAGATAGTTATGTATCCAATGCTTTAAGCAATGACAATAACAATAAAACACTTCAGTTATATTCTAACAGTACCTGCCTTTATATGAGATTTTTATGAGAGAAGGCTGTATTTCCTCAATGGTATTTGCTGTTGATGTTCTCAAGCAGAAGCAATATATGTCAGTGTGGAACGAAGACCCCTCATGTGGACTTATGAGAAGTTCTTTAGCCTATTGTGATTCTTGTTATTGGGTTACTTGTACATTGTGAGATAAGGCCAGATGTATGTGCCCTCGTCTTCCACAAAACTTAGATTTATGAGGGATAGATCCATTCATTTTACTCATTCATTTCATTCATTTATTGTTTTACCCAACCATCTGTCTTTTCATATATCTATCCATTCATTATTTTATTTAATTCATTTATTTTCCTGAGATTCTTATCTGCTCTGAATACTATGCTAGACTAGAAGGCAAATTGAAAAAAAAAGATGTCAATTTCAAGGAGCTCTATAGAGAAGTGAAGATGTTTCAGTTGGATAAAATCTGGAAGTGGAGAAAAACCTGATAAAATTAGTAAGAGGAAGGCCTTCTGAAGAGAGAAAAGCTGATGGAAAGTTGCAATGTTGCTGATAGAGGAAATAACATTAAATGATCAGGAAACTAAGAAGTTGGTTTAAAGCTGAGGAACACTGGACAAAAAGAATCCTGATGTAGAGTACGCAAATTACAATGGGCCCCTTTGAAGGAAAGTGAGAAATATATTCATAGATTTATATGTCTGTGTGCATTATTTTAAAGCCTATTGCAGACTTCACAGTGATAATAGAGATTATTAATATTCAACAACAGCTACTATTTAGCACAGATATTAGAGAGTATGACCCATGTTCAATAATAAATGTAAATCTAAGTAAAATTGCTGCTACTCTAGTCAAGAGCTCCTGACCTTCACTCACTTGTACCAACCACCTAAAATAGTGAGTGGTTCAGCCAATTGATGAGTATCTGTCCATTTATTTATTCATTCTATAAATACTTTTTTAAATCCACAATTTGTGGGTCTCTCTAATTTATTCTGGGCTTATAACAGTAATCAAGACTCTTTTCTCTTAAAGCCTAGCTGCAGAAACAATTGACTAAATGTGAAATTTCAGTGAAGCATAGTAAGTATTATTATAGAGGAAGAATGATATGCTTTGGGACCATATAAGCAGCGACACTTTTGATAGCTTAGAAATTCAGACAAGGCTCCTAGAAACGTGACATTAAAGCAGACCTAAATATCTAGTAAGAGTTCATTAGACAGAGATGAGTGATGGAAGATAGGGTTCCAGGCAAAAGTAGAAGCACAGTGAGATTTGGAGTTGGGTGAGAGCTTAACGTTTTGAGAACCTGAAAGAAGTTTATTATGACTGGATTTGATGCTGGGAGAAGGGCTCCAGAAGCACACAGGGATAAAACTTAGAGGGCATTTTATATTGCATCAGGGACTTTTAGAATTTATCTAATGAGTAATTGGAAGTCGTTGGAAGATGCAAGTCAGGAGGGCCGTGATCAAACCTGTAAACAAATTGCATTATAAACAATTAGAGTACCATGAAAGCAGGTAGACTTGTGAGGGGCTGTTGTGTGAGACCTGGTGTGACATAGTTTGGGACCACTTTCATGGAGATGGAACCATTCCAAAGATGTGCTCCTCTGAGGAGACCTTGTTCTGCAGATACAGATGTACATAGGTAAAGTACTGAATCATTAGGAAAGTAAGACTGGGATGTCCGTTGATTTCAAAATGCATTCATATGTGGCTGTGTCTGACTTAGTGACATGAGGTGGACCAGGTAATGAGTAGGAGACAGTTAAAGTAGAAAATTATTTTAAGACTTTGAATATAAAGAGATAGGTAATCGGTAGACACAGCAGGAGCTGGAAGGTAATATGGAGCAATAAAAGCCTTTTGTTTTAATTGGGCAAAGCTGGAATATTTACCTCTTGATGAATAGAAATTAGTTGAAAGGAGATTGGAAAATATATTGGAAAAGGGGACAAATAATTGATGAGACAAGTCCCTAATAAATTTGAAGGTAATGAGATTAAATTTTAGGTGTTTATGAGATAGGATGTGAGATCATCTGCTTTGAAAATAAAAGGAGTTGGAGGGCTAGTTAGTTGAAAATAGTAGGACAAAACACAAGTTTAGATGAATGATAAAATTTAAGAGAAAAGATAAACATTCTAAAGTTGACCTCAATAAATAAATATTTATGGGCCCAGGGACTTTTTTTGTCCTAAGAATTTACTAAGCTTTCCTTCTGTCATTTTTTCTTTCTTCTTTCCATCATTCCCTCCTTCCCTCCTTTCTTTCTTCCTTCCCTCCTTTCTTTCTTCCTTCCTTCCCATTAAGAGAGTATTAATATTAAAGCTGTCATCACTATAACAGAAAATGTTAAATACATTTTAGAGTTATAAATAGAAGCTATTACCCTCTAGTGGATATAATATTATATACTATATGAGAGAATTGGAAGACCAACTCTAAGCATTTTTATTACTATTGGCAACTGCTCAGAGAAAAGCAAAATCTGACCCATTTATAGAACTGAAAAGATGTTAACATGAGTATTTTTACCCTGCTGCTATAACTTGCTTTTTCTTTTACATAAAAACAAGCGAGAAAACACGTATACACCTGAGTGAGGCTGATCTTATGTAATGTCTATAAATATATCAAAGCACTCATTCATGTACCATTTAATAAATATGTCTCTATAAGAGGAACTGTCTCAGGTTCTAAAGAGGAAAAGTACATAGGCCATGTCCTGGCTGCAAGAGCTCCCATTGTAGTTGGGGTAATAGATTGAAGGGTGAAACTTTACAACCAATTAAAATATAATCTCTCTGTTTCTCTCTCTCTCTCTCTCTCTCTCTCTCTCTCTATATATATATATATATATATATATATATATATATTCATTCTATGACTTCTTTATCAACTCGCTGATTGATGGGCTGAATCTCTTTATCTGAACAGTGCTAATGATAAAAGTTCCTCCCTCATGAGGCTGTTGTGAGGAAAAAATAATGTCCCTAAAGCACCCACTCATGCTAGTTGCCATAGTGTTGCCACTCAATAATGGTGATTGTTATTATCTCTCCAAATTACTCTTGAACAACTTGAAATTCCCATTTGTCAATCTAATGAGTAATTGGAAGTCATTGGAAGATGCAAGTCAGGAGGGCCATGATCAAATTTGTAAACAACTTGCATTATAAACAATTAGAGCACCATGAAAGCAGGTGGACTTGTGAGGGGCTGTTGCATGAGAACTGGTGTGAACTAGTTTGGGGCCACATGTTTTAACTGACTCACAGGTTAGTATAGCTGGGGAGGCCTCAGGAGACTTACAATCATGGTGGAAGGCAAAGGGGAAGCAGACATCTTTTTCACAAAGCTGCAGGAAGGAGAATGAATGCAGGAGGAACTACTAAACACTCATAAAACCATCAGATCTTGTGAGAACTCACTCACTATCACAAAAACAGCCTGGGGGAACCACCCTCATGATTCAGTTACCTCCACCTAGTCTCTCCTTTGACATGTGAGGATTATGGGGATTACAATTCCAGATGAGATTTTGGGTGGGGACACAGCCAAACCATATCTCTCATTAAAGAAAAATCAAACAGAATATTCATAATCTCTCGCACCTTGACATTTGTTAAAACCATTGTGTATACCTAAGATCTTCCCAGATGTCTCTCTACGTATTCTTATTTTACTATACCAAAAAGATTTAATATAGACACTCTTTTGTTATCTTCCATAATTTATGTCATCATCTAAATAATTATTTGTGACTTAGATTTTTCCAATGTTTCTCAACGTAAAGTATACAGAAGAGAAATAATTGACAAAACAAGATTTAAAAGTGGACTGGCAGAAAAGTAGAACTCACCTAAAACATTCTGAGAAAGGCACAGTTTTAGAGACCAATAACTTTATGATGCTCTAAAATACCAATTACGTATTGGAAAAGCGAATTACTAGGGCTATATCTTTAAATCACCTTCCTTTTCATCAAATGACTTTAGCAGGGGAAGGGCATGGACCACCTGCAGCCACCAGCCTCCAGTTTCCAGAGAAGACGGAGGCCATGGACATGGTCCACATCAACCTTAACCATGCAGGGGCAAACAAAGATGCTTTTGTTTATACACCAGGGCCATTCTTGGCTCTCTGTCCCCACATTCTATGGGTCAGCAAATCATTTCTGGTCTGCATTCCCCACATCTGGGATCTGATTACTTCTCAACACATCTACATTATCACTCTAGTTCAAGTTACTCTTTTATCTCTTAATTGAACTCCCTGCTTCTACACTTGTCCTCTCATAGTCACTTCTCATACATGGACCAGAGGGGTCCTCTTAAACTCTAAGTTGGAATTCCACTCCTCAGCTCAAATGCTGAAGCACTCCCAGGGCATGCAGTAACTCACAGAATCTGCCCTCGGCCACCTCTTCTCTTTGTCTTCCCCTCCTAATATTGTCCTCCTCACCTGCTCTACTCCTGCCATACTGGGCTCCTGGTTCTTCCTCAGAAACAGGACAGTCCCTCACCTCAGAGACTTTATGTTTGCCAGAACACATTTATGGAATGCTCTTTCCCTACACACTGACATGGCTTAGCCCCTCATAGCCTTGTGTCCACTCAAATGTCACCTCCTCACTAAAGGCTTGCCCAGAGGACCCCTCTGGTCTGTGTATGAGAAGTGACTATGGGAGGGCAAATGTAGAAGCAGGGGTTCAAATTAAGAGATAAAAGAGTGACTTGAACTAGAGTGAAAATGTAAGCTTTATAAGGATGAGGGTTTTTGTGGCTTGGGTCAGTGCTAGAGCCCCAACCACATACAGGAGGCATTAACATACTTTATTGAGTGGCTAAACCCCGTCCCTACCTCCAGCCATAGAAGACCCCTTTTCCCGTTACAACTCATTTCGTTATTTGTGCAGGTTCAATGGGAATGAGTATGAAGAAAATTGGTACAAATTACCAGGACCCAGTTGGAAGGAGCATGGGGGGAATTCCCCATGAAGACTTTTAGGAAGATGTACTTTTTTGTCACCAAGATCCAACCCTTGTCTTTGAAGCCTTGATCCACGTCTTATCATCTCTTAATCTTCTATTTCCCAACTCAAAAGAGAGAAATAATTGTTAAATGTTTCCACTGGGACAGTGTTTTGCTGTTAAAAAGGTTTACAAGGAATAAATAATCCAGAGAAACAAGGTTATGAAGAAATACCAGTAGATAAGAACTCTTGTTCTGGATTAGAACTATACCATTTGAATTCTTTTAAGCTGTTGGAACTTAAGCAAGTTTTCTAACTTCTTTATAATTATGAGTGTTGATTATCATAGCACACATCTAATAGAAAGGGCAGGGGTGATAAAATGAGAGAATGCATGGATAATGCACAGCACACAATGCTCAATGTTCAATTAATAGAAACCTTTGCCATTATCTCCATAATTGTGGTAGGTGAAAAAAAAAGCATGGCACAAACTCATATGTATAGCATGAAGTGACAAGATAAAATAAAGTCCACATTAGCACAGGACTTTCAATCTCTGCATCAGAGCTGGGGCACTCTTGCCCTCTCACCACTTCACAACCTCCCTCAACTCAGCCAATTTCACATATTAGCATCTGCCACCTGCGATACACCAACTGGATACTGATTTTGGTATCAATCAGTGTTCTTTCAATTGTAAGTCACAAATATGCAAACTGACTTAATCAAGAAGACAATTTATTGTCTCATAAGAATGAGAAACTCTGCCTGGCTCAGCGGCTCACAGCTGGAATCCCAGCACTTTGGGAGGCCAAGGGAGGCAGATAACTTGAGGTCAGGAGTTTGAGACAAGTCTGGCCAACATGGCGAAATCCTGTCTCTACTAAAAAATATTTATATATATATTTCTGGGCGTGGTGGTAGGTGCCTGTAATCCCAGTACTCAGGAGGTTGCGGCAGGAGAATTGCTCGAATCTGGAAGGCGGAATTTGCAGTAAGCCGAGATTGTGCCACTACACTCCAGCCTGAGCAACAGAGCGAGACTCTGTCACAAAAATGAATGAATAAATAAATAAATAAATAAAATACCATGGAATACTATGCAGCCATAAAAAATGATGAGTTCATGTCCTTTGTAGGGACATGGATGAAATTGGAAACCACCATTCTCAGTAAACTATCGCAAGAACAAAAAACCAAACACCGCATATTCTCACGCATAGGTGGGAATTGAACAATGAGATCACATGGACACAGGAAGGGGAATATCACACTCTGGGGACTGTGGTGGGGTCGGGGGAGGGGGGAGGGATAGCATTGGGAGATATACCTAATGCTAGATGACACGTTAGTGGGTGCAGCGCACCAGCATGGCACATGTATACATATGTAACTAACCTGCACAATGTGCACATGTACCCTAAAACTTAAAGTATAATAAAAAAAAAAAAATTAAAAAAAAAATAAATAAATAAAATAAATAAATAGAAAATCTACTAGGAAGAGCTGGCTTTACATATATTTAAGTTTAGTCATCCAAATAGAATGATGTAGTGATATTCTTCCCCTCCTTCTCCCTCCTTTTTCTTCCCCCTCTTCTCCCTCCTTTTTCTTCCCCCCACCCTCTTCCTTTCTTCTTCTCTCTCTTTATCGCCATATCTATCCAGGCTCTGCTTGTTTCAGCTTGGATTTATTTGGGCCGACTTTCCCTACATGATAACATGAGTCTGAAGTCAACCCAGTAAAGAGACTTCATGCTTTAGAATAAGAACATTATTTCCAGTATCCAGTAGCTTTAGGAAAGTCCTAGAGAGGTCTTCTATTGGCTTGGCTTCATTCACGTGGCCATCCTTGAACAGATCACTGTGGCCAAGGCAAAGAGCAAATCACTGTGCTCAACTAGAGGCCAGGCTAACAGTGTGAGGCCCATTATGAGGCCGTAAAAATATTTTAGTATTGTTATGTGATGGGGGAGGTTTCTTTTCTCCAAAGAGCTGTTGAGTAGACACAGAAGGAAAAAATGCCAGAAATTCTATATACTCTTCATAATATTAGGAGTAATTAACATGTGGATATCTTGGTGAATGATTTACTTTTATTTTAACTTTTAACATAGGGTTTCCAAATGATTGTTTGTCATAACCCAGCATTTTTATAGTTGAAAAGAAAAATTTAAAAAATGATCCTGGAAAGCCAAGCCAGCTGGTAAGCCCATCAAACAATGTGTGGATGAGTACATGTGACCCAAGGACCAGCCCAAACGCAGATGCAGACAGATTCCAGACTCTTCAGCAATCCTTCCCTTATCTGGGGCAAAGGCTGTGATGCCTACACAGTCTCTGTCATTTCATCCCTGATGCTCCAGTTTTTAGGAGAAACCACCTAGTCATGTTCAAACTTCCAGAAATGGTGGTCCTGTGGAAAGAATCCTAGGCCAGCAGCTAGGAGACCTGCTGTGAGTCCCAGCCCTGCCCATCACAGCTATGTCAGGTGGTTCAGACATGTTGGGCTTCAGGTCCCCATCTATAATCAAAAAGTTTGTTTCTAGCTTCAACAATCTATGACTATTATTTCCGTTTACTGATAGAGTAACTAATTACTTCATTATAGGTTTTCAAGACCAGTTACCTCCTGTTTGGTTCAATTAGCAAAATGCCAACATGATTGTCATTGATTTTGGTGGTTGGGCTTCCAGGAGAGAAGCCCAATGGGAAATAGTTCAGGATCTTAAGCAGATTTTGTATTTATTATTCCAAGGTAGTATATGCAGGAGCAGGGTTTGTCATGCATTTCTCAAAGTTCTTGCCTAGGAAAAGCTCACTCCCATCGTTCTCTTCCATTCTAGTGATGCCTTAGGACTCTTCGATTTAGAGTCTAGAGCCAGAGGAGAAGGAATAATCATGGTTAAGACTGGCTATAATGAAGACTTTTTTTTTCCCCCCTGAATAGAGAATCATAGAGTATCAGACAGAAGGTGAATTTCAAAGATGATTCAACCCAATCCTTTTGGATTAGAGGCAACATTTTCTGAGTATCTTCATGTATATTCTACAGAAAGAACATATGGTGCAGAGTTGAACAGAATGTGGTTTGAATCCTTACATATGTGTGACCTTTGGAGAGCTTCCTACTTTTTCTGAGTCATATTTTTATTATTATATATTTTAACCTTGAAAGTAGAAATGTTGATAATACCCATCTAGTAGCTGGTGTGGATATAGTAGGCAGAATAATGACCTTCCCAAAAAAGTCCACATGCTAATCCTCAGAACCTGTGCATATATTTCATTCCACAGCAAACAAAACAAAACAAAACAACTTTGCAGATGAGATTGAGTTAAGCTAAGGATACAGAGATGGAGAGATTCTCCTGGATTGTCTATGTGGATTCAGTATATTCATAAGGGCTCTTATACATAAAAAAGGTCAGGCAGGAGAGTTAAAGTCAGAAGGGAGATACAAAAGAAGAAAAGTTCAGAGTGATGAAGGGAGTGGTGTGGCTACAAGCCAGGGAATGAGAGCAGCCTCTAAAAGCTGAAAAAGGCAAGGAAATGAATTCTCCCCTAGAACCTTCCAAAGGAACACAGCCCTACTGACCCATTTTAGACCTCTGATCTCTAGAACTGTAAGATAATTAATTTGTGCTGTTTGAAGCCACCACCTTTGTGGTAATTGGTTACAATTACAGCAATAGTAAACAGATACAATGAGGATTGTTAATTACAAAAACTGGTGCCCTGGAGCACCAAATGCATGAGGTACACTGAATGCTATTGTTCTTGCTGTTCTGGTTATTGTTGTTTTTCTTCTCCTTTATCATACTTTCTGTCTTCTTTTCCTGTCCCTCATCCTTCTTTACCATTCTCTTTCTCTTTCTCCTGCTCTTCGCTTCCTTCTCATTCCACTAAAAATATAACAAGAAAGGAAGAAAAGAGCTAGCATTTGATAAGGACCAGTCAGGAACCACCCTTGGTGATTTTACATGCATAACCTAGTTTAATCTTTAAAATAAGTCTTCGAGACAGGTTTTAGTATTTTTATTTTACCAATGAAGACACTGGGGTCTACTGAAGTAAAGTAGTTACTTCCAGATGCACTGAGTTAGTGAGAGTCCTGAGACTGTGGGCTGGCCCACACCTCCCTCCTCATTAGCAGCCTGATCTCTGTTCCAGACAGCGAGCTGTCCACCTGTGTTCTGTGCGTCCTGGCTGGCCAGAGCAGAACTGAGCATGGGACTCCATCACCATGGAAACGGCATTGCCTGCCTGGGTTGTGGAGTGGTGTCTTGTCCAGCCAGGGTGGCAGATGCTGGGAAGAGATGCTGTACCCCAAGAAGGGGTTGCCATCTCTCTGAAGATGTTCCCTCTTCTAAAGACAGCAAATAGCTCATCCCACCCTTGCCATTGCCATTTCAAATGAGCCCTCTCTTATGAGTTGAAGCACAGACCGTTTATCAGACACCTACAGTATGTTACACACTGCTAGCCTTGTGCAAGCTTTTTTCTCTGGTTCATATTACAATTCTGTGAAGTGGGTACTGTTTTTCCTATTTACAGACAGGAAACTGAGGCTCAGAGAAGGAAGTATTTTGCCCACTCACACATGAAGTAGCAGACTGGAGTGTAGCCCGCTGTGCTGGCAGGCCACGGCCAGGCTTTCCCAGCCTCCACCCCAATCTCCATTCCCAGTGAAGGTTGCAGGGCTTCCCAGAGGCCTTGAATCTCAACCCACCGTGTGCTAATGAAGTCATTTTCATTTTCCCTCTCTCTCCTTCCCAGCGTCTCTCTTTTTGGGTCCATATGTAACAGGTTTGTTATGTAGATCCAGATCATATAACAGGATTTACACAAGCACTGCCCCAGTGGCGGTGGCATGGAGCAGGGCATGCCTTGGTGGAATGAGAAATCTGCAGAGCCAAGGAGGAGGAATTGAGACAGTTGATGCAGATGCCCAGACTAGGTAAGAGAGGACAGTCCTCCCCTCTGCCACAGGCCTCCCCACTGGCTCTGTCGGATAGTCAGCAGCACCCTTGTGAACTCTGCTGCTCAGAGCACCCAGGACTTCTGAGAGGATGGAGGGAAGGACGGCAGAGTGGGTGAAAGGCCCAGCTTTGGAACTGGACTGAGCTGAGCTTTTGGGTCAACTCTGCTGCTCTGGAGCTGTGTGGTTTTTGGGCAAGTTGTCTCACATCTGTGAGCCTCAGTTTCCTTTTTTGTAAAAAGTATCTGACAGTACAAGTTTGACCATGTCATAGAGTTGTGAGGATCCCATAGTCAAAGGGGCCATGGAGGTCAGGTTACCCCACCAGGCATTTAGAGTCAGAAGAACTGCTGATCAGAACAAATAAGAACTACCTATTGGATACTAGTCTCACTACCTAGATAACGGGATCATTTGCACACCAACCGCAGAGACATGCAATTTACCCATGTAACAAACCTGCACATGTGTCCCCTGAACCTAAAATAAAAGTTGAAAAAAAAAAAGAGAAGGAATCACTGTCTGAGTTCACTCAGACATCAGGAGTGGGGCTTCTGCGTTCGTTTCTAAAATTCTTTCCTCTAAAGCATATTGTTTCTTGTGGGGTCAAATGTGATGAGCAAGAAACAGCTGTGCCAGTGTTGATGTCAGAATGTGAGGCATTGAGGGCCTTTCCTCTGACTCCTTTCCTTACACTAGGCTGCCTTCTGGCAGGGCTTGCTGCAGTCAGGCCATGACATGAGCGGCTCCGTGACTCCACTCCAGATCTCATGCCCCCTTTGAATCTCTAGTAACAAACACAGAAAAATGGTATAAAGGCATTTAATATCAAGCATAAATGGTACACGGTGGAATAATTGATAGGCTTATAAAATAAGATTCTTAAATGGAATCATTAGAGAATGTAAAAATTCCCTGAGAGTATGTTTAATGAGCTTACCAGGGGCTGAGGCAGGCAGAAGGTCTAAGGTAACTGCAGTTTCACAGAGAAAAGGGAAACTGTCAGGTCTAAAATCTCTCAAAAATCTCTCCTTTGCCTACTCCCACCCCCACTTTCTTATTTTCAGCATCAGAATGAGAGGTTTCCCTCTCCCTGGGCAACTTTAGTTCTTTCCTGGGTTCTTACCTAAATTTCCTTCTTACTTCCTCCAGATGGTTCCTTTATAGTGACTCCATCTCTCTCCAATTCCTCACTAGTCATTCTTTTAACAGGCAACCATTCTATACATTTCTATGCCTGCCATGTGGCAGACATGTTCTAGACACTGCTGATGTAACCGCACATTAGTCTTTGATCTCCAGGAACCTATATTCATGAGGGGCAAGTTGCCCTAAACAAGTCTATGATATATAATGTTATATATGTCAAGCCATGCAAGGTCCTGGGGAAAACATTAAAGCAAGCTAGGAGAGCAAAAGCAGTGGCTGGTGGTGATCATGGTGGCTCTAGGGGGAGGCGATGGTAATGGACATTATGGGGCTAAAAAGCCATTTTCAATTAGGTAGTTAGTGAAGGCCTCCATAGAAGATGATATGTGAGTAGAGACCCAAATCTTAAGAAGCTAGATCTGCAAAAATCTAAGGAAAGACACTTCCAAGCAGGAAAGTGCAAATTTAGAGTCCCTAGGCTTCGTTGCCCCCTCCTCTTCAGTTGTGATTTATGCTGCCTCTCTAGATCCTTGGGGGATTGAGTAAAGGTATCCTCTGTGGGAATCTGCCTGAGAAAAACACTTCCTAAGTCACTTTAGCACACATCCTCCTCTTGGGGTCTCCTTCCGTGAACCCCAGACCTAAGACAGTTAAGTATAAATATCTGTTTCAAGACGTTTTTCTTTAAAGAGAGGGAACTGGGGTCAAGATTATTAGAGTCCAACAGGCAACTCACACTCAACATTCCCCAAATTGAACCTATTAACATTGTCTTCTCAAATTAGCTTCTCTTCCAACATTGCCCTTCTGAGAGAATGCCTGCATTGTTCATCCCGGCACAAAGGCAGAAACCTGGTTTATCTTCAGTTCTTCTCCAGTCAGTCTCCAAACCTTGTTGTTTCTACCTCCTTTACATTAAACACAGAAGTCGGCAAGGCTTGACCAAGAATGATTTAGATGTGGTTGGTGGCAGTGGGAACCACTGGAGCATGTTCAACCTTGTTTACCCAAAATCGAGCTTAAAATAAAACCACAGCCAATTTGTTGGTCTTTGTTCTTGGCAGTCTTTTCCAAATTGTGCATTGCATATGCATAATGTCAATTTCATGCAGACTTTAAGCACAAATAGAAAAGGAGGGGGGCCTTCCACCATGTCCTTTAGCATTGTTGGGAAGAGTGAAGCATTGCACTTTTATTGTCCTTCCTTCAGGCTCTGAGGAAATAAATATAATCAGTGGGGAAATTCAGTAGAAGCATAACAAAGAGCAAAGGCAAGAGGCAAGATTTTGGAGGGGAAATTAATTAAGCCAAACTAAAATGAATGGTTTTAGGTTTGGGATTCTGAGGCAGGCTGGGTTATGGAAAACTGGAACTGAGAAAGGAAGTGTCCCGGCAGGGAACTGACTCAGGGTCCAAGATTAATTATCATTCATGACCTAATTATGTAGTCAGAACGACCACTCTGCCAGTTCCTCTAATACAGGGGATGAGAAAAGGATGTGGCTCTGGAAGCTGGGGGTCTCACTTCCAATTTTCACTTAAAACAGATAATAAAATGGCCCCTCTCTGCCCTTTTATTCTTATTATTTGTCATTTTTATATTTTTAAAAGAGCCATTCTCTTCCAGATGGTTTTCTCCTTCTTTGCCAAATAACCAATAAACTTTCTTGTGATCTTAACATAAAAATGTGAGGTATATTCCCACTGGGTAGATGATGTACACCAGGTAGAATACTTATGCAGTCTTTATTCAGTTTACTTATTTATACTGCCTACTATCTGTAGGATATCTCTTAAGATACTTCCATTTTGGTAATAGGTTCAATCAAAGGTAAATGTGATTTGGCTTAAAGTCATTTACTTATCTTGCTAGCCCTAGATGCTGGAAACTACTATTAACTCCATTCTATAGATGTTTAAATTGGGGTTAGAAGGTTTAAGCAACTTTTCCAAAGTTACATGACTAGGGAATTAATGGAACCAGAGATTCAAAGTCAGACTTAGGTGGCTTCTCCAAAAAACACATTATCATTCACTTTAATAAAATCTGAACCTGTCCATTGCATGTGACCAAGTCTAGCCACACATCTAGGTTGGTCTATCACTAACACTTTAATACCATTTTCATCAAGCAACGAACAATTAAAAGTTTATCTTCTGGGCTCCTTGGCTGCTACTAAAAATTGTTTGATAGCTCTATACTTCCTTTGGGTAAATCTCAAAATAATTCCAGGTGTGGCACTTGAGTTCCTTTGTATTATAAACCTATCTTACTTGTCCAGACTCACCTGTCCTCACACAGTATCACCCCTACAACCTATATTTTATGGTTAAGCCAAACTAGACACATATGCAGATGTTGGCTATGATGATAAAGACTGTAAATATATTAGTAAGAACAAAGTGAAAGGCAGGAAAAAATGTTGGAGCCCTAGGGAGTAAGTAAGTGTGGTGGAACATGGCCTCTGGAACCAGACTATTTGGGTTTGAGTCTTGGCTCTGGAATGTATGAGCTGAACAAACTTGAGAAATTTACTTGCCCTCTGTGCATTAATTTTCTTATTTGAAGAACTAGGATTAATAATAGTATTTTTCTTATGTGGTTAAATGATACATAAAAATTGTGCAGAGCAGTGTCTTGTACATAGTAATTGTTATATAATTATTAGTTACTATCATCATCATCATAAGACTGACCTAGGTTAGAATTCTCTCTCGAATTTTGTTTTCTCTTCCTTAAGGCAGGATATAATTATTACCTGATTGATGTGAGAAATAAATGGGATAATATGTTAAAATCCTAAACATAATATTTGATATATAATAAAATGTGAGCTATAACATGTTCGCATGACCTTTATTCGTCAATTTCTTCTTTCTTACTCAAGACTCTTGACATTTTCCAAACCTTGCTGAGGTCTCCAGGAAGTTGTTCTTGGTCTTTTTCTAAGCTCATTCCTCACTTGGGCTGCTCCTTTCACTGTGGTTGAACCTTGTTCACTGGCCATTGTCTTGCTACAGTCGTCATCTGTATATGGTGACAGGTAGGTACTCAATGCTCATTAACTCCCAGATGTCACTAAATATCCAGAAGTAGACACACAGTCTCTGTCCTCAAGGAGCTTGTGACAAATGAGGGCACAAGTTAAGTTCAGAGAAAAAGCTACAGACTTTGAAATGTTCTTTAGAATTCACTGTGTTGTAGACTTCAAGGGATCTGTCATTTTGACATGTACTTGGGAGCTATTTGTACCGTACTCATTATGTTTCCTTTACTCTGCTGAGTACCCAACATATAAAAAGTAATAAATATTTGCTTTAAAACACTCTACTCAGTTTGTTGGAACAAAACTGACATGTTTGCTTAATTATACTGGTATTAATTGAAAGCCTAGTGTCCTAGGAGTGCTGTTAAAAAACAAAACAAGCAAAAAACCTGATGTATTATCTACCATCGTGCAAATTCTACCCTAGTGAAGAGCATGGTGGTACTAAACGCAACGATTGTCAGTGGTGACATGTTTAATGAAGAAAATAAAACACCAAAGTGGGATAGAATAATTGCGGATGGAGAACAGGGAGCTACTTCAGATTTAATGTACAAGGACACCCTCTCTGAAGAGATGACAAGGCTCTGAAACCTCAGTGCTGAGAAGGAACCACCCATTACAAGAGCTACATGAAAATACTTTTAGCAGAGAAAACATCAAAGGCAAAGCTTTCATGCTGAAAACCAGCTTGGATGTTTATGGAAATAATTCTGAACCCAATAGAATATGGAGCAAGTGCTATGGAAGCTCTGAGGGGCAGGGAGCAGTCTCTAGGAGGATGTAACAACTATGTACAATAGGGCTCAGTAAACTTTTTCTGCAAACAGCCAGGTAGTAAATATTTGGGGTTCTGCAGCCAGATGGTCTTTGTCACAACTACTCAACTCTGCTGTTGTAGCACAAAAACAGCTATAGACAATATGTAAATACATGGGCATGAATGCACGCCAATAAAACTTTATTTATGAAAATAGGCAGAAGACTGAATTAGCCTGCAGGCTGTAGTTTGCTAATTTATGGTTTACAATATTAGACAAAGGACTTACACGTGCTGTAGCAGATTGAATTTTCCATGGGGCCACACCAATGTATTCTGTGTCATATTCTCCTATTACTGTGTTTTGTAAATAAACATGGGGATGGGGGCGGGGTGTCTATACTTCTTCCCCTTGAATTTGGGTGGGTCTGGAACTACAGTAGATGTGTTGCTGCATGACCTCTAATACTAAATCATGAAAGATTAGGCAGCTTCCCCTTGACTTGCTTGGAGCATACATCTTGGGAGCTCTGAGATTACATACAAAATGTCCTGCTAATCTGAAACTGCCATGCCAGATACTCACATGGAAAAACTATATAGATCCCTGGCCCTCCCTCATTGATTCTTTGTAGCCCAGGGGCCAGTCATGTGCATGAGAGAGCTTTCAGATGTTCTAGATAATTCTAGTTCCCAACCTTCTAGCTACTGTAGGTGAAGCCAACAAAAAAAGGCTCTACAAGATTACAGATTCAAGAGCAAATTAACTGTTTTTGTTATTTTAAGTCACTAAGTTTGGGGTAGTTTGTTAGGTAGCAATCAACCAATACATGTTTTGTTTTTGATATTTAATAGCATTTAATTTTTTTCAATAGCTCTAAGAAATATTGTATAAAATACTCATTTATACAGGATTTGAACTCAAGCCCACAGAGAGGAATTCATGCAGATACAATTCTAAGAGGTCATTTTAGCAGAATAACAAGATTATTAATTAGCTGCATTAAATTCAGGTATTTGTTACTTTGAATTATAGTTCTCATAATTTCTACATCTGGTGGGAGGGATCTGTTCAGGGGTAATTGAATCATGAGGATGGTTACCCCTATGCTGTTCTTGTTCCAATTATTTTGTTTTTCCAAACTAAAATTTTATATGATTCTTCTTTATGTCTTATATTTTCTTGCTGAGATTTTGTTGTTGTTGTTGTTTCAAGAGTGTTTATAATTGATCATTGGAACATTTTCGTTTTAGTTGCCTTTCTGTCATCTGATAATTTCAACATTTGTGTCACTTTGGTGTTGGTATCTGTCGATTGTCCCTTATCATTTAAGTTGAGACATTCCTTTTTCTTGGTATAATTAGTAATTTGGACTCTATCCTAGAAATTTTGAGTATTAAGTTATGAGACTCTAGTCCTGATTTAAGTCTTTTATTTTATCAGGTGGTCAACCTGATATGGTGACATGTAAGTAGTCAATGTTCATTAACTCCCAGATGTCACTAAATATCCAGAATTAGACACACAATCTCTGTCCTCGAGCTGGTGAAAATGAGGACACAAGTTAAGTTCATAGAAAAAAGTACAGACTTTGAAGTGTTCTTTAGAGCATTTCAAAGAACTTTGGAACCTATTTAGGTTCGGAATTCATATCCTGGCTCCCTTTTATGATTTAAATGCCAAGTTGTGTTTAGCGTTTCTGAAGTGCTATTACAGTTTGCTCAACTTGAGTGTTACTTGGATGACAGGACTCCCATACCACAGTGTCCACAGTGCAGGAGGAAGGGCAATGCCTATCACTGCAGGGTTGGGGTGGAAGTTAGAACTCTGTCTTAGGCTGCACCTAGAAATGGTATTTTGTCCTTACTCAAGTCCCAAGGTCCCTAGCATGGTGTCCTTTTCTCCATCTCCCAGAGTTTTCTACTAGATGACTTATGCATTTTGTCCAGGGATTTTTAAATTGTGATTATCAGAAAGAGCAAAATGGAATACATTTATCACGCATTCAGAGCCAGAAGTCATTTTTTACTCGAAAGGCTATGCTTTTCCACTATTTCACACTCTCTCTGGGGCTGTGATATTTGAAACAGTATGTGTCCTGCCTGATTTCAAATTGTATCCTGAACATTCAGACACATTTCTTCTACTGTTCTTGTCCCTTCAATTTTTCTATTTCTCTCTACATGATATGGTTTGGCTGTGCCCCCACCCAAATCTCATCTTGAGTTGTAGTTCTCATAATCCCTACATCTGGTGGGAGGGATCTGTTGAGGGGTAATTGAATCATGAGGGTGGTTACCCCCATGCGTGTTCTTGTGATACTGAGTGAGTTCTCACAAGATCTGGTGGTTTTATAAGGAGCTTTTCCCCCTTTGCTCAGCACTTCTTCCTCCTGCCGCCATTTGAAGAAGGACATGTTTGCTTCCCCTTCTCCTATAATTGTAAGTTTCCTGAGGCCTCCCCAGCAATGCTGAGCTGTGAGTCAATTAAACCTCTTTCCTTTATATATTACCCAGTCTTGAGTATGTCTGTTGGCAGCCTGAGAATGGACTAATACACTACGTAATACTGTGTCACAGTTATATCCAGAATATTGTCTCTCTTCTATATGGTACTTTCAGTCTCTCTTGTATCATGTCCCTAAAGAGAGGAACAGTATTGTTACTAGTTATATTCAAATCACTGATTGGCCTTGTTCACTGGAAGATGGAATCACAGAGTGTTTTAGGAAGGATACATGGGTCAGGCTTTCTCTTCTGTACTGCTAAAGCATAAAGGGTCAAAGTAAAACTCTGGATGCAAGGAAACTTTGTTCTCTCTGCTCCTTTTTTGCAATAATCCATAGTGTTTTAACATTTGAAACTGGAGTTTAGGCACTTAGAGAAGTAAAACAGCTGGAAAACTAATGGAGCATTATGTCTCACTTAGTGAAGATGAGCGTTCCCTGTGGTCCGGTGCCAGATCCCAGTTTACAGCATTGGGTATTGTTAGTTTTAGCTACACTTCAGCCTCAGCCACGGTTCAACCCTACCCAACTTGTGTGTGTGTATGTGTGTGTATGTCTGTGCATGTTTGTGTGTTCTTTTATCTCCCTCACAACCCTTGGACAAGTGGGTTCAGTCAGTAAGAAAGAAGGATAGACAACCCAAAGGTGGCTGTACAAGAACTGATTGGCAGTGTTTCATTAGTTACATTAGGAAAAGGAGCCAAGTGATGGTGGAAGGGTTTTTCAGTTGTTGCTGTTTTTTTTTTTTAACATGAGGAATAATAAGTGTGTGTCCTAAAAATCACATGGAATAAACCTGGTCAGGTTCTCAGGGATCATCTGTGAAAGTGAATATTCTCTCTCTCTCGTTTCCAGGCATTGTGATAACCAACTGTGCCATGTATCTGCACCTATTCCCTTCCCCTCTCCTGGCTCTATGTGGAGTCCTCTTACAACTCTTGGAAAATGAATTTCTTCTAAGAGAGAAAAAGACTGCTCTTTTCTATTTTTATTTATTTTTTAATTGACACATTTAGAATTGCATATATTTATGGTGAACTGCATATGTTTGTGGTATATAGCATGATGTTTTGATATATGTATGCATTGTGGAGTGATTAAATCAAGCTAATTAACATATTTATTACTTGGTATACTTATTTTTTATGTGGTGAGAACATTTAGAATCAACTCTTTTAGCAATTTCCAAGTATACCATACATTATTATTAAGTATAATTACCATGTTGTATGATAGATCTCCTGAAAGTATTCCTCATTACTAAGTGATATTTTGTATCCTTTGACCAACATCTCCCAACCCCCCTGCCCCCCAGCCCCTGCTAACCACCATTCTCTTCTTTTGCTAGGAAACTAGGTAGCTGAGCTGTACAAATAATTCAATCATTAGCCTTATTTCCCCTTGTTATAGAGGGAGATGGCTCAGACTCAAAGACTCAAAGGCAGCCTGAGGGATTATAAGGAAGGTAAAATCTACCCCCTGCCCACTATGAAAAACTTGCAGCTCCTTTTTTTTTTTTTTTTGGTAATTTTCCAGAGGTAGCAAAGAAACTGCTACTGCATGAATATCAGGTTCCAGGAAACTGAACTTCCACCTCTGTACAAAAGGAAGATGGATGTTTATGACCCTCCCCCGCAAATGAAGTTCAAACTGTCACAGGGGTGTGGATGCAGGGGTAAGCGCTTTAATTAGCCACTTAGGTTAGATCAAGGGCCACCAACATCAGACCTCATCTTTGAATAAGCCCTTTCTGATAGTCGCCTTTCTCAATGCATTTTAGGAAAACACAGTTTATTTATTCAGTCAAGTTAAGCTTAGCTGAGAAAATGAAAAAGAAAAAAAAAAGAAACGATCAAAGTTTTATTTTCCACTTCCCATCTCCTCAATTCTTTTGCCAATTTCATTCTCCAGCTTCCCTTCAACAGAGCTTGATTTAGCAAGAAAACAGTGGGTTCATTTACCCAGCAAGGGAGTGCTTTTCATGTTTGAGCTTTGAAATGAAAATTGTCTATGGGCAGGCTTCTCTGCAGCTCTGTCTGAGAGCAGCAGGGCCTGTCATCATGGCTCTCTGGACTTGGGGGAAGGAAGTTAAAGTTTGGAAGGAGCAGGAATGGGTAGTGGTTTTCTCTAGGTAGGACCCTGCAGTGGTGGAGAGCAGAAACCCAAAGCAATGGGAATACTGTGCTCTAAGGGGTCTGGGGTGATGGCATTTGATTTTCAGCCAATATACATTACATAATTTCACCCCCACCACCCTGTGACTCCCAACCATATAGACCTTTGATATAAATATGACAAATGATCCCAGCCTCTATGCCAGCAGAATTTAAATCCACATTTTCATGCAACACATCTATAGACATCCTTTAGGTAAAAGTAGTGCAGAAACAGACATCTTTCTCCAAAGACAGATTGGATTGCTTTAAAATATTTTAACAACATCTACTTTGGAGCTTCTCCATTTCAGTAGGAGTGGTACATAAGTGAAAATCACATGTTTTCTCTTCTGTCTGGATTCGTAACTTGATGATAGAGGTAGTCACAGACATGAATAATTGTCAGGTACATGATACTCAGTAATAAATACTTTACCCAGAGTCCCAACACATACATGCAGGATAAGTAAGGGCTGGTGCCTTGGAATTACTTCGTATCTGGGTTTAATGCTAGGTTATGCCTCTTATTAACTCTGTGGATCTGGGCAAGTTATTTCATCACTCAGAGACTCAGTTTTCCCATCCATAAAATGAGATTAACAATAATTCACTTTGTAAAGATGAAATGAAGTTGTGCAAAGAAAGCAACAGGCATGCATCTGTATTGTACAGTAAATGCTCAAAGACTGATAATTCTACACCAATAACTTTGGGATGGTAGGGGAAACAGAAAGAAGCTCTGATCAAGGGGGATTAGAAAAGGTTGGTTTGTTTGTTTTTTGTTTTGATTTGTTTTGTTATTGGTAAGAGATGGCTCTGGAGGAAGGGTTATGCTACTGGACAAGAAGGCAGTAAAGGCAACAACTTAGAAGTTTACTTCTAATCAGACGTGAAAAGTAGAGTATGAGGTTCATGTTGGGCTGATGGTGCAGTGGGAGATTATCTGTAGAAATAGGATGGGCCCAACATACAGAGGATTTTGAGGGCCTGGCTGAAGAATATGCACTTGATTGAATAGATGGGTTCCTGGGTAACTGGTTTAATCAGCTATTTAGGCTAAATCAAGGGCCACAGACATCAGACCTTATAATTAAACAAGCTCTTTCCTCTGGTAGAGGGAAGTCACTGAAGCCTTTTGAGTAGGAAAATGACAGACAGAGCTGTGCCTTCTCAGGAAGATCACTGAGGAAGCTGTGAGTAGGGTGGTTAGATATGGGGGTAGAGGTGGGCAAAGACTGGGAGAGACTGCACTGAAGAGGTGCAGTCGTGATGGGGAGATTACAGATCAGAAATGTTGCTGCATTTCTGGCACATGTGAAACATGATTCTGACATTGTTTTAGGTGGAAAAAGTTAATTCTTGAAAGCAAAGACCAAATTTCAAAGCTAATAACCAAGATGGAGCGCAGGAGGAGACAGAATGTTCTTTATTGTCTGTTTCATATCCGGAGTGTTCCTCCAGTAAATCATCCCACAGTGGCAATCAGCACACCTGTTAAGTGAGCCTTGGCATTTAATTGGCATTATCGGCCCTTGCACAGAAGCAGACAAAGGATGTCACTGGCGTGTGAGTGGGACACATTTGCATTTCATAGACAATTAAGAGGGAGCTAATCAAGTTTGTCTGCAGCTTCCCTAGGGAGGACACATCTGGCTGGAACAATGAGTTCCTTTCTTTTCTGAGTCAAAGGAGTGTAAGGACTTCAGGCAACCAGGACCTTAACTCAGCCCCTGGGTGGACCCAAAATGCTGCTCTTGTGGCCGATAATACAGGAAAGTGGGCAGAACACCAAGCTGTAGCCTCTCAGGGCTGACCAGTGACAAAGGCATCCGGCTAGACTCTCAAGGCTTGGGTTCTTGTTCTAGCTACCCCACTAACTTACTGTATACTTTTGAGCTTGGCTGCTTGCCTTTTGTGTGTTTCAGTTTATTTATTTTTCTGAGAAATGGCTCTGACAGTAAAAACTTGAAGTTACAGTCATTATGGGTGACCTTCTGAGCTCTGTTTTGGTCAAGCTGGTATCACACATTCATTCATTCATTCAGTCATCAAGCACTTATAGAGCACCTCAGTAGGCTCTAGACACAGCAGTACAAAGCTCAATAAGATACTGTTGTATTTTCAAAAATCTCACAGCACAATGGGACCAACACTTAAACAACTACATTGATTTAAATGTAGAAAATACTGTAATAGAAGTGGGTGCAAAGTGTAGAAATCTGGCTGGGGAAAGGAGCAGTTCTTTCCAGTCTGGCTGCACCTTGGAACATAAGAAGTTTTCTAGCTGGACATCAGAGTGAATTCTAGGTAGAAACAAAAGCATAGATAAAAACACAGGGATATTCAAGAGTATGCCCTGTTGGAAAGCAGTGAAATGATTTACTGGAGGAAATCGTGAGGAATAAGGTTTTGAAAATAAATTCTGGGTCTAGGTTATTAGAATTCAGAGCCCTCAGGTTAATACCATCAGTAACATCTGAAATTTCTTCAATCAAGATTAATTTTTGATGTGAATCAATCAATAATATAATATTGAACACTTGCTCTGGGCAAGGCCCTATAAAGGACAGAGAGATGAGTAGGATACATTATTGCCACATTATACTGTCTGCCAAGGGACAAAGGGCTTCAGAGACAAGCAAACCCAAAGCCACCCATTCACTTGTTTGTACTTTCATCCAGTGATTTACAAATCCTTAGTGAACCCCTAGCATGTGCCAGGATTCCGGATTAAAAAAAAAAAAAAAAGACAGGTAAGTGAATCAACATTCTTGCTTGAGGAGCTTGTGGACAATCCATAGACTATTACACCTTCAGGCACTACAAGTTATTACCAGGATGTACACAGGATCTATGGGAGTATGGGGAGGGGACCACACTCAGACCTAGTGGGAGTTTGATCAAGGAGAGCTTCTCAGAGGAAGTGGCAACAGAGTGGCCCCTGCGAGTACAACCAAATCATTCAGGGAAGACGGGGGTGGGTACATGTGTCCTAGAGGACACAGAGAGACTGTTGTGAGAAGGAGGAACAGTTTGTACAGAGGAGGTGCTGAGGAGATCCTGGTGATGGGAACAAAATGTGCATTAGTGGAGGAGGGTGTGCTAGGAAATGGGGTGGACAGGGCTAATACTGTGGTGGTGGTGTCACCCCCCAGTGCCCATCAAGAGATTAGGAATGCAGAGGAGAAAACATCTCACAGCAAGACACTTGGCATATCTCCAGTGACAGAAGAGATGTTTCATGGAAATGTGAAACCTTTTAAAAAGGGTTTTAATTGTATTCTAAAGCCTGACTAAAGAAGGTCTCCAGTTCAGGGAAGGGGAGGAGCCAAGGAAACTCTATTTATAGTCATGCATAGCTTAACAACGGGAATATATTCTGAGAAATGCATTGTTAGGTGATTTCATCACTGTGCAAACATCATAGAGTTTACTTACAGAAACCTAGATGGCTATGTGATGTAGTCTACGACACACCTGTAGTATAGCCTGTGGCTCCTAGGTTACAAACTTGTGCAGCATGCTACTGTACTGAGTGCTATAGACAATTGTAACACAATGGTTAGTAATGGTGTATCTAAATATGTCTAAACATAGAAAAGGCACAATAAAAATACAGCATTAAAATCTTATGGGACCAGCCAGGCACGGTGCCTCACATCTGTAATCCCAACACTCTGGGAGGCTGAGGTGGGTGGATCACCTGAGGTCAGGAGTTTGAGACCAGCCTGGCCAACATGGTGAAAACCCACGTCTCTACTAAAAATACAAAAACATTAGCTGGGCGTGGTGGCAAGCGCCTGTAATACTAGCTACTTGGGAGGCTGAGGCAGGAGAGTTGCTTGAACCTGGGAGGTGGAGGTTGCAGTGAGCTGAGATCATGCCATTGTACTCCAGCCTGGGTGACAAGAGCGAAACTCTCAAAAAAACCTTATGGGACCGTCTGCCCTTAGGTAAAGGTGAGACCCATAGCAGCCCTGGGGGTGGGCTTGCTCCTTCTAGGGGGGTGACTGGAGATCTGAGGCTGTGCAAATAGGAAGGTTCCAGACTTCACAGGCATTATTCACCCCAGTCTCCCAGAGACTCCGTTTAAAAGCTGCTCCAAGGCAGTTCTTGAAGATTGGGTTCAAAAATAAACAAACTCTGTTGGGCTCTGGAGTTGTGGGCTCTTATTCTGGCTGCCCCACTAACTTCCCACACTGGCCTGAACTTGGCCATGTGCCTGTTGTGTGTGATGGCTATCAAGCAGGGGCCCCCAAGATGAGTGGCAGAATGGTATTATTGTTAAAGAATTAAGACCAACAGGAATTCCAATCCTTATACTTGTTTCTTGCAAACACTTGAAGGAGGCCAGCATCCAGGAAGGATGACAGAGGAGTTGTTCAAGGCCGCCCAGGTCAGACTGCCTGGGTTTGAAGAGAGCTTGGCAATTTACTGGGCCAATTACTTAAACTCTTTTGGCATCTATATTAGTCTCCTGTGGCTGCTGCAACAAATTATGACAAACTTGGTGGCTTAAAACAACTGAAATGTATTCTCCCACAGTTCTAGAGGCCAGAAATCTGAAATTAATATCACTAGGGGAAAATCAAGATGTCGGCAGGGCCATCTTCCTCCAGATGCTCCACAGGAGAATCTGTGCCTCTTCCAGATTCTGGAGGCTGCCAGCATTCTTTGGCTTGTGGTCACATCATTCCCATTTTCAAGGCCAGCATCTTCAATCCTCTGTCTGCTCTATTTTCACATCACCTTCTCCTTGATGTATAAGAAAATGTCTCTCCGCCTCTCTCGTAAGAAAACATATGATATGGGGGAGGAGCCAAGATAGCCGAATAGGAACAGCTCCGGTCTACAGCTCCCAGTGTGAGCGACGCAGAAGACGGGTGATTTCTGCATTTCCATCTGAGGTACCGGGTTCATCTCACTAGAGAGTGCCAGACAGTGGGCGCAGGTCAGTGGGTGCGTGCACCGTGCGCGAGCCGAAGCAGGGCAAGGCATTGCCTCACTTGGGAAGCGCAAGGGGTCAGGGAGTTCCCTTTCTGAGTCAAAGAAAGGGGTGATGGATGGCACCTGGAAAATCGGGTCACTCCCACCCAAATACTGCGCTTTTCCGATGGGCTTAAAAAACGGCGCACCACGAGATTATATCCCGCATCTGGCTCAGAGGGTCCTACGCCCACAGAGTCTCGCTGATTGCTAGCACAGCAGTCTGAGATCAAACTGCAAGGCGGCAGCGAGGCTGGGGGAGGGGCGCCCGCCATTGCCCAGGCTTGATTAGGTAAACAAAGCAGCCTGGAAGCTCGAACTGGGTGGAGCCCACCACAGCTCAAGGAGGCCTGCCTGCCTCTGTAGGCTCCACCTCTGGGAGCAGGGCACAGACAAACAAAAAGACAGCAGTAACCTCTGCAGACTTAAATGTCCCTGTCTGACAGCTTTGAAGAGAGCAGTGGTTCTCCCAGCACGCAGCTGGAGATCTGAGAACCGGCAGACTGCCTCCTCAAGTGGGTCCCTGACCCCTGACCCCCGAGCAGCCTAACTGGGAGGCACCCCCCAGCAGGGGCACACTGACACCTCACACGGCAGGGTATTCCAACACACCTGCAGCTGAGGGTCCTTTCTGTTAGAAGGAAAACTAACAAACAGAAAGGACATCCACACCAAAAACCCATCTGTACATCACCATCATCAAAGACCAAAAGTAGATAAAACCACAAAGATGGGGAAAAAACAGAACAGAAAAACTGGAAACTCTAAAAAGCAGAGCGCCTCTCCTCCTCCAAAGGAACGCAGTCCCTCACCAGCAACGGAACAAAGCTGGATGGAGAATGACTTTGACGAGCTGAGAGAAGAAGGCTTCAGACGATCAAATTACTCTGAGCTATGGGAGGACATTCAAACCAAAGGCAAAGAAGTTGAAAACTTTGAAAAAAATTTAGAAGAATGTATAACTAGAATAACCAGTACAGAGAAGTGCTTAAAGGAGCTGATGGAGCTGAAAACCAAAGCTCGAGAATTACATGAAGAATGCAGAAGCCTCAGGAGCCGATGCAATCAACTGGAAGAAAGGGTATCAGCAATGGAAGATGAAATGAGTGAAATGAAGCAAGAAGGGAAGTTTAGAGAAAAAAGAATAAACAGAAATGAGCAAAGCCTCCAAGAAATATGGGACTATGTGAAAAGACCAAATCTACGTCTGATTGGTGTACCTGAAAGTGATGGGGAGAATGGAACCAAGTTGGAAAACACTCTGCAGGATATTATCCAGGAGAACTTCCCCAATCTAGCAAGGCAGGGCAACATTCAGATTCAGGAAATAAGAGAATGCCACAAAGATACTCCTCGAGAAGAGCAACTCCAAGACACATAATTGTCAGATTCACCAAAGTTGAAATGAAGGAAAAAATGTTAAGGGCAGCCAGAGAGAAAGGTCGGGTTACCCTCAAAGGGAAGCCCATCAGACTAACAGCGGATCTCTCGGCAGAAACCCTACAAGCCAGAAGACAGTGGGGGCCAATATTCAACATTCTTAAAGAAAAGAATTTTCAACCCAGAATCTCATATCCAGCCAAACTAAGCTTCATAAGTGAAGGAGAAATAAAATCCTTTACAGACAAGCAAATGCTGAGAGATTTTGTCACCACAAGGCCTGCCTTAGAAGAGCTCCTGAAGGAAGCATTGAACATGGAAAGGAACAACCGGTACCAGCCGCTGCAAAATCATGCCAAAATGTAAAGACCATGGAGACTAGGAAGAAACTGCATCAACTAATGAGCAAAATAACCAGCTAACATCATAATGACAGGATCAAATTCACACATAACAATATTAACTTTAAATGTAAATGGACTAAATGCTCCAATTAAAAGACACAGACTGGCAAATTGGATAAAGAGTCAAGACCCATCAGTGTGCTGTATTCAGGAAACCCATCTCACGTGCAGAGACACACATAGGCTCAAAATAAAAGGATGGAGGAAGATCTACCAAGCAAATGGAAAACAAAAAAAGGCAGGGGTTGCAATCCTAGTCTCTGATAAAACAGACTTTAAACCAACAAAGATCAAAAGAGACAAAGAAGGCCATTACATAATGGTAAAGGGATCAATTCAACAAGAAGAGCTGACTATCCTAAATATATATGCACCCAATACAGGAGCACCCAGATTCATAAAGCAAGTCCTGAGTGACCTACAAAGAGACTTAGACTCCTACACATTAATAATGGGAGACTTTAACACCCCACTGTCAACATTAGACAGATCAATGAGACAGAAAGTCAACAAGGATACCCAGGAATTGAACTCAGCTCTGCACCAAGCAGACCTAATAGACATCTACAGAACTCTCCACCCCAAATCAATAGGATATACATTTTTTTCAGCACCACACCACACCTATTCCAAAATTGACCACACACTTGGAAGTAAAGCTTTCCTCAGCAAATGTAAAAGAACAGAAATTATAACAAACTATCTCTCAGACCACAGTGCAATCAAACTAGAACTCAGGATTAAGAATCTCACTCAAAACCACTCAAATACATGGAAACTGAACAACCTGCTCCTGAATGACTACTGGGTACATAACGAAATGAAGGCAGAAATAAAGATCTTCTTTGAAACCAATGAGAACAAAGACACAACATACCAGAATCTCTGGGATGCATTCAAAGCAGTGTGTAGAGGGAAATTTATAGCACTAAATGCCCACAAGAGAAAGCAGGAAAGATCCAAAATTGACACCCTAACATCACAATTAAAAGAACTAGAAAAGCAAGAGCAAACACATTCAAAAGCTAGCAGAAGGCAAGAAATAACTAATTTCAGAGCAGAACTGAAGGAAATAGAGAGACAAAACCCCTTCAAAAAATTAATGAATCCAGGAGCTGGTTTTTTGAAAGGATCAACAAAATTGATAGACCACTAGCAAGACTAGTAAAGAAAAAAAGAGAGAAGAATCCAATAGATGCAATAAAAAATGATAAAGGGGATATCACCACTGATCCCACAGAAATACAAACTACCATCAGAGAATACTACAAACACCTCTACACAAATAAACTAGAAAATCTAGAAGAAATGGATAAATTCCTGGACACATACACTCTCCCAAGACTAAACCAGGAAGAAGTTGAATCTCTGAATAGATCAATAACAGGAGCTGAAATTGTGGCAATAATCAATAGTTTACCAACCAAAAAGAGTCCAGGACCAGATGGATTCACAGCCGAATTCTACCAGAGGTACAAGGAGGAACTGGTACCATTCCTTCTGAAACTATTCCAATCAACAGAAAAAGAGGGAATCCTCCCTAACTCATTTTATGAGGCCAGCATCATTCTGATACCAAAGCCAGGCAGAGACACAACAAAAAAAGAGAATTTTAGACCAATATCCTTGATGAACATTGATGCAAAAATCCTCAATAAAATACTGGCAAAAGGAATCCAGCAGCACATCAAAAAGCTTATCCACCATGATCAAGTGGGCTTCATCCCTGGGATGCAAGGCTGGTTCAATATACGCAAATCAATAAATGTAATCCAGCATATAAACAGAGCCAAAGACAAAAACCACATGATTATCTCAATAGATGCAGAAAAAGCCTTTGACAAAATTCAACAACTCTTCTTGCTAAAAACTCTCAATAAATTAGGTATTGATGGGACGTATTTCAAAATAATAAGAGCTATCTATGACAAACCCACAGCCAATATCATACTGAATGGGCAAAAACTGGAAGCATTCCCTTTGAAAACTGGCACAAGACAGGGATGCCCTCTCTCACCACTCCTATTCAACATAGTGTTGGAAGTTCTGGCCAGGGCAATTAGGCAGGAGAAGGAAATAAAGGGTATTCAATTAGGAAAAGAGGAAGTCACATTGTCCCTGTTTGCAGATGACATGATTGTATATCTAGAAAACCCCATTGTCTCAGCCCAAAATCTCCTTAAGCTGATAAGCAACTTCAGCAAAGTCTCAGGATACAAAATCAATGTACAAAAATCACAAGCATTCTTATACACCAACAACAGACAAGCAGAGAGCCAAATCATGAGTGAACTCCCATTCACAATTGCTTCAAAGAGAATAAAATACCTAGGAATCCAACTTACAAGGGATGTGAAGGACCTCTTCAAGGAGAACTACAAACCACTGCTCAAGGAAATAAAAGAGGATACAAACAAATGGAAGAACATTCCATGCTCATGGGTAGGAAGAATCAATATCGTGAAAATGGCCATACTGCCCAAGGTAATTTACAGATTCAATGCCATCCCCATCAAGCTACCAATGCCTTTCTTCACAGAATTGGAAGAAACTACTTTAAAGTTCATATGAAACCAAAAAAGAGCCCGCATCGCCAAGTCAATCCTAAGACAAAAGAACAAAGCTGGAGGCATCACACTACCTGACTTCAAACTATACTACAAGGCTACAGTAACCAAAACAGCATGGTACTGGTACCAAAACAGAGATATAGATCAATGGAACAGAACAGAGCCCTCAGAAATAACGCCACATATCTACAACTATCTGATCTTTGACAAACCTGAGAAAAACAAGCAATGGGGAAAGGATTCCCTATTTAATAAATGGTGCTGGGAAAACTGGCTAGGCATATGTAGAAAGCTGAAACTGGATCCCTTCCTTACACCTTATACAAAAATCAATTCAAGATGGATTAAAGACTTAAACGTTAGACCTAAAACCATAAAAACCCTAGAAGAAAACCTAGGCATTACCATTCAGGACATAGGCATGGGCAAGGACTTCATGTCTAAAACACCAAAAGCAGTGGCAACAAAAGACAAAATTGACAAATGGGATCTAAATAAACTAAAGAGCTTCTGCACAGCAAAAGAAACTACCATGAGAGTGAACAGGCAACCTACAAAATGGGAGAAAATTTTCGCAACCTACTCATCTGACAAAGGGCTAATATCCAGAATCTACAATGAACTCAAACAAATTTACAAGAAAAAAACAAACAACCCCATCAAAAAGTGGGCGAAGGACATGAACAGACACTTCTCAAAAGAAGACATTTATGCAGCCAAAAAACACATGAAAAAATGCTCATCATCACTGACCATCAGAGAAATGCAAGTCAAAACCACAGTGAGATACCATCTCACACCAGTTAGAATGGCAATCATTAAAAAGTCAGGAAACAACAGGTGCTGGAGAGGATGTGGAGAAATAGGAACACTTTTACACTGTTGGTGGGACTGTAAACTAGTTCAACCATTGTGGAAGTCAGTGTGGCGATTCCTCAGGGATCTAGAACTAGAAATACCATTTGACCCAGCCATCCCATTACTGGGTATATACCCAAAGGACTATAAATCATGCTGCTATAAAGACACATGCACACGTATGTTTATTGCGGCACAATTCACAATAGCAAAGACTTGGAACCAACCCAAATGTCCAACAATGATAGACTGGATGAAGAAAATGTGGCACATATACACCATGGAATAGTATGCAGCCATAAAAAATGATGAGTTCATGTCCTTTGTAGGGACGTGGTTGAAGTTGGAAATCATCATTCTCAGTAAACTATCGCAAGAACAAAAAACCAAACACCGCATATTCTCACTCATAGGTGGGAATTGCACAATGAGATCACATGGACACAGGAAGGGGAATATCACACTCTGGGGACTGTGGTGGGGTGGGGGGAGGGGGGAGGGATAGCATCGGGAGATATACCTAATGCTAGATGACGAGTTAGTGGGTGCAGCGCACCAGCATGGCACATGTATACATATGTAACTAACCTGCACAATGTGCACATGTACCCTAAAACTTAAAGTTAATTAAAAAAAAAAAAGAAAAAGAAAACATATGATTTATTGCATTTAGTACTCACCTGGATAATCGAGGATAATTCTCCCCAAGGTCCTTAACTTAATCACATCTGTAAAAAACTTTTTTGCCACATAAAGTAACATTCACAAGTTCTAGAAATTAAAATATGATCGTCTTTTGGAAAGCTAGTTTTTCAGCCTCCCATGGTATCTTCAAGGGTAGAATGGGCCTAATGAAATCACCTACCACACTGGGAGGATTAAAGATGGTCTCTCCCAACACACACACTCACATACATATGCACATGCACACACACATATACACACATGCACACAGAATAGTATTTTGCATATGATAAATGGTCAATACATATTAAAGATGACTAATGTTTTGTAAAACCTTGCCTTTTCTCTTCTCTGCCAGTTTCCTAGGGGCTGTGCACATTCACCTCTGTCATTCCTCTTGTTCTGCTGCCCTGTTCTCAGAGTTGCCCCTCTTCTCAGCACCTTAAGCCTTATGATAACATAGTCCTTCTCCTGTTATCACTTTTTTTCCTGAGGGGACCTTTATGCTTCCTCAGTGAGTAGGGGGCGAAAGTGGGAGATGGAAGACAGAGGAGAGAGTTGTTAAGTTTAGCCTAAAGCATCCCCTGTCCATATTTTCAGTTCAGTCTAAAAGTTTCTTCATGCACAGTGAACTGAAACCTAACTGGATGTACAAATAGACTGTAACCTACTCTGGTGCCGATCACCACGTTTTGGTTAGTCAAGGAAGGCCAACTGTTCAAACCATGTTCAAATAAGCAAATACCATGCTGGAACAAATCCAGCTATTTTTTTACTTCACTTCCATTCTCTGCACATCACGTTCTCTGCCCATAAATTTTCTTCCACCAAGCAGCTGTCCTGGAGTCTCTCTCAACCTATTATGGTTTGGGGGCTGCCGACGCTTAAATTGCTTTTTCCTCATTTAAAGTGTTACATTTAATTTGTCTAAGGTTTTTTAGTGCAGAATTGTGGCACACACAAGGATGGAAGAAAAACCGTGAATCCACACACATTAATATGTTCTTTTCCTTTGAGAATTCTTTCTTTCTTTCTTTTTTTTTTTTTTTTCTGAGATGGAGTCTCACTCTGTCACCCAGGCTGGAGGGCAATGGCATGATCTCGGTTCACTGTAACCTCCACCTCCTGGGTTTAAGCAATTCTCCTATCTCAGCCTCCTGAGTAGCTGGGATTACAGGCACACACCACCATGCCCGTCTAGTGTTTGTATTTTTAGTAGAGTTGGGGTTTCACCATATTGATCAGGCTGGTCTTGAGCTCCTTACCTCAGGTGATCCATCTGCCTTGGCCTCCCAAAGTGCTGGGATTACAGGCATGAGCCACTGCGCCCCACCTTGAGAATTCTTTATTTCCTATCCTCATTTATTAACCTTAGAATTACCTGTTCTCCTCTGTTGTCTACTCTCATGAGAAAGCTGGGAGGTGTCTTAGATTATTCCCCTCCTCCATACCTCTCCTGACTTCACTTTCACCCCTTACATCTCCCTATATCAGAGAAGCCCACCTCATAAAGTTCTCCCTACTGGGTTTCCCACTCAGTACCACTGCCTGATCTCAGCTAAGGCCCTTGCAGTCACCACTGCTCATTCTGATGATTAAAGGAGCTTCCTAATTGGCTTCCTGCCTCCTAATTTGTCCCATCTTTCACACCTGCTAGAAGCTTATTGTTGTTTGTTTGTTCCTCCTTTAGAGAAGGTAGCATTTGTTGAGGTAGGAGGATGGTCTTTGGACGGAGGTAGGTGAAGATTAAAGCTCCGGCTCTGCTGTTCACTAGCTCAAGGTATTTTATCTTTTTGAGCCTTGGGAGCAGCCTAAAAGAGCTGTTGGGAAAAGACATTTTTTGAGAAATTATGTAGAATAGGGAATTCAAAGCATGGTGCCTAGTATATGGCAGACACCAAATAAACTAGCTTGCCTCCCCACATTTAGTAAAATAAGCAAAATCTTTGTATCATTCCCCTATATAGTTATCTTCCACTGGGGACTTTGCTTTACCAATTCTTCCCTCTCTCTTACATCCTCAATAGACATTTCTCTCTGTTAGGTCATTGTAATCAGCATTCAATCATGTGCTATTTCTGTCTTAGAAATAACCTCTAGAACCCCCTCTTCCTGTGAGTCTTTATCCATTCATATGCTTCCTTTTACTGCAAACCTTGAAAGACCTGTCTATTCTGTTTCCAGTTTCTCTCCTCTTTTCCTTTAAAACCACTCTAAGTAGGCTTTCTTCCGTATACCTCTGTGGAGACTACTCACTTCAAGGTCTCCACTGACCTCCAAATTGCAAAATCCAGTGGTCAGTTCTTGGTCCTGATCTTACTTGATTTATCAGCAGCATTTGGTATTCTTTCTTTAAGATTTGCAGGACTCTAAAGCCTCTTAATATATTCTGGCTATTAAACCCAGATACACAATTCACAAATGCATTTCTTCAATTTGGTAGGGTGTCTTTTCACTTTCTTGACAGGATCCTTTGTTGTACAATAATTCTTAATTTTTATGAAATTTTGTTCACTTTGATTTTCTTTTTCTTTTGTTGTCTGTGCTTTTGGTATCATACCTATGAAATCATTGTGAAATCTAATGTTACATAGATGTGTTGGTTTGTACTTGCATCACTATAAATACCTGAGCTTAGATAATTTATTAAAAATAGAGAAGTTTACTTGTATTACAGTTCTGCAGGCTCTTCAAGCAGGGCTCCAGCATGTGGCTCTGGGGAGGGACTCAGGAAGCTTACAATCATGGCGGAAGGTGAAGGGAGAACAGGTGGTGTCACATGGTGAGAAAGGGAGTGAGGAGGGGGAGGTCCCAGACTTTTAAACAACCAGATCCCACGTGACTAACTGAGCAAGAACTCACTTATCACTCTCAAGGGGATGGTTCTAAACCATGCATGAGGGATTGACTCCCATGATTCCATTGCCTCCCACCAGGCCACACCTCTGACACTGGGAGTCATTTTAATGTGAGATTTTGAGGGGACAGATATCCAAAGCATATCAGTAGATTTCCCCCCAGTATTTTCTAAGAGTTTTATAGCTGCACCCCAGCCTGGCTGGAGACAGAGTAAGACTCCATCTCAAAAAAAAAAAAAGAAGTTTTATAGCTTTAGCCCTTAAGTTTAGGCATTTTATCCATTTTGAGTTAGTGTATGTGGTTACATAATTTGCTTTCATACTTTTGCATGTAGATATCCAGTTTTCCAGCACTGTTTGTTGAAAAGACTGTCTTTTTCCCCGTAGAATGGTCTTGGCACCTTTCAAGAACAAAAATGAAACAATCCAATTCAAAAATAGGCAAAAGACTAGAATAGTCATTTCTCCGAAGAAGATATACAAAGGAGCAATAAGCATATGAAAAGATATTTAACATCATTAATTAGTAGAGAAACATAAACCAAAACCATTTTATACCAACTAGGATAACTATAATTTTAAAAAGAAAAAAGGCAATAAAAAGTGTTAATGAGGATGCAGAGAAATTGAAAAACTTTTGTATTTCTGGTGGGAGTGTAAAATGGTGGAGCTACTGCAGAAAACAGATTTGTGGGTTCTCATAGGGTTAAACATAGAATTACCATATGATGCAGAAATTTCACTCATATATCCAAAATAATTAAAAGCAGGGACCTGAACACATACTTGCACACCAATGTTCATAGTTCCATTATTCACAATATCTGAAAGGTAGAGACAACCCAAGCTTTCATCAAGAGAGGAAAGAATAAAAAAGATGTGATATATACATACAATGGAATATTATTCAGACAAAAAATAAAATTTTTGTATGTGCCATGACATGAATAGACCTTGAAAACATCCTTAGATAAATAAGCTAGGTACAGTAGAAAAAAATGTTATATGATTCTACTTATATGAGGCACTGAGAATAGGCAAATTCAGAGACAAAATGTAGAATGGAGTATACCAGAGGTTGTGAGAAGTAGGGAAAAGGGTAATTACTTTTAATTGGGTGCAGCTTTCTTATTGAGGATGATTTTGAAAGTTTGAGTGTAGACAGTGTGATAGTTGCACAATGTTGTAAATATATTTAATGCCACTGAATAGTACACTTATCAATAATTAAAATGATAAACATTATGTTATGTGGCTTTTACCACAAAAACAACAACAGCAAAATAACGTAACGTGTCTTGATTTTATTTCTATTTTACTGGTGGTTCTTTCTCATTTTCGTGTATTGGTGTCTTGGCTTCCTGATCTTTTCATCTGGAGTCTCCCTAGGCTCAGTGCTTGTTCTCCATCTCTTCCCTTACAAATTCATCCCTTTGATGATCTTACCCAGCATCAGGCTTTAAACACTATCAATATGCCGAAGGGTCCAGACCTCTCTGCCAAACTCCAGATTCAACATTCAACTATTTTATGTTGCCTCTCTATTTGGGAGTCTAATAGACAATTCAAATTGGACCTTTCATTAACCTCCCACCCTACCCACCATCACAACCTGCTCCACTCCTCCACCCCCCATCTCAAATGATGACAAATCCTTTCTTCCATTTGCAAAGTCTAAAAACATTTCCTAGTCACACCACCAGGATATCTTATTTGGTGTTGGCACAGATTTTTGTGCCCTCACAGTACACTGTGTGGACTCTCAATGCGATATTTACCTCACTCTTCCTAGTTTTCACCTCTGTCTATGTCTCCTTTTCTTTTCATATAAGTTGTGTTTTCAATTCTTTGAAGCCAGGAACCCATTCATTGTGTATATCAAGTATCTGGCACAATGTTTGCTACAATAATTGTTTGTGGGATAAATGAATAAAAATTTTAGGGCTGAGGGTTTATGGCCCATCGTTCAAAAACTCAACTTGCAATCCTTTATCGATAAGCCATAAATACGTAAAAATACAAGGAAGTAAAAAGTCGGTGGAAAATATGTAAAGATCTGCTTCTTAGTCTCGATCCAGTGTTAGTGTTTGAAGTAGCGTTTTTTTTACCAATGTCTGGTGACACAGAACAGAGAGGAAGGGTAGGGCAGTTTTAAATCTCTTCAGTAAAAGAATCTTAAGATTTGGCAAGAATGGGGATTGCACTGTGTATACATGAGGGAGATCTGAATTCCTAATCAGGGAAACATGGAATTGAATCTCAGCCTCATCATTCACCAGCTAAAGACTTTGGGCAAGTTATTTAATCTCCCTGTGCTGGAGTTTCTTCATCTGTAAAATAAGCATAATAAATATTCACCTCAAAGAGCTATTTTGAACATTAAAGAGGAGAAACCTGGTTCATCTTAGCAAAGAATAAATGGTAGCTCTCATAGTTAGCCTCAAGGAGCTGTCTCCGGAACAAGAAATGACTTCCAACTGAGGATTTCCATCTCCTATTGTTCTGATCTTTTATGTTTTCCTACATTCTTTTTTCTTCTCTTAAAATGGGAGTTTAATGAATAATTATTTTATAACATAAATATGGATTTTTTAAAAACTTTTAAATTCAGGGGTACATGTGCAGCTTTGCTACATGGGTAAATTGCATGTTGCTGGGTTTTGGAGTACAGATTATTTTACCACTCAGGTAATAAACATAGTACCTGATGGGTAGTTTTTTGATTCTCTCCCTCCTCCCACCCTCCACCCTCAAGTGGGCCCCAGTGTCTACTGTTCCTTGCTTTGTGTTCGTATGTGCTTGTTGTTTAGCTCCTACCTATAAGTGAGGACATGTGGTATTTGGGTTTCTGTTCTTGTGTTAACTCACTTAGGATAATGGCCTCCAGCTCCACCCATGTTGCTGCAAAAAACATGATCTTGTTCCTTTATATGGCTGCGTAGTATTCCATGGCATACACGTACCACATTTTCTTTATCTGGTCCATCACTGATGGCATTTAGGTTGATTCTTTAGCTTTGCTAATGGGAATACTGCTGTGGTGAACATATGCATGTATCTTTACAGTAGAATGATTTATATTCATTTGGGTATATAGTCAATAATGGGATTGCTGGGTTGAATGGCAATTCTGTCTTAACTTCTTTCAGAAAACACCAGACAAATGTTGGTGGCTTTCCACAGTGGCTGAATGAATTTACATTCCCACCAGCAGTGTTATTTAAATGTGTTCATCCCTGTGTGTGTGTGTATGCATATACATGTGTTTATAGTTGGAGGAATGGAGGGAAATGAAAGTGTTTGACAAATAGATCTCACCATATAGTTATGGAACCACGTATGGCCACGAAGGCTCAGATTGGATTCTTCAACCTAACTTCCCAATGATCTTGCCCAGCATCTTTCTTTTTCAAGTTTACTAGTTTCTGCTTTGCTCCTTGCCAGACTCTATTGCCGGAGAAGATCACACAATATGATGGTTGGGTCCATGATGGGGCAATACTCTCTAACCTCAACTGTGAGCTCTGACACAGCAGAGTATCCCTGGGCTTTATCATAATTCACGTTGCTTTGGCATGACTCCACCTGAAAAACCAGCAATAGTTACAGTCCTGAGTGGCCCCAATAGTTTTCATTTGTGTATCCTCTGAAGACAATATAGTAAGAAGCTATTTTACTATTAATAACATGAAAAGTGTGTTACAAATATTAAATTTCTAGATGAAAACAGAGAATCCCAGTAGGCTATTTTAACCTTGCAAGTGACTAAGTGCCCTATTAACAGACACAGAACTCTCTGTCCTAAGTTCTCTGCTGTTTTCATTGCCTCCAGGGTCCTAATCTGGACACTCTGCCAAGGTTTCCGGCCTGGCAGCAACTTAGCTGGGCTCATCAGGTGAACATGTGCTCTCCTCCTCACTTCCCTTTCTAAAATTACCGGTAGCTGAACCTGTTCAAAATATTAATAAATATGTTCTATAGTAGCAAAAAAAGGAAAACAAAGTTATATATGTCTGGTGTGCTTTGTACCCTAGATTTCCTAAAGTCATCTAGCATTAAGGCATAATCATTATTTTGAAGCACATCTATCCAATCTTTGAAAACTCTAAGTCTAGGTACTGGCTTTCTCCTGGTCAGTGGTCAATGATCCTGCAGGACGTTGTGACTGCTAACATCTGCATGTTGTTTTCCCTTCTATGGGAATGCAAGCTTCCTGAAGGTAGAGACTGTGTCTAACTAACCTTGGACGAAAAATCATGGAGGAGTTCACCTAGATTTTAATTATAGTTGTGTGACCTTGTACACATTACTCAACTAACCTGAGTGTCATTCTGTTTATCTTTAATTGGAGATTTGAATATTTAAATCCAAGAGCTGTTCACTGTTTGGAGAAATGAATGTGATTCAGCATAAAATTTGTGTGCTATCAAATAGAGAATCAGTAAATAGTTGTTTTCTTCCCTTTTGGTTGGTCAGTCTCTGTCTCTCTCTCTCTCTCTCCCTCTCTCTCTCTCTCCCCTCCTCTCTCTCCCCCTCTCCCTTTCCCTCTCCCTCTCCCTCTTTCTATCCCTCTCTCCCACACCTACTTTCCAGCACCCTGCTTCATAAGTGGTCAGCATATGAGGAAACCGTTGATGAAAGATCCAGTACAGATGACAAGGGCAGCCTGATCTCATATTCTGTTTACATTTCGACATTACTTATCCAGGAATCCACTTGCAAACAGCTGCTTATTCTCTTGGCCCTATCTTTTATGTAACCACTTCTAGACAGAACACAGTTTTATGCAGGTTGGACCCATTTCACCAGGTGCAACCTGACAGCATCTCATCCAGCCCTGCACTGAATACTTCCCTCTTCCTGCCCTGTATTTTCTCTGACGCTGAAGATTGGGATGCACTGTGCATGTGTTACCTGGAAGTTTCAGGAGAGTAACAATGTGGGGCAATTTTTGACTAATGAGGGCAGGAACAGGTGAATAAGTGCTCTACCCATTTATTCTCCAAGCAGACAGTTTTGAGAACTATGTCATGAGGATCATTCAAATGTCTCTCAGGATTGATGGCCAGTTGGCTTTTCCTTCCTTATTTTATGTCCCAACCTCACTCTTCCTGCCTAGGATCACATTCCTAAATGAACTCTCCATGCAAGCCTTTGCCTTAGTCTCCAATTCCAAGAACCTCAGGCTGAGCCTTTACCTCATTAAAGCACATTACTGCTTGGCATGTAATACATCTCTAATACCTGGCAGGTGTAATACTTTTTTTGATGCCTTTGCTGTTCTGTATTGAGAAAAAGTAAAAGTTTCAACATTTCCCCTCTGAGTGTCTGACCTGTTGAATGTTTCTTTTTCTCTTGAGCCTCTGCCCCATCTACATTCTCTCATGTTTTGAACAAGGTAATCCTGTCACCCTTGCATAGCTCAGTGAAGGGTGAACATCTGACTCAGAGGGAGACACTTTCTTGGTAAGGTTGAGCAATCATGTTGGCTCCCTAGAATCTGATGTTAGTATATGGTGACCCATATACTAATACATAAACATATGTATTAGTACATATGCATATACTCTTTTGGTTGGGTGCTTAACTTGGTAAAGCATTGATTGCTAAAGCAGCATTAAGAAGATACAAGACAGTAGAGAAAGCCAGACTTCAGATCTCCAGGTAAAGAAGATTCAAAGACACGAGAGATAATAAGACTCAAAATAGAAATTGAAAGGGTAGATGCTCTGATTCCTTGGAACTTCCTAGGAAGTATCTAATTCTTACTGAAGACCAATTGTACTCCCAGCCCTTTGGTTCTATGAAATGTATCATTATCCTGATAACAAATCCCCTACTGAGTTTTCAAAGGCTTTCTTTCCCTTGGAATTGGATGCTCTCTAAGATAGCCCACGTCATGATTAGTACTCTTTTCTATTTACAGAGAGATCTGTAAAAGGCAGAGATTGTGTTCTACTCAAAGTTGTGGCCCCAAATGCCTTGCCTCACTTACAGCCCATATATGGTAGATGTAAAATGTGTTTGGTGAGTAACTGACTAAAGTTTACCCTCCTCCTTTAATTCTTTTCTTTGCTCATGCCTTCCCAGTCAACCCGAACAGTAAAGAGCAGACCAACTCTGTGGCCTGCTACCATTTTGATATTTTCCCTTTCAACTTTAACCTTCTTAATTTACATTCTTTCTTTCAATGTACTAATCCAGGTCATCCACTCTCTGGTATACTGGCTTCTGCTATGCTCTGTGCCAACCACTGCTGCTGATGATAGCTACAGTGTGGTAGTCAAATTCATGACAAGTTGATTCTCTGTAAGCTCAGCTAGGCTCTGCCCACAGCTTAGCAACCCTTGATTGATCTCTGAAGGGTTCTGACATATTCTCAAAGCAACCATTGCATATCTTTTAAATTGCCATCCAAACTCTTCAGCTGCTTGCTAATCATTGATCATCTTCATCTGCTGCCTCATTGGAAAAAGAAGATGAGATATGGTGAGAGTTCTCATAGTTCGTCCATATCTCCACTTCTCTTCCATTGCTCCTCCTCCACTGCTTGCCCAAACGAATACTTTCACTTCTGCTTTAGGTCACCATTCCACCTCTTTTTTAAGATGTTTCCCCTCTCTCTACTTACTTTTGCTATGAGCATCTTGAAAACATCATATAGATATATATGGCCTATATGACATTATGTTCCAATGGATTCCCTTGTAATCTGGATTCCATTCACACAGCTCTATTAAACTGGCTAACTAGAGAGTTGGAAGTGCCTTTGCAATAAGGAAATCTAGTGGTTTTTATTCTATCCTTATCCCCCTCCGACACATCTCATTCTGCTGACTACCTACATTCTTTTGGCTTTTGTGAAGCTTCATTGGCTGGGTTATCCCACCAACTTGATAGGCATTCTCCTTCACATGAAATCTTTCCCTAAGGTTCAATCATCTTTACTCTCCTTGAAGATTTTGTCCTTTCCAATATTGCTGCAAGGTGGATGCTTCCTATAATGCTGACATGGGAATTAGCTTGTCTTCAATATTCTTATCCTGGATTTCTAACTCCCTGCTGGACAGCTCCCTGGGTGAGCTCCTGGTAGGCCTAAATTGTCAAATTCCAAACTGATCTACTTTTACCAAGAAGGCTAAATCTGTATGACTTTGGAACTAATTCAAAGGGAGAATGTTAGAGGGGACTTTTCTCAAAAAAAGAGAAAAGTCAAAAATGATTCTGAGATTTTCGGCTCACGTACTTACAAGTGGTAATTAAAAGAGACAAAATGTCTCCATTCTCAAGACAATTGGGTAGAAGGATGGTTGTTTATTGAATTCCTGTGTGTCAGACAATGACATAGGTGCTTTTCATGGGCTATTTTATTTAGTTTTCAAAGCAACCATGTTTTATGTGTTTTCTGTTATCAGTTCTTTTTTTTCCAGGTAAAGAAACCAGGGTTGCAAGATATTAAGTGAGAGTTTTTAAGGTTATAAAATGAATTATGGGCTGGGTGTGGTGGCTCATGCCTATAATCTCAGCACTTTGAGAGACCAAGGCAGGAGGATCACTTGAGCTCAAGAGTTTAAGACCAGCCTGGGAAACATAAAAATAAAAAACATTAAAAATAAAAATAAAAATCATCTGAGTGTGGTGATGTCCACCTGTAGTTCCAGCTATTAAGGAGGCTGAGGTGGGAGGATCTCTTAAGCCCAGGATGTCAAGGCTGCAGTGAGCTATGATAATGCCATTGTACTCCAGTCTGGGTGAAAGACCAAGATCCTGTTTCAAAAAAATTAAAATTAAAAAAATTATGAACCTAGGATTGTTCTTTTGGTCCTAAGTCTATTCAGCTGTAATATCCTTGTCTTTATCATTATAGCTCACAGTATGAGAAATAAAGAACCACATAAATCCTTGGAGATTAAAGCAAAAATTAATGATAAACTTAATTCACATTTATGGCTGGAATCCAGACTATTCTTTTTTTTTTTTTTTTTTTAAGACTTATCATGAGAGACAGTTTACAAGCCCTAGTTTCTCTCTGGAAAAATCTTGTCTGAGATATTACAAAGAGAACCTTCATTTTATTCAGGGCTTACCTCTTCAAGGAAAACTTACCTGATATTTGTACATAAAGTAGCCCCCATAGTACTCTATTACTTTGTTTTTTGTACTTTTCTTTATAGTTTTTAACTCTCTTTCTGTCTCTCTCTCTGTCTCATACACACACACACACACACACACACACACAATATCAGATTCTTAACATGTTATTGACATTTTGAACTTAATAATCATTTGTTGTGGATGGGGCTGTTCAGTACTTAGCAGCAAGTTTAGCAGCATCCTCGGCCTTTACCTACTAGATGCCAATAGGATTTTCCTGCTAGTGTAACAACTAAAAATCATCCCAGACATTGTCAAATGTCCTCGTGGGAGGAAACCCATCCCTAGTTGAGAACTAATGGTCTATATCTATATCCATCCATATCCACACCCATATCCAGATCTATTCACAGATCTGTATCTGTGGTTTATGAGGACTAAGATTTGTTAGTCTTGCTCACATCTTATACCAGTGCTCAGATATATACTTAGCACAAAATGCAATAGATAGGCTGGGCGCAGTGGCTCACCTTGTAATCCCAGAACTTTGGGAGGCTGAGGCAGGAGGATCACTTGAGCCCAGGAGTTTGATACCAGACTGGGCAACATAACAAGACCTCATTTCTACAAAAAAATCAAAAAATTTCCCAGGCATGGTGGTGTGCACTTGCGGTCCGAGCTACTTGGGAAGCTTAGATGGGAGTATCGCTTGAACCCAGAAGGTCCAGGTTGCAGTGAGCCATGACCATGCCACTGCACTCCAGCCTAGGTGACAGAGTGATACCCTGTCTCACAATGAAATGAAATAAAATAAAAATGTGCTGAATGAATAAATAAAGGAAGGGAAACAATTTTTATGGAGCATGTACTTTATGCCACAGTCTTCTATTTATTTATTTATTTATTTATTTATTTATTTATTTATTTATTTATGAGACAGAGTTTTGTTCTTTTTGTCCAGACTGGAGTGCAATGGTGCAATCTCGGCTCACTGCAACCTCCAAAGTGATTCTCCTGCCTCAGGCTTCCAAGTAGCTGGGACTACAGGCACCTGTCACCATGCCCGGTTTTTTATGCCGTATTCTTAATTAAAATCTTTTCTTCAAAATAACTCTGAGGTGGACAATAGTAAACTTATATCCCAGATGTTGAAACAGAGGCTCAGAGAGGATGACTTTCCTGGTTCACACAGCCAGACCTTGTGAGAGGCGACATTTCAACCCAATTCTGTCTTCCCTAAAAGTCCACTCTTCTATGGCACCAAGCTGTGATATAGGCCAAGAACGATGAGACCCAGAATTTAAGACTAAACAAATGCATCACTAATTGCCATTGCAGCATTTTGTAGGAAAAATGGTTTGCCTACCATGCGGTGTCCAAAATATAATTTTTGAGTTCAATTTCCCAAATTCTCTGTTCCCCACCATAGGTGATCCTGTTTGTCAAGTAAAATATTTAGTAATCTGCTTTGATTTATCACTTTCCCTCACTGTATATCTAATCCATCAAAAACATGTAGACTTAAAGCTAGATCATTGCCTACAGATCCCTGCTTTACCTGGTTCCTGATATCTCTTGGACTTCTTAGTATACACTTCTTTTCCTTCTTGCTCACTAATCTTTGGTCAGCTGGTCTTTCTTTTCTCTGAACATGCCAATGCCACACACATTAATGCCTTCAGCTTGTGGCACTTGCTTTTCTCTATCTTTGAAATGCTGTTCAGAATGCCTGTTTTGTAAATAAAGTTTTATTGCAACATAACAATGCCTGTTCATTTACAAGTTGCCCATGGCTGTTGTCATGTTCCAGTGGCAGAACTAAGTAATTGTGACAGTGGATGGTAATTGATAAGGAGAAAAGGCAACAATCTTTATAGAGTAGTTACAGTTAATCATGCAATGAATTGTGCTGAGTGCTTTGCTCCAACTCTCTAGACTTAGATGCAAATATTGAGTCTACAAATGGCGAGCTGATAGATTCATGGAAAAAAAAACTTATTCGAATATGAGCCAAGATATTACCTTGGAGAAAATGGAGTGTGAAATGTTGAGGAAATATTACCTTATCAGCTTCAATCAGTTAAAATTAGGAGAGGAATGATTGGCTTTTAAGGATCAGCTTCAAAATGGTACCCAACACTGTGACTAATAATTTCTCTATTTCTCTCTTTTAGAGAAAATTGTGGTTTTGAGGAAGACAGATTTTTCATTTGCTTAGCCACTCAGTAATGTAGACATTTCCCCCAAATGGTTTATGACTCATTAGTTGCCCAGACAGAAGGGCTGGGTGAGCTTGATCAACCAGGTCTAGCTGCCATCCTTATCTCTCTCTCTACAGCTTGAAGTCATAATCTGAAACCCAGTAATCTTCAACAAAAACATCATTTTCAAGCACTTTGGGAAAAATAGTCACTTTACTTGGAGGCGGCCTGGAAAGAAAATGAACAAATGCTTTAAAAAAGATTTTTCTCTTGACCCAAACTTCAAACATTAGACACGTTGTAATGAGTTTCCAATCTGTGAAGTATTTTTAGGGGATGGCTTCAGTATAACAGTGGAGTTTCCAGTGTTCGTTCCTTTTTTCTTAAATATGAAAGTTACATGACAATAATTATAATGATGGCAAAAACAATGATAACAAGAGTAGGCCAAAAGCTGTAAAAAAGAATCCCAGGATGGTTTAGGAATGTTTCTTTCTGTGGGGCAGCCCTTCTGGGGCTAACTGTAGCAAATAATTCAGAGATACAGGCTTCCAGCTTGTGATGTTCCATACACATCGCCCATCTTCTAGAGTTCATGAAGAAGGCAAAGAGAGAACATGGTAAAAGTTTACTATATATGTAAATTCCTTGGTCCCGCTTTGACACATGTCAGTTTTATTCATATTTCAATGGCCAGAAACAAGACCTCACTTGGATTAGATGCAAAGGAGTTGGGAAACATAATCCCTGGCTTGGCAACTACTTCCCAACAACAGCTCTATATCATAGAAAGGGAACGTGGCTCTTTGATTTTTGTGATCTGTTTGTGTGTTGGAAACTTTCCAAAGTTCATGACATAATACCATTTTACTACAAGTAAACAAAACTATAATATCAACTGCTCTTTCTTCCTATTGAAAAGAATTGTAATATGAATTAATAGGTTAAGAAATGCAAACTGTTTAGAATAGAGAATAGTGAACTCCAATAAAACCCTGCTCTATGTTGGTATTCAATGCAGTTCATTTGGTCCCATTGAAGTTTATTTAATGCTTATGCATCTGAAGAGTTTGTTTCCCAGTTAGGACTGTGGCAGTCTCTGTCTTCTTTAACCTATTATGAAATACACTAAGCTATCTAAGGCTCCACTGAATAGAAAGGATGAAGGAATATTCCACTTTTTGTTCAGTCATCAGCTTGTCCAAATCCATGAGACTGATCAATCCTCAGACCAAAGTGGTTTCTGTGGTGTCAGAGTTACTGCTCGAAAAGCTCATCAAGTGTTCTCATATATTTAACTGTATTAATGTCCTATGGCTGCCATAACAAATTATTACAAATTTGATAGCTTAAGCAAGATAAACTTACTGTTTAACAGTTCTAGAGGCTATAAATCTGAAATCAAAGTGCTGACAGGGTTGGTTCCTTCTGGGAACTCCAAGGGAGAGTATGTTTCCTGTCCCTCTCCTAGCTTCTGGGGTTGCTAGACTCCTTTGGCATGTAGCTGCATTATTCCAATATCTACCTTTGTCTTCCCATGACTTTCTTCCTGTGTGTCTGTGTCCAAATTTCCCTCTTCTTACAAGGACACCAGCCATTGGTTTAAGGCTCACCTTAATCTAGTATGACCTTCTCTTAACTTGATTATATCTGCAAAGATTCTACTTTCAAATAAGGCCATACTCACAGAGCCTGAGGATTCTAACTTCAACATGTCTTCAGACACAATTCAACCCACAGCATTAATCAAATTAATTTTACTAAGATATTTGTAGTAATATAATAACAGCAGATATTTATTATGTGCTTGCTATTCACCAGGCATTGAGTTAACTATTGTCTTATTTAATCACAACACTCCTATAAAGCAAGTCCTGTTATCACCATAATTATTATCATACTGTTTCATATGAGGAGACTGAGAAGTAAAGAAGTATAGCAACTTGTCATAGGTGAGACAATGAACTGGCAGAGCCAGAACAGAAAAAAGTCAGTGTTGAGCCCAGAGCCAATGGTTTCTTCCAATATCCTGTGTAGTTGGTATCGGTTTTCAATGAGGTAATTGTTCCTGAAGCCAATATAAATATAGATTATTTCTCCAGTTACATTCTAGCATGTGGGGACCTTCTTTTGCTGCTGCCTCCTTCACAGGTTTTCCATTTGAAACTTCCTGCCCCTATGGGTATATATTCCCCAATTTTCATCTCAGGACGATGCTGCTTTTCTACAGCTCAGTGAACCACAGCCAAAGACAGCTGAACCTTTCCCTGGAGCTGCGCTGTTGCTCAAGGCGAATGTTCAATGCGTTTCCCCCTCAGAATCTCTGGCTCATATGCTGCTTATCTGCAGAGCCACAAGAGGCCATTCTACCCTTCCCATATGGCCTTAGTGTTTGTACAGTACTTTACAGAGAACTTGTGTTATTATTCCTCCTACTTGCAGAGAAGTCAGAAATTACTATTTTGGGGTGCAGCAAACTGATATTTTTGTTCTTCATTTGAGGTTTTACAAACTACATTAATTTCCTGCTGTGACAAGCAAAAATAAACAAGAAAGTGAAGATATATAAAGGCGCAGTTAATGACCCTCTCCATAGTGACTGCTCCACTTCCAAACCTTTGGCGTAGCCAATGTTAATAGCCTCATGTGCACTCTCCCATTTTCCCCCTTGTTCTGATATTCATATGCCAACATGAAATAATGTAAGGGTTTAGTCTAATTACTTTTTAACCAAATGGAATATTACACATATTACTTTGAAACCTGAATTTTTCATTTGGCAATGTGAATATAGCACACAGATCATGGATATTATCCGGCATTTAGTTTTCGGACTCTTTGTTTTCCTTAGTGCACTTATTCTCTTCATGATATCATTTAGTACCAAGACGTTAGAAATCTCTAGATTGCTGATTCCAAATTTCTACCTCCCAACAGGACCTTTGCCTGAATTTCAGACTTGTATATTCAACTGCCTAATCATTGTTAATCTTTGCCTGTCTCATAGATTTTTAAAAGTTAACCTGTTCACCGTGGAGCTCCTAGTGTTCTCACCACTCCTGTCCCCACCAAGCCGGCTATCCCTGGACTCTGCCTCATCTTAGTTTATGAAAATGCCATCATTCCTCTGGCTCAGCCTTCTAAAATCTTGTGAATCCTCTCTTTCTCTGTTATGCCACACTGAATCTTTCAAATCCCTTTTGCTCTTTCTTCAGACCATATTCAGAGTCCAGTCACTTCTGACCTCCTTTCCTATCTCCATTCTGGTTTAAGCCACTATGTTTTCTCACTCGCCTTGTTGCTACAGCCTCTTCACTGACCTCCCTGCTTCCTCCTTTATGCAGCTCTTTCAAGTCTTTTTTCATATATCACCTTCTCAGACAGCATCTTTCTAGATACTCTATTTATAACTGCAAAATAATCTGTACCCATGACATTCTGTACCCCTTTTCCAAGACTGATTTTTCTCCATAGCCTTTATTGATTTATATTAGTAATTATATCTGTATAGAATAATTATTATAAGTACATAGTAAAATAGAATGTTTTCATTACTCTGTCTACTCCATGATTGCTGGGACTTTGTACCTATTCCTTTTACTGCTATACCCTCAGAAAAATACCTGGCATCTAGTAGGTCCTCAAGGAAAAATAGTCAGTTGATGGAGGGATATTCCTACAAATCAGCAGACAGACACACACATAGATATTTATGTATAAACACATGTGTGTGTGTATGTATGTTTTGTTCTAATTTTATAGATAAACAGATAATTTTACATAAATTGAATTAGACTATATATGCTATTTTATTAAGTGCCATCTGTTTTTCCATTTTCTTCTATTTCTATTTCCAATTTCTGCTGTTTTTGTTGCTAAACATGTGCCCCCTGCCTCAAGCTATGCTAATAAACAGAAGGGCATCTTTTTATACATACTTTACTAATGCTTATATAACAATTTACAAACAAATAGAGATGTATTCATCTCTAAATACATAGAGAGTTAATTGTTTACTTTAGAAAAACATCATTATATCATAAATTTTTATATAATTCTCTGTATCTTAGTGTTCTTATCAATATTTAATAGAAATTATATCAAGTTAACTGTTATTCCTCAAACTCATTTTTAATGAATGCTCAGTATTCTATGAGGTGGATGCACTAATATTTATTCCATCATATCGTACCATTGCATATGACTTTGGTTTCCGATTTTCTTGCCCTGGTGAAACAATGCTGCAAAATACACCTTATATAATTTTTCTTTTGTTTCTGTAGGGTAGATTTACAAAAGTGAGATTTCTAGGTTGGAAGAGATTCCTGGGACAAAAGTGCATTTTTTTTATTTGAATAGGTTTTGCCCGTTTTGATTTCCTGGGACAAAAGTCCATTTTTTTTTTATTTGAATAGGTTTTGCCCTTTTTGATTCCAAAATGGTTATAATAGGCAACATTTCTACCAGTGATATATGCGACCACATCCCCCATCATTGCCAGCAATCAGTGTTTTGCCCTTTTTAACTCTTGCCAGCAGATGGGCATATAAGGTAATACCTTGTTGTTCCCTGTTTATAAGTGAACTTGAACATCTTTTCATATGTTTGCCGTCCACATGAATTTTCTCTTCTGTAACGTACACATATATAGACCTCATTATTTTATTTGTGATAACCTATTATCACCCTACATATTGTAGATACTAGTCTTTTATCTGTTATCTTCATTGCTATTTTCCCCAATCTTATTTTTTTATTAGCTTTATGTTATATTTTGGCATATACTTTTTTTTCTTTCTTTCCTTCCTCCCTCTTTGCCTCCTTCCTATACTACCCCATTCTTTCCCTCCCCTCCAATCCCCCTCCTCCCTTCCTCCCTCCCTCCCTCCCATCCTTCCTTCCTTCCTTCCTTCCTTCCTTCCTTCCTTCCTTCCTTCCTTCCTTCCTTCCTTCCTTCCTTCCTTCCTATCTCCAGGGCCTTCCTCTGTTACCCAGGCCGGAAGGCAGTGGTGTGATTATAGCTCACTGTAACCTCAAACTCATGGACTCACGCATCTTCCTGCCTCAAACTTTCCAGTAATTAGGACTATATGTACATATCACCACACCAAGCAAGTATTTTTTATTTTTGATGGCTATATTAATCAAAGCTCTTCAGAGAAAACCAACAGGATGTGGTGTGTGTGTATACATATATGTTCTGTATACACCTCTCTCCACACACACACACACACACGTACTATATATATATATACACACATGTATATATGTATGTATGTATACATATATGTAGACTATGTCTATAATACACACACACACACACACACACACACACACATATATATATATATATATATATAGAGAGAGAGAGAGAGAGAGAGAGAGATTTGCTGTAAGGAATGGGCTCCCATGATTGTGGAGGCTGAAATGTCTCAATATCTGTGGTCACCAAGTGGGAGACCCTGAAGAACCAATGACGTAAGTTCCTGTCCAAAAGCCAGCACTCTCAAGAACTAGGAAGGGTCAATGTTTCAGTCTCAGTCCAAAGATCAACAGCTCAAGCAGTCAGGTAGGAGAAGCATCCTTTTCCTCTTGGTAGAGTTAGCCCTTTTCTTTTTTTCTTTTCTTTTTTCTTTTCTTTCCCTTCCCTTCCCTTGCCTTCCCTTCCCTTCCCTTCCCTTCCCTTCCCTCCCCTCCCTCCCCTCCCCTCCCCTCCCCTCCCCTCCACTTCCCTTCCCTTCCCTTCCCTTCCCTTCCCTTCCCTTCCCTTCCCTTCCCTTCCCTTCCCTTCCCTTCCCTTCTTTCCTTTCCTTTTTTTTCTTTTCTTCTTTCTTTTCTATTCAGGTCTTTAATTGATGGGATGAGGTCCTCCTTCATTAGGGAGAGCAATCTGCTGCACTCAGTCTATGGATCCAAATGTTAATCTCATAAAAAATGCCTCACATTTGCACCCAGAATGATGTTTAACCAAATATTCAAGCATGTAGTGATCCAGTCAAGTAGACACATAAAGTTAACCATCACAATGGTCAATTATATCAATATTATTTTTTTTATCGCACCTGGGTTTTCTGTGTTCATTGGGGTCTCCTCAACCCCTAGGCTGTGCCTGTATAAGGTTCCTTGATTTTTTTATTTGATTTTCTCTGTTTTATAGTTTATCTATTTACTTTTTTTTTTACATTTAGTGTGAGATAGGAATCCAGCCTTATTTTCTTTGGAAGCATAAGCAATTGTGCTGGTTGTACATCCTTTTCCAATATTTTGAAAGACCACCTATGCCATATATTGCTTTTTAAATAAATACTGAGATTGATTTCTGAGTTATTTGTTACTTTTCTCTGTTTATTGCCATCCAACACTATATTGGTATGAAGACAAAGGAGCTGACACATTCAAGGAACATTCTGTACCAGTGAGCTGTCACTGCTTAGTGGCAACCCTAAAAATAAAATCATTGCTTCTGTATTGGCTGGGAAGCTCTTCCAGTCTGGATCACCTTGCTGATCACTTCTGGGCCTGACTATACACCTGTGGTCAGCTGGTAGGTTAGCTGGTAGCTGGATGATATGGGATGATCACATTCACATGGGTGACGTTGGTAGACTATTCACATCAGTGCCACAGTCTCCCTTGCATGACTTCTCATCCTCTAGCAGTTCAGGCTCCTTTCCACAGTAATCTCAGGATTCTCAGAGCATCAAGAAAGATAAAGCCTGAATGTGCAAGCACTTGTCAATCTTTGTTTGCATCATGTTTGCTAATGGTCCATTGGCCAAAGAAAATAAAATGGCCAAGCCCCCATTCAAGGGAGTTGAGGGGGAAGATTATACCATACCACATAGCAAGATGTATGTATGCAGGAATGGGAAGAATTCGTGGCCATTTTTGCCATCTACCACACATAAGAATCTGAATGAAAATTTGCCTTCTAGCATCAAATTTGATTGTGCCCCTCTCTAGCTTCTGAGACCTCCTATTGCATCCCCTGATCTACAGAATAAATTCCAGATTTGTTAGCATAGTATGGTCCAGCCCATGCCTGTCTTTGAGGTTCATGTCAACAATCCCCATTCACACATCCCCTGTGCTCCATTGTGCCAAGCTACTTTACCTTCCTCTCTCCTGTGTCTTTGCCCAAGTTCAGCCTGTGGAAAGGGATCCTGCCCCACCTTCCATATTTCTGCTTTGGCCCATCCTGGAGTAAAAGATGTCCCTCTTTTTCACTACCTTCTTGCTAGTTTCTACCCCCAAAAGAAGTGACCATATTCTTGGACAAAGCTGAGCATCCCTTGGACTTGTCGCTTGTATGTGGGATTCCCAAGTAAAGGGTCACTGTTCTCTTGTACCTGTATCCCTGAAAAGAGAAGCCTCCCTTAGCCTGGTGACAGAGTGAGACTCTGTCTGAAAAGAAAAGAGGAAGGAAAGAAGGAAGGAAGGGAAAGAGAAAGAAAGAAAGAAAAGAAAGAAAGAAAGGAAGGAAGGAAGGAAGGAAAGAAAGAAAGAGGGAAAGGGAAAGGGAAAGGAGGGGAGGGGAGGAGAGGAGAGGAGAAGAGAGGAGAAGAGAAGAGAAGAGAAAAAAGAGAGAGAGAGAAGCTTCCCCTTTTTTGCCTTATCACTTGTGGTCCATACAACAAGGCTAGTGCTTCCCCTGAGGAGGCAGCCCACCTGTGACTGGGTTAAAAGTCACAGGTGAGATATGAGGTAAAATATTCCAACATGTTTTTCAGTCAAGAGACTTGCCTTTGCAAATGTTTGGATTCTTTCTGAGCATTCAAAAAGCAAAAAGCAGATAATTTCATCTCATTTTAGGTAATTGATTCTCCTGTCTGTTAGTTAGACACAGGAGAAGAGGAGGGTGATGTCCTGGGTCTTGTACACCTGTGTCTGGAATGCTTTTCTGCTCTTTTTCAGAGATCTGCTTTTCAGTTAATATTCACTGACTGCCTGCTGGTGCCAATCATTGTACTAGGTGCTGGAGATACATCCATGGATCAGCTCTACGTGGCCTCTGGTCTGCTGGTGTTTGCAGGTCCAAAGTGACTCTCTTGTAAAGTCTTCCCTCATTTCACTCCCATCCCACCCCTGCCTCCTGTAGCTGAGCACATCTTTTTACCATTCTTACTCCTGATGCTTTATCTTATATGTTCTTTACATACATACACATGCACAGCTACTTCTATAAGCCACCCCAGGGAGGGGGAAGGATGATGTTAGAACAATAAGGGAAAGTTGCCTTTTAATCTGTGCTCACACTCAGAATAATTCCTATAACTCCAATCCCTTTACTTTCCTCCTTCCCCTTTCAGGGTCCCTGAAGATTCACGTATTCTCTCTAGTGATTAGTAAAATGTTCTGCTGGTAATTCCAGGACTGATTTCTGCTGTCTGCCTTGTGGCCATAGCCAGAGCTGCTGATTCTGCGCTGGATACAGCCAAGGCCCTGGACTGTGACTCCTATTACAGCCCTGCAGCTCTTTTTGGAGTGGGAAGGGGTCATTTTCCTGGGGTTAGAACTCTCTTTAGTTTTCTCAACACAGGATTACTGAACTCTGAAGAGGAAGAGGGTGTGCTCTGGGTCCTGTAAACCTGTGTCTGGAAGGCTTTTCTGCTCTTTTTCTCTGATTTACCTTTCATTTTTTTAAATGGATTTTAAGCAAAATCAGAGTCTTGAAACTAACCCAGACCTGATTCAGATAATATTTTAATGAAATTACTCTTTTTTTTGTACCCTGAACTATATTGTTATCATCATTATCCTCATCAAATTACGATTTATTATGTACTTGCTACATGACAAAAATTGTTCCTGTTTAATGTTTATAGTAACATTAATAGTTAAATCAGCCAGGCTTAGTGGCTCACACCTGTAATCTCAGCACTTTGGGAGGCCGAGGTGGGTGGATCACGAGATCAGGAGATCGAGACCACAGTGAAACCCTGTCTCTACCAAAAATACAAAAAAAAATTAGCCAGGCGTGGTGGTGGGCACCTGTAGTCCCAGCTACTCGGGAGGCTGAGGCGGGAGAATGGCGTGAACCCGGGAGGTGGAGCTTGCAGTGAGCTGCGATTGCACCACTGCACTCCAGCCTAGGCGACAGAGTGAGACTCTGTCTCAAAAAAAAAAAAAATATATATATATATATATGTATATATATATATATATATATATATATATATGTATATATATATAGTTAAATCTACTATATATATAGTTAAATCTACTATATATAGTTAAATCTACTATATATATATATATAGTTAAATCTACTATATATATATATAGAGTTAAATCTACCCATTGAGGGAGTTGAGGGATCAGAGGCTCAGAGAAGAAGAGAGACTTGCTCAGAGCCAGGGAAACCTCTTCCTGTTTCTCAGTCCTATTCCCAGTGTTCCAGGCTGATTTTCAGCTCCAGAGCATTCTCTTCTGTTTCCCCCAGAAGATTCATCAGGTCCTCAAGCCAGGAGGCTTTCTGGTGAGCTGCTCTGGCTGTGCACGGACCCTAAATCAGCAAACAGATTACCTCTTATCCCTTTCTCAATGTAGCAGAACCTGTTCCACTATATTGTCCTCATTTGTTGATGTTTTTTTCCCTGGCTGAACTGTGAGGAAGGAACTCTGTTATTTTCATCCTTGGAGTCTTGGAGCCCAGCCTAGGGCCTGGCATATTATATTGAACTAATCTGTTGAATAATCATGAACATGAGACACAGGCTGGTCCTTTGCTTTGATCTAAGACATAGGTCTGATCCAAGGCCCTGGGAAAGTGTATCTTCACAGACCCGTGAATATCGTGAAGACAAAATAATCACTCTCCTTATCCTCAAGCCTCTGGTCTTCAGGGAAACCGCATTTATTGCTAATGAGTGAGAAATAGCACAGAAATAATAATTAGACATGAAAAAGAAGCAGGAGCTCCAGGAAAACAACCTACGTCTATGGTGCACTGATAAATCACCGCACCATATATAGTAGCCATTATTATTACTTCTGTAGTAGTCATCATGTCTAATATGATGGTAAACTAATTACATGGATTATCTCATTTAGTCTTCCTAAGACCTGATAGGAAGGCACTATTATTTTACCCATTTCATAGATAACAAACTCTAAAGCACAGAAAGGCTAAGTAGCTTGCCAGTAGCACAGTACAAATAATAGAGCTATGCTTTAAATCAAGTCAGTAGGACTCCAGGGCTCATGTCTTTAAAAGTGAGATGGCAAAACAATCCCATCATGACATTTCAGACAATGTTTTGAAAGCCAAATAGGGCTTCACTTTGTTTTGGCATTAACAGACAGGACAGTATGACTGGAGTTGACCCAGTAATGAGTCAGAAGTCTCAGTCTCCTGTCCTGACTCTGACAACTAATTTGCAAAGGTCATCTGGGCTACAACTTCTTCAGTTTAGAATGATAGATGGAGATAGCTGGTCATGGCAAAAATATCATGGGTTTTGCAGGCAGACAAAGTTTAAAGTTGGTTTTGCCACATGATGTGTGTTCTAGGACAGGTGACTTAATTCTTCTAAACATCTGTATTTCACATCTGGAATGGGCATATAAACCCCTATGATAACAAAAGCTGTTGGGGAGCAGTAAATACGTTCTATAAAGAGACAAGCTCAGGTTGGGCACATGACAGCTGCTCAGATCAGCATTCCCACAATATGCTCCAGTCCTTTTGCAGGTAGCTTGTGTTCCCAGAGCTCCTACGTCTCCTTTATGTCTAATTTTCTTTGTCCTCCTAATACAAGCAACCCTCATGATCTGTGGCTGCAGGTTTGTGGTTTGGATGTTTGTGTGGCATGGCACCCTGGCTCCTTGTTTTAACGATGTACTTTTCTTGATACCGCCTTTGGCTGCCCTGGGTGTAGGATTTCTGCAATGTCTCAGAAGGCTTTAAGGGAGTCTGAATAATTCGGCCATCTTTCCCTTCTGAGGTTTTGGACTAAGGGAGTACAATGCACAAAGGGAATAAAAACAAATCCTCAACTGGAAGAAAATGCTTTATCAGTAGTCAACCAAGATTCCAATACCCACTAATATATAGATCTCTGAGAATTTTGAGTTAGTGTGTGATAAAGTCTGGATGAAGTGTGGTGTCTTGTCTTCTTCAAACTCAAATATTGGGGCTCAGGGACTAAAACGTGCATATACAGGAAGGAACATTTAGATGGGTGCCATGTTTTCTGAGCATATTCACCCTGATGAACACATGGGTGGGAAGAGGGAAGCTAACAGGAGGATCAACCTTCCCTAGAGCTCAGGGTCTGCCCAGGAGAGTTTATTGTACCAGGAGACAGGGTGATAAAGCGACGGGGCAACCTGAGTTCCTGCCCAACAAGACACAGTGGCCTGCCCTCCAGGAAATGTGGCCCAATGAATGCTTGGGCTCTGTTCAGTAAGCTTAATGATGCCTCCTTCTGAGAGAGGGATTCAGGAAGAAGTAGAGAGAGGTGAGCCTAGCATGAGAGAAAAGTGGTAGAAATTTCCTCTCCACAACCTATTAATCAGAAAGGACTCTTCAATGCATTTCCTTTTCAAGTGACTGCATAATTCACTTGTTAAATTTCTAGATTATCAAGCTGGAAAGGATCATTCAGGACATCTAGTCTATCCACAACTTTTGGATAAGTAAACTAACCACTAACAAGAATAAATGATTTACCTAAAGAATTCCAGGGTTCTGGGTTGCTCAACCAGCATTTTCCCTCATAGGAGGGTCCACCTCTGATCTTGAAGTGCTGTTATGTTTTCTCTATATTCCATTTTCTCTTATGCTTGTTTCTTTTTTTCCCTTTTACACTTTTTTTCTTTCCATTCAGCCCTAATCTATAAACTACTGATAACCAGAAAGAATTTATTCATGTACGCAGAAAACTGTTAAAAGGGCAACTCATTCCTAAGTACATACCCAATATAAATAAGTGTTGATAGCCACCAAAATAATTAGACATGAATCTTCACATCAGTTTTATTTGTAATACTCCCAACTGGAAATTACTCATATGCCCACAACAGAAGCATGGATAAAAAGTTGCAATGTATTCATACAATGGAATACTACACAGCAATAAAAAGGATGAACTGCTAGCACATACAATAACATGGATGTATTTTGAAGATCTTAAGTAAGAGAAAGCAGACACAGAGGATTATATACTCTATGATTTCATTTATATGAAGTTCAAGAATGGCCAAAACTAATCTATAGTGATAGAAGTTGGAATAGTTGGGGTGGAATTGGGAGCTATTGACTGGGAAGGGGTGCAATGTAACTATTTTTACATGGGTGCATGGATATGTGAAAATAATCTGGCTTTGAGCTTTAGAGTATATTTATTATTATTATTATTATTATTATTATTATTATTATTATTATTTGAGATGGAGTCTCACTCTGTCACCCAGGCTGGAGTACAGTGGTGCAATCTCAGCTCACTGCAACTTCTGCCTCCTGGGTTCAAATGATTGTCCCACCTCAAGCCACCACGTAGCTGGGATTACAGGCATGCACCACCACACGCAGCTAATTTTTATATTTTTAGTAGAGATGGGGTTTCACCGTGTTGGCCAGGCTGGTCTCAAACTCCTGACCTCAAGTGATCCACCTACCTCAGCCTCCCAAAATGCTGGGATTACAAGCATGAGCCATAGCACCTGGCCTATAGTATATTAATTGTATCTATGTTTAAAAAATCTTTAAGAAGCAGTAGAACAGCAAAAAGCTCTACAAATAGGGAGGGGGATTAACATATCCAAACCTGGGCTATTAAAGTTACTGTAACTGAATATCAAATTTAACTTTGAGGTAGTAGCCAATGAAAAACTTCCAAATGATTTTCATTCCCTTTTTAAAAATAAAATAAAAATGGTCAGAAGATAAATATTTTAAAAGAGATTTTGTCTTTCTAAAATCCATTTATCATACAGCCTTTTAAATGAAAGACACTGACCAATATAATGGGAAAAACTTCTGATAATAATTCAGCAGAAATATTGAGATATCTTAATATGTTCTTTTTTTCTATTAAGCTTTTATAAAGCTCCCATTTATAAGGAAGAGCAATGACTTTTTTTTTTTTAACAGAAAAAGAAGCTATGAGATCCAGGAAGACAGTCAGTTACCTAACTCCCAAGAGACAGAGCTTAGACACACACACACACACACACACACACACACACACACACACACACACACACACGTCACCCAGGGATCTTGTTAAAATGCTGTCTCTGATTTAGCAGGTCAGGGTGCAGCTGAGATTCTGTGATTCTAGCAAATCCCCAGGGAGTTGCTTTTGCTGCCAGAACACACAGTTTGAGTAACAAGGGCTTACACCACTCAAGAAGTGTTTACCCATCCATGTTAGTCTGTTTTCTTGCTGCTGATAAAGACCTACTTGAGACTGGGCAGTTTACAAAAGAAAGAGGTTTAATGGACTCACAGTTCCACATAGCTGGGGAGGCCTCACAATCACGGTGGAAGGTGAAAGGCATGTCTCACATGGTGGCAGACAAGAGAAGAGAGCTTGTGCAGGGAAACTCCCCTTTAAAAAAACATTAGATCTCTTGATACTTATTCGCTATCATGAGAACAGCACAGGAAAGACATGCACTCAACAATTTCACTACCTCCCACCAGTTCCCTCCCGTGACAAGTGGAAATTGTGGGAGCTACAATTCAAGATGAGATTTGGGTGGGGACACATCCAAACCATATCACCATCGTTTGTGTTATAGTGTTGAAATTATTTGTTAAAAATCAGATTTCTGAGCTCCCTCTCCATAGGAGGAGGGTCCATGGATACTGCTGCCTTTTTAAAAAAATGAATATCTTTTTTCATACCAGTACCATGCTGTTTTGATTACCACGGCCCTGCAGTATAGTTTGAAATTGGGTGGCATGAGGCTTCCAGCTTTGTTCTGTTTACTTGAATTCCCTTGGTTATTTGGGATCTTTTTTGGTTCCATATGTATTTCAAAGTAGCTTTTTCTAGTTCTGTGACACATGTTGTTGGAAGTTTGATACAAATTGCATTGAATCTATAAATTGCTTTGGGCAGTATGGCCATTTTTAATGATATTTACTCTTCTTATTTATGAGCATGGCATGTTTTTCCATTTGTCTGTATCAACCGTGATTTCTTTGAGCAGTGTTTTGTAGTTCTCATTGTAGAGATCTTTTACCTCCCTAGTTGGCTGAATTCCTTATTTTATTATTTTTTGTGGCAATTGTGAATGGGATTGCCTTCCTGGTTTGGCATAAAATTCTGACATATACTAAAATTTTGGAGCTACTGACAGAGAAATTGGCTTATCACATGCCCCTTAAATTACAATCCTCCAGTAAGTATATTTTTTTGCAACCAATTTCATAAATCAGTAAAAAATGAAGGAAAAGGTAAAGAACATATTTTTAACCTTTCAGAGACATCACTCACTTATTGGATGTACAGTTTACTTTCGTTCATTCAATCCTCATAAATATCCTATGAGGTAGGAGTTATTGTCCATATTTTAGAATTAAAAATAATAGATAATCATCACTGAGCATTGAGTGTGTCCTAAATATTATGCTAAAGGCTTTTAAAGCACCATCTCAAAGAGCAGCCAAATGAAATAGGCACTAGTGTCATCTTCTCCACTTTACAGTTGACAAATTGGAGACAGGGAGATTACTTCAGAGCCTGTCTGACTTTCTAGTGCTCAAGCCTCACCATTGCCCACAGGGCCTCCCTGCACTGACTGACATTGCATAGGAAGCAGCAGGGCCAGCATCTAACTAAGATTGTTTAGATTTCATTTTTTTTTGTTTTAACTATAACAATTTGGCCAGTGGACACATTTTATTTTCCTTTCATTTCACTATTATTACTCCATCTTTCAATTATTTTGCTTTGAGGAGTACCAATGAGAAGACACAGGAACTCAGACTATAATTACTAACATCTGTATAGTATTTTACAGTTTACAGATTATGTACAAAATATTTGGGCTGATTTGATTCCCCAAACCACATGTATCCTTTAAGATCCAGGAAAACTGAGTTCCAGGAAAATGTAATTGATTTATCTGGGATTTAGACTCTAACCTTTTTATTCCATATCTGTGAGCTCCTACTAGACTAGTCTGTCAAGTGGGGTGGGGTGGGAGAAGAGCCAAAAAACAGTGTGGGAGAGAGAGGGAAAAGCCTTCACTTGGAGCCTAGAATGTGGTGTGCTAGTCCTGGCCCTGCCACCAGCTCCACACTACCTCAGGAGATTTGGTTTCCCTTTTTGGGCCATAAAATTTTAATATAAAATGAAGGTTTAGAGTAGACTAGCTATTTTTAAATAGCGTTAGTTCATTTTTATTAAAACCTTTTCTTTTAAAGAAGTCTCACAACAGACCATTAACTCATGAAGCAAATCTTACAGCAGGCACTTAACAATTAGATCACCAGCAACCTACCTTTTCCATTCTAGGGCAAGGTAAGAATTGTTTGTTTTTATCACTGAGTACTAGAACAGTGTCTGCCACATAGCAGGTACTCATTATATGCTTGTTGAATGAATAAGACTCTTTTATGGATTCTTTGGGGCACAGTAAAGAGACCATTGAATCAACAGGTCTGAAACTTCCCTGTGGTTCTAGGAGGCCACTTTTCTGGGAAACTAAAACCTCTCGTAAGAGTTCAGATCTAATACAGAGATTTTTCTGAATGTTCATTTACATACAAGGACCTCAGATGTTTCCAGACAAACTAATTTCCACAAGTACAGAATTCTGCATCACTATTTTTCACATCGTGTTATATAATAGGTTTAAGAATTGGATACTTTGGCTTGCATTCTTTTTCAAGAAAATACCAACTGTAGAGCAAAACAAAGCAGACAAAAACTGAATGTACTTAGTGTCTTCGTTTTTTCCCTTGTCGTGACTTCTGTGCACGCATCCTTCTCTTAACTCTTCTGAAAGGTTTCTGGATTATCATGGAACTAGTCTTCTTCTTTTGTTGGGGGAGGTATGTTGTCTACAGATCTGAGCATACCACAGCCAAGACTTTATTTCTTTTGTTTTTGGATTAAAAGAAAAAACATTTTAGCATGAAATCTTTTTAAAATGCCAGAAAGTGGAAAAAATAGTACAACAAACCTTTATATATTCACTATATTTTACAGTTGCCAAGACTTTGTCATATTTACGTTATACCCATTTTTCTTTTCTTTTTGCTGTCTGATGAATTTCAAAGCAATTCAGACATCATGTCATTTCACCCCTACTTCAGCATACTACAAACGTTTACTTTTATTTGGGCCAACAAAAATTTATTTTAAACTTTGGGTAGGAGAGTAAACATAGCTCACTTTCAATTATCTTTTTAAGTGACCTCAGTTATTTAATCAATACATTGATAACTGTGATTGCTCACATTTACCTAAAGCTTTATATTTATATGTGCACATGTGTGTGTACAGTGATATGCAAATGACACTATCCTTATGCTCTTCTTTAATCCCTGTACCTACTTCCTAAGACAGGGACTACTTCTGTCTCTATTTTACCTATGAGAGAACTGAGGCTAGGAAATGAAGGATGTTGACTTGACCCCAGAGCCTTTGCTGTGCACAGCCTGCCATATTGCCGCTTGGAAATTTGTCTCCACTTAGGACACACAGCTTTCTTTTTTTCTGCTGTAGAATTGCAGAATGTGCTATAAGGACCTTAGAAATTACCTGAGGCAACAATGCCCATCAGTAGCTCACCATTAGAATTACCCCATTCCCAGGTACTTTTGTAGATCGATTAAACTAGGATTGCTGGAAGAAGGCCCCTGTTCTAGAATTTGTAGTAGCTCCCTAGCTAATAGCCAGGGCTGAGGACCATTAATCTACTCTAAGGCAAACTCCTAAATATTAAAACTAGATTAAGGCCTATTGAAATAAAAGGACGTATTCAATATCTCTTAGTTCACTCCTGGAAGATATAGGCCTAGAGTCCAGGCATAAGGAATTGAGACATTCTCCTTTGGGTTCTTCTTTTTACTACATGGAAAGGAGGCACGGAGAATATTTCTTAGGTCATTTTTGATAACACATCCTTTTATCTATTTTCAGAGGCTTAACTGTTCAGTCTACTATGACTCCTAAATCCTTGCTGGCCAAGCTGTTGACTTTGTTCTCATGCAGCCAAATCCTGGCCCCCTGTGCTGATATTTGTGATATTTTGGCAACTTCATTGTGCTTTAGAATTTTGTCATATAGTACTTGAACACATGGAATTAACATTTTTTATTAGCAATAGAGTGTGTGGGAATCTTTGATTTAGTTCATGAATCTATGTGTTAAGAGGACCATGTTTGAGATAGAGTTCATCTAGAACAATGTCTTTCAAATTGCTGGTTGTTGTACATTAGCAGATTCTGAAATAAATGTGTGAGTCATGACCAGAATCTAAAAAAGAAAAATAGAAAATAAAATGAGAGTCCATTGGACAGAATAAATGATGTGTGTGTGTGTGTGTGTGTGTGTGTGTGTTTGTGTGTAGATGGTTAGTATGTATACAGTTGACTCTTGCTGTGCAGGTCTGTTTAGATGTGGATTGTTTTCAAAAAATATATTGAAAGAACTTTTGAGACTTGCTACAATTTGGAAAACTAGCAGATGAACTGAGTATCCTAGAAATACCAAAAAAGTAAAAAAAAGTATATGACAAATTCATAAAATAGTAGATACTATTCTAAAATAGTAGATCTAAAATAGTAGCTACTAGTAGAGAGTAGTAGATAGTAGATCTAGAATAGTAGATACTAGTCTATTTTATCATTTGCCACCTTAAATATACATAAATCTATTATGGTGCCCCTCACAGTTGAGACAAATGTAAACAAATGCAAAGATGCAATATTAAATTATAACTGCATACAATTAACTGTAATAATACTGTACCACTGTAATAATTTTGTAGTCACCTTCTGTTGCCATTCTGGTGAGCTCAAGTTTTGGGAATATACATTTAAAATGCCGAGTGATGCTAATCATCTCTACATGAGCAGTTCATGTCTCCAGTAAATTTTGTATCACAGTGAAAAGTAATTTCTTATAGCTCTTATGTGTTTTTCATTGTGTTTAGTGCAATACCAAGTGACATGGGACTTATACAAAGGCAGCACCACTAGTCATGCTGGAAGTTTCCCCAAGAAGCAGGGAAAATTCATGACGTGATATATAAGAAAAAGTTGAATTGCTTGATATGGACCATTGATTGAGGTCTGCAGCTGCAGTTGCTGCCATCTTAGACCGACTGTTCATCTTGTAAACTTACAGAATCAATAAATACGGTACAGTACTCGAAACATATTTTTCTTCCGTATGATTTTTAATAATATTTTCTTTTCTCTACCATCCTTTATTGTAAGAATATTGTATATAATACATATAACATACAAAACATGTGTTAATCAACTATATGTTATTGGTAAGGTTTTGGTCAAGAGCAGGCCATTAGTAGTTAAGTTATTGGGAACTCAAAAGTTGTGACTACATGGAGGTTAGTGCCCCTAAACCATGAGTTGCTCAAGGGTCAAATGTCTATGATACATAGTCATGCATCACTTAACAATGGGGATATATTCTGATGTTGTCAGGTGATTTTGTCAGTGTATGAACATCATAGAGCTTCTTAGACGAATCTCACTGGTATAGTCTGCTACACACCCAGGCTATATGGTACAGCCTGTTGCTCCTAGGCTACAACATCATCATAAGTGCAGTCCATGGTTGGCTGAAACGTCTTTATATGGCACATGACTAAATGCGTGTGGGTGTGTGCATGCGTATAGTGGACCATAATGTGAAATGCACTTTTTTGATGGGGTAACAATACAAGAAGCTTGGGAACTATTGTTTTAGAAGATATATCTAAGGAGTATAGGATTGACGACTTATTCTCACCTTTGTCTCCCTTGTGTTTTATGCACTCTCTTGTCGTCTTATGAAGTCAGCATACACAGCTGGGCATGGTGGCTCACACTTGCAACCTCAGCACTTTGGGAAGCCAAGGCAGGCAGATCACTTGAAGCCAGGAGTTCAAGACCAGCCTGGCCAACAAGGCAAAACCCCATCTCTACTAAAAATACAAAAATTAGCTGGGCATGGTGGTGCATGCCTGTAATCCCAGCTACTCAGGAGGCTAAGGCACAAGAATATCTTGAACCCAGGAGGTGGACATTACAGTGAGTTAGGATCATGCCACTGCACTCCAGCCTGGGATACAGAGCAAGACTCTGTCTCAAAAGAAAAGGAAAGAAAATAAACGAAAAGAAAATAGCATATACACGCATACACAAAATTATGTCTAAGTATAAACATTAGAATAAAAATACATGAGAATTGACTTTAATATTTGGCAATATAACATTGTGTACAAAAGAATTAGATTGCTCTTAAGTAACTCCAGAGGGCAGAACTTAGAGGGCAATGGATGGGAATCATGAGACACAAGATGCTGGTACCTGTAGCTATATATATAACTAACTTTTGCAAAGAACCGGTCTGCTTTACAAAAGAGTGGGCTCCCTGTCTTTTTCACATTATACAAATATATCTCAGGATGGTTATTTGCCAGTGTTGTTATGTTGGGTTGAAAAGCTGGGCTCCAGCTTGAGCTCAGGGCCTTTCAGTTCTCTGGGGTCCTTGAGAAAACATCATACGTAAGTGCCAGAGGTACGAAAGAGCGCTGCATATCTGTTAGATGATTAGATATAGGTAGTTTCTGTACTTAGAACATAGATTGTGAAGTAGGGGCTGTAGAATCACGTAGGGCTATGCTCACATCAAGTCTCCTAAGTCTAATATGGATTTCTAATTTCATTATTCTTGATTTTATCATGAGGGTAGTGGGATACTATTAAAGGGTTTAAAGCCTGGGCAATGGTCCAATCAGATTTGTATTTGAAAAGTCTGGTTTGGAGCCAGAGGGTTAGGTGGTGCTTGCCATGTCTTGGTACAAGCTGGATGGTAGGTCTGATGAAGGGGTGGGACAGGAGCAAATATTCGAGAACAATCCAGGAAAGACTCAGCAGTACCTGGGATTTGACTGGATACAGAGAGCAATGAAGAAGAAAATGTGTGTGGTGGCATGGTTAAAGCCCAGCCCCTGCAGTCAGACAGAAAAGGTGGCATCTACTTTTGAGTTTTGTGTATTTAGGCAAGTAAAGCTTCAGCTCCGTGGTCTGTGGAATGGAATGATAACAGCACTTTGTAAAGCTGATGAAAGAATTTAATAAAGTAGGCCGGGCATGGTGGCTCATGCCTGTACAAAGTGGCCCAGCACTTTGGGAGGCTGAAGCGGGCAGATTACCTGAGGTCAGGAGTTCGAGACCAGCCTGGCCAACATGGTGAAACCCCGTCTCTACTAAAAATACAAAAATTAGCCAGGCATGGTGGCACACACCTGTAATCCTAGCTACTCGGGAGGCGAGGCAGGAGAATTGCTTGAGCTGGGGAGACGGAGGTTGCAGTGAGCTGAGATCGTGCCACTGTACTCCAGCCACCAGCCTGGCCGACAGAGCAAGACTGTCTAAAAAAAAAAAAAAAGAATTTAATAAAGTAATGTATGTAAGCACTTAAGAGCTATGTATTTTTTTTGTCTGTGTGGGCCCAATCATTCTCAGAGAAACCTCCCACCATTTTCATAATGCTCTACATTAAATATATGGGCATAAAAAGAGAAGTATGCCACAGTGCCTGGTGAGGACAAAATTATGTAAGCGAGTCTCTTTAATAATTCTGTCTAACCAGGGCTTGACTTTTCCTAGGTGTGCTAAACATTATGCAAAAATCAAACACCGAAATCAATTAGGATCTCAACAATCTGAATTTACTCTACTCTTTTGACTTTATTTCTAGCTGTCAAGATTTAAATCCGAACTATTAAGAAAACCAATTCTAAACTTCTAGAAATGAGAAAACCTTGTTCACCTTGAGGGTATGACAAAATCTATCTGTTTTAAATCCGTCATTTACACACAGGATTTTCTCCCTTGTAGTTCTCTAAACCAAAGACATTACATTGAAGCTCTCTGGCATAAATAAGTGAAACAATGTATAGGTTCCTCCAAAGACTATTTGGTAAAAATTGTAAATAGAATCTTAATTATAATGTGTGCTTATAAACATTGATTTATTATTTAATTAACCAATTTTTGTTGGTAGAAAATTAGTATATCTGTTTGACGTTCATCATCTTTGTGTCATCAGTAGTCTGATGAGAAAAGATAGAGTCCACATGTGTGTGGAGGAAAAGTATGGTAAGAACTGCATCAGTGCCATCCTGTGTTTTGAACCTCCTCTGACACAGCCCTCTTCATGTTTCAGAACTACTGCCACAGCCTTGTATCTGATCTTCATGCTCCCAGATCCTGGCTTCTGCAATCCATCTTCCATATTAACAAAAGATTCCTCTGCAACGCAGGTCTTCTCAAATTGTATTCCGCATTAAAGCTCTTTGTGAAAAGCCCAGTATAACCAGGGGGATGCCCACACTACCTAGCAAAGTAAAATAACCCTCCACATCTGCTCCTAGTCTTTTACTGTCACCTCAGTGTCTTCTCCAATAATATTGTGCTCTACCTACCCACACCATGGACCATTCTGAGTCTGCTCCAGATAGAACCTACCTCTGGCATGTCTTCTGTCCTTTACAACTGGGTAAACCCTTAATTATTTTTAACATCCAGCTTCAGTAACTCATTTTCCAGATTTAAATCAGTCGTGTTTTCTTACTGATAAAATACTATATGAAAAAAAGCTACAAGGAACTTACCAATATCTTTAGTGCATTATTATTTTATTTATCATAAGAATATGTAATTGCTACTGGGCACGGTGGCTCACGCCTGTAATCCCAGCACTTTGGGAGGCTGAGGTGGGTGGATCACGAGGTCAGGAGATCGAGACCATCCTGGCCAACACGGTGAAACCCCATCTCTACTAAAAATACAAAAAATTTAGCCGGGCGTGGTGACGAGCATCTGTAGTCCCAGCTACTCGAGAGGCTGAGGCAGGAGAATGGCTTGAACCTGGGAGGCGGAGCTTGCAGTGACCCGACATGGCGCCACTGCACTCCAGCCTGGGAGACAGAGCGAGACTCCCTCTCAATTTAAAAAAAAAAAAAAAAGAATATGTAATTGCTTATGAGAATTTCAGTTTATTTATATAGGTAAGATATCTACTCATTCTACAGGCAGATTCTGGGTATGCATTTATGCCTGCCTAAATCCCTTATCATGGCTCTAAGGACACCGTATTCCTACCTGTAGCTTGCAGTTTGGAAACCCCAGAGTCAGAGAAATGACATATGCATTCACTGTGCAAACGGAGAGGGTAGGAACTGTTATAGACTGAATTATGAACCCACAAAATGTAAATGTTGAAGCCCTAACCCTCTGTATTAATCCATTTTCATACCACTGTAAATAATCACCTGAGACTTGGTCATTTATAAAGGAAAGAGGTTTAATTGACTCACAGTTCAGCATGGCTGGGGAAGCCTCAGGAAACTTACAATCATGGTGGAAGGTGAAGGGGAAGCAAGAAATCTTCTTCACAAGGCAGTGGGAAGGAGAAGTGCTGAGCAAAGGGGAAGAGCCCCTTAAAAAACCATCAGATCTCAGGAGAACTCACTCACTATCACGAAACTACCATGGGGGAAACCGCCTCCATGATCCAATCACCTCCACCTGTTCTCTCCCTTGACCAAACATGGGAGTTAAGGGGATTAAAATTCAAGATGAGATTTGGGTAGGGACACAAAGCCTATAGTTAATATCACCCCCAATGTGATGGTTTTTGGAGACAGGGCTGTTAGGGATGTTAATAAGGTTAAATGAGGTCATAAAGATGGGGCCATAAACAACCTAAGGATTGGTGTCTTTATAAGAAAAGGAAGAGATACCATATATCTTTTCCTCCCTGCAAACATAGAGGTAATGTCATGAGAGGACACAGTGAAAATGTGGTTGTCTACACACCAGGAAAAGTGCCCTCAGGCAAAACCAACCTTGCTGGCATCTTGATCTTAGATGCCAAGCCTCCAAAACTGAGAAAATGTTCCCTGCCCTGTGTCCAAGTGTTCTCATTGTTCAATTCCCACCTATGAGTGAGAACATGCGGTGTCTGGTTTTCTGTCCTTGTGATAGTTTGCTGAGAATGATGGTTTCCAGCTTCATCCATGTCCCTGCAAAGGACATGAACTCATCCTTTTTTATGGCTGCATAGTATTCCATGGTATATATGTGACACATTTTCTTAATCCAGTCTATCATTGATGGACATTTTGGGGGTTGGGGGGCTGGGGGAGGGATAGCATTAGGAGAAATACCTAATGTAAATGACGAGTTAATGGATGCAACAAATCAACATGGCACATGTATACCTATGTAACAAACCTGCGCGTTGTGCACATGTACCCTAGAACTTAAAGTAAAATTTAAAAAAAAACTAGAAAATAAATTTCTGTTGTTTAATTCACCCAGGTTGTTTCATTTTGTTATGGCAGTCCTAGCAGATGAATTCAAGACCCACTCAACTTGCTGCCTATCTTTTCTTCTCCAGACAATAGCTTATTGTCCTAATATCTAGTTGGAGCAAGACTACCTCTGCTCATGAAAAGATCTGATCGTGCACATCTTTTTCCTATTCCACCTTCAGTGACATCACAGTAGTAGCATAAAATCAGACATTGCAGAACTATTTACACTCTGGAAATCAGCAAACACTACACATCACACTTTTACTCTGGAGAACTTGTTGTTAACCATTTACCAACATACTCTTGCTCATTTGTCATTTCCTAGTCTCTCAGATTGGGTCAAGCCTCCTATTTTGTGATACCATAACCCCATGCTCCCCTTCTTTGTAGCATATACTTTACTTGTAGCTTGATGTTCATTTGCAGTACGATGATTCCTAGAAATAATATATATTTAATATTGATTACAGGTCCTGGTACAAAATGTTCAATCAATTTAAATTATTAAGTGTCTACATAATTTGTTAATTAATGTTTTTCTTCCCCTCCACGAGACTGTGGGTTCCATCAAGGCAGAACTACATTTCTTGTCTATCCTCAGGACCTAGCACGGTACCTGCCCATGGTAGATGAACGACGACAGAGTGAAAAAGGAATAAGTGTGATCACCATATTCTGCTGCTGCAGACAGCTCTCTGATCCACTCCCTAAACATTTGCCACTCAGAGTGAGGAAGCTTGATTTTTCCATATTACCTGTAAAGGGGGTGTAGTTGAGGTTCCTCCTTTGGCTGTGTGTGATTCTTTCACACTTGTGGTCATAAGCATTTTAATCTGTCCCTCGGGGTTTAAAAAAGTATTAATATAAGGACAAGTTTCCTAAGAGACTAGGTAACCTTTACAAAATGTTTAGTGACTAGGAACAACAAATGGATCCTGAGGATACATTTCTAGAAAAGGGACTTAATTTGGTACTTACCCATTCACAGTTGGCTTCTCTCCTCTGTGTAATACTCTGGCTTTGATTTGGTTGCTATGGTTGTCCCCAAGAGCTGCTGTCTTAAGAAAATGCATTTTCTTTCATTGTCAGTTCTGAGGATGTTGCAAAAAGATAGTTATGAAGCATTTTTAACTTTCATTTTCTTAGTTGATTCATTAGTAAGAATGTAGTTCAAGTGTGGCCTCAGTAAGTTTTTTCACTGATGAGAATATATTCACATAAAAACACAGCCTCCCAACACTGACTTTCAACCATGACAGGCCTCTGGTGCTTCCTGCTAGCAAGCTGGATCTTGCATCTTTAATAAGAACATCAGGGTGCTTAGCAGCCAGGGCTGCATGGCAGAGGCAGTATGTGTGGATTTAAAGGTCAGTTCAGGAAAATGAGAAGATTTGTTTTTCAGTACTTTGTTTTGCAAGCAGTTCATTTGAAGTATCTCAGATCTTACAGCACCAGGAATCCAGTGTACAAGTTTTAATAACGTTGATGGCCAATCATGACTTTGTCTTCTTAGCACAAATGTATTGCCAACATGAGAGGCCCCTGAGATTCTGGAAAGGGCGTTTGGTTAGAAGTCAGGAGACCTGGTCATTCGTTCTGTCCCTGCTATTAATAATGCCGCTAATAAAAACAGTTCACACTCCTGTACTCTTGCATTGTGTCAGACACTACGTTAAGTGATTTATAAATGCTGAAAGGTTGAAGAGGTTGAAATCCTAACTCACAAGGAAACTCAGCTAGGCAGTCAGAATGTAGTTTATTTTTTCCGTGTTTGTTCTAGCTTTCCTGTTAAGCTTCATGCACTGGTTCCTAGAAAATAAAATATTATTTAGCGCAGTCTAAATTTAGCCAACTCAGTACTTTTAATCTGAGCTGTCCAATAATATAGCCACTAGACACATACTCCTCTTTAAGGACTTTTAAAATTTGGCTAATCAAAATTGACATAGGCTGTAAATACAAAATACACATCAGATTTCAATGACTGTGTATGAAAAAAGAACATAAATGTAGTAATTGTTATATTCATTGCATGTTGAAATAGTATTTTGACAATATAGGTTAAAACATATTGTTTAAATTAACTTCATTGTTTCTTTTTACTTTTATTTAATGTGGCTATGAGAAAATGTAAAACTATGTATCTATTCATCTGATGTTTCTGTCCCACTCCTGAGGTGTTCTCAGTGTTTCTCTTCTCAATTTCAACTCTTCACTCTGCAGGAGAGAATTGCCAGGTTGGGAAATGACTACCTTTTTCTTCACATTTCTTCATTGGATAAATCAGTGAGAGTCAGTGACTTAAATATCCATCAAGGAAGATTTTTAGCAGGCTCATTTTGATTTCTCACACTGATCCGTGCCTGCAATCTAGTGCTAGTTGTAGAACAATAGAAGCTAAAGTATGTTTTTTTTTTTAATCACTGATTCTTTTGTGTTATTTATAATTTGGTTTAGTATTCAAAAAAGAAAAGAAAAGAAAGAAAGAAAACAGATGCAATTTAATGAGCCATACAAGATCCCTGTAGTGGCTGAAGCTTGTGACTCTTACAGATGCTAATCTCGACTTTGTCTCTGGCTGGAAGTCTGAGGGGGTTTCTGGCTTATTTGGCCTCACTTTGGTACCCACTGGCTGCAAATCCTGACTCTTTGCACCATCCCCATGCAGCTCACTGGCCTGGGGGTCCTGTCCACCACTCTGTTGATGGATCTCTGTCACCTTTCCTGACAGGAACCTTGATAGCCACTGGATCTTCCCTTGGCATAGGCCCCTTGAGGAATAAGGGAGGCTCAAGGAACTATACAGCTGATGTCCCTCTGTGTGACTACTCTGCCCTGTCTGATACCTGGAGGTGGCTGTGCCCAGAAGGCAGAGATACAGAGCAAGTCTTTCTGTGCTGCCCCTACCAGTGTAGCCAAATGGTGATGAAATTGGCAGTATTTGCAATGGTTAAGTACACAGCTTCAGAAACTAGATTGCTTGGATTGGTCCTGGCTGAGCCTCTGACCATGTGATATAGGGCATATTTATTACCATCTCTGCATCTACCTCTTCATCTGAAAATGTAGACAATAATATCCACTTCTGCTACAGGGTTATTGTGACAATTAACCCAATAGATGGAGTCAAAGCATGAGTGACACATTATAAGCACTAAGATAATGGTAGTGGTAATAATGACAATAATGATGCTAATCTTGGTTTTGTTTTCTATCATTAAGCAGTAAACCTCGTGGCCTCACTGTCTGCCTTGAGTAGAAAGATGATTTTCTCTACATTATGGGAGACCCCTTCTTTGATTAGAACATAGAGATAAAGGGATTTAGCAAATATCCTTTCTCCACAACACTTGGCTATAGCAAAACCCAATTTAAAGGGGCCAATGCAGGTGCTTGGGTGAAAACATCACCCACTTTTAACAAGCATTATCTAATTTAATTGTTACAGAATCTTATAAACTAAGCCATAAACATTTTTATTTGTATTCATATTTTACAGTTCAGAAAGTAGAAAGTTATTCATTCATTTATTCTTTAATTCACTCAACAATTCTGATTCAGGGCCACTGAGGAAATTAGCAAAAATCTCACGTTTTGTTCTATTGACCTAAACTTACTATACACCTTGAACAAACCTTTGTAATTCTGGTTGGCCAAACCTCAGACCAGAACTCACCCCATGGATTGGGGGTACTAGGTGGAGTTCGTTCCCCTCCAAAACAAATGAACAAAGCAGTTGGGGCAAATTCCAAAGAGAGAAACAGAATTAGGAAATGGATACTGAATACTGAGGAAATTAATGTCCTCAGTCCTTGATAGACAGGAACCAAAAAGAAATGACTCTAGTTCTCATACTTCACGGAACTATAGTCTAATAGAATAACAAACATTACAAATAATACTAATTAATGCATAATTAGAAATTATTAAATTACTTTGAAAGAAATACTCATGGTTTTACTAGAAAGTATAACAAAGGCTCCTGCTTTATGTGGAGTAGGGTTAGTCAGGAAAAGCCCTCCTAGGCAAAGCGAGGAACTGAGGCACATGCAGTATTAGTTGAAGGAATAAAATCAGAGAGATAATTCCAGGCAGAGGAACGTCATGTGTTAAGGCCCTAAGTCCTGAAAAGCTGGGTGCTTTTGAAGAAATGAAAGTCAAGACAATATCTTGGTGCACTGTAAACATGGCAGGGAATGTAATGGGATAAAACTAAAGAGAAAATGAGAGGCCAGACCGTGTAGGAAATTATAAGTTTGTGGTAAACAGTTTGAATTTATTCTAAGAACAATGAGAAAACACTGAAGGGTTTGATAGAATGCTTGTTTTATATCACCTCTCTAAATCCTAGTTTCACTATATGTAAAACAACATTTATTATTATAAAAATGTATAATATTAATGTCTTTGAAATATGGTCAAGTAAGATAATAGAAGAATAATCACTCTGAAAGCTGTAAAGTGCTATTCAGACATAAATTAATCTTATCACTATGGCTACTACTCAAAAACCTTCAGTGATTCTTTGACATCATTAGTATAAGAACTTCCATCAATGTGTTTAAAGTCTTGCATCCATTGTCCCCAACTGACCAGTAAAAGCATTTATGTCATGGTCTGCCCCAATATATTATCTCTAGTCTTCTTTCCATTTTATCACCTGTTCCTACATCTGACCTTTGTTCATGAGAGAATGGTTCATTGGAAACACTTTTATTGTTTTTCTCTACCCATCCTAATCCAAGTCATATCCATGCTTTTATTAGTTTGGATGCTCTTGGCTGCATGGGATATAAACACTTCAAACTGGCTTGATTCATAAAAAGGAATTTATGAATAGTGAAGGCAAAAAGTCTGTGGAGATGCCTAGTTCTTTCAGGCATGAATTCAAGACCTCATGAAACCACACCAGGAATTTGCGTCTTGGGTCTCCATCCCTAGGCTTCTCCCATGAATTGCCTAAATGATCATCACAGATCTAGACTTCATCCTACCAGCTTACCTCCTCCAATAGAAAGAGGATTTCTTTTCGCTAAATCATTTAGCAAAAGTCTCATATTTTCTTTTATTGACCTGAACTTATTATACACCTTGAACAAACCAATGTAATTCTGGTTGGCCAAACCTCAGACCAGAACTCACCCCATGGGTTGGGGTAGTAGGTGGGGGGTTAGTTTCCCTCCAAACCAAATGAACAAAGTGGGATTGGGGCAAGTTCCAAAAAGAAAAACAGAATTAGGAAACGGATACTGAGAAGGCAAAAGCAAAACAAAGCAAAATGAGAAAATCCACCCAGATATCCATCATAAAGATATAGCTCGTCTCCCTCATTCTCCAGTCTTCCATGAGGCCTGCCTCTAGGACTTCAGGCCATAATTATCTTTTGTCTTCCACTCTTCTTCATACTTGGTCTCTGAAGCATACATTTTTGGCTTTTGAATATTCCATTCTGCACTTTATTACAATAATAAAATGCTTATTACTTGATTAGACCTTGGTAGTAACCTAGTCCTAGGGATGTAAAAGCCCAGAAGGAAAAATGTGGGGTTATTTTGAAAATATATCTTAAGGACTTTTTGGTTATTCTAGGGGATAGGGGGAAGGGTACAAAAATTCTTTATTTAAAAAAATTATACTTTAAGTTCTGGAGTACATGTGCACAACGTGCAGGTTTGTTGAACAAACATTCTTTTAAAATAACTCAGCATTCCTAAATTCCAGAAATGTTCTATTATTTTTCTCATCCATAAAAATCTAAATATGTCAGTCGTGACAATTTTATCAGCAAACTAAGCAATGCATGATGTAATTTTAAATATTAAACCAATAATATGCCTTTTGATCTGGAAAGTATTAATGTATTTCTTCCCTCACCATATGTATGTATGTATGTATGTATGTACATATGTATGTGTATATATAATATATTTTTTGCCTTTAAACTTTTCCAACATTATGATTTTACAGATGGAAAAAGAACAATGAGATATACACACCCGAGTGTTAGTACCTGCTCTAGCACTAAATAATTCTGAGTTTCTTAACAACATTTTTACTCTCTGAGCCTTGGTGTTAAAATCTGGAAAGTGGAGCTAATAAGACTTATTATTCTATAGGTTGATTATAAAATTTAAGTGAAGTAGTGCATATAAAATACAAAATAAAATTTATAGCATATAGAAATTTATATATTATTGTATAAACTAAATGTTTCCCCAAGGTCTTACTGTGCAACTGGGTATTATTCCAAGCACTGTGAATGCAGAGGTGAATAGTATAAAAATTTCTGCCCTTATCACGCCCACTTCATCATGGGAAATTTACCAGCAAATGTTAATTTCCAGCTTCTAGCATACTTTTTCCAATATTGCATGGTTCTTTTCTAGCTCCTAGGACCAGAACCTAGCATTAGGACCTAGTTATACTGAATCTCAAGCAAGTAAAAATTTTCTTATTTTTTACTGACAATTAAAGTCAATATTGGTTTCACATGTATCCAAAATCAGTTGTTTGAATGGTATAATCATAATTTTGGGGGACTCAAAGCTATAGAAAAAAATTAGCTGAGTGGAGAGATCTTTACTAGAAGTTAGAGTACTACTCTCTAACTATTGTGTCTCCTCTACTCCCAGCTAACTATGGGAGTCCTCTTTCCTTTCCTTTCCTTTCCTTTCCTTTCCTTTCCTTTCCTTTCCTTTCCTTTCCTTTCCTTTCTTTTCTTTTTTTTATCAGATCCTGATATTCTGGGCCTCCATTTTTATCAACTTTAATTTAAAATTTAGTTTTTTTGTGTGATAGGATCTCGCTCTGTTAGCAAGGCTGAAGTGCAATGGTACAAATATGGGTCACTGCAGCCTGGACCTCCTGGGTTCAAGCAATACTCCTGCCTTAGCCTCCCAAGTAGTTGAGACCACAGGCAGTTTGACTAAACATATGCAGAGCTAACATGTGTGTTTCTAATTACAAAACTTCTCTTTCATTATTCATGAGTTTTATTTATGGGTTCCTTTACTTAATAGTTATCAAACTGCCTTTTCTATGCAGGGGAACTTGGTAGACATTTGGAATAACAGAGAGGATAAAAAGCATGACTTCAGCTTTCTTAGATTATGCATATTAATTAAGGATATGAACAGGTATGTAATAAATGATAGTATAACGTGAAAAATGCTATAGAATAGTTATCAAGAAAAAACTATTTTACTGAAATAGAAACTGGACTTAGTTCCATTTGGAAGGATGGTAGGAAAAGACTTGGCAGAGGAGATGACAGTAAATGTTAGACTTCAGTGGACATTGATGGATAAAATTTTGACAGATAAAGATTTGGGGAAAGAGAGTCTAGTAAAAGACACCAGTGAAAGTATATATCATCTTACAGGAATGGCTAGTATTTGGTTTCATCACATAATATTGTACTTTAAGATGAGTGGCCGACATCAAGTTATAAATGTAAGCTGGAATCTGTAGAGAAGTTAGAATATCAAACTTAGGAATTTGAAATTTATTCAGTAGGCAATGGTTAAGTGTTAAAATATTTTAGGTAGAGAAACATCATCGTTGATCTTCTAATATGAAGAAATAGAATCGTGATGGTGAAGTTGTGGGTGAATTAAAGGACAGTCAAGTGGAAGTTCAATGAGGAAGCAATAAATGTCTCAAGTAGAGCAGTGAGAATTGAAATGAGGAAGCGAATTAATATTACAATGAAGAAAAACTTGATAAGCCTTAGTAACCAACTGGGTATAAGGGCAAGGGATTTGGGGAAGCTACAGATAAATATGTTATTTCTGTCTTAAGCAACTACACATCATTAATTACACAGGGAGAGGGAAGCAAAAACTTTGCAAGAAAGATGAAGGATTCTGGTTTGGAACTGTTGAGTTGCCTCAGTGTGACATCCAGCTGGATGAATCTGATATATGTTTGGACAATAAGGGTTTAAAGCTAGGAAGGGGGCCTTTGATGTAGATATAGATTTGGAAATCACAAAAATATGAAAGAGAGTTGAAATCACAGATCATAGTGAGAGTTTAGCTTGATAAGCTGACAAGTTCCAGGATGGATCAATTGAAGAAAAAGTCCTGAATTTAAATTGTAAACTTTATGCCCACCATTGCTTCTAAATCACCTTTAGTACAGCTCTGAAGAGGAAAACAAGTGCAGCTTTTAATATCAATACATCCATCTATGAAGATAAACTATGATTATAGATAAGTAATTGCAATTTATTCTACATGGAGGTATTAAACAATAGTCTTGGACCTCCCCAAACATTGTATTTGGAAACCCCTCATACTAGATTCTGCCTTGTAAAGTTGTGAAATTGCAACCCTTTTAGCCTGGAATGCAATGAATTTTATTTATGTTGCTAGTGAAGCAAGTTGATGTCCTTCAGATACGGAATTGACTTATTGATTTACATTGAGAGTGACTAGCATAGTGTCCTACACATAGCAAATATTCAGTCAGGTTTTGGCACATGGATGGTTACTGTACTATGAATGACTTAGTATTTGCAATGCAGGAACACTGGGTGGAAACCAGGCTATTTTGGCTCCATCTGGCGCTAGGCTAAGTCTTAGCCTAATCTCAGGCAAGAGTAAGGAGGCTCCCGAGCCTCAGCTTTGTCATTTTCTAAGGTGGGAGTTGGAGTCTGCTTCTGAAGTTCCTCCACACTCTCCAAGGCAAGGGTTCTATGTCAGTTAATGGAATGAGCAGATGAGCGCTGCTCTCCTGTTTTCTAAGTGTCTTACTAAGTTTTGTCTATTTATTTGTTTTTTTCCCCAGAGAGTAGAGTAGGGAGAATTGAAGATTTTACCTCCCACCCCAAACAACTTAGAGTTTCACAAATTTTGAAGACATTAACTTTATGGTAGCCAAGATTTCTAAGCTAAAGACCTCTCTTTTTAGGGAAAGATGATGCAGTTGGGAAAAACCACCACAGAAACAACTCTGTTTTTTTTTTTTGTTTGTTTGTTTGTTTGTTTTTTGAGATGGAGTCTCGCTCTGTCGCCCAGGCTCTGGAGTGCAGTGGCTCAAACTTGGCTCACTGCAAGCTCCGCCTCCCGGGTTCACGCCATTCTCCGGCCTCAGCCTCCCGAGTAGCTGGGACTACAGGTGCCCGCCACCACGCCCGGCTAATTTTTTTGTTTTTTTAACAGAGACGGGGTTTCACTGTGTTCACCAGGATGGTCTCGATCTCCTGACCTTGTGATCCACCTGCCTCAGCCTCCCAAAGTGCTGGGATTACAGGCGTGAGCCACTGCGCCCAGCCTGCAACTCTGTTTTTTGCTTTCAGGTGAGTTCCACTTCCCACTTTGCTTATCACTTTCTTTTTATTGGAAAGAAATATGTTCTCTCCTTACCATGCTCTTTCCAGGACTGACCTTCAATCACAGCAACACATCCATCAGTGTGATCTAATTCTTCCTTCTTTAGGGAGGCTAGGAGCCAGAGGTATCCAATCTTCTCAGCTAGCTCTCATTGAGCATGAGAAGAAATTGTGAGTCCCCCTTCCATCCAGCCGTGTAGTGTGTTTACAAAGTCCCCATCCTGACACTGTGCCCAAGGGGAATTTGTTGGTGTGATCTTGGAGAGGCACACCCAAATGGATTGTCACAGCTTGGGGTCTCGGGGTAAGTAGTGAACTCTGTGGTCAGTAATCATGGTGGTTATTGAAGAGGGGATGTGTGTAGAGGAAGAAAAAAGAACAACAGTGTGGAAGGGCTGGGTAGGCAAAGTCTGGACAAATATCTCAAGATGGGGTCAAGTCCTGAGGCCAGGACATTCTGAATTATTACTGGGATAATATGGTGTGCAGGTTGGGTTTATGCAAAGTGTAATGGGATGGATAATTTAATGATCTTTATTTTTTATGCCATAAGGATAAGCACATAACTCAAATCAAATGGGGAATTTGGGGAATAAAGTAACAGACAAGGGCAAAGGCATGGCTTGATCTAGACGGCTCAGACTATGTTATTAGTGCTTATTTTATCATGTTTGCCTTCTGCCTCCTTTTATACTGGTTTCCTCAAAACTTGCCTCATCTAATGGTGGTGAGATGGCTCCAAGCCTTGTATCCTATTACCGCTAGGACTGGAAGAGAGAAGAACTGTTTTCTTGGAGTAGCCACAGCGTTTCAGAGTCTCTAACCTGGTCATAAATCCATGTCTGAATCAGACATGAGATAGGCTGATTGGTTCAGGCCAATAGGCATTGATTTCTTGAAATAAATTCAATCCACCTTAAATGCATTGGCTAAAATTGGATGAGGATGAATTCTCAAAAGTAAAAAAGTGGAAAGGACATAGGGAAGGTGACTAAGAAATACCCACTGTGATTTATCCATGAATCTAATTGATCTAATTCTTATTTTGCAAGAATGCTGATGATAGGCAGAAATTAGTTTTCTTTCTATTTCTCCTAGTTTAAGATGGAGGCAAACAGAGGTAGCTGCAGCAGTCAAGATAAAATGCATGGACAAACTCAAGTTTAACATACCAGGAAAACAATACACCAAATTACCTGAGTTTGCTGGCGATTTGAAATGCTAGAGACAGAGTTCACTGTGACTTTTTATTGAATAGTCAAAGCTCTATGAGCACTTCTAGTCCCTATCCAAGATTACATTCCATTGTTCCAGAATTATTTTTGCTTTTAGAAAAGAATATTTGGCCCAAATATTTTAATTTTCAACTAACCCCAATAACAATGATACTTGACATAGTTTTGCTTCTTGGCTTTGTTTCAAACCATCAACCTCCCATAAACACATTTTGTCTATGAAACAAAATCAGTTTTGCCCTCTGAATTTTTTTGAAAGTTGAAAGTTCACATCTCTGGGTATGTTATATTCAGTTTCCAGATATGCAACACTCACCACTGTAATAAAACATTTTTTAAAAGTTGCAACAAAATGGATGAAAAAGATTTATTATTCTTTATTTTAACTCAGTTGCCTAATTTCATTTAGGGACCTCTAATGGCATTTACTTAGACCTAACTAGCTAAATTATGTAGATGTTTAATTCCATTTCAGAAGATCTCAAGGTTTTTATTCTGCATCAGCACAGCTGAGGGGTAGCATGTACTAATCTTGTTTTACTCTGGAAGTTCATTTTTCAAGGCTAGCTTACTCTATAAGGATACATCAGAATCATAGGGAGTAGGAACTATGTTTCCTACTTCCCATAGGGAGTAGGATATTGAGCTGTGTACCCAGAACACATTGGCTGCCTAATTTATAGGGCTCAGTGCAAAATGAAAATACAGGAACTCTTATTTTAAAATTTAAATTTGAGGACAGCAGCAACAGCAGAGCATTGAACCAAACATGATCCCCTCTAAGCCCAGGACCATGTGTGATGACAGAGATCATGTGCCAGTGAAGCAGGTGCCATTCAGATTCCCCCTTCAATGGAAGAATTTGTTGCTTCAGCTTCAAGAAATGCTGTTAGGGATCAGCCTTCAGCTATCAGCCCATAAGGACTAGCTTCAGTAAAGCCAGCTTGCTCAAGGTCACCCAACTTTGGACAGGAACTTTAGGGAGGATCATATCCAGCTGATTGGCATGGAGAAAAAGGACTGCTCCTTTTAGCCCCATGTGCAACAGCTTGATGGGCCATTTCAACTCCAGACCTTCTTGTGGGTCCACTGAGGCTCTCGGGTCTGCGTCACAGTTTATGAGCTTACTTCACCCAGTTCTGCTTCACCACCTCCTCCATGGGTGTTGCTCCCAAGGGACCCCCTGCACACTAAACTCTGTCTCAGAGTCTATTTCTAGAGAGCCCAAGCTGGGACAGGACTCTTTGGGTATTTATTATTTTTGTTAATACTAAGAACCTTGAAAAAAATGCATTTTTTTAAATTAAAAACATTCATGCAACAAGAAGATGTAAAAAGAGAAAATAAGAGTACAATTATCCAAATGTTCACACCCAGTAAGGATCAGCATTTGTGTTAGCTAAACCTCATCTCAGGCTTCCCTCTGTGTTTGAGCCCAGATAGGGTGGTCTGATGGCTCCATATTGAGATAGATACAGAGATAAATAAATATAAAGTTAATGTGAGGACTAAATAATGATGCATATTGAATCTACACAAGAATTCAAAACAATGCAGGCGCATAAGTGATATGTTCCCAATATCCCTCCGTCTCCTCTTTTCCTATATCTGTCTCTCAATTTCAATTATAGTCTATCCTTTTCCCTCATTGCAGATATCACTGGCTGTTCACACATGAATGAGGCATATGAGAAAAGTTTACAAAAGCAGAAGACTCAGAGAGAGAGAGGAATAAAAGAGACTGAGTTTTCAGGTAGATGCTGCTTTAGTGATAGATCTTTTACTGTAAGACATAGTATCAATAGCCCACATGTGTTATTTGTAAGAAATATTGATATTTTAAGGCTCAAACTCACTATGGTCATTAGTGCCATTGGCAAACTAAGAAAAGCCAATCACCAGCAAAACCATAATAGAAACAAATATAATTCAGAATTCTCCTTTGCCTGGAAATTTCCTTCACTGAGCTGAACCATAAGAGCCTAAGAAAGGCCATATGAAATCAAATATTTTGTTCCAGGGATTGATGCTACCCCAATGTACCAAGTTTCTTTTAGAGCCTTAACACTACAAGATACATTAAAAATTTTAGTTCCTATAAAGTGAATCCTCCTCCAAAGTGTTGGGGATGGCTGAAATGAGCATTGTGGATGAAGATTCAGAGAGTTTTCAAGGTCCTTGTTGACAATTTGTGACCATCACAATAAGCCAGTAGATACCAAACAATTCCAAACATTTCGTCTGAATTAGAAAAATGATTAAACTCCTCAAAAAGAGTATGTGTTCATCTTGACTAAGGACATCACTTTTAAACAAGGCAAACAAATTTTTTTTTTTTGTCTTCCAGATGATGTCCTGGGAGGACACTCTTCCAGATTTGTGTAAATATGGGAGTCATGTTTCTTGAGCCCCAAACTAAAAATGTCTTCAGCAAAAAAAAAAAAAAAAAAAAAAAAAAAAAAAAGGTAGTATGGGAATCATCCATAAATGAACTTGACAGCTTCTGAGCAAACCCTTGGAAGGTCCAAGACCAGCAGAAATTCAAGTCATAGTAAATGTTAAGTGACCCGTCGAGGTTGTGCATTACAGAATTGCATGGAAATAGGGGTGAATACTGGTTCTGCCACAATCCATCTGCAAAAGAGTGGGCAAGTCACTATACTGTAGTATAGTTTGAAGTGGGATAGCATGGTACCTCCAGCTTTGCTCTTTTTGCTTAGCATTTCCTTGGCTATTCAGGCCCTTTTGTGAGTTCAGTATGAATTTCAGAATAGTTTTCTATAAATTAATTCTGTGAAGAATGTCATTGATAGTTTGATAGGAATATCATTGAATCTGTAAATTGCTTTTGGCAGTATGGGCATTTTAATAATTCTTCCTATCCATGAGCATAGAATGCTATTTCATTTGTTTGTGTCATCTGATTTATTTGAGCAGTGTTTTATAATTTTAATCGTAGAGATCTTTCACTTCCCTAGTTAGCTGTATTTCACTCTTTTTATGGCTATTGTGAATGGAATTGCATTCTTGATTTGGCCTTTAGCTTAAATGTTGTTGGTGTATAGGAATACTATTGATTTTTGTGCATTGATTTTGTATCCTGAAATTTCGCTGAAGTTGTTTATCAGATCAAAGAGCTGTTGGGCAGAGACTATGGAGCTTTCTAGGTATAGAATCATATTGTTTACAAACAGGGATAGTTTGACTTCCCCTCTTCCTATTTGAATGGCTTTTATTTCTTTCTCTTGACTGATTGCTCTGGCGAGGACTTCCAATACTGTGTTGAATAGTAGTGGTGAGAGAGGGTGTCCTTGTCTTGTGCTGCTTTCATGAGAAATGCTTCCAGCTTTTCCTCATTCACTGTGATGTTGGCTATGGGTTTTTCTTAGGTGGCTCTTATTATTTTGAAGTATATGGTTTCAATGCCTGATTTCTTAAGGTTTTTAAACATGAAGTGGTGTTGAATTTTATCGAAACCCTTTTCTGCATCTATTGAAATAATCATGTGGTTTTTGTCTTTAGTTCTGGTTTGATGAATCACACTTATTGATTTATGTATGTTGAACTAATCTTTCAGCCCAGTGATAAAGTCTATTTGATCATGGTGGACAAGCTTTTTGATGTGCTGCCGGATTCGGTTTTTGTTGACTATTTTTGCATCTACGCTCATTGAGGATATCAGACTGAAGTTTTCTTTTTTTTTGCTGTGTCTCTGCCAGATTTTAATATCAGAATGATGCTGGCTTTAGAGAGTGAGTTATGGAGGAATCCCTTCTCCTCAAGTTTTTAGAGTAGTTTCAGTAGGAATGGTACCAGCTGTTCTTTATACATCTGGTAGAATTTGGCTGTGAATCCTTCTGTTTCTTGGTCATTTTTTTGTTGTTGCTGTTCTTGGTAGGCTTTTTATTACTGATTAAATGTCAGAACTCATTATTGATCTATTAAGGTATTCAATTTCTTTCTGGCTCAGTCTTGGGAAGTTGCCTATTACCTGGATGGCAAAATAATCTATACACCAAACCACCATCACACACAGTTTACCTGTATAACAAACCAGCACATGTACCCCTGAACCTAAAATAAAAGTTAATAAAAGAGAAAATGGTGGAGCCAAGTTGCCAGTTTGAGCAGTCTGATTCCAGAGCCTCAGCCACTTTACTCCAGCTATTATGTTCTTCCATAGTCCATGGAAAAGTATGGACTTTGCAATTATTGTGAAACTGCTTTGAATCCTGGCACTGCCACAAGTTAGATGTGTGGTTCTTTACAAATTAGTCTCCTTGAACTGTTGTTTCCTTATTTAACAGGGAAAATAACAGTTTCTTCATATTATAGCTGTTAGCAGTAGTTATCATTAACAGTGTTCTTATTAATATAGAAAAAAATACTACTTCTTGTTGATGTTCCTGTCTTTTAAGGAAAAAAAATCACAACATTTTTCAAGCAGAAAGGATTCTTCTGGTCCAGTGCTTTTTAGTTGCTTCCCCACACATATACTTTTATTATTATTTAATTGTTTTTTTCCTTTAATTTGACTACCTTCAACAATTTTAATACCTACTCTAGTCTCAAACCAAGCAATAATGTTGATAAAGTCTTAGAGAAGGTAAGATACTTTATTGTTATTCTAATCCCTATTAAAATAAACAAGTTATGATCACAATTTAAAGCTTTCAGCTCTGTCCCAACTAAGACTGACATGTGTGCTGTCAGTGGTATGGGCACAACACTTTGTAAAACGCTATTTATTTACACTTAAATAAGAGTACTGAGACTCAGGTATTATGTGCCCTTGGTCACACAACAATTCTTAGCCAAGTGGAAAACCACACCTCGCAGTGGCTCATCACACTATACAAGATGGCAGCTCTATCCTTCAAAGCCACAGCGGCAGGTCCCTAAGTGAAACCTGTTTACAGAATAAGTGTGCATTGTCATGCTAGTCCATTCAAGAGGAGCAGCTGAGTACCCCGTGTTGTGAAATGTAGCTGTGAAACCTCTTCATGCCAGTCACACATTTTCCTTCCTATTAAAAATCACACCAGAATTTCTGCAAACCGGACTTTAAATGGTTGGTTGGTTGTTCAAGTTACATACATTTTGGCACTGTCCAGAAGGAAGTGTTCTGGATAATGTCTCTATCTTAATAGAGGAAAGTTTTCAACATTATCACTGAAATGTTACTGAGTTGGAATCCTTTTCTCTTCATTGTTTGCATCAAGAAAGACACTGTTTGCTTCTTGATGTTGCAATAATCCATAAATATACTACCACTACTACACATGTCAAGATTATACTCATTCTTGTGGAATGTTCGAGTGTAGTAGTATTTTTCAGATTCAGATGAACATTCACAGTTCTGTTTCCCTTACACACTCTGGTCATAGTCTTATAAGGGTTTGGCAGACCATTACTAAGTGTAGTGAAAGAGCTCAGGGTTTGGAAAAGAAAAATCAGCTTTGATAATGTACTTAGCTCATTTGTGTTAGTTTGTTTTCTCACTGCTATAAAGAAATACCCGAGACTGGGTAATTTAAATTTATAAAGGAAAGAGGTTTAATTGACTCACAGTTCCGAATGCCTGGGGAGGCCTCAGGAAACTTAAATCATAGTGGAAATGAAGGGGAAGCAAGAACTTTCTTCATATGGTGGCAGAGAGAAGTGCAAGCAGAGGAAATGCCAGACACTCATAAAACCATCAGATCTCATGAGAACTCACTCACTATCAAGAGAAAAGCATGGGGGAAACCACCCCCATGATCCAATCACTTCCCTCTTTCGACAGGTGGAGATTACAGGGCCCTCCCTTGACATGTGGGGATCACAATTCAAGATGAGGTTTGGGTAGAGACTCAGAGTCAAACCGTCGTCATCACCATTCAGGCTAATAATGAGTCATGATTAAGTTTCAAGGTCTTCTCCCTTTTTAAACAGGACTGTCAATGGTAGTACCCTATCTTTGTTCCAGCATTACATATTGGATGTGAGGAGGCCTCATAGCTGTGTCTTCAGTTCCAGGGTTTTAGATTAAGAGGAACTGTACTGAAGGAACCATATCTGAAGACCTCACTTTCTTCCTTTGGACAAGGAAGACAATAGTAATCCTTGCTCAATAAAACAACAGAAGTGTTGTGGACATGAAATAAAAACATATGTATAGGAAAATCCTCTATCAAAGGCACAACGCTACACAAATATTACCAATGGTTTTATTTTGGAGTTTGATTATAAAATTGGCATGCATTTTAACACACTTTTGTTTTTTGAGACAGAGTCTCATTCTGTTGCCCAGGCTAGAGTGCAGTGGTGTGATCTTGGCTTCCCGGCAACCTCCTCCCTCAAGTGATTCTCCTGCTTCAGCCTCCCAAGTAGTTGATATTACAGGCAGCTGCCACCACGCCCGACTAATTTTTTGTATTTTTAATAGAGATGGGGTTCCACTATCTTGGCCAGGCTGGTCTTAAACTCCTGAGCTGTGATCCACCCGCCTCAGCCTCCCAAAATGCTGGGATTACAGATGTGAGCCACCACACCCGGCCTTTAACACACTTTTAAAGTGTAACAAACATTGGATTTATTTAAAAGATTTGTAAACTTGTAGTCTCAGTCCTTTTTCTTGTAGGAACTATGGTATTGGCTCTCCTGAAATGTTATTATTATTTGACTTATTGAGCTTATCCTGAGTCAGAGACAGAGAGGAACTTCTGAATAATTCTTTAGTTGCTTATTTCAGAATAATAACATTGCAAAATTCATTCAACTTCATCTTAGGCTAGTGGGGTACAATTATCACACTTGAAAAAAATAATGAGAAACTACCCTTTGGAAATTAATTTTAATTTTTGTCAAGTAATTCATGTGCATAGTGAAATGAATCAAATATTATTTCAAAGGCTACAAATAAAATGTAAGAAGAGCTTTGTTTATCCCTTTCTGCCAACAAGTCCTCCCCAAGAGGTACCTACTTTCTTTTCTTAAAGCCATTATTTCCAGAATTTATCTGAAAAGCTGTAAGTAATATGTTTGTACTTCTTGGTCTTGATAATAATTATAAATATTATCTATTGACTCTGTATTATAGTAATTTAACATTTAGCTCTCTTACACCTAGAGCTCTATTCTCTTCCTGCATTCTCTGAAATAACTGTGGTGGATTGAAGAAGGCTGCAAGTTCTGTGACATGCCTTTCATTGAGAGGTGGTATCTGCTCTCCAGCCCTTGAACATGGGCTAGAATGCGACTGCTTTGGTCACTGGAGTGTGGCATAAGTGATACTGTGCCAGTTCTAGGTTGAGAATTTAGGAGAACTGGTAGCTTCTGCCTTTATCATTTTTCAGTCCTGAGCCACCATTTAAGAACTACAGCTCCTTTGCTGACAAGATCATGCAAAGAGACCTTCAGATTGCATGGGGGAGCAGGAAGGCAGCTGACTTCAGCCTTCCTGCCATCTCCACCAAGGTACTGGGCTTCCTGGGGGAAGCCATCTTGGATCCCCTAGACCAGCCTAGCTATTAGCTGAATGCTACTAAATTATACAATGTCAGAAGAATAACACAGCCTATTCCTGCCTGAATCCCTGACCCACAAAATCACAAATTATTACAAAACATTTGTTTTTTTATTACACTAAATTTAGGGGAAGATTGTTATATAGCGATATACAGCTGAAATAGAATCTGGCATCTATTTTTAAAAACCTAAATAATGTAGGTATGTCCATCAACCAAAAGATACTCAAAGAAATGTCACAGGGCAAAGATCAAATCCATGGCAACAATGCATAATTTCAGGGCAAAAAAGTGGGATGTGGCTACAAGACAATTTATTAATATCTCAGAAAGATTTAAAGGCATATTTGTTGCCTGTCATTGCTAGACAAGAGAACTTTGAAGAATCTTATAAGCTGCCCCACAGCAAACTCCCAGCCAAACTAAGACAGAGAAGAGCCTTTGTCAGAAAGGCATATCTTCTTCTGGAAAATGAAGACAATAATAATGCCTGCTCAATGAAATGACACAAATGTTGTGAAGATGAAATACAAATATTTTATTTTGTGGGAAAATGTTATTATGGGTATAAATATGGTTTATTATAGTGAACCTCAATAAGATCCAAATGAAATCCATGAAGCTTTAAAAATAAGTTGATTGGCATATATGCCACCAGCTGGCATGAGAGCTCTCAAGACCTCCAAACTCTCAATAGGAATTGGGCTGAAATATGGGCTATCCAGTTCATTTACTATGGAAAAGGAAAGGTGATTCATGGCAGAACCCAAAACCCAGAGGGCAGAGGTTAGAGCCACAGAAAATTTTTCCAAAAAGTAGGACTGGAATGAAATAAAGGAATTGGCAACATATATCTGGCAAGACTTCTAAATTTCTCTACACTACCAACAGCAATATAGCTCTTCATTTCTCCCTTTTGAAACAGGACTGTCAATGGTAGTACCCTGTCTTTGTTCCAGCATTACATATTGGATGTGAAGAGTCCACATAGCTATGTCTTCAGTTCCAGGTTTTTAGATTAAGAGGAACTTTACTGAAGGAACCATATCTGAAGAGCCTCCACCACTCCTGGTTGTGAGCTAATGTTGCAATGAAATGGGATGCTACTCAGGAAACCTTCGAAGAGAGTGAGTATATTTTAGATTTATGTGGAGTGCAAATAATTTATGATGAAACGGTGAACTGTGGTTGATTAAAGATGGCTGCAGATTCTATGACACTCCTCGCTTCGAGAGGAGTATGCTGTTTCTGTCCTCTTGAACAAGGGCCGACCTGTAACTGCATTGGCTAATGGAACAGAGAGAAAATGATGCTGTGATTTTCTGGGCCTGGCATTTAGGAAGACTGCAAGGCTTCCACCCTAGTCTTTTGGAGCACAGGATCCACACTATTAAACAACACAGATGTGAAGAGGCCCCAAAAGAACATGGAGAAAAAGAAGGCTCCTGCTAAGTTCAGCTTTCAAGCCAATCTGAGGAAGGTAGCAGACATGTGACTGAAGCCATCTCATACCTTCCCTCCTGCTGGTGTTTGGAAATAAAGGATGACACTTGGGCTTGCCTCGTTCACTCTGCAGGCTTCCATGTATTTTAGTGTGTCACTTCTAACAACTTCCAGACATGGTGAATCTGCTTTCAGGACCTCTTTGTTTTTTGTTTCTCCAAAGAATAAACTCTAGTTTCCTACAGCAGCAGGAAAATATAGCCAGCTACCTCTTCATTGGGTGAAAGAGGGAAGACGAGAATCAAATCTGCATTTAAATTCTACGTATCATCCACACCTTTCATAGTTCATAGTACCAACAATTTTGAACATTTCTGAGATTCTTTGGATTTAACTGAATTGTTTCTAATAATTACTCACCTCGCAGGTGTTTAGGTTTTAACTTCCTCTGCTGGCTTCCCATCCTTCAAAAATCTATTGAAATCTATCATCCATATTTATTTCCTCTTTTTTGTGTGTGTTTGAGGGATCCTACCCTTATACTTCTTTACTTTTATTTCAGCATTGTGTGGGAAGGGAGAGACAAATACACACATCTGCTGCCATGTTTAATTGGTATATACTAATATTTTTTGAATTTCTATCATATGTCAGCCCCCTTGCCTACATTGCTTTATTTAACTTTGTCAGTAATATTTCATTAAGAGATTTTTATTTAATTTTAAACTTGAGAAAATGGAAATTCAAAAGGAGTAGAAGGGAGGAGATAACTTTCCTAAGATCACAAAGTAAATGTGATGGTACTACAATTTGAACCCAACTATCTTTTGTCCCAGTACCCTTCTTACCACTGTATCATTTTTGAGTTATCACTTATAGTTTTGCACTAATTGCCTTCATTATCTTTTGAAGCCACGCAGACTAATAATGAGTCATGATTCAGTTTCAAGGTCTACACACCTTAGTTTGAATCATGGACCTTGCACTTACTATTTGTGCGACCTTGGGGAAGTCATTAAATGTTTCTGAACCTCCCTTTCTTCACTAGTAAAATGGGGACAATATGTTCAGATTTATAGTGTTATTTTCATTAGTAAATAACACAATTAATGTATAGGGTTTCTCAGAGAAATACTCATGTTAACGATTTAATACATTGTAGCTTTGCTTACACTGTTTGTTGTCTTCATCTCTATGACAAAGGGATTAGCTATAGTTTAGGTCACAGGTTCTGGAACTGCATAGTCCCAATTCAAATCCTTGTTCTCCCATTTTATAGTTACAAGAATTTGGGAGAGTTACTTCTTTTCTCTATCCATCAAGAATCCCATCTGTAGCAATGGGACTAATTTAACTATCGTATAGGGTTGTTCTGAGGGCTATATATGGTAATCCATATAAATTGCCTACCCCCAGATAATAGTGAATGAATATTAGATACTCTTATTAATAACATGTCTAAGGTCCTCTCCAACACAATGATTCTCAAATGATGTATCTCTATAATGACATTTATTTGATCAAAATAAAGTATTGAATGCGATGGCAGAGTTACTGTTTATTTATGTACTTGACAGCTCATTCATCATCCCAGTGGGTTGTCTGAGTGGCTGGCTTTGAGAATTCAACTTGTAGGTCTATTGTTCTCTCTCTTTCTTTGAGAGGCTACTGTGCACAGAAGAACCAGGGGCTGGTTGCATTTCCAGTGTCTTTGTTATTGAACTGGGATATAGAGTTTCTTCCCAGAGATCTGACAGGACGTTTTTACATTGTTATGGTACCATGGGCTTTATAAATCATGTGCTTTGTGCTATGCATAATGGAAGGAAACCTGATTATCACCTTCTTTAAGGGGAACTTTATTAGCAAACAAAGAATACTCCAAACTACAGAAAGAATGTTGCTCTTTAAAAGTGGTTGAAACTCAACTGCCTTGGAAATGGAAAATAACTCAACCAACCTTAAACAGAGGCATGCACGTAGGTCTCACTTTGTGTGATGTGTGTCTCACTGAAAAATCAGTGTGACTTTTCCTTTTGAAAAGACAATAACATCCGGTTGACTGTGTGATTAGTTTGGTAGTTTTCTGTGGGTAGTGAGTATACACTGACACTTAAGGAAACAAAAATTATAGTTATTATTTTTATTGTTGAAACAGAATCTTATTCCATCACCCAAGCTAGAGTACAGTGGCATGATCTCAGCTCACTGCAACCTCTGCCTCCTGGGTTCAAGGGATCCTCCTGCCTCAGGATCCCACGTAGCTGGGACTACAGGTGTGTACCACCACACCCGGCTAATTTTTGTATTTTTAGTAGAGACAGGGTTTTGCCATGTTGGCCAGGCTGGTCTTGAACTGCTGATCTCAAGTGATCTGCCTGCCTCAGCCTCCCAAAGTGCCGAGATTACAGGTATGAGCCACCATGCCCGGGGAAAAAAAAGTATGATCAATCCCTGGGCCAAATATGTTTCTATTCAGTGGGTATATGACATAAATAACATGGGGTCCCTCTCCTCATGGAGCCCACAACCTAGTGAGGAAAATGGTCCCCCAAATAAATAATATTCAGTATATTTCCAGGGCACAGAAAAATTATTAAGCACAATTTTCATCTCTTAATCTAATTTCTCCCTCAGAGCAGGAGTCCACATTTAGGGTGCCTTCTCAGTTTTTATTTTCTCCAATGGCATTTATTTATTCATCCACAAACCTATATTTACTTCAAGCCTACTCGTTTCTGGATGCAGGGTTAAGTGCCGGGGAAACCAAAGTGAACAAACCTATGTATAAATTAATCTCAATGAAATGTGGTTGATGAATATTTAAAGTTATGGGACTATATGAAATGACACCTGTATAGGGTCAGCAAAAGCCTGTGTAAAACAATGGTAAAGTTGAGACAAGTAAAATGTGTGACATTTACTCAATGCAGAGAGTCAGAAATCGGGATTTGAGAGGAAGAGCAAAGGTTCAAGAAGCCATAGAGCAATGGGTACAACATACATTATTTGGATGATGGATGCCCTGACTTCATCACTATGTAACCTATGTGTGTAACAAAATCGTGCTTGTAACTCATACATTTATACCAATATTACTTTAAAAGAATAGAGTCCGTGGTCCTGCAATAAAAAATTCAGGAAGGGGAGCAGCAGCAGATGAGTCCAGAAAGGGATTTGGTAAAGGCCGGATTATAGAGAATCTTAGGAATCACATGAAAGCGTTAGGGACTTATTCTAACACCCAGGAGACCCTTGAAGGATAGTGGGCTTAAGTCTGTATTCTGAAGAAACCACATGGGCAAATGTGAGCAGAATGGATTGGTAGGTGGTGTGGCTGGACACAGGAGACCAGTTAGAGACTATGACAGTCAGGCAGGAGTTGACTTGAATCAGGACTGTAAAATGAATGATGTTTTTTGCTACTAAAGCAATTTAAAACACAGGGTAGGTTGGGGAGCACCTTTTTGTTAGGCAGATGACTTTTTTTTTTTTACTCCTAAAGACACACTAATTCTAAAAAGTATTGGAAAACACTTTGCAGTGAAGCAACCACTTTTAAATTGCTGTCTGATTCAGGGTGATTTCCTTAATTGCTCTGTGCCTTCATTTTCTCATTGTGCCTCATTGACAAAATGAGAATAAGAATAGTACTAGCACCCTCCTTATGGAGCTGTTACATAGATTAAATGAGGCAATTATTAAAAATTAGCTGGAACACTTCTTAGCAGATAGCAAGGACTCAATATGTATCATCTATTGTCATGGTCATTATCATCATCATCATTGTTATGAAAGTTTCTCCTTTAAGTTTCTCCTTTGAAATCCATAAAAACAAACGTGAGGATACTAGGACTCTGATGGCAGCAACTTTCTCAGGTCTCAGAGAGATAGTGGAAGAGTCAGGGTATCCTTGAAGATTTTTTGAGCCAGGGGTTAGAAATGTGGGCGATGAGCATGATCATGATCAGAGGCAGTTCTGGGAGAGACTCATTCAACTCCAATATGAAAGGCGGAGGGGTGAGACGGGGTGTGATGGGAAACGGAAAGTCAGAACGAAAGATGATAATACATTTGTCAATTATTAAAGCAGACACCACAGGACAAATAATAAATGACAAAGAGTGAGAGATAAAATGGCTGAAAATTTTTTTCTTTTGTCATGGAACAGAGTTTTGGGATAATCACAAAAGAATGCACAGAAAAAAAGATGAAGAGATTAAGCAAATAGGAGAGGGTAAATGTAAAGGGTAGAAAACATAAGGATAAATGGTGTCCTTATTAGTAAATTCAATGTGCAGAACAAAACATATTTAAAGGTATAATACAGGAAAGTTTCCTGAAAGCAAGAAAGAAGTAAATTCATAGTTAGAAATAAAATTCTGATTGATCTACATTGGGTCATGTCCTAATAAAATTACCGATTGTTTGGTAGAAATAGAAAAGCATATTTCTGATACCCTTGCAGAAATAGTGAGCCACCTACATGGGGAAAGAGTTGTCTGGACTTCTACTTCTTGACAGTAATACTTAATGCCAAGAAATGGTGGATAAATTTCAGTGCAGTTCTGGTGGCACGGATAGAGGTTATAGTACAGATGGTTCCTTTCTTACTCCATTTGTGTTGCTATCAAGGAATACCTGAGGCTGGGTAACTTATAAAGAAAAAAAGGTTTATTTGGCTCATGGTTCAGTAGACTGCTCAAGAAGCATGGTGTTGGAATCTGGTGGGATTCTGGTGAGAGCCTCAGGCTGCTTCCACTCTTGGTGGCAGGCAAAGGGGAGCTGGAGTGTGGAGGTCACATGGCAAGAGTGGAAGCAAGAGAGAGGGAGGTGCCAGACTCTTTTAAACCACCACCTCGTGGGATAATTAAGAGAATGAGAACTCACACATTATTGCGAGGATGGCACAAACATGAGGCATCTGACTCCAGGACCAAAACATCTCCCATTAGGTCCCACCTCCAACATTTGGGGTCAAATTTCAATCTGAGCTTTGGAGGGGAAAATATCCAGACCACAGCAGTCCCTGATTTACAATGGTTTGATTTACAATTGCTTGGCTTTAAAATGGTATGAAAGCAATAATGCCTTCAGGAGAAACCATACTTCAAGTACCTATAGAACCTTTCTGTTATTCACTTTCAGTATAGTATTCAATCAATTACATGAGATATTCAATACTTTATTATAAAATAGGCTTTGGGTTAGATGATTTGGCTAAAGTAAATATTCTAAGCACCTTAAATGTGGCTTAGACTAAATTATGGTGTTTGCTAGGTTAGGTATATTAAATGTATTTCTACTTACAATATTTTCAAGTTATGATGGGTTTATCTGGACGTAACCTCATCATAAGTTAAGGAACATCTATATTGTCAGATACAGAATATTAAAAAAATACAATAACCATATGCCTTTCTTACAACAAAACAAACAAAATGGCCAATTAAAGAAGAACACACAAAATTTTAAAATTAAAAAAAAAAGCTATGTAAAAATCTGGGTTGAATATTGCATTTATTTGATATATAGTTAAGACTTGGGTAATTATACATAAAAGAGTACATAAATATTATAATTCTTAGTAATATAAACATCATAATTTACCTTACACAAATTAGAAGTGGGAAAAGGAGAGAGTTGAGAAATTGGAGACAGGGTAGTTTGACTACCTGATCTCGCCTCTTTTATAGTAAATAATAAATTTAAACCCTCTGAAATTAAAGAGTGTTGTTAAGGAAGTAATGAGTCTAACCTTATAATGCTGTTTGCACAATCATTTTTATTAACTGTAGAGAAATAATAATATTTAATATTTGTGAAAAATTCTTACCAGATAGTTAACAATTTCAATTTTATTTGTTGATTAAAATACCATACAGAAAAAATTTAACAATTAATAAAAATACTTGCCAGAATGATTTCTTCCTTTAGACATTATTTCTATCTATTCATTTGTCTTTACCTTTCTCACTCTGTATATGATAAATTGATGGCTGAAATTATAATGCCAAAGAATTATACTAAGAGCAGTCCAGCACCTCTTACTGAGTGTTTACTGAATGCAGGAAGTCTCCTGAGCACTGTGCACGTGATACTTCACTACGTCTCATAACCAACCACACTAAGAGGCAACTACCATTATTCTCCTCACTGTTGAGATGATGGAATGGAGACATAGGCAGGTTTGGAGAATTACCCAAGCCAACATAGGTAAAGTCTGGATGCTAACCTGGATAGTTTTCAATTACAAACATGAATGGTTCTAGGTAATACAATTGTTATGGTGATTGTTTCTTTAATTTCTAGAATTTTACATCATATATAAAAATACATACAACATATATATATAACATGTATATATATAAAACATACATATATAAATAAGTAAAACATTACACATATAGGTCATTTAGAAGTAATGGAGTAAAAGGGAGATGTGTGAGTGCAGAGCTCAGAGAAGAAAGAAGGGTAGAGAAAATAAAGAGAGAGCTGAGGAAAATAGAGGGGAGGCTACTAAAATTGACTTGCTGGAATCAGAAAAGGGCCTTAAAAATATGGTTCCTAAATACTCAGTATAAATGTATTTATCATGTGTTATTGCAGTGTGGAGCCCCTAAAAGAATAATAACAATCTACTTGAGGCAGCTGAGAAACCAAGAGAAGGACACATTTTAAATTTGGATTTTCAATGAGCAGATAGCCACAAAATGCAAAGTAAAGACTGAAATTTTAGTGGAAGATAGGCATTAAAGCTAAAGGTGACTGGGAGAGACACAAACTCTCAGGAATTTCCAGAACTCTGGTGAAGGATTTTGCAGAGGATGTGGGATGAGAGACTCAGTTATTCAAAGGATTTCAGAGGAGACTTGCTTCTGAGTCAGTCACACACCTATGCTCGCACCAATGCTGTCTGGTATTTTATTAGCCTCCAACCTGACATAGGCAAAAGGCAGTGAGTCTTAAGGAAGGGAAAAGCTTGCTGAGGTGTACTCAGCCAGCCTAGTGGCAGAGATTGAATTTACACCCACGTTTCCCTATTTGCAAAATCTAGACTCTTCATGGGCACTCTCTCTTCTGAGTAGTGGAATATATTTTATTATCTTAGCTCAATAGATGTGGATAACATCAGAATCAATATAAGCTGAGATTGTAGCTCTGTTAGAATCCAATTAAGCCTCACCAACTCTGGAAAACTGTCAGACCAATCCAGTTGTTCTCCAACTCATATGAGCCTTTAATTCAATCACTTGTTATTTTAAAACTCAGTTTTGACTCAAATTTCCCAGTAGGCATCGTAGTATGTTGTCCATTATGTGATTCATAGATCATGGGTTATAGCAGCCAAGGTTGCTGATGGGAAGTGTCCATCAAAAAGCATAATTCTGCCCTTGACATCAGAATGTTCTACGGTATCCTCTGACACTCACTGGAGTATTTGGCTGCTTTTCCTTTGTTGGCCCAATTCTCACCTTTGATATGGCTGCAGCTGCTGCTACTCTGAGATTTTAGCTCTCTCTAACTCTGTTTCCTTCCTGGGGTAATTCTCTGGCAGAGATAAAAGCTCTCATGCTTAGCCACTGTCATCTTTTTTATCTCCTCTAGGCTTCTAGGGAAACTCAGGAGAAGACGATGTGGGCTGCCTCAAGAAATAGTTGTGTCCAGTCAGATCATAATCCCATGTCCAGCATCTTGGCTATGTGGGATAGAACAGTGGTCTTCCCACTCTCAATGGCTACAGGAAAAAAAACAGGGACACTTGTCTCTTCTGCTTTAAAATTTTCAATCTTCAAACCAGGGCTTCCTCATATCCCCATGCACTCAACACATTCTACTTCCTTCTCCTCTCGTCATCACATGATTAATTGCTAAAAAAGGAAGGACTTAATACTGTCATTTGAAGTGAAACGTTACTTGCTGGGTAATATTTTTTGAGTTCTTCAGGTGAAGTTGGGCAAAATTCTCTAGAAAACAGACGTGTGAAACTAAATGAGAGACCTCTAACTTTTCTTGAGTTCATGCATTCTAAGAAGTCCACTGGAGTGGACTTATCAAACATCAAAGTGTCAGGAAGACCAGCAGAAATGTTAACTTGTCAAGAAATTTAGTATCCATGAGACCAACATAAGAAAAATTAATACTGTGTGAATTTAGTGGCTTAATTGTGCCTGGATTAGTTAATTAGATAATTAACATAAGAATGTGCTTTTCATATTAGCTTTCTGTATGTTAATAATAGAACTGTTCATAAGATGAGCAAACTTGACATTGAGAAGTGCTAATTATTTCAGAAATGGAACCTTTCATTTGCTAAAATACTTTTTCATTGTCTCCCTCAGAGAAGTGGCATTGTACCCTATTTGCTGGATCATCTTTCTTAAAATTGCGTTTTTTAAGCTTTTTAAAAACTTTTCATGTTCTCTTAAAAGCTCTATATGCTTTTAAATATCAACATTATCATAAATATAATCAAATACTTTTTCACGTACCTGTCATAAAATAATCTACACAACTGCTTCCCTGGCTTTCTACAAGAAATTCTGGGAATTCTTTACACCTTTACTACATTGTAATTCTCAACAAAAAATTATTTAATTCATGGAACACATTTGTCAGGACTGAGATTTAGTTTCTGGTATATATAATTTTAAAAGTCCAGTGAGTTAAATAAATAGAAAAACTACTCTTTTTTTAAGATACCAGTTCACCTGGTTTTGCTCCCATTTTAATCCCTTGTGGGTAGATAATCCATGGGCAGAAGCCTGGTGTACTGGCCTTTCTCAACCTGGGGGCCTTAAAGATGCAATTACCTTTTATAGACAGAGGGGAATTGACAGCTCCTCCTTTTTTGCTTTTATGGCTGGAGCCAGTGTTGAGGATTCCAAAGACCTCAATAAACAACATCTCTCTTTTCTCTTCAAGTTTTGTGCCTTTATATTAAAATGAAACAAGGAAAGTAAAGGAGATGAACAATCAAAATATTATTTTTATTCTTGATAAAGGTGATATTTGAAATAGTGGCATGCATCTGTGAGAAAGTGGGATTCATTAAACTCCAAATTATACAGGCTTTCCTATTCATTTGTGCAAACAGAATGAAGTATAAAAAGTAAGGAAGAATGGCTTGCCCTATAACACAAAGAAGTGAAGGAGAATGGACAGACTTATATTCTTGGCTGAAAACAATCCAAAGGGATTGGTTATTTACAAACCGAATCTTTAAAAGTGTCACTTTGAAGTACACAATGAAACTTCCTTTGTTTTGTCTCATAAGGGTGCCAGATTCTGGAGATCTCAGACTGTGACACTGAGAAATTTAAAGCTTTCATACAATTGACTAGTCTGAGCTGTTTAAAGATTTTTGAGTTTATTTTCTTCTAAGAATTTTCAGAAATATTTAGTTGTTTTAGGAAAACTATCTGTGTCATCTAGATTTCAAAATTAACTGGTATAAAGTTGTATATGGTTTTAGGTGTGTTATTTAGAAAATATGTTTTAAAAATTCTCTATCAATATATATGTCTTGTCATATATATGTCTAATTTATTATGTATATCTATATATAACAAGTTTACAACATAATCATTAGGGAATATAACATAATTTCTTTTTATTTGAATTAATAGTTTCATTGTAGCTTATAAGTAATAGATTTTTATAATTATTCTACAGTCTTTTAAAAATATATTCAAGTTTTAATGTTAAAATTTATACACTGTTTTCAATCAATCTGATTATTTGTATTTTAAGCAATTTAAAAATATTTTTCTTGGTAGTTAGAACACTTCTTGCCTATCCAAATATTTATTTGGTGTTTTTTTCTCTTTCTTACATGGTTAGACTTTTTGACTTAAAAACAAATTCAACTTATATTTTATGTCCTTTTTTTGTTTTTATGTATCCATGTGTATTTTAAATTTTAAGAGTTTCTGGTTTTATCCATATATTTCTACTTCTGTTATTTATTGTCTTATTCTTCTAGTATATTGGAGAGTTGGACCATTAATTCTCTTTCCTGTTACCTAATACATGAATTGAAGACCATCTCAACAATTTAGTATTTAAGGTTGTCTTTTTGATTCAAATATCAATAGCTTTTTACTTTGATTTTCTATTAAAAACAAATTTAGCTTATTATTTGATACCTTGCCAAACTATCAATTTAGAGCACACTGTACATGCAAGGAGTCTGAAAATTTTTATTTTCACAGAAGTTGCATGAAAACAAACTTCAGAAAAATAAGAAATAAAACAACATAGACGATTATGTTGAATCTCATGGAGATTTCAAATTAGGGAGTCTCAGAATGCCACTGTGCAACATCTCTACAGGTCAACCAACCTGGAGAACAGGTTTATGATAAGGCTAGTGTTTATGGCTTGTGCAGGAGAATTACATAAATTTTACTATATAAGTAGGATTGCCCTGTTCCCTTTTCATGTTCCTTAAATGTTATCATCATGTTTAAAAATAAATTCACACTCTTTAGTGTGGCCTACAAGGTCTTACGTGCTCCATTCTTGAAACATTCCAACTTGCTCCAAGCCTCAGAACCTTTCCACAACATCCTGTTACCTCTTCACTATTCCAGGTGTAGCGAAGACTGTGATAAAGACAAAACCGCTCCTCTCATGGAGATTATAATATTGTAGAAGGGGAGTGACTCAACAAGGTTATTAAACACAAAATCATCAAGATTTTTTCTGCTGTTTCAGAGAGAAATAAACCATATTTTAAAAGTGTAAAAAGGTGACATGAAGACAATTATAAAATGCCTCTTTGAGGATATAGTGAAACCCAAAGGATAAGAAAGGCCAGTTCTCTGACTGCTGGAGGACAGACTAATTCAAACAGAGAGGGTGAGTAGAGGGAATATAAAATAAAAAAACCCTAAGGCAGGAACCGTCTATGACTCAACAAGGAGATTAAAGAAGGACAGGGTTGCTGAGGCACAATCAGTAATGGGGTTGGGTGGTAGGGGATGACTTTGAGGAGGGAGGCAGAGACAATCACCAAATATTAGAAACGACACTCATAATGAGAGCAATGCAAAAGAAAACAGCAGTGAGATATCAAATACCATCATCAGACTGGCAAAATTTAAAAGTCTGACAAATACCAGTGGCTGAAAAAGAGATTGCTTATAACTACCTGTTGTAGTGCACACTGGTATAACTACTTTGGAGAGCAATGAGCTTTTCTGTAAATTTCATAATGTCCACCCTGTACAATCTAGGGCTTTTCCTCCTAGGTATATGCCTCCCAAAAATAATCTCCTCTGGGCGCCAGGTTGTTCATAACATTGCTGTTGTCACTAACAAAACAACAAAAACAACAACAATTAGATTAGAAACAACCTAAATGTATATCATAGGGAGGATAAAAAGTATAGAGTACTCATAATAAAACTACTGTACAGCAGTGAAAATAAGTAAGAATTATGGGTAATCTTCTAGATGAAGTTTATAAATGATGTTGAGAGGACCCCAAAAAAGTCACAAAAGAATACATATAATACGATTCCCTTTATGTACATTTTTAGCTTATTTTGATATAAACTGACAAAAAGTTTCAAAAGAGTACTGTGAGATCCAATGTACCTATTACTTGGGTCCCTTCAATAGTAGCATCTTACATAATTACTAATGTATAGTAATTTTTTAATAAAGCTAGGAAATTGACATTGGTATAATACAACTAAATAGACTGTAACTTAATCAGACGTCATCAGGTTTTACATACACTCATGTTTTTGGTGTGTCTATGGGTTATACATATAAATTCTATGACATTTTATCACATGTATAAATTTATATAACTACCACCATGATAAAGATACAGAATTATTTCTTCACTACATGGAAATTGCATGTTATTCTTTTATAATCACACTCTTTAAAAAACTGTTAAGTTCAGGGATACAAGTGCAGGTTTGTTACATAGGTAAACTTGAGTCACTCTTCTTCTAAACCATGATCATCACTAATCTAGTCTCCATCTATACAATTTTGTCATTTTGAGGATGCTACATAAATGGAATCAGGCCGGGTGCGGTGGCTCATGCCTGTAATCCCAGAACTTTGGGAGGCTGAGATGGGCAGATCACTTGAAGTCAGGAGTTCAAGACCAGCCTGGCTAAAGTGGTGAAACCCTATCATTACTAAAAGTACAAAAATTAACTGGGCGTAGTGGCCCACGCCTGTAATCCCAGCTACGCAGGAGGCTGAGGCACGAGAATTGCTTAAACCCTGGAGGTGGAGGTTGCAATGAGCTGAGATCACACCACTGCCCTCCAGCCTGGGTGACAGAGCGAGACTCCATCTCTCTCTCTCTCTTTATATATATATATATGATTTAAAATAAATAAATAAATAAATGGAATAATGGAATATGCGTCTGTTTGAAACTGGCTTTAAAAATATCCAGCACAATGCTATTGAGATCTAACCATCAAATAATTTGTTGAGTCATATTGGTGAGTAGTATAGATGTACTACAGTTTATTTTACTTTTCACGCATTGAGGGATATTTAGATTGTATCCAGTTTGAGATTATTATAAATGTAGCTGCGAAGCTGCTGTGAGCATTTGTGTATAGGTTTTAGTGTAAACATACATTTCAGTTTTCTTGGAGTGGCATTGCTGGGTCACATGGCGAATGTATGTTTAACGTCAAAAGAAAGTGCTAAACTGTTTCCCAGAGTAGCTGTACCATTTCACATTCCCGATAGCACATGTAAGATACCCAGTCTCTTCATATCTTCTCCAGCATTTGGTACTAACAGTATTATTTCAGCCATTTTGATAGGTTTTTAATGACGTATCTTCATGATTTTGTTTTTCTTTCATAGCTAGTGATTTGCAGCATCCTTTTACATACTTATTCACCATTCATTTATCTTCTTTAGCAAAGTGCCTGTTTAAGTATTTTTCTCATTTTCTAATTGAATTCTGTGTTTTCTTATTATTGAGCTTAGAGTATTTTTAAATATTCTGGAGGAAAGTCCTTTGTCATATATGTGCTTAGCAAACAGGATCCTCCCTGCCCTCCAACTTGGTGGCTTGTCTTTTTGTCTTCTTAACAGGGGTCTTTCACGAAGAAAACCTTTTTTAAAATTTTGATTAATTCAATTTATCTACTTTTTCAAAGATCTTTTATAGAACTTTATGTTTAAAGATTATTTGCCCAAAAATTCTCTTTTTTAAAGCTTTCTTCCAGAAGGTTTATAGTTTTATGGTTTTTTTTTTACTTTTATTTATTTTCTGCCTAGGTGTACTTTTATTTCTAAATATTTTAAACATTTTAAACACTGAACCCAAAATTTAGCATCAATGACATTTAGTACATTTACAATGTTATGTAAACACCACCCCTGTCTACTTTCAGAACATGTTCATCACTCCAAAGGAAATCTCATACAACTTAAACAGTCATTACTCATGCCTCTCTCCCCATATCCCCTGGCTAGTACTAATTTGCTCTCAGTTTCTAAGAATTCACCTGTTCTGGATATTTCATATGAATGAAATTATAACATATATGGTCTTATGTGTCTACATGATTTTTAATTCTAAAGTAGGCTCTTGTAATTTTAGCTTCATCTTCCATTACTATCTGGAATTAATTATGTTTTGTGAACATAAAGGCTCTAACTGTTTCAAAGAAGATTTTTTTTTAAATTATGGATACATAATGGTTGTATATATTTAAGAGTACATGTGAAATTTTGATACAAGCATACAATGTGCAACGATCCAAATGTGGGTAATTAAGATATCCATCATCTCAAAAATGTATCATTTCTTTATGTTGGGAACATTCTAAATCTCTCTTATATTTTAAAATGTACAATATATATATTGTTTTTATCAGTTTACTTTTAGATTTCTGATTCACTTTGAATTAATTTTTTAGAAGGCCTGAGGTTTAGGTTGAGGTTTTTTTTGTTTTTTTTTGACCTATGCATATGCAATTGTTTCAACATCATTTGTTTAAAAATACTATCCTTTCTCCGTTGAATTGTCTTTGCACTTTTGCCAAAAATCGGTTGAATATATATTTGTAGATATTTTTCTGGGTTTCTTATTCCGTGGCATTGTTCTCTGTGTTGATACTTCCACCAATACACATTGTTTTAAATACTGCAGTTATATTGTAAGACAGGAGGTTGAGACCATCCTGGCCAACACGGTGAAACCCTGTCTCTACTAAAAAAAAAAAAAAAAAAAAATACAAAAAATTAGCCGGGCGTGGTGGCGGGCGCCTGCAGTCCCGGTTGAGGAAGGAGAATGGCGTGAACCCGGGAGGCGGAGCTTGCAGTGAGCCGAGATCGCGCCACTGCATTCCAGCCTGGGCGACAGAGCGAGACTCTGTCTCAAAAAAAAGAAAAAAAAAATTGGCTAATGTAACTCCATCCACTTCACTCTTTCTCTTCAAAATAATTTCAGCCATTCTTTGCCTTTCCATATAAAATTTACAGTGATCTTGTTTATAACTACAAAAATTTTGGTGAAGTTTTGATATTGTTTTTAATCTATGTATCAATTTTGGTGGCATTGATGTGTTTACTATGTAAAGCCTTGTAATCCACCTACATGGTATTTATCTCCATTTATCTAGACATTCTTTGCTTTCTTTCAACAAGACTTTACAGTTTTTCTACATGTAGAACCTGTTTTTGTGTTTTGTTAGATTTATATCTACGTATTTTTTTTTCAAGTGATCGTAAATGGTATGTACCTTAAATTTTTGTTTTTGATAGATTACTGACAGTATGAAAATTGTGATTAATTTTTGTGTATTGACCTTCTATCCTGTGGCACAGTACCTTCTAGGATAATATCTGAAATAAGGTGTTTCTAAAATTAATCTGTAAATGATAACTTAAGAAAAAGCAATTGTTCAACCAGAGATTAAAACACATACACAAAACTGTAATAATAAATACAATATGGTATTTGCATACAATAGATAAATACATCAATGAGACAGAATAGAGAATCCACACTCATGTATATATATGGAAATCCATGTGTGATAAAATTATTTCATTCAGATGTGTTGGAGAATTAAAAAAAAATCATTGCAACTCACTAGTGAAAAGATGGACTTGTTTATATATGACTTTAGAAAATTTGGTTAATATTAAAAATTAACTCAGGACTATACATCCTCAGATATCTTAGAGTATGATAAAAATAACTATTAAGACAAAAATATTACAAACATATAGGGTAATATGTTTATAATTTTGGGATTGTAAAGTCTTCAAAGACAAACAATAACAAACAGCATTATAAGTGAGATCTCTTAAAAATTAAAAATTTCTGCAGGGCACGGTGGCTCGCGCCTATAATCCCAACATATTGTGAGGCCAAGGCAGGTGGATCACCTGAGGTCAGGAGTTCGAGACCAGCGTGGCCAACATGGTGAAACCCCGTCTCTACGAAAAATACAAAAATTAGCCAGGTGTAGTGGCACTCACCTGTAATCTCAGCTACTTGGGAGGCTGAAGCATGAGAATCTCTTGAACCCGGGAGGTGAAGGTTGCAGTGAGCTGACATCGTGCCACTGCACTCCAGCCTGGGCAACAGGGTGAGACTCTATCTCAAAAAAAAAAAAAAAAAAAAAATTAAAAACTTCTATTATTCAAGTACCATGAAGCACAATGTTAAAAAACAAGTAATATCATGAGAAAAAAATATTTAAAATAATATAAAATAATTAGTATCTACAATATGTAATACTTGTAATTCAGTATTGAAGAAATAAACAAATTAGAAATGGAAAAGATATGCGAACCACTTACCAAAAATAAACACAGTGATTAGCATGAATCTTTTTTAGTTAGTAGTCAATAAATTGATTTTTTTTTTTTACTGTCAGCTTGTCAAAAATGTGGCCAAAAACCTGAGGCTACCTAGTGAGGATGTTAGAGAGAGGATAAGAGTATTCTTAAAAATGGCTCTTGGAATATAAATGGATAGGGGCTCTTCATGCAGGAGCCAATATAAGAAAATAAAATAAGAAAATATAGTCTAACAGAAATCATGAAAAAAAGTTTAAGAGCAAAGAAAACTAAAATGGCAGAAATAAAATAAAACAAATGTAATCATTATAAAATATACTAGTTATGTTCCCATTTTAAAGGACAAAGGCTATCTTTTAATTTTTTTTTTTTGAGATTAAAGAGTTGAAAATTTTTCCTCCAGAACTTTGAGTCTATTGTTCTGAAGTTTTCTGATGCTTGGTGTTGATGCTAGAATGGTGATGCTCTCATTTTGGTTCTTTTGTATGTGAATTACCCTTTTCTTTAGAAAAGTAATCATTGATGTTGTGCACGTATGAAGACATGTTAATATGTGGGCCTTTTTGTTTAATTAATTGTGCTTATTTATTAGCTGTTTTAATTTGAGCGGTTGTTCATTAAGTCTGAGATTATTCTGAATTACTTCGATTTTTCTTAATTTCTTCTCCTCTTATCATACTAGTACCCCCCACCAAGACATTTATGTAATGAGCATTCATATTTGTTTTCTATTGCCTTAATTTTATGTTTATTTGTGTTTTTGCTCTATGCTCTGGAAACGTTTTTCACATTTTATTTTTCTTTCCTTTTTTCTTTCTTCTTTAAAAAATATTTCTCTGTTTTCTCATATAAATGTATTCCTTTTTGTACTTCTTGAATTTTATTTTGGTGGGGTGTTTGTAGAGACATGAGGTGGGGTTTCAGGAGAGACATTAAGAACTCAGTCCCTATGTTTTAGGAATTGAGTCTCCATATTCAACCAGGCAGAATTTACCTATTGAGAAATAAATGAATGTTCAGATTCTCCAAAGAATTAGTTGAACGAATGAGTGAGACTTAGACATAATTTGGAAACTCCCAATAGAGAGGATAATCAATTTAGATAGCAAAATCAAAACAAGATTTTCCAGGTTACGATAAATTTAATTCGGTTCCAGTAATATTTTTCAATCTATTTGAAGTACTTTGTTTTTTATTTTGAGCAGTCTGTGAAATTAAACTGAACACACTTTGATTCTGCCATTTGTTTCCAGAGTAAGTTTTGTCCTGGTGTTCAGTAACAACCCAGCAGATCCTACACAGTACAATTTCTCTACAGTAATTTAGCCAAATGTCACTCATTCCTTTCTGACCTCTCATCTCTCACTCATCCTTTATTCGTGGGATTTTGAAGACATTGATGGAACAGAAACAGGTTCCAGCTTTCATCTTGTTCCTCTCCTGCACACCGTGTACAATCTGGCCATGCAGCCTGCTATTGTCTGTGCACATCTTGAGCGCTTTGACCTCCATGCTATTGTCCCCTAGAATGCGTTTCCTCATTCTGTTCTATAATCAACACAAATTGGGGTAGTTGCTCTGCTTACAAAGGCATTCCCAATGACTATGCCGTCCCTACACTGGCCACTTTTTACTGATACACACTGTGCCAATTTTATTCTCTCTCCTGATAATTTGAACAAAGGAACAGAGATGTCTATTTGTAAAATGCAGCTGAAAATTAGTTATTTCTTGGTTGCATCCTAGAGAGAAGAGTTATATGCTCCTTTTGCTAGCATTTTCAGAGAGGTGCTGGTTCCTGAATTTCCTCAAGCTTGATAATGAAATTCCGCTTTATGAATCTTTCTAACAAATCTTACCTTTTCCTTAACAGAACCGTTAAAAAATGTTTTTATTTTCCCTGCTTTCAGGTACATGCCACCAAGGAGTTTTAATCTAACTTAAATCCCATCTCCTCAGGTCCATCTTTGCTTGCTTTTTTTTTTTTTTTTAAGTTTTATTCACTTATTTATGTTGTATTTTTATTTTTGAGTTCAAGTGTACAAGTGAGGTTTGTTACATGGGTAAATATGTATCACAGGGGTTGTTGTACAGATGATTTCATCTCCCAAGTATTAAGCTTAGTACCCATTAGTTATTTTTCCTGATCCTCTCCTTCCTTCCACTGAAAGGCCCCAGTGTGTGTTGTTCCCCTCTCTGTGTCCATGTGTTCTCATCATTTAGCTCCCACTTGCAAGTGAGAACATGTGGTATTTGGTTTTCTGTTCCTGTGTTAGTTTGCCAAGGATAATGGCCTCCAGCTCTATCCATATCTCTTAAAGGACATGATCTCATTCTTTTTTATGGCTGCATAGTATTCCACAGTGTCTATGTACCACATTTTTTAATCCAGTCTATCATTAATGAGCATTTAGGTTGATTTCATGTCTTTGCTATTGTGAATAGTGCTGCAATGAACATATGTGCGCATGTGTCTTTATAATAGAATAATTTATATTCTTTTGGTTATATACCCAGTAATGGGATTGCTGGGTCAAATGGTAGTTTGTCTTTAGATTTTTGAGGAATCTCCACACTGTCTTCCACAATATTTGAATTAATTTACTTGCTTGCTTTTTAAGGGCAGGTTTAAAGTCTTTCTGTACAAGGAAACTTCATGGCCTTATCCAACTAGAGGGCTTCTCTCCCATCCTCTGCAATCTCACAGTCTCTTGCCTTTACCTCTCTCATGGCAATCACCTCTCATACCTTGACTGAAGTATACTTACAGTGGCAAACATCACCATATAGGAGAATAGCTATTCCTTAAGGGCATAGTTTCCATTTTGCTTTTCTCTACAATACCTTGCACACGGCAAATGATCAGTAAGAATCAGTTCAATTTATTAGTTACATGTTTAAAAAGGGCTTCACTGATTTGGCAGAAGACACTAGAAGAGCCATTGGTTCAGAGGCCATTTTCTTAATAGAAGCTACTACTTTGTATGTGTCCTGTCTGGACTGTCTCATGTTGTCCTCCCGTTATGGACTGAAAGTCCATGTTCCCTTAAAGTTTATTGAAATCTTAATTTCCAATGTGATATTGTTTGAAGGTGGAGCCTTTGAGAGGCAATTAGGTCATGAGGGTAGAGCCCTGGTCAATGAGATTAGTATCCTTGTAAGAAGTGACCAGAGGGCTAGCTCACTATTTTTTTCTGCCATGTGAGTATAAAAGGAGAAGTCAGCAGAGGGCCCTCAGCAGAACCCAGCCATGCTAGAAACTTGATGTTGGACTTCTAGCCTCCAGAACCGTGAGAAATACATTTCTGTTATAAGCCACTCAGTCTATGGTGCTTTGTTGTAGCAGCATGAACAAATAACACCTAACCATGCTGCAAAGTAGATAATATTATGTTCACTCTCCAGATAAGAAAAATAAAGTTTAAAGAAGGGGAAACAATTTGTCCAAGGTTGCATATGATTCATAAGTGGAGCTGAGCTTGAACCTCTGTTACTGCAAGATAGAAGATGTTGTGAAAAGAGTCACTGAGACAATTCCCAGTGGGAATAAGCAAGTGCTAGAAGAAAATATTCTCATTTATCCAAAACCTGGAAATAGAAAGAAGCAATGTTTATTTTTAGGCCTGAACCATTAAGGGCATCAGCATGAGCATCATCAGCCATTTATGTGCTTGTGGACCTGTTAGACTCCAGGTATTCAGAGTCAGTGAATTACATTTTCAGACCACTCATCAGAGGAAGGCATTTTTACCCCCATTTTAGAGACTAGAAAGCTGAGACTTGCAGAAAAATGCCATGCTATATTTGTACAGAGAGTAACAGAGTAAAAATTCAAATTTAGATCTTGTCTCATTCTTCAATGATTTTTTTCACTGTGCTGCATTGTGTTGGCAAAAATCTTGTGACTAAAGAGTAATGATTAAAATCATAATCAAAGATGGTAGATCAATCCTATGTAGACACCTCTAATGAATGAGTCTGCATGATCCCAAGTGAGTCCTCTCCTGTACCATCATGGGAATGTCCTGATCTCTTTTTGACCAACATTTTTATAAAGGATATACACAAAGATAAAAGCAGGTTCCTTGTGAAGTTTGCTAACAGGCATAATAGGGAGGGATTCGTAGCTCATATGATTAACAAAGGATATGCGATTAAAATAATATTCAGAGGTATGGACGCTGAGGCAAAAACCAAACCAAATGAAACCAAAACAAAAAAACAGTAAAAGTGAAATTGCGCACGAGAAAAGGTTACAAACTCATTTCGTAAGTGCAAGAAGAGACTCCTGACTGGGCAGCTGTTCACTAAAAAATAGCTGAGGATTTAGCTGATCATGTGCTTTCCATCTACCAGCAAAAGAGTGAAGGGTTGAAACCAGCACTGCTGGTTCCAACCACTATAGTCCCATGATTTTGTGCAGTAGACAGGTCTTGGTAAAATATTCCATCCTTGTGCTCCTTTCGGAGGATTATAGGAAAACCAGAGGCCAGAGAGGTCTGTGCTTGCTCATTTGAGTGCTAGTCCTTCTGCTTGGAAGGTCTTTTCCAGGTGCTACCAGGTGAAGTCAGCTGGTCCTGCAAGTCTACCCTTAAGCATTTTCTTCCGTATGAAGACTTCTTTGTTATCTCTGGGTAGAAGGTGCTGCTAGGAAAAGAATGACCACAGGCTGAATTGGTGGGAGTGTAGTTCTCCCCACTACGCAGGGAGTCCTGTTTGCTGGATTCCCCAGTCCACACCTCATGACTCATAACCTATGAGGTACTTTGCAAGCATTATAGGTCATCCTCATTATGTAACTTTGAGCAAAACATTTTCTTAATATTTACTTGACACCTAGTATGTCAACTTATCAGCAAGGAAGGCTCAATACATTGTTTATATTTGGGGCCTTTAAACCACTCTTTATCCATGTAACATAGTAAAAGGTGAACATTCTCTCCGTGTGCTACAATGCTCCCTTTCAGATCAGTGCAGTCAGAGCTGTGTCAAATAGTATATTGTGAAATATTGGATTTCACAGAAAGACAGAGGTTCAATTTATTTTTTTGTTGGCATGCCCATCTAATCAGAAGAATAGGCCCACCACAGATTTTTCTTTAGACATGATACCTAAGGAAGATGAAAGTGCAATTATATTCTGCTGTTGTGCGGCCATTTGAAAGGAGCTAATGCAGGTGTTCGAGATAGAAACTTGGAGACAATGGATGCCTCGCAAACAATGAGTTGTGGGACATGGAGCTAGTGAGAGAGGGATGGGCATTTTTAAAATGATGACAAGCAACAATAGGCTTGGGAGTCATTTCAAGTGTCTGTCAGGCATCAGTCAAACAATAATTCTCTGTTTGTTTGTTGGGAGCCAGTGAACTTACTGAGAGAACACTTTCAACTTGACTGAACATAATTGCTTCCTGAAATAGATTCTGATGAGTGAATTGAGACTACTCCTTTCTAGCTGTAGCCTTTTAGTTTTTTAGAATTTACAAAGCACTTTCCCACACACCATCTCAAGCCTTGTTTTGACCTCTGTGCTAGGTGGTGGCAATGCGACATTGAGAAAAGCAGATCAATTTATGCCCTTGGGAAGGTAATAGTACAGTGGGACAGACAGACATTAAGCAAATCATCCCTTAAGCAAGTATGCAATTGAAATCCTTTTTATTACACCAGTAGTTTTTGTTTTTAGTTTTAAATTCAGTCCATTCGAGGTGCTTCTGAGGCAGCTGTGGGCAAAAGGGGCTTGAAGGAAATGTCTTGTCCCCATCCTGTTTCAATTAATAGCACTCAGATTTTGTTTGATAGATTGGTGTTGGTAGTAAGCTTTTCCTTGGAAAATAAACTTTATTACACACAGAAAGCCAAGACTGCTGCACTCTACGTTTAGGAAAATGAGTAGTGTGCTATGTGATAGAATAATTGTATTTTTCAGGAGGTGCCACTGTTTCTAGGCATAGCACCTTTGTGTTTATCTTCTTGAATCCAGTGTATATATTTACCTGGAGGAAGTTTCTAAGTCTTTTTATTGAGGGAAGTTTCATTCTGTCAGATTCCTGTATGGGGCTCCAGCAGGGTGTCAGTGTACGACAGCCACCTGGCTCACCAGTGTCACATGGACCCACCTGTTAGGGCCCCTGCAGCCTTCACTCGTTGTTAGATGCTTAGGGTGCCATTTCTGCTCAGAAGAGGTAGCTGACCTTTGTAAGACAGGCCTACCCTCTTTACAAATCACTATGCAAGTCTGATTGCCTCTTGAAAGGTCAGCCTTATTATCTTGGCCTTTGGCTGATCTGACCCTTGGCTTCCCTCGGGCCTTTTCTTTGGGGTCAGTTGCAGGGGTTAATTAGCAGAGGGAGAGGATAATCACACTCACCAAGCCCTTGGCTTCAGCATGTCCCCCAGGATTGGCATGGCCACTCTGAAGAGAAAGTGCGGATAGTGGAAACAGCAAACTCCTTTGCTTCCCCTACTCTCACCCTGATCAGTCCCTGCTGTGATACCACACACATTTAAAGGATTTCATTTGAGAAAATTGAGGAGCCCTCTTTAGTGTCACTGTTTTGCAGTTTCTTGCAACACTTAACAGCCATTTGGACAAATTTGGATAACTCATGAGATCTCGCTGCACCTTCTCCCTTATCTGCAGAATGGGTGGGTGGGCCAGGTGGCCCTGAGCTAGCCATACCAGTGGGAAGACTCAGAGGCTCTTTGGCATAAAGTTTAACAATCATAGTTAAAATCATATCTTCAATTTAATCCGTTGAATATATCCTACTTAGACCCTTAAATTATTAGTCTCTTTACCTACAAGCTCCAGCTATAACTCTTCCTGTTAGGAAGATCAAATGAGATGATATGTATGGGATCACCCTCCTTCTCAGCATCAGCAGCCATGCTCTGGTTCTTAACCTGTTTTACCTGTCCTTGTTACCCTCTTCCTCCATCATTTACTATTTCTCTCCTCTTACTTTCAATCATTCTGCAATCCTTCCATCCTCTTTAAGTTCCCTAAAAATATTGCATTTAGACGTGCATTACATGATACAACTTATGACTCATGAGTCATTCCTTCCTATCATCAATCATTCACCATCGATGTACTGAACATCTTCTAAATGCAGGATCCTGCACCAAGTCTGGGGATACCATAAGACAGTAAGAAGTACTACCCTCAATGAGTTTATAGTCTTCTAGGAAGGCCAGCTTCAAGGATGTGGTTTCAACAACAAGTGAAAAACATTCGATAGCATATTTAGTAAAGGGAACCTATTATAATTTATAGATTGAGATTGAAATGAGTCAGTCCACACTAAATAAACACGTATCTACTCAGTTCCAACTATGTACAATGTTCTATTCTAGGTGACGGTCATTCAGCAGTTAACAAAGCAGACAAAATGTCTTGCACCCTTGAAAGTTATATTCTATTGTTCACATGTCCCTGGGTTGTGGAAAATGAGAGGAAGCATGGAAGAGATGAAGTGAGAGTTTGCCTGGTATTCAGAGTGCACTGGGTTCCAGATATGGCCACAGAGGGTTGCAAAGCCAGATCACATGAGGCCCTTGCAGGGCCTCTTTCAATTAATTATGACTTAAGACTATGCATCATTTGAAAACCATTTTTGAATTTACTCTGAAATTATCATGGAGGAGAGTGGCTGCTGTACTGAAGAGTAACCCTAGTAGAATGACCCATGTGGAAATTCATTTTGAAGTTTGAAATGAGACTTTTCCTATCCTGTCTCAACTCCTCTGGGCCATTGAGACTTTTCTTACTGTGACAATAAAATTTAGTAACTCACCATGGTTTTTCTTTTTGCTCTGGCTGCCAGAAAGTTTGGAGACAAATTAGATATTAATCTTTTTACTTAAATTATTTGCTTCCTATTCATTTATTTGTTTTTTTTTCACATCACTAGATAAATACCCTTTTTGAGGTGGTTTAGTCTACATTCAAAATATGGATTCTGATTAGAAGACTGTCAAAAATGCTGACTCAGAATTACCTGCTGTTATCATCCTTTTTTTTTTTTTTTTTTTTTACTACATCTCAAGTAGCATATAATGCCAAAAAACAATAACAGGGACCAAGAAAGTAGACTTCTCTCTTGCATGAAGCTTTGACATCTGTCATTGCTTATATTTTTACTTTCATCTCTCTACCAGCTTAGTTTCTTTAATTGTTTGTGTTCCTTTCTCCCTGCTAACTATGTCTGACCTATGGCTTTGTCTACTTGTCTACCTACATCTCTTATGCTTTCTACTGGTAATTCTAGATAGTCTTTTTTTTTTTTGCTTTTTCTCATATTACCGTTTACATTTGTGTCTCTTTTTTCCCATTATAATTAATAAGTGGATCACCTATGTTGTTAATTTTAGATGTCAACTTGACTGGGCTAAGGGATGCTCTGGTAACTGGTAGAACGTTATGTCTGGGTACGTCTGTGAGAGTGTTTCTGGAAGAGATTAGCATTTGAATCAGTAAACTGAGTGAAAAAGATCCACCTTCACCAATGTAAGGGGCATCATTCAATCCAATGAAGGCTCTAATAGAACAAAAAGATAAAGGAAGGAGAAATCTTCTGTTTCTTCTTGAGCTGGGATATCCATCTTCTTCTGTCCTTGGACACCAGTGTCCCAGTTCCAGGGCCTCCAGACTTGAACTGGGACTGACATCACTGTCTGCTCTGATTCTCAGGCTTTGGATTTGAACTGGGACTGACATCACTGTCTGCTCTGATTCTCAGGCTTTGGATTTGAACTGGAACTACATCACCAGCTTTTCTGAACCTTCAGAGTGCAGACAGCATATGGTGGGACTTCTCTGCCTCTGTAATTGTGTGAGCCATCTTTCAGAATTAACATCTATCCATCAATCTATCCTACCTGTATTTAAATGTACTATTGGTTCTGTTTATCTGAAGAACACTGATTAATACAGCATTTGATTGAATAATTTTTAAAATTCCAGGCCATAAGTCATACTTTCGATGTCATTGAATATTCTGCCTGTGGGTCAGATGTGCATGCTTGTCTACATGGCTGTGGCTAGCTGAGATCAAGCTATGTGGTACCAAATACAGTGGCTGTTTCTCACCACAGATGGAGAAAGTATATTTAGAAGAAGGGAAGGGTGGAGCGGGAACAATTACATCCCTAATTAGGTGGCTTTCCTGGTACAGGCAGGGGGATGGGTGGATAATCTTGATATGCCCACCCCTCAACACTGTGATGCTCTGGCATGGGCTGTGCAATCTTACTTATTGGATTACTTACTGGAGCACCCTTTCTTCTCACAGCTGCTTCTTTCATTTTCCTCCCATGCTGATCTCGTGCTCATCTTGAGACCCAGTTCTTTCCTTACTGGTCAAGGATGGTTTTCTCTGCTTCTATCCCTGTGCAGAAGCCTTCCATTTCAATCCCAGATAACCCTGTGCTTTCCTCTGTTCTAATATTTTGCCACTTTATTAGATTTGCCTTTTTCCTTATTTGACTCTACTGTGTCCTGACAACCTGAACAGGGTTAACCTGTCATTACTGCACTTCTAGCTCCTGAGTCAGTGTCTAGCCTGTAGTAGGATACCCCATAAGAAGGAGGCAAGGGATTGGGACTGTCCTTTTTCTATCCCAAATCAGGATAAGAACCTTTATTCTGGAGCAGGGATAAAGCAGGTGCTCCAACATAGGTACAGCCATACTCCAGAGCATTTATTCAGCCATACTTCAGACATATGTATAGCCATCCTCCAGAACATCTGTATAGCCATACTCCAGATAAAGAATAAAAAGTTCCAGTCCCCACATTGAGATCACAACCAAGTGTTCCTTTCCATGGGAAGGGCTTCTTAACATGTCTTTCTTTTCCATTCTGTTCTAGTCTCTACTTTAGACCTGTACTTTGTGTCAACTTGTCCCATGCTTATCATCTAATAACGTAACATCTCTTCTCTTCTAGGTCTTCTATATGACCCTTATTGGCCTCATATTTAAATCTAACCCTTGCTTTTTACTTGAAGTCTCCTGACACAAAGTGTGAGGCATTTTTTTTTTTTTGGGATTTGGGTACTTAGAATATTATGTATATGAGAACCAGCTCCACTTCTCTGTAAGTACGTGACTGTGAACAAGTTACTTAATTTCCTCATCTCTAAAGTAAGAAGCACAAGCCCTTCTCTGGTCACTTAAAGAGCTTCTAATACTTTTCAATGAGATAAGCACTAAAGAGAGTTTCCTAAGCACTTTGCATTTTTTTAACTTTTATTTTAAGTTCAGGGGTACAAGTGCAGGTTTGTTACATATGTAAACTTGTGTCATGGAAGTTTTTTGTACAGATTATTTCATCACCCAGGTGTGAAGCCTAGTACCCATTAGTTATTTTTCCTGCTCCTCTCCCTCCTCCAACCCTCCACCCTCCAAAAGGCCCCAGTATGTGTTGTTCCCTGTCTGTGTCCATGTGTTCTCATCACTTAGCTCCCACTTATGAGTGAGAACATAGAGTGTTTGGTTTTCTTTTCCTGTGTTAGTTTGCTAAGGATAATGGCCTCTGGCTCCGATCATGTCCCTGCAAATATTAATAACAATTACTATTCAAAATTTTTTTTCTGGCTTCATTCTATCTCCAATATTCTTGGCTTATTAACATAATTACCTTGGCAATATAGCTTCCTAAAACTGTGTGAACTCAATTTAATAAATATTGATCTCCTGTGATATTGACTTTATTGAACACTTACTATTCCCTGGAGGCTACACAAATTACATCATTGAAACCAGACACAAAGAACTTGAGAAAAAATATTTTTATTTACCTTTGCCTGCATATAATTGTATTGAGGCTTACAAATGTTTAATAACTTGATCCAAGTTTCACATCAAAGTGGTAGAGTTAAGATTTAAACTCAGATCTCAATGACTCCAAAGTCGATGCACTTAACCGTTATTCTTTTCCACCCTTTATGTCCTGTGGCCCCAAATGAATCACTTTTGGTATCTAACTAATTTTCTCTCACAATTTTTTCAAATATTATGCTGGAAACTCTTCTGAAATTCTTATCAAATTAATGGAGAGATTTGTGCTAATACTCACATAGCACTCAATGAATCTGCCTGTGGGCTCTATGTTCCTTGATTGGTGACTCATTTTCTCCCTGTAATTTTGGTTTCACTTGTCATTCTATCTAATTGAATTCTAAGCTTCTTAGGAAAGATTGGGAGTGATATCTGCATACTGTATTTCTTGCCTAGTTCATTTTTTGTCATAAATTGATGTAAAAAGGTCATTACACTGTAATATGAGGAATAAAAGTTTGTTATATATACATATCACAATGTTCAATTTCCAAATTCTCCCAGGCAGCAAAAACCATCAACTCAGAAAATGGATACTGAAACTTTTGGGTTGTAAGAGGATTGAGAAAGCCCCTAATCCAGACTTTTTATCTTGGAGGGGAGAAGATGGAGGCACAGATCAGGAAAAGAACTGATCTTGAAGAGCTAGGGTATCAGCTATGGATTTCGATTGCTTCAAATTCTCATCTTTTATATGACTCTTTATTGTGCATTTAAGAATGGCAACATGGAAGCATGAAAACAAGAAGAGACTAGAAGTGAGGAAAACAAATTCTGGGTCTTCCTCTGTGCACCTGCTGTTTGGTGCTGGACGTGGTACTTCGTGCTTATTTAGCTCCCCTGAAAATGCAAAACAATGGCTCATGTTCAGGGGATCGTATTATCGTCTAGAATATAAAGGCTCGGAAATTCTATTCTTTGAGGTTTGCACTCTATGCTACACAGTGGAGAACATGGCATAAAAGACATAGTGTGTATTTTAAACAGTTTCATAAATAATTCCATGCCAATCATACACACATACACTTGCACAGATACACAAACACACACTTCTTGTAGCCAAGAATGGCACACCAATTTTGCATTGAAATCCATGAAAATGATAACTCATGTTGTACAAATTCAGAGGTAGGGAGATCATTACATCATTGTCAGGTCAGTTCTTATGATAAAACCAAAGTTTTCAACTAGGCTTTTATGGACCACATAGAAAAGAATGGGAGCAGTGACCCCAACAGAAAGTCCAGCACCTTCAAATGTAGAGAAGTGGTGAGTGCATAGGTGATCACGTGACTGGCACGAAAGCCAATTCTTACCATGGTGATTAAAATGTTTGAAAAGAAACAGTAACTTTGATTCCTTTGTTCAACAAATTGTATGAAGTTCTTACTATATGTGGGGCCCTGTGATAAACTGCAAGATACAGGGTTTGCAGGGCTGATTCACTACTCTACAAGAGAACCACTAATTATAAATGGTTAAAACTTAGATGAGATGAGCATCATGAAGCAAAAGCCCCCAAAACTGGAAGTGAAAACAGGCAATCCAATCAATCTGTTCTCTGAAATATCTGCCACACTACCTACCGTCTCCTTTACCTCCACTTTCTTTAATGCTTAGAGATAGTCACTGCCCTGCAGTGCCGTGTAGTCTTGGTGTATGGCTGTTCAACTGCATCTTTCTCTTCTACTGTGTTTAAACTTATAGAGACCAAGGATGATACCTGTATTCCTAGTGCTGAACCCAGAGCTTGGCATATACTGGGCAGAGTTGAGGGAGTGAATGATCATCTTTCCTCCTTTTTAAAGAGCACATTGCTACTCACAGCTTTTCTCTAAGTGTATTGCCATGATGCTTCCAATGCTTTAGTGAACTATCAGGGTAGAATGAGTTCATATAGGGGCCAGCCTTCTTTGTCCTGATACTGTGTATATATTGTTGCTTAGCAATTTTGTGGTGGAAATGTTACTTTGTCTTCAGGCAAACACAAGCTCTGTTTGAAAGAAGAGCAATAGTATAATTTACACATTTATGCATGGGGCTGCATCAGACAGTGGCATCATTAACTGCAAAGAGGGGTGGAGAAGCAAGAGGTATCTGAGAGTCGTCCATTCTTGTTTTGTTTTTGTTTGTTTGTTTTTGAGACTGAGTTTCACTTTTTTTGCCCAGGCTGGAGTGCAATGGTGTGATCTCGGCTCACTGCAACCTCTGCCTCCCAGCTTCAAGCGATTCTCCTGCCTCAGCCTCCCAAGTAGCTGGGATTACAGGCGAGTGCCACCATGCTTGGCTAATTTTTTGTATTTTTTAGTAGAGACGGGGTTTCACCATGTTGGCCAGTTTGGTCTTGAACTCCTGACCTCAGGTGATCTACCCACCTCAGCCTCCCAAAGTGCTGGGATTACAGGGGTGAGCCACCACGCCCAGCCCCCAGTTTTTGTTTTGGAATGTTGCATTGCCATTCCTTTTTCCTAACTCAAATATTACGTTTGCAATGGAGAATGGATAGGATTTCAGAGGAGGATTAAGTAAATAAGTCGTATTAAAATGACAAAATGGGTAAATAGAATATAATGTGGAATGAAATGTAAATTGGATTTAGGCAAACACTTTTATACAGTCTTACCACCCAACCCTATCCAACTGCTTCAGATTCCTACAGTGGCTTCCGTGCATGGTTCTATTACATGGTGCCACTCAAGGGCATTTGATGTTTTCTCGCTCTGGAAATTCATTTGCATTTAAATGATTTGAAATAATCATAAAAGCCAAGTGCTATGAAGTTTGAAATTAGTTACTGTCTATAAATTGCAATGCCATTAAAAGATGATTGTGGAGAGCTTTGCTGTCTCAAATGTAGACAGATTAAAATCTAACAAAGTACATCTTGTTACAAACCTGTAAAGAATGATGGGATATAGAGTTAAATTGATTTATTCTCCTGCTTGTGCCTATAAACTTAATGCACTTGAGTTTATTCTCAGAGTAACAAACTTTTTTTATCTGGCCTATATCTATCCTTTTTAAATCTATGGCTGTTTTATAGAAGTTGCTAGATTTTATTCTTACCCTTTATTTAAAAATGAAAAGAGGGTTGCATTTTCTTTTTAAACTAGATAATCTGGGCAGCATGTTTTGGAAGAGAAGCTTAAAAACCAGTAGGTGCATGTTTAAAGGGCTGAGGTAGGAGTTATCTCCAACACAGAAACTTCTACACTATCAATCCTGCAAGACCTATATGACAGTATTGCAGTCATTAAAAGCGCAGGTGCAGAAATCAGATATTTTGGGTTCAAATGACAGTTCTGACGATTACTTAGCTGTGTGACCCTGAGTAAGTTTCTTAATCTTTCTGATTCCAGCTCGAGAATAACAACAACAATATCTATATCAGGATTATTTAGGATCATGATGAGAGTAGAAAGAAATAATGCACTTAAGCTTCTAGAGCCTTGGGCATGGTAAATATTCAACAAGAGTTAGTTATTATTTTTTACGAGGAATATTCAAAGTGTTCCATCTTTTGTCTCTTGGCCTCAATTCTGGAGACGGTTTTTGCCCATGTCCTCAAAATTATCTGATGCTTCTTCCGTTAAAAAGTACACTTTATATTCCTTCCCGTAGAATCCAGCCTTTTGATTTTTGACTAATAGAACACAAAGGAAATGACACCATGCCAGTTTCCAGGCTCAAGGTGAAAGGAAATGGCAGTTTCCATTTCCTTGCTCTTGGAATGCTCATTTTTGAAACACAGCCACCATGCTATGAGGAAGCTAAAGTCACCCTAGGAGTGACCCATGTTCAGAGACGCTAATAGCTAGCTGTGCTAGTTTGATACAACTGCCAAAATAAAGTAGCACAAATTGGGTAGGTCAGACAACACAAATTTGCCTCACAGTTCTGGAGGCTAGAAGTTTGAGATCAAGGCTTGGTGAGTGTTGGCTCCTTGTGAGGACCGTGAAGAAAGCATCTGATCCAGGCTTGAGAAGCTCCTTGGCTTCTCAATGGCCATCTTCCTCCTGTGTCTTCACAGTCTTTCCTCCGGACTTGTCTGTTTTCAAATTTTCCCTTCATATAAGGATATCAGACATATGGGATTAGGACCTACCCTAATGACTTTATTTTAACTTGATTACCTCTATAAAAACTTGATCATCAAAGGTCACTTTTTCAAGTACTGGGGAGGATAGGACTTCAACATATGAATTTTGGGGGGATACAGTTAAACCCGTAACACCAGCACTTACTCGCCAGTCATGTCAAGATGTGTGGGCATCTGACCCATAGGCAGAATATTCAGTGACATCCAAAGTATGATTTATGGCCTGGAATTAAACAGTGACTCAATCAAATGCTGTATTAATCAGTGTTCTTCAGAGAAACAGAACCAATGGTACGTTTAAATATAGGTAAGATAGATTGATGGATAGATGTTATTTCTGAAAGATGGCTTACACAATTATAGAGGCAGCTTATTCTCTAGCTCCCATAATACTTGACTCTTAACAAATTGCTGATTCACAAGGAAAATAAGTGGCTGGTGTTGCTTTAAACCATTACACTTGGTATGGGTTGTTACGCAGCAATAGGTAATCCAAGCCATGCTCTTCTTTGGGCTAGATACCTATTGCTAATTTTCATGACATAATCTAAGGACTTTGTCTCCAACTGACCCTTTGTAAAGATTTTTTCTTGGATGCCTTAGGTAGGACTTATAATCCATTTCTGGCCCCAAGAACCAATCCCTAGATCTATATAACATACAGATAGGAAAAACTACACAACCTGCTCTTTATGCCCCTTCACTCCAAAAATTAGAGTTTGGGTATCTGGCCATAAACCCAAAAAGATCCTTAACATCACTTAGAGACACAGCTTGGCTTGTGTCAGGTGGTGGACATGAGAGAAGTATGAAGCAGACAGGCTAGGATATCGGAGAAGAAGTGGGATTAAGATGCATTTGCACAAGTGGTCGCTGCTGCTTCTGCTCTTTGCTATCCTAATGTCTACTAGAGCCTGTTCACATAACTAGCCTGACTGATCCACTCCCAGGAAGATGACCTCCAATGACCTCAGGATGAAGCCTCCTGTTGTAATTTTTCATCACCTTATTTCTTTGCCTCTTATCAATTCTCTCTCCATTTAAATGTTTTCCTCAGGAAAATCAGGCCATGTTTGTGTCCACAAACAAGAGTGAAGATAATCTCTCCTATCTGAGAAATCCAGGAGTGGAGGAATCCAATGGGAACTCTGGCCAAGGTATTTAGAGATTTCCATGATGAAGCTGAGGGGATCAAGATTATACATCAGTTTCAAAGGATGGGACTAGATTCAAACTGGGAGAAAAAAGGCTAGGGGCTGATTTTTCCTCCACTCTCTGGTTTTCACTGTCATCCTTCCTAGCACAGACACTGAGGAAAGGTGGGAAAATCCAATTAGCTTGGAGGGCCTGGCCTCAGACTCCATGCAGAGAAAATGATGCAGGGACTTTGATAATTGATCATCTGTGGCCTCCAAGTGTTGGCTCAGCTGCAGGAAATGTCACAGAAACGTTGTAAGATTGAGGATTGTGGATAAGTTTAACACATTTTGCAGAGTGGATCACCCTACTGTTACTGATTAGAAGATATGCCTTTGAAACTATAGAATATATTTCTGCAAAAATACGTATTCCTAAGCTCACAGGGGATAGGATCATGTGTGAGAAAAATTATTAGGTGACTTACAGGAGTAAGATTTGTATGATTATCAGCACCACAGAATAAGAGAGAATAAGGTAATGTTTTGCTTATGTCGATCACCTTAGGACAACCAGTGAGTTCATCCAGACTTAAAACCTTCCTCTTTGCAAAGAACAAGTTGACTGTATAATATCAAAATCTCTAATTTAAACTCTACTTAGAAGATATAAGTTCAAGTGCCAACCTTGCATCCTGGAGATGAAGCCAACTTGATCGTGGTGAATAAGCTTTTTGATGTGCTGCTGGATTTGGTTTGCCAGTATTTTACTCAGAATTTTTGCCTCAGTGTTCATCAGGGATATTGGTATGAAATTTTATTTTTTTGTGGTACCTCTGCCAGGTTTTAGTATCAGGATGACACTGGCTTCATAAAATGAGTTAGAGAGGAGTCCCTCCTTTTCAGTTGTTTGGAATAGTTTCAGTAGAAATGGGTCCAGCTCCCCTTTGTACTTCTGGTAGATTTCAGCTGTAAATCTGTCTGGTCCTGGACTTTTTTTTTTTTTTTTTTTTTTGGTTGGTAGGGTATTTATTACTGCCTCAATTTCAGAACTTGTTATTGTTCTATTTAGGGATTCAATTTCTTCCTGGTTCAGTCTTGAATAGCTAATGGATGCTAGGCTTAATACCTAGGTGATGGGTTGATCTGTGCAGCAAATCACCATGGCACACATTTACCTATGTAACTAACCTGCACATCCTGCACATGTACCCCGGAACTTGAAAGTTGATGAAAAAAAGATATATGTTCAGACCACCATTACTTGTGTAGAGAACTTGCATATAATTTTATTTTCCCCAGCATTTTATTTTATCTAGGTGATCTGCCCCCAATTTAAGATGTAGCAATTGCTTCTGTACCTGAAGAGCAGAAAAGATTTCCATTTTAATTTGGTAGTTTGGGACTGCAAAGTTCATTATGAGAACCAAACCTAAGGGATTTACATGCCAACAGATGCCACGATTATACTCCACAATTACATACCTATGGGTCTTCCTTAAACTCAAATATGTCGATTTATGTGTGATGGAATAAGCCAGGGGATAAAACAAAAAGTAACCAGTAATCAAATGCTGTTTCTCTAATGACTCGACAGCATAAAATGTAAATTTCTGGTAATTGGCTACACAGTGTCCATTTCCATTTACCAAAGACCTGGTGCCATATAAACATGCATAGGGATAAAAGGGATGTTTTGAAGATGACCTTGTGGCATTGACATCAGACAGAAATAAAACAAGAGCTTAAATGTCAATTGTTCAGTGAGTAGTTAGATTTTCCTCCATTAAATATTTATTTGTGATATTTGTAGGCCTGTGGTCAGGGCCAGAAGATTAAGTCATCTGATCATGGTTATAGTCAGGGATGCAATTATGTGTGGGCTATACATGATTTTGTCATCTGAATTCTTAGCCTCACAATTAAATAATATAAAGTAGAAGCAGTGCAGTACTCCAAGATAGCTTCATTCTCCTACAGTGCTGGGGAGAGGATATATATTAATGGCAAGATACAAAAAAGTACAATAAGTGCTATGAGAGAAGCATTAAGAATCCATGAAAAAAATGAATTTGGGTAGGCCTTATAAAATGTAGAGGAATTTTACCACAGCCTAGAAAAAAACTATTGTTTCCAACACTTCACATACAGATTGAAAACTCTTACGAAAGACGATAAGCTCCTAGAACGCAGGGCCTGTGATGACCTCACTTTGGTTTCTTACCCATAGCACTGTGTCTGGTTCATAGTAGTTGTTTACATCAGCTACAATGCTTTTGGCTGCAACTAACAGAAGACTTAATTTAATTGGCTTCGAAAATAAGGGGCATAAAAAAAAGAACAAGATCATGTCCTTTGTAGGAACATAGATTGGCCTGGAGGCCATCATCCTTAGCAAACTAATGCAAAAGCAGAAAACCAAATACTGTATGTTCTTACTTATAAGTGGGAGCTAAATGATGAGAAAACATGGACACAAAGAAGGGAGAAGACACTGGAGCCTATGTGGAGGTGGAGGCTGGGAGGAGGGACAGAAACAGAAAAAATAACTATTGGGTACTATGCTTAGTATATAGGTGATGAAATAATCTGTGCAACAAATCCCCGTGACACAAGTTTACCTATATTACAAGTCTGCACATGTACCCCTGAACCTAAAATAAAAGTTAATAATAATAATAGTAGTAATAAGCATGTTATCATAGCTTCATTAATGGCTAGGGATAATGTGTTTTTGGGTTGGTCATTCAGTGTCTCAGAAATGTTAACAAGTACCCAGTTCTTTCCATCTTTCAATTTTACCACTTTCATTAGACTTTTGTCCTTGTTGAGACTCTTGCATAGTCACTTTTAGTCATGTTCAGTGCAAGAGAAGGCACTGTTTCTTCCTATTGTTTATGTAAGTTCTAGAACTTTCATGAAAGATCTTCCAGCAAACCTGTCCTCTCAATTCAATGATGAAAACTGGGTCAAAGGACACCTTCAAATGCATTATTTTTAATGGCAAAATGATTGTCATGTTTAAGTGAAATAAATCAGGATTGATCTCTGAGTCATGTGGGGAAGAGGTGAAACAAAATCAGGTATTCTTGTTGGGTAGGCAACCAACAGTGCCTGATTCATGTATGTATGTATGTATGTATGTATGTATGTATGTATGTATGTATGTATCTATCTATCTATCTATCTATCTATCTATCTATCTATCTATCTATCTATCTGTCTAAATGGACTGATATGGAATAGTAAATTCTAGGCACAGAATTCAGCATTACCAAAGATAAAGGAAAATCTCATCTTACATTTGCTGAATTGAATTATTTCCATAGCTCTCTCAATGCCTGAAGTTTCTTCCTCTCCAATCTCTTCTCCAAATGGTGTCCAGAGTGATCTTTCTAAATGCTGACCAAGTTGTTCTCTTGCTTTCAATCATAAAATAATATAGTGTAAAATAATTTAAACTTAGGTATTTATTCCTAGTCTAATGTTCTTTCCTACAAACTATCATGTCTCCAATATTTATTTTTATAGGGAAACAATCACATGACAAACTTTAAAAGGAAAAGAACATGAGCTTTGGCAGAAAACTTCAATATAATGTGCACAAAACTGGAGCAGATCCAAAGTTCTGGAATTACAGGCATGAGCCACAGCACCCGGCCGCAAGAGCCTTCTTTAATTCCCTCAGTTCCTTGCCTCCTAGATTCCTCTAAATTGTTTTCTTTTCTCTTTTTATTTCTCTTCCCTCTATTACACAAATTCAGGCCTTGAAAGTTTCAACTGCTGCATTTTCCCTTGTCACCTGTGACTTCAAGTGTCAGGATCAGGGCCTTATGAACAGAGATATGTGCTATTTTTGATAGAAGCAGTGCCACCTCCCAATAGTAAGTGAATTGATCTTCTGTAATCTAAGATTATGAAAAGAGTAGGTTGAAAAACTCAAGAGAAGGGCTAAAAAAGAATACTGGACAAAAAATAAAAACAAACCATGAGATATGTTTAGGATATATTCATTCATATTCTCAACAAGATTTGAGGAAATTTCAAATCATTAAAGAAGCAAGATGTTTATGAAATAAAATGATTTAAGGCCAGAAAATTTTAGAGAATTGAAAGAATTTAGAATTAAGGAAAAAAAGTTATGGAGACAGTGGATAAAACTGGATTCTGCAGGAAAAGTAAATACATCAGTATTTGAGAAGTTGGTTCAAATATAATTCCATTGTTCAAGAAAAATAACAGAAAAATAACAAAGAGAACATAAATGATACATAGAATAGATGAGAAATGAAAGAAATAATGAAATAAGGTTGAATAATTAATGTTCAAATCAGAGAGGCTCAGGCTCACCAATCAAACGAATGCCATGAGGTTCATGACTATCATTCTTAGATATAGCTTTGTGACATTCACAATAACAAGGAATAATAAAAAAGAATCTGTAATTCAGGCAGGCAAATAAAAAGGAGCCAGACCTATAGTGGCAAAAAGTGTTAAGCTGTTGCTCAACTTCTCCTTCAGAGTGCCACACCACGTAGCAAAAGACCATCATGTTCTCATAATGGTTTAAGCATGACACCATCTTTTTAAACTACTTCTAGTGCTTTCCAGTAAAGTCAGAATAAATTACAAACTTGTTGCATCTTTTCAAAGTGACAAATTCAAAGTCAAAATTTCCAAGCATTTTCCAACATGATTCCAACTTCTAAGAAAAAGGTAGGTTATATATTATGTAAACCTTTCCAAAATCAGAGCTTTTTATGAGGCAAACATAACCTTGATAACTTATAAAAGAGCACAGACAGAAAAAAAAACAAAAAATCCAGTCTAATCTTAATTTGAACATAGAGGTTCAATTTTAAAAAATTACAAAAAAATCCATCACAGTATTTTCGGGAATAATGCCTATTATTTACTTGAGGAATATTTTCGTATTAAAAATATTGACAATTCTGTATAACTCTTGGTATATAATAATAATAGCTAATACCGAGCATTTGCTGTGTGCCAGGTTCTATTCTAAATATTATTAAATCCTCATAACACTCTTTTGAGGTAGGTAGTATTACCTCTATTATATGGAAAATTGGGACACAGAAAGGTGAATAAAGTTGGTCAAGGTCACGCAGATAGTTGTGTTAGAGCCAGGATTTGAATACAGGCAACCTGAACCTAAAATCTGAGTTTTTTACCCCTATGCTGCAGAGCAGGCACATGGTAAGTATTTGTCGACCTACATTTTAGTATTTCTGGTCAGGTTGTCTATTGTTGCATGCCAAACTACCCTGAAATATTTTTTTATTTAATAAAATACATTACTGTGACTCACAGGTTTCTGTGGTTTGACTGGATGGGGCCTTGTTGGGGGTATCTCATGATGTGGTTGCAGTGAGATTGTTGCTGAGGCTGGTGACATCTGGAGGAGTAACTGAGCAGAATGCCTGGTGGTTTCTTTATGCATATGACTAGTGCTTTGATATTTGTTGGCCTCTGTGCAAAACTGGGGCTCCCAGAGGATGATGGTACACAGGTAGTCACACTCCTTGTATGGTAACTAGCTTCCCAGAAAGCATCTAGACCAATCCATGGCATCCAGAACTGACACAGCACCACTCCTACCACATTCTATTGGACAAACAGTCTGAGATGCCACCTAGATTCAAGAGGACACTAGTTGAGGGAGTAGCAAAGGCATAGTACAGGAAAGCATGTGTGACCTGCAACACTATTATTTTTATTTACAAGGAATTATGTTCTTCTGATGCAAAATCAAAGTACAGACAGTGTTGTGAGTACATTTAAGGTAGGTTAGATAAGCTATGACGTTTGGAAGGTTAGGTGTATTAAATGCATTTTTTACTTAGCTATATTTTCAACTTACGATGGGTTTCTCAGGGTGTAACCCCAGTGTAAGTCAAGGAGCATCTGTACCATAGAATGATACTTGGTGAAAAGTAAGAATTCTTCCTTCTACTTTTGCTCTCATCCAGCTAGTTTGCCCCAGCTCACTCCAATCAGCAACCACTTTTATTTCTTTATTATGTGTCTTTCTAGAACCTTGATAGAAATATAAGCAAAATCAAATGTATATATTCTTATTCTCCCTGGATTTTACACAAAAGGTGGCATTCTGCAAACACTATTTAGAATCTTATATTTTGAATAACTGCCTATATTAATATGGTAAAGAATGAAAAGGTGATGGAAGGCAGGAAAAGAAGAAGGAACAGCAGAGAAAGAAGAGAAAAATGAAGGAAGGTATATTTGTCCATTTTCATATTGCTTTGAAGAAATACCTGAGACTGGCTAATTTGTAAAGAAAAAGAAATTCAGTGGACTCACAGTTCCATATAGCTCGGGAGGCCTCAAAATCATGGTGGAAGGAGAAGGAGGAGCAAAGGCATGTCTTACATGGCAGCAGGCAACAGAGCATGTGCAGAGATACTGCCCTGTATAAAACCATGGGCCCTTGTGAGACGTATTCACTATCATGAGAACAGCATGGGAAAAACCCACCCTCATGATTCAGTTACCTTCCACCAGGTCCCTCCCAGACACGTGGGGATTATGGGAGCTACAATTCAAGATGAGATTTGGGTGGGAACACAGCCAAACCATATCAGAAGGATAGGGAGAAAGAATAGAATATTTATTTTAGATACCATATGAAAACAAAAATATGAAAAGTACATGCTAAATAATTAATAGTGGCTCTTTCTCTGTGGTGGAATTAATACTATCTTTTTTTTTCTCTTTGCTTGTTAGTGTTTTCTAAATTTTCTATAATGGGCATTTGTTACATCTGTGATAAAAATGTTATTAGTACAAAAACCATACAGCTCAATTTTTATGCTGGCTGGTATTATTATTTTTTCACTATTGTTGTTCACTTTTTTTCTAAGAAATTGACCTCCAGCCATGTGTAGATGGGAAAGAAAGACCCGGAGGCTTCCTATAGGGATTTTCCAACACAATTGTATTTAGTTAAACAAATGTCCCATACCAATCCCCTTTTCTTTTCTCTCCCTTGTGCTTTTGTCAGCTGCTGCCCTGCAACTTAAGCTCTGTGAAATCCACCATCTTACATTTTACGATGAATGTAATCATTGAGTCATGTACCTTCCATGAGCAAGGCGAGGCCCTGTAGAGGCCCTATAGAGGATGGGGGAGTCGCAGATGATGATGGGCACATATGCACCTACCTGGGCTGTATTGTGATAAGTGTCCTATTAGCACCATGAAGGGATGATTCAGGATCAGAACAAGACCCACGAATTTTGCCTGAAGGATTCAGGGCACAGTTTACATAGTGGGTGCTATTAAGTGGGATCATAGAACAACCCATTTTTGAGAAGGGTAGGATAAGGCAGTCGTGATAGGGAGAACAGCACTGAAGATGGTGTGGGAGCTGCCCAGAAGCCTGGACAAATGGTGGCAAGTGATGCTAGAAATACAGACCAAGATTCAAGAACACGGAAGGTCTTGTATCCAGACCAAGGAGTTGGAAGTTTTTCCTGCGGACACTAGAGTGACTTCCAAGGGAGAGGGGCATGCCTGTGTGACAGGCACCAGCTCTGTCTGTTTCCCAAAATGCAGTATCCCTTAATATGTGCCCTTTAAACAGATTATTTTATAATTCAAAGTAAGAAATATGTATTGAAAAGATTTTTATGAAATTTGCATTGTCAGCAAACTTAAAGGAAGACATGTTTCCCGTGAGGTTTAGATGGAAGTGAAAGCCCAGGAGTTTAGCCTAAATTTGCAGCCCTTATGGTCCACAGGAGAGAGCTCTTGTGCGTTCTGGACTCCCCTAGGAGCAACTGAGGAATCTAATACACCTCCTTCAATAAATAAATAAGTACATAAATCGCACCAAACTGTAATTCCTGGTGTTTCCTCTGCCCGACAGCTAATTTTCAGTTAATTTTTCCTGGAGGCCAGCAGGGAAGGCGAGGAGGTTTGCAACAAGGTGGGGGCCCCAGCCAACCTGGACCCATCCTGAAGGGCTTGCCTGTCAGAGATATGTGTTTAATGATTAAAAGCACCATGAAGCCAGGCAAGTACTAGTGTGTTACTTACTGAGCCTACCAGTCCAGTGCTTGGACCATATTGCATACTGAAAGCAAGTTAACTGACATATGTTATGGGGAAGCAAGACTAAGATGTGCATCCCTCAAGGACTAATCCAGAAGAGATGACACAAGCCACCATGGGTCCTGACACAGCTTCTTTCCCCTGGGGTACCCATGGGTGTCTCTGGCATGGAGGATGCCAGCTGATGGGGCAGCCTAGCACTACACTGTGAGAACTGGGTTAGCCTTTAGGTAGAGAAGCCAAAACTGTCTCCTCTGCTTGTCAGGAGCTAATTTTCTTTGAAAGCCAAGAGGGAAAGAGAGGAGGCTGTCAACAGTGTGGGGGTCCCAGCTAACCTGGGTCCATCCTCAAGGGCTTACCTGTCAGAGACATGTGTTTAATCCCTACTCCAGGACCTCCTGAGGAGCTCTTTGAATGGGGAGAGAGGGACGGTGGGAACTGCTAGAGCTCCCATAGTTAAAATCTCCCCTAATCTGATTGCCCAGGTTCAGTCAATGCCTCAGCAGCAAGTTGCTGCCCAAACAAGAAAGCTTCCATAATTCTTCAGCTGGACTTGCACCCTCCTTTTTCTGAATCAGCAAAGTACTGCGTATTTCAGGGTCTTGGAGGCAGCATGGCAGGACAGAGAACACTGGCTTGGGACCCAGATGATCCTGGTTTCCATGCTATGCTCTTGCTCTGTGACCTTGGAAATGGGTTTATTTATTTAAGGCCATGTTGCTTTTATTATTAGAGAGAGGATATTATCTAATATTGGACTGTTTTGAAAACTAGCAGAAACTAAATGTAAATGGCTGCTTTGTTATTACATTTAAGAAGGTCTTGTAAATATTATTGGAAGTCAGCCAGGTTTAAATTCAAACCTTATCTCTACCAATTAATCTATGGGTGAGACATCAGGCAAGCTTGGGATACGTGGGTGTCCTCTTTCTGCAAAATGACACTTATCTGGTAAATTGCTTGTAGGGGAATTAGTGAGCATGTAGACGGCATACCTAGTGCAGTTTCAGGCGGCTTTGGCAGATGCTCATGTGTGGCTGCTGTTCTTCTATCTTGCTGTGGTATTGTTGTCTTTTCTTCCTCCCACTCCTTAGACTGTGAGGTTCTTGAAAGCTGGAAGCCTGCCTACTTCTTGACACCTGCAATATGTTTATTTATTGAATAAATAACAGGAAGATTTGCTGAATAATTAGCTTAGCGATATTGAGGACTGAGAGGAATAAATCCATTAGTGGCTTCTTATAATATTTAGAATGCAGTTGACATTGCTTACCCCTCCCCGCCATCCACCTTACCCTTTTCTTCCTATCCCACCACAATGCAGCCACCTGATCTCATGCCGCCCAGAAGCGGCCAACCTCCTCTGAGACTCAGGCATTTGTACTATTTTCCATGTATGAAATACTGTTCCCATGGATGGCCTTATGGCTGTTTCCTTATTGTCCTTTGAAAGATCCCGTTTTGTGGAATGATCACTTCTTCAGGGTGAGTTTCCCAGGGCATGCTCTCTAAGATAGACATTTTCTCCAATTTTCTCATTATTCTTTTCTCTCATATCATTTGCCAACATTTAAGTTATATTAAAGCAAATTTTGGGTTTTTGCTGCCCATATCCCCTCTTACTTATTGGGGAAAGAGAAGCACAATTTAGTTTTTGAGAGCCCATAAGCTTTAAATGAAGCTGACTTCAGCCCAGGGCTCCAGGGCTCACATGACTGAGACCAAAGCAGTCATTGCATCCTCCCCTCTGCTCATGGTAACTGCTTCCAGGATGGGTCTCTGACTTCAAATCAGGACAGTGTAGCATAGTGAAACTCAATTCTGGGCCATAAAAAAAGTTGCTGGGGATGTAGCTTTCTCTTTCCTGTCGACATAAATCAGGAAAAATGTAGGAGCCGAAGCTGAAGTAGCCATCATGTAGTGAAGAAAGAGAAAGGAAAATAAATGTGTGTTTGTGAGTGTGCATGTGTGTTTGTGTGTGTCCTTTCATTGTGATTATCATTTGAGAACCTTGATCAATCTCTGTCTGAATTGGACCCACAGACAGTCTCTTTAGTTACAGCCAATACATTTCTTTTTCCTATCCATGTTGAGTTGGGCTTCCTCTTATAATACAAAAATTGTTAAGATAGATACCATTGTTTAGTCTTCCAACTAGACTTAAAGCTTTATGAAAGAAAGAATTATGTCTAATTTTTAATCATACCACTAGTGCCTAGTATAGTATTAGTCATAGAACAAGCCCTTAATAAGTATGGGTTGAATGTACAAATGTGGTATAATGTCAAACTCTAAGGAGAGGCTTGGTCTTCTACAGATGTAGTCCCAGTTATCAGACTTTTTGCAGTATTGGAAAGACCTGCACAAGGCTTGGTCGTGTTTCAGAATGGTGAGAAATGCAGAACATTCAGAATGCCAGCATTAGTGTGCAGGTGTTTTTTTGTTTTTTGTTTTTTGTTTTAATAAATATGTAGAGGCTGGGCGTGGTGGCTCATGCCTGTAATCCCAGTACTTTGGGAGGCTGAGATGGGCGGATCACGAGCTCAAGAGATCGAGACCATCCTGGCTAACACGGTGAAACCCCATCTCTACTAAAAATACAAAAAATTAGCTGGGCGTGGTGGTGGGCACCTGTAGTCCCAGCTACTTGGGAGGCTGAGGCAGGAGAATCACTTGAACCCGGGAGGCAGAGGTTGCAGTGAACCGAGATCACGCCACTGCACTCCAGCCTGGGCAACAGGGTGAGACTCCATCTCAAAAAAAAAAAAAAAAAGAGAGATTTGTGTGCCACGGTAGAGCAAAATGAAGACTGTGTGATGAGGCAGCTCCTGGGCTCCAACGGTGAGATAGGCATGTCCAACTTCACCAGAAGTCCTGCCTTTTTCTGCTGCTAAAATCACCTTGAGGATGCTGATAATGAGTTACAGAATCAGAATTTTCAAGTTTAAATGAACCCTAGGAATTCTTTCTATCTTATTTTAAAGATGCAAAACTTATGCTCAAATAGTATAAACATTTATTAGGACTCTCAACTTGTTGATGAGAGAAGAATCAGGACTAGAATGGACATCCAGCCCACCCACTACACCTTAGTCTTTACCATAATTTTTTATTACCTTTCCTTCCTTCCTTCCTTCCTTCCTTCCTTCCTTCCTTCCTTCCTTCTTCCCTCCCTCCCTTCTTTTCTCTTTGCCCCCCTCCCTTCTTTCCTTTCTTTCTTCCTCTCTTTTATTTCAAATACCTTCATATATGACATTTGTTTCCCTGTCAACTACATATGTAACACTGGGACTACATTTATGCTGTCAAATATGACATCATCTTTGCTTTTTTGTGCCTTGTTACATGCATCTTACAAACTATTGGAAGGTGGAAAAAAGACAAAGGACAATTATAACAACATGCAATCACTATCAAAGTTTGCTGAAACCAATTTGCAGGGCACCATGTTCAGTCTCATGATTGAGGTGGATAAAAAATGCTGATTGGTAGTCGGAGAGAAGGTTATGGAAGACTTAGAAGAGGTAAAACATAAACTGAGCCATGAATTTTGCGTCAGGCAGAGATTACTAAAATAATAAGCCTAGAGTTAAAGTGACTTTACATAATTACACATGGCAGGAGCATGGTTTATCAGATAGTTGATAGTGAGAGAGGATGCTGACAAGATATGTGGGGGTTGAGTAGAAAGCACCTTGCTGGCCTTTTAAGGAGCCCTGACATCACAGGCATGGAAGGCCTTTGGGAGATTATGAGCAGGAAAGAAACGTGGCTGGATAGGCATTATGGAGTGACTGTTTTGGCCGCTCAGATTTATGGGCAGACAGGGCTGCTGATGGTGGGGGGATGAGATAGCAGGCTGTATCAGTAATCCAAGGGGGGTTGGAGCTGGAGAGACTGGGGAGGAGGGAACAGCACAGGCTGTGATGACAAGACAGCCTAGCACTCTGATGCTTCACTACCCTCACTTGTCTCTCCTTCCCTCACCTTTAAAGATTTCTCATGTTCTGAAGTGAAATCTGGCAGATGGCATTTTAAGAAAAGATGACTTTATAGCTCCAGGTTCCAATCTGATTTGTGTATATACATATAATATATAAAAAATTTTGTTACCAGAAGGAGATAAGGATCCAGTACCTTCTTAGGTAATTAATGATTCAACATGGTGCCTTTGCAAAATGAAATTGACGCAGCTGGAAGCCTCATTTGCAGCCATAAGAATTCAAAGGACACAAAAAGGCTGATTTGTGATTGTTCCTTTTCCTCAATAAAAGTTAAACTGATTACAAAAAGCTGACAATGAGATGCTGGCTTGAGGAAGTAATGTTTCTGACATTTTCGCTGAGTGTTTACCACAAATATTCAAATTTATCATTTTTGACACTCTAGAAAAATGAGGATAAAGTATTATTTTTCTACTGCAATACTTGCTTATATGCACATTTATATTATACATAATTGATGGAAAATTAAAAGAATTCTGAGTTCCCTGTCATATTCATTTTTAAATTATGGTCTCTCATGGGAGATCTTGGAATTAAACCCAAAGAGCTTTTACTTTGAAATAGAAAATGTTTATTGTGTGGTAACATCTTTTTTCTGAAGAGAAAATGTGCCCATTATTTAAATCCTGGAAACCTTTGGTACATTCAATCTTTAGAGAAGAATTATTACCAAAACAATACTAGATAATATTTATATGGCCCTTAAAATTTGTAGATATCTTATTTTAATATTTCAATAATCATATTGATAGCACTACTGTCTCATTACACAAATAGAGAAATCTATTCATTGTTTGATCTCAGACAAATTATTGACATCTGTGAGGTTCAGTTTCCTCATCTGTAGTTGGAGGTGATTGTTGTTGTTTTGTAGGACTATGGTAAAGATTGCCAGATAAAGCACTTAGCACAGCCAGGTGTTGGTAGTGCTGGTTGATTTGATTATCACTAACACTCTGTTTATACCAGCTTTTAATTCTGACTTTCTTATTTCTCTTTTAATAAGCCTAGAGTCATCCTAAATCTCATGACTCCCTTGATACATAAGTTTTTCTTTTACAACATGTTCTTCCTGTATCTTATTTTTTCTACCGCTGGCCTTGTATACATTTTTATGAAGTTTCTCTAAGGCTGCTTGTTCAGCGTCCACTCTACCATCCTTTCCATTTACTCCAACTACCACAGTGAAACTACACGGATCTTCCAGAAAACTAGCTTTGGTTTTATTACTTGTCTGATGACTCCTCAGTTTCTACAGTTAGGAAAATATCTTTCCTGTCACTCAAAAAGTCTTATGTCTAGTTAATCCAGTTACCCTCTAATTTCTCCCCACATGTTTCTTATGAGTGATAATACAAGAAAATAATTCATGTATATAATATTTTATAAATTACAGAATTCTGTAATACCCATTTGACGTTTGGTGCAAAAACATTAACTCGCTCTGCCATAGCTATTGAAGGAATGTTTAACTATATTACACTGGGTCTGTTGTGGCTTTATCCAGTGGAGAAATGCATTTTATCTCAGATTCTTGCAAAAAATAACTATTTATAAATAGGGTACATTCCTGCTAAAATAGTTAAAATTAAAAATGTGTATACTGACCATACCAGGTGCTATTAAAGATGCAGAGCTACTGGATCTTTCAGACTTTGCTGTTGAGAATGCAAAATGGTATCGCTATCCTGGAACAAAGTTTGGCAGTGTTTTATAAAGTTAAAAAATGCATTTTATATGAGCTACCAACTCAACTCCCGGGATTAACAATACAGAAATGAAAACATTTTGCACGTAAATATTGTCACAAATGTCCAGCTTCATTCATAAAAATTAAAAACCGCAGCTTCATTTGTGCTAGCCTCAAACTTGGAAAAACCTAAATGCCCTTCAAGGGATGAATGGCTGAACAAACACATACATTCATACAATGGAATACTAGTAAGCAGTGAAAAGGAAAAGAATTACTGATATATAAAACAGCTTGGACTATTCTCAAGGGCAGTAAACTCAGAAATAAAATACCAATCTCTAAAGGTTGCATATTATATGACAACATTCTCAAAATGACAAAATTATAGAGATGGAGAACAGATTGGGAGGTTTTCAAGTGTTGGAGGAATATGTAACTATCGAGAGGTAGTATTCATTGTGCTAGCAGTTACATGAATCCATACAGGCAGTAAAATGTCAGAACTATACACACGTACAAATGAGTTTACGTGAAAACTGGTGAATTCTGAATATGATCTGTAGTTTTGTTATTGGTATAGTGCCAATGGTTTCCATGGCAATGAAAGATGCTATCATTGGAGAAAACCAAATGAAGTGGACATGGGAACTTTCTGCACTATTCTTGCAACTTCTATGTTCATCTAAAATTATTTCAGAATAAAAAAATTTATAAAACTTGAGGAGCTAGCTAAAATACTTCTGATGCCATAACAAAGGCTAAACAATTAATTATATAGAGAACTCAGGCACAACTCTCTGACCAGCACAGCAGTGAGCAGTAGCACTATCTTCATTTTCATTAACAGATAGATCAACAACCAGCATGTTAGAAGGAAGTAAAGCTTTTTTAAAGAAGAAATTAACTGATAGAGGCTTAGTATTTAAAACGTATATTTTGAGCAAACACATATGTTTATCCTAATAGCTTTCTAAAACAAGAAGTAGTTGTTTTCACACCTATAGTGTGGGACAAATTCAACATGATCTAGGATAGAAACAAACCTGAACAAAGCCAGAAACATGGCAAGCCTAAGTTCTAATACAAACATAATTTTAGCTGACTTAGAGGTCATTTTCTGTAAACTGCTTCCAAACTTGTAAAATATGAGAAAGGGACACACACGCACACACACACACATGCACACACACACACACACACCAGACTCTTACACAAAACAAATTGGTTCAATAGACTAAGTAAACCCTAGCCTCTATTGGGGTGATAAATGCCATAGCTAGATGATTTCAAAAGCTTTTTTAGAGAGGAGAACTCAGAGGCTACCAGGACACACTGAACAGTCTCCAGAATTTGTATATAAGTTGGTACTAAAACCTATATAGAAGTAGAGATTTCTAATTACAAAGCGTGAGTTTAACCTTACTCAGTAGATCCTTTGACATTCATTCATTAACTTATTCATCCATTTATTGAACAAATATTAATGGCTTATTTTTATGTGCCATGGCCTAAGCCAGTAGCTGGGAATACAGCAATGAACAAGACAGCAAGATCTTAGGAAGCCACTAAAGTGGAGGGAAGCGTTACTCCGTAATTACAACAATAATTAAAATTGTGACAACTGCATTACAAGGACTGGGCATGATAATACGAAAATACATAACAGGAAAGGTGGTCAATTCTAGAGTTAATTATAGCATCCTATGACCAGGCTTTTCCACCCTAAAATTCAATTTTCCCCTATAACTGGCTGTTGTAAAAAGACAGCAGTGCTTCCATGGAATAGACATGGTACACAAGAAGCATCTCATGCCAGTCATGATCCAAAAGAGCAGAGGTCCATAAATGGGTGGAAGAGTCAGAGGCTATATGCTGGTGATAGGGAATGAGGGTATGAAATTTCCTTCAGAAATAAAGAAAGACAAGTTGATGGTTCCTGTAAGGTCTTTTGGGGGTAGCAAGCCTAATGCTTTAGCTGATCAGAGGCAACACTGTATTCTCTGATGAGAGACAACTGAGAAATCAGCAGAGCTGGTATTTGAAAGCACAGCACACATCACTGAAGAGAGCAGAGAGGAAAGGTATTTATTCTCAGGAGCATGATATTTGAGCAGGGAACCAGTGACTAGAAGGAGAAATTTTCTACCTAAAGCTGAACTTGAAGCCTATGGATTAATACCAGCTAGTACATATGACTTTCCCATCCCTGAGGACTCCTTCAGCCTCCCACCTAGCTTTTTCTACTTTTATCCAGCAGGATACATATAGGTAGTTCTTAATCCATCCAGATTTGAGGCAGGAAAGGCTTAAGCTGTGTGGGCTCTTTTGGTCAGCTTTTGAGGGTCTGGTTGATAAGTAGCTGTTTCATTATAGAACACAAAGATAAGCTGGTCCTTCCAGTGTGATATCCTGTCTGCCAAGGATTAAGAACAAGTCCCTCAAGGGACAGCAAGTGGCCACACACTATGTGCCACTTAAAAATATCCTTCCCAACCAATCCTGAACACCGTACACGGAGGGGCATATGTTTTGCCTTTACTCAGTATGCCTACTCAGGATACCAAGAGCAGTATTCGTTAGGATGGCACCAAAAGCATTTCAATGATCTCTTTGTCAAAGTTCTCATTGCATTTTCTTTGCAAAGGCCATGGGTGTCCAGAGGTCATTGTGAGTTCCGAAATTTGAGAATAGCCAATATAAGCATGCAGGTCAGAGTGCCCCAGCCCCATCATGAACTTTCTCATACACAATTAAACTAAAATTTAATATGATACATGAAAAGGCAAAACACAAGATGAAAGTGCCAAAAGTTTTAGAGGAAGAGTTTATTGCCAGGTTGGGTGAATAGGGAGAGCTTTGAAGAGGGGGTGGCACATGAATGAAGCATTAAAGAACGCAGTTAAGAGGCCATGGAGTTGTGTCACTCAGAGCTCCCCGCAAGAGGACCTGCTACCAAAAGCACAATGGATTGACAGCCTCCAGCTGCCGAACCTTATCTTCAAACCCACTGCAGCAGTCACCTGAGGCCGTGTTCACTTACCTAGGCTGTTCCCAGTGACTATTGGAGCATAGTGGGGCTACTATCATCGGGACTCCTCTAATGGGCAACTCCTGCTCATGGACTCCCCATAGACCTGGTTGAGACTTTCTCAGAGTTGCTCTGTGGTCCAAGCCTCTTCGTACCCCATTTTCTTTCTTCCTCCTTTCTTTTTTTTTTTATTATACTTTAAGTTCTAGGGTACATGTGCACATTGTGCAGGTTAGTTACATATGTACACATGTGCCATGCTGGTGTGCTGCACCCACTAACTCGTCATCTAGCATTAGGTATATCTCCCAATGCTATCCCTCCCCCCCTCCCCCACCCCACCACAGTCCCCAGAGTGTGATATTCCCCTTCCTTTTCAAAGGTGAAGACCCTACATCATAGTCTGAATCCTCTTCCAACTTATTCCTGCTCACCCTCCCCTTTCTGCTTTACAGGTGTTCCTGTGAAGAGATTTATTTCCCCAATAAATATTTTATACATCTAGTCCTGTCTTCTTGTCTGCTTCACAGAGGGCTTGATACAGATGGGTTTCTCAGTGACTGATGGGTGGATGAATTAATCAAAATGATCACAGCTCTGCTTAATTTGATGAAAATATTCACACTCAGGTATTAGTCATGTGAGGGGTCTCCATTTGTTCCTTAATAATTGATGCTGAAGGCCAGGTGCGGTGGCTCATGCCTGTAATCCTAGCACTTTGGGAAGCCGAGGCAGGCGGATCACGATATCAGGAGTTCGAGACCAGCCCGGCCAATACGGTGAAACCCTGTGTCTACTTAAAATACAAAAATTGGCCAGGTGTGGTGGTGGCGGGCACCTGTAATCCCAGCTACTCAGGAGGCTGAGGCAGGAGAATCGCTTGAACCCGGGAGGCGGAGGTTGTAGTGAGCTGAGGTAACACCACTGCACTCCAGCCTGGGTGACAGAGCAAGACTCCGTCTCAAAAAAGAAAAAAAAAAAGATGCTGAAAAACATCTGGAAATTGCAAAGGAACAAAAAAGCAGTGCAGTGAAATCACCCTATGATCTGTCTGAAGAGTGGTCCTTGAGACTTCTGTCTGGTTTATGTTTAGATTTACCTCAGACTCTCCGAAGGCCAAGTCCTACCTAAGGAGTAGAGTCAGTTTCCTTTCTCTATGGACTGTCACTGCACTTAGAATTCTTCAGAGTTTTTCTCCCAGGTTGGGTTCTGCCATAGGCACTGAACCTCACATGACATTATTTTGGCCCATTATGAAGACATTAATTCATTCCTTCATGTCTCCATTTAATAAATTTTACCTGAGGATTTATAGAAAGGACAGTTTACTTAAATGAAATTAAACGAGTAGACACTGGGGCCTAAATGCTTGTATTCAGATTTTGGCTGTACTACTTATATCAATAGGACTTAAAAATTTCATGACTTAGTTTTCCCAGCTGTAAAGAGAAATCATAAAATACCTCTCTTATAGAACTATTGTGGGGATTTCAAACATAATATATATAAACGTTTAGAACAGAGTATGCTGCAGTAAAGAAGTATTCACAACTATTATTACTAGTAATTCTATTTGTGCTAGAATTTGGATAATTGATATTAAAAAAATAGATATAGCACATGTTTTCTAGAAGCTTGAATTTTATTGGAAGAGACAAAAAAGACAATGACTAGATATAAATTACTTTTACATGTTATTGAGCGCTAAGAAGGGGAAAAGGCCTGCTCAACTAGTATTTTGGATGGTCAGGGAAAGATCCTCTGGTAAAAGCATTCCAGGAGGAGACTGCAGAATGTGCAAAGGTCCTGTGGTTGGAAGGAAATGACAGTGTTGAATAAATAAAAATGAACAAGATATTCTTGATGAACAGATGCATCCTAGGACTTTGTGCTATGTGCACATGCTAGGCATACTCTAGCTGGCTCCTCAGGGCCACATGCAGTTTGGCCCAGTTGCCTGCTGGGTTTCATGTTGTTAGAGCCCACCTGGCCTTTTCCATGCTGCAGCCCCACGCTGCACCCCTCATTACACCTGGGTATTTCTGTGGTAATTGCCCTGACCGTTCCCTGTTTATGAGCCAACTGCTATTTCACACAAATCCTTGTGCTTATCCAGACCATTACTCTGAAAAGCATCCAACTAGGAAGATAAGGGTATAAACTCTGGAGCCAACTCCCAGAGCCAGTCCCCACCATCACTTGACCTTGGGCTAGTTATCTCCCTGATCTTTAGATGCTCATCTGTAAACAGGGGATTAAAAATGTTTTCTGGGCCATGCTCAGTGGCTCACACCTGTAATCCCAGCACTTTGGGAGGCCGAGGTGGTGGACCATATGAGGTCAGGAGTTCAAGACTAGCCTGACCAACATGGTGAAAGCCCACCTCTACTAAAAATACAAAATTAGCCGGGTGTGGTGGCTTATGCATGTAGTCCCAGCTACTCAGGAGGCTGAGGCAGGAGAATCGCTTGAACCCAGGAGGTAGAAGTTGCAGTGAGCCAACATCATGCCACTGCACTCCAGCCTGGGCAACAAGAGCGAAAATCCCTCTCAAAAAAAAAAAAAAAAAAGTTTTCTAACTCATGAGGCTATTATAAGCATGCAGTGGATTCACATAAATGAAATTAGAACTACAGTCAACAGTATGTAAATGTTAGCTATTATTATTACCATCAACATCATCACCTTTATACATGGGCTCCTGGTATCCCTTTGGGACCGTGTCTTTTGGTGTTACACTGTGTCTTGCTGAATCTCTCCTTCCTCTCTACCCATGGAAAGTCTCCCCCTGTCTTCTCCAGCCTGTGTGGTGGGCTGAAGGCCAGCTCTCCTAATAAGGAGAGGGGAATTCAGAGCAGCATTGGAAATGCGTACATGTTCACATCCGAACACACACCCGCCACTATTGTGAGCCCTCAGTACCATCTGAAATAGTGCATTTTTTCATCACTCTGTGACATGTAGAAAAGACTCAGTCCCTGGTTATGTTGATATCCTTCACTGTGTTCCATCATAAATGATAGTTTTAGGGAAAACAACTGACATTTTAAATAATCATGATCTTCAGCAAAATGGCATCTAATTTTAATGCTTTCAACTGCCGCTCCTTTTCAAGGCGCAAAGCAGCCAGACTTCCTTTTCATTTTTCCCTTCATTCAAGAGATTGCTAATGTGATGACACCCAAACCATCCACTGCCTCCCACACACGCTTTGACAGCTGGGGTGCTCTCAGCTTTCTCCAAAGTCATTGTCCTCCCTCCATTTGCCTCTCTCGCAGATGAGATTGAAATGGTAGCATTTCACTGGAGTTGAGACTGGGCTTGGGGGTGGGCATGAGGTTCTGCAGATTGACAGATATAATTATCACATTTGCTTCCCAGCATGTGGTATCTAAGTAATAGTCTCCATATTTATCCAGTATTAATCAGGAAAGAGTTCAATCAGTTGAAGAGGGATATTTCTCTTTTTCAAACAAGGCTCTGCCTAGAGAACTCATCCCTGACAAGGGTCTTCACTTGTAATATAGGGTTAGACTCTTGCTTCAGCTTGGTCTGCAAGTGACAGTTATCAACCAAAGACCCTGGGACTTCATGCATTCAATGGGCAGAGTGATAGGCTGCAGGGAGGCCTCACTCCCTTCATTCTTGAGAGGAGGGGACCAGGGAGGGACTCTTTCATGAAGGGAATAATCAGAGAATGATGGATAAAAAAAAAAAAACAAAAAACAGAGTGTGATTAACCACAGTTTAAGAGTTTAGTTAGAGGACTAAAAAAATACACGAGCACATTGTCTTGTTCTTTTGTTTCTTTGTTTGTTTGTAGCAAGGGAAGAAGGATCATGGTTTCTTGGTGCTCTAATGAGTTTTAGAGCTGATGTAATCTGACTTCACATGTCCCTTCTATGATGGGAAGACACCAAGCTCTTCCCAACCAACCTAGAGTCATTTGGTTAGTTAGGAGTAGTTCGAAATTTGCAAGGAGGAAGAAATCAAGACATGAAGTAGATTTTTAAACAGCTGATATATTAATCACCATTGTTCAGATTTTTGTTGTCTTTGAGTCGCAAAGGTGGAAGAGACCTTCAAACATATGTACATGGTTCACTCTCTATTCTTCCACCTCCCCAACAAGGGCAGCCCAGTCTCTCCCTGGATGTCTTCCATGAAGTATGGTCATCCAAGTTTCAGGAAGAGTCAGAAACTGGAACGCTAAGTGACAAGACTGGAGAGGAGAGAGCCCTCCTGGATGCTCCCTCTAGTAGTGGTAAACATCATAGTCAGACTCATCCTAATGATATGGGGGCAGAGGAAAGCAATCAAATATTGAACCATTGCTTATTCCAGACCAGGTAAGCTTCAAGGGCTTTACATGAATCATCTAATTTAAACTTTTCCACAACTCTATGGGATGGGTGACAATACTTTCCTCAGTTTCAAAATGAGGCTTAACACATTAGGAAAATCTCTCTGAGTCAGGCATTGTTCAAATGATTGTCTAGAATGGTCTGATAACAGCTTTATGCTTAGCCATAATGCCACACTGCCTTGCACACACCTCTTCATATGCTGGGATCACAAGTTCTATGAAAAAATGCAGGAGACAGAAGACTAGGACACATGTTTCTTCAGGGAAAAATTCATAATAAAAAAGATAGCATGTGTTCAGGCAGAAATTAAACTTCAACCCAGATAGAAATTAAAAGTGAATAGGCACAGCTGGTTAATTTTGATTCTCCAGTTACTGTGAGTCTTCTGAGGAGGTTCATCAAATGGCCCGCTGCCTCCCTTATTTGTTTATTTTATTTTGTTTGTAAGTTCGCCATGCAGAAAGTAGTGTCTTCTCTATGACACACCCATAAAAGTTAAATAACACTTCTATTAAAAGGCATGGGGAAGGCTCATTTCTATTTTGTTTTGAGACCTATTTACCCTTTTTCTTTCTCTAGAATGACCATCTCTAAAAAGAATAAGTTTATTTTCCCAACAGGTATGGCAATCTGTTCCAGTTATTGGAGATCTTTCTCTAGAAGAGACAAGTAGGCAATTTTAACCATAGCAGATTTTTCAGTCATACCTGGGAAGGGAAAAGCGAGTGTGGACTTTTCTTATAACAATAGCTGATTATGTGGCAAGCACTGTAGCAAGCAGTTTACCTGCATTAACTCACTGGGTGCTTACAGCAGTCTGTTGCGGTGGGCGTCATGGTAATGAAAACAAGAGAAAAGTGCAGTGTGAAGAAGTTCTACACTTGGCCTGGGTCATGGAGTCAGAGTGTGGCCAAGCCGTTATTCCCATGGGCCTTGCTTCAGAGACAGATATGGAAATTATGGGGGAAATAACATTAATGTACAAGGGAGGACAGGGAAGCCCTCTCTGAAGGGGATTAACGTGAGCAGAGAAATGAAGGATAGGGAGGGCCTGGGAAAGGAGCTTTCTTTATACTTAAAGTAAAATTATTATTTTACTTTAAGTTCTGGGGTACATGTGCAGAACATGCAGGTTTGTTACATAGGTATACAGGTGCTGTGGTGGTTTGCTGCAACCATCAACCCATCATCTACATTAGGTATTTCTCCTAACACTATGCCTTCCCTAGCTCCCCACCCGCCGACAGGCCCCAGTGTGTGATGTTCCCCTCTCTGTGTCCATATGCTCTCATTGTTCAACTCCCACTTATGAGTGAGAACATGCGGTGTTTGGTTTCTGTTCCTGGGCTAGTTTGCTGAGAATGATGGTTTCCAGCTTCATCCATGTCCTGCGACGGACATGAACTCATCCTTTTTATGGCTGCATAGTATTCCATGGTGTATATGCGCCACATTTTCTTTATCCAGTCTATCATTGATAGGCATTTGGATTGGTTCCAAGTCTTTGCTATTGTGAATAGTGCTGCAATAAACATACGTGTGCATGTGTCTTTATAGTAGAATGATTTATAATTCTTTGGTTATATACCCATTAATGGGATTTCAGGGTCAAATGGTAATTCTGCTTCTAGATCCTTGAGGAATCGCTATGCTGTCTTCCACAATAGTCGAACTAATTTACAGTCCCACCAAGAGTGTAAAAGTGTTCCTATTTCTCCACATCCTCTCCAGCATCTGTTGTTTCCTGACTTTTTAATGATCACCATTCTAACTGGCATGAGATGGTATCTCATTGCGGTTTTGCTTTGCATTTCTCTAATGACCAGTGATGATGAGCTTTTCTTTTTTTTTTTGGTGGGGGTTGTGGGTTTTTTTTTTCTTTTACTTTAAGTTCTGGGGTACATGTGCAGAATGTGGAGGTTTGTTATGTAGGTATACATGTGCCATGGTGGTTTGCTGCACCCATCAACCCATCTTCTACATTAGGTATTTCTCTGAATGCTATCCCTCCCTTAGCCCCCTCACCTCCCTCCCCTGATAGGCCCCAGTGTGTGATGTTCCCCTCCCTGTGTCCATGTGTTCTCATTGTTCAACTCCCACTTCTGGGTGAGAATATGTGGTGTTTGGTTTTCTGTTCTTGTGTTAGTTTGCTGAGAATGATGGTTTCCAGCTTCATCCATGTCCCTAAAAAGGGCATGAACTCATCCTTTTTTATGGCTTCATAGTATTCCATGGTGTATATGTGCCACATTTTCTTTATCCAGCCTATCATTGATGGGTATTTGGGTTAGTTCCAAGTCTTTGCTATTGTGAATAGTGCTACAATAAACATACATGTGCATGTGTCTTTATAGTAGAATGATTTATAATCCTTTGGGTATACATCCAGTAATGGGATTGCTGGGTCAAATGGTATTTCTAGTTCCAGATCCTTGAGGAATCGCCACACTGTCTTCCACAATGGTTGAACTAGTTTACAGTCCCACCAACAGTGTAAAAGTGTTCATATTTCTTCATATCCTCTCCAGCACATGTTGTTTCCTGACTTTTTAATGATCACCATTCTATCTGGCATGAGACGGTATCTCATTGTGGTTTTGATTTATATTTCTCTAATGACCAGTGATGATGAGCATTTTTTCATGTGTTTGTTGGCTGCATAATGTCTTCTTTTGAGAAGTATCTGTTCATATCCTTTGCCCACTTTTTGATGGAGTTGTTTGTTTTTCCTTGTAAATTTGTTTAAGTTCTTTGTAGATTCGTTTAAGTTCTTTGTAGATTCTGGATATTAGCCCTTTGTCAGATGGATAGATTGAAGAAATTTTCTCCCATTCTGTAGGTTGCCTGTTCACTCTGATGATAGTTTCTTTTACTGTGCAGAAGCTCTTTAGTTTTATTACTTTTTTCATGTTTTTGGCCGCATAGGAACAGCTGTGGTCTGCAGCTCCTAGTGAGATCAATGCAGAAGGTGGGTGATTTCTGCATTTCCAACTGAGGTACCTGGCTCATCTCATTGAGACAAAATGGAAAGGAACATTCTAAGCAAAAAGAACGAATGCAAAGGCTCCAAGTGGGGAAGAAAAAAATCAACTTTCAAGGAATGACAAAGATAATATGACCGCCAGAGGAGGATGTCTGAATAAGCAGCAGAGCTGACATCCCAATCCGTGCAGTGTGGTTTCCTGCTCCCACATAAACCACTTTGTTATATTGACCCAGTCCTGATAAGTGCTGCAGAGATGCCCACGTAAGGCTAGGACACAGAACTGCTCATTGATTTTGCATTCTGCGGACTTAACAAGAGTAATATCCATGGCATGTGGTTGGCAGAAACCAGATAGGAAAGACTGGAAAAATAAATTGGAGACTGGGAAGCACAGACAGCAGGTGTCAACAACTTTTGCAAAATTTTTTTTCCTTTTTTTTTCCACCTCTGAGAAGCCTTGAGGAGTATATGAGGTCAAAGGAGGGTTAGTGAAAGGAGACAAAAACCGTGTGTGAATGCTGATAGGATTGATCCAGGAGAAAGTAAGAATCATGGTACATGAGAAAGAAATTGATTATGTCCAGAAACATTAGTGCATTATTTGATTCTTAGCCTTAGGCTAAATGGGATTTATGGACATCTAGGAACTGTGGATGGGTGCTCCATCCCATTTATCTTGTTTTCATACTGTGCTCATTTCTCACTTGGATGAAGCCAAACATCATCAATACATAACATACACATTGCTTTTATTTGCAGTGGTTTGGATTTTTCCCCAAAGCTTAGTGATTGATTCTATTTTATGATAATTAAATGATACAATTAGCCAATTAACTTATTATCTCAATCATCTCTCCACAAATGTATTTGACAATCTTCAATATGCCAGTTTTAATGCTAAATCAAATGATAATATAAGCACGTAACACATGTTCCTAGGAAGTTCTCATTCTTGTGAAACGAGATGCAATCTTCTTTATATAGCAAACTTCACAGTATTTTGCCTAGTGGTGTTGCTAAATACATGTAAGTCTTTTTAAATTTCTTATTGGTAAGTTTTGAAAGAGGCTGATATGTCAACTCTGATCAATGACTCAGAGTTTTAAACATTTTTAGACTATTTTATATCTACTTTTTCTTTTTTAACCTCTTCTTAAATGTTTATGTGTATATATTTGATAATATATAATATATCATTAATATATAGTAAATATATCTGTAAGGACTTCATTCAGAATATGTAATAAACTTTTACAAATCAATAACAAGACTAATTCCTCAATTTAAAAATGGACAATTTTTTTTACATACACTTCAATGAGAAGATATATAAATGACCAGTAAAAATTTGAAAGAAACTGCTTAAGATCATTAGTCATCAGAGAAATACAAATTATAAACTTAAATAGAGCATACATTCTCCAGAAGAGCTCAAATTAGAAACGCTGACAAAACAACATTGGTGACGATGTGTAGCAGGTGGGATTCTCATATCGTCCTGAAGGTTTGGGGGAGGTTTGTAGAATACTACAACCAATTTGGAACACTATTTGGCATTTGAACATCCATCTACCTAAAGATCCAGAAATTTCTACACCTAGTAATTTACCTAAATAAATGAAAAGTTATTTTCACACAAAGATTTTGAAAGAATGTTTATAGCAGCTTTACTTATGCTAGCCACAATTAAAATGCCTGTCAGTACTTCAATAACTAAACAAACTGTTGTATGTGTATACAAAGGAAAACTATTCCTTAACAAAATGGAGCAAACTTACTGATGCCTGCATTATGGATGAATCTCAAAAATATTATGCTAAGAAGCCAGACATGGAAGGGTACAAACTGTGTAATTCTATTATATGAAGGCAAAGTTAGTTTATGGTGATAGAAATTTGAATAGTGACTAAAGGGCGTGGGGACTGACTGGAATGGCAACAAAATTTCATTTTTTTTTAGAGACAAAGTCTCACTCTGTCACATAGGCTGCAGTGCAGTGGTGCTATTATAGCTCACTGCAATTGCAAACTTCTGGGCTCAAGCAATCCTCCCACCTCGGTAGTGAGGAATACAGGAAAGCCTCATTCCCCGATTTAGAAATAATCACTGCTAATACCTCAGCATGTTTGTGTGTGTGTGTGTGTTTGTGTTTGTAAAGATAATATTTTATTATTAGCATTCTCTCGTGTCATTAAAATTTTGAAAACTATTGCATAACTTTTTATCTTAAGGCAGTTTTGATGAATTTCAGAAACTTCCTAATTTGTATCATTGGGATTATCTGATCAGTTGTGAGGATGGAAGAAGACCCTGTTTACTCAATAAACATTTATGAGATGTTTTCTATGTTTCAGGCATTCTACTAGGTGTTGTGTGTAAGAGATGAATAAAATAGGATGTCTGCATTCCAGATGAATAAACTGTGAATGGTAGATGGTGTGTGGGCAGAGAACAGATGTGAAGTTGGTACCAGCTTCTAAGGAGGCTCCTGAGAAACACCTATTTGGTGGTGAACCTAGCAAATGAGACTATTTGTGGTATCCTCCTTCTAATCCTCTAATTTTTTCACTTCCACTGACCTCACTTTCCAGCAAATACTAGGGTGTGTGGGCCTCTGAATCTCCATGCTGAAAACTTTCCTAATGAATAATGTATTAGTCTTCTCAGTCTGCTATGATAAAGTACTCCAGACTTGCCTTAAACAACACACACACACACGCACGCACACACACACACGTAATTGTTGGTCCTTTTTTTAATTTTATTTTACTTCACGTTCTGGGATACATGTGCAGAATGTGCAGGTTTATTACATAGGTATACGTGTGCCATGGTGGTTTGCTGCACTTACTGACCAGTCTTCTAAATTACCTCCTGTCACCTCCCACCCCCAAATAGCCCCTGGCGTGTGTTGTTTCCCTCCCTGTGTCCATGTACTCTCATTGTTTAACTCCACTTATGAGTGAGAACATGTGGTGTTTTGTTTTTTGTTCCTGTGCTAGTTTGCTGAGGATGATGACTTCCAGCTTCATCCATGTCCCTGCAAAAGACATGATCTCATTCCTTTTTATGGCTGCATAGTATTCTGTAATGTACACATACCACATTCACATTTTCTTTATCCAGCCTATCACTGATGGGCATTTGGGTTGATTCTATGATTTTGCTATTGGAAATAGTGCTGCAATAAACATACATGTGCATGTGTCTTTATAGTAGAATGATTTGAACTAATTTACATTCCCAGTGCTTGTGATTTTAGCACGTTGATTTTGTATCCTGAGACTTTGCTAAAGTTGCTTAGCAGCTTAAGGAGTTTTGGGGCAAAGATGATGAGGGTTTCTAAATATAAAATCATGTTGTCTGCAAACAGAGACAATTTGACTTCCTCTCTTCCTATTTGAATACTCTTTATTTCTTTCTCTTGCCTGATAGTAGAATGATTTATATTCCTTTGGGTATATACCCAGTAATGGGATTGCTGGGTCAAATCGTATTTCTGGTTCTAGATCCTTGAGGAATTGCCGTACTGTCTTCCACAATGGTTGAACTAATTTACATTCCCACCAACAGTGTAAAAGCATTCCTATTTCTCCCCAGCCTCATCAGCATCTAATGTTTCTTGACTTTTTAATAATCACCATTCTGACTGGCATGAGATGGTATCTCATTGTGGTTTTGATTTGCTTTTCTCTAATGGTCAGTGATGTTGAGCTTTTTTTTCATATGTTTCTTGGCTGCATAAATGTCTTCTTTTGAAAAGTATCTGTTTATATCCTTTGCTCACTTTTTGATGGTTTTTTTTTCTTGTAAATTTGTTTGAATTTCTTGTAAATTCTGAATATTAGGCCTTTTTCAAATGGGTGGATTGCAAAAATTTTTCCCATTCTGTAAGTTGCCTGTTCACTCTGATGATAGTTTCTTTTTCTGTGCAGAAGCTCTTTAGTTTAATTAGATCCTGTCAACTTTGGCTTTTGTTACAATTGCTTTTGGCATTTTTGTTATGAATTCTTTGCCCATGCCTATGTCCTGAATGGTATTGTCCAGGTTTTCTTCTAAGGTTTTTATGGTTTGGGGTTTTACATTTATGTTTTAAATACATCTTTAGTTTTTTTTATGTAAGGTGTAAGGAGGGGTCTAGTTTCAGTTTTCTGCATATGGCTAGCCAGTTTTCCTAGCACCACTTATTGAATAGGAGATCCTTTCCTCATTGGTTGTTTTTGTCAGGTTTGTCAAAGATCAGATGGTTGTAGATGTGTTGTGTCATTTCTGAGGTCTCTCTTCAGTTCCATTGGTCTACATATCTATTTTGGTACCAGTACCATGCCCTTTTAGTTACTGTAGCCTTGTAGTATAGTTTGAAGTCAGGTAGTGTGATCCCTCCGGTTTTGTTCCTTTTGCTTACAATTGTCTTTGCTATATGGGGTCTTCTTTGTTTCCATATGAAGTTTAAAGTAGTATTTTCTAATTCTGTGAAAAATATCAATGGTAGTTTGATGGGAATAGCATTGAATCTATAAATTACTTTGGGTGGTATGGCTATTTTCAGGATACTGATTTTTCCTATTCATAAGGATGGAATGTTTTTCCATTTGTTTGTGTCTTCTCTTGTTTCCTTGAGCAGTGGTTTGTAGTTCTTCTTAAAGAGGTCCTTCACATCCCTTGTTAGCTGTATTCCTAGGTATTTTATTCTCTTTGTAGTGATTGTGAATGGGAGTTCATTCATGATTTGGCTCTTTCCTTGTCTATTGTTGGTATAAAGGAATGCTTGTGATTTTTGCACATTGATTTTGTATCCTGAGACTTTGCTAAAGTTACTTAGCAGCTTAAGGAGGTTTGGGGCAAATATGATGAGGGTTTCTAAATATAAAATCATGTCGTCTGCAAATAGAGACAATTTGACTTCCTCTCTTCTTATTTGAATACTCTTTATTTCTTTCTCTTACTGATCACCCTCGTCAGAACTTCCAATACTATGTTGAGTAAGAGGTGAGAGAGGGCATCCTTGCCTTGTGCCAGTTTTCACAGAGAATGCTTCCAGTTTTTGCCCAATGTGATATTGGCTGTGAGTTTGTCATAAATAACTTTTATTATTTTGAGATATAGTCCATCAATATCCAGTTTATTGAGAGTTTTTAACATGAAGAGATGTTGACTTTTATCAAAGGCTTTTTCTGCATCTATTGAGATAATCATGTGGTTTTTGTCTTTGGCTCTGTTTATATGATGGATTATGTTTATTGATTTGTGTATTTTGAACCAGCCTTGCATCCCAAGGTTGAAGCCGACTTGATCATGGTGGATAAGTTTTTTGATGCTGGAATTGGTTTGGCAATATTTTATTGAGGATTTTTGCATCAGTGTTCATCAGGGATATTGGTTTTCTTTTGTGTGTGTGTCTCTGCCAGGTTTTGGTAACAGGATAATGCTGGCTTCACAAAATGAGTTAGGATGGAGTCTTTCCTTTTCAGTTGTTTGGAATAGTTTCAGAAAGAATGGTACCAGTTCCTCTTTGTACCTCTGGTAGAATTCGGTTGTGAATCCTTCTAGTCCTGGGCTTTTTTCGGTCGGTAGGCTCTTAATTACTACCTCAATTTCAGAACTGCTATTGGTCTATTCAGAGATTCGACTTCTTCCTGGTTTAGTCTTGGAAGAGTGTATGTGTCCAGGAATGTATCCATTTCTTTTAGATTTTCTAGTTTATTTGCGTAGAGGTGTTTATAGTATTCTCTGATGGTAATTTGTATTTCTGTGGGGTCAGTGGTGATATCCCTTTTATCATTTTTTATCGTGTCTATTTGATTCTTCTCTCTTTTTTTCTTCATTAATCTAGCTATTGGTCTATCTATTTTGTTAATTTTTTCAAAAAACCAGCTGTTGAATTCAGTGGTTGTTTGGAGGGTCTTTTGTGTCTCTATCTCCTTCAATTCTGCTCTGATCTTAGTTATTTCTTGTCTTCTGCTAGCTTTTGAATTAATTTGCTCTTGCCTCTCTCTAGCTCTTTTAATTGTGATGTAAGGGTGTCAATTTGAGTTCTTTCTAGCTTTCTCATGTGAGCACTTAGTGCTGCAAGTTTCCCTCTTAACCCTGCTTTAGTTGTGTCCCAGAGATTCTGGTACGGTATCTCTTGGTTCTCATTGGTTTCAAAGAACTTCTTGATTTCTGTCTTAATTTCATTATTTACCCAAAGTCATTCAGCAGCAGGTTGTTCAATTTCCACGTAATTGTGTGGTTTTGAGTGAGCTCTAATTTGATGGCAGTGTGGTCTGAGAGACTGTTTGTTAGATTTTAGTTCTTTTGCAGTTGCTGAGGAGTCTTTAACTTCCAATTATATGGTCAATTTTAGAATAAGTACTATGTGGTGCTGAGAAGAATGTATGTTCTGTTGATCTGAGGTGGAGAGTTCTGAAGATACCTATTAGGTCTACTTGATCCAGAGCTGAGTTCGAGTCCTGAATATCCTTGTTAATTTTCTGTCTCATTGATCTAATATTGACAGTGAGGTGTTAAAGTCTCTCACTATTATTGTATGGGAGTCTAAGTCTCTTTGTAGGTCTCTAAGAACTTGCTTTATGAATCTGGGTGTTCCTGTATTGGGTGCATATATACTTAGTATAGTTAGCTCTTCTTGTTGAATTGTTCCATTTACCATTATTTAATGCCCTTCTTTGTCTTTTTTGATCCTTATTGGTTTAAAGTCTGTTTTATGAGAGACTAGAATTGCAACTCCTGCTTTTTTTGGCTTTCCATTTGCTTGGTTTTCCTCCATCCCTTTATTTTGATCCTATGTGTGCCTTTGCACGTGAGATGAATCTCCTGAAAATAGGACACCGATGGGACTTCAGCCTTTATCCAATGTGCCAGTCTGTGTCTTTTAGTAGGGGCATTTAGCCCATTAATATTTAAGGTTAGTATTGTTATGTGTGAATTTGATCCTGTCGTCATTATGTTATCAGGTTATTTTGCACACCAGTTGATTCAGTTTCTTCATAGTGTCATTGGTCTTTATATTTTGGTGTGTTTTTGCAGTGGCTGGTACTGGTTTTTTCTTTCCATAATTAATGCTTCTTTCAGAAGCTCTTACAAGGCAGGCCTGGTGGTAACAAAATCCCTCAGCATTTGCTTGTCTGGAAAGGATTTTATTTCTTCTTCATTTATGAAGCTTAGTTTATCTGGATATGAAATTCTGGGTTGAAGATTCTTTTCTCTAAGAATGTTGAATATTGGCTCCCAATCTTTTCTGACTTGTAGAGTTTCTGCTGAAAGCTCCACTGGTAGTTTGATGGGCTTCCCTTTGTAGGTGACCTGGCTTTTCCCTCTGGCTGCCCTTAACATTTTTTCCTTCATTTTGACCTTGGACAATCTGATGATTATGTGTCTTGGGGTTGATCTTCTTGTGCAGTATCTTAGTGATGTTCTCTGTATTTCCTGAATTTGCATGTTGGTCTGTCTTTCTAGGTTGAGGCAGTTCTCCTGGATAATATCCTGAAGTGTGTTTTCCAGCTCATTTCCATTCTCCTAGTCTCTTTCAGGTACTTCACTCAATCGAAGGTTTGGTCTTTTTATGAAGCTCTATTATTTCTTGGAGGCTTTGTTTTTTCCTTTTTATTCTTTTTCATCTAGTCTTATCTGCATGCCTTATTTCAGCAAGGTGGTCTTCAAACTCTGATATACTTTCTTCTACTTGGTCGATTTGGCTATTGATACTTGTGTATGCTTTGCGAAGTTCTTGTGCTGTGTTTTTCAGCTCCATCAGGTCATTTATGTTTCTCTCTAAATTGGTTATTCTAGTTAGCAGCTCCTCTCACCTCTTATCAAATTTATTAGCTTCTGTGCATTGGGTTAGAACATGCTCCTTTAGCTCAGTGTAGTTTTTTATTACCCATCTTCTGAAGCCTACTTCTATCAATTTGTCCATCTCTTCGTTTGTCCAGTTCTACACCTTTGTTGGAGAGACATTGCAATCATGTGGAGGAGAAGAGACACTCTGGCCTTTTGGGTTTTCAGTGTTTTTTTTCATTGATTCTTTCTAATCTTTGTCTAGTTTCGATCTTTGAGGCTGCTGACCCTTGGATATGGTTCTTGTGGGGACTGTTTTTGTTGTTGATAATGCTGTTGTTGTTGCTTTCTCTTTGTTTGTTTTTCTTTCAATGGTCAGGTTTCTTTTTTGTAGGGCTACTGCAGTTTGCTGGGGGGGTTCACTTCAGGCCCTGTTCATCTGGTTTGCTCCCGTGCCTGAAGATGTCACTCAAGGAGGCTCCTGTATAGGGTGTCTGACAATCCCTGTTGGAGGGTCTCAACCAGTTGGGTGGCACAGGGAACAAGACCCATTTAACGAAGCACTTTGTTCCTTGGTGGAGGGGGGTGTGCTTCACTAAGGGGAAACACGCTTATCTGGGCTGCCGGGATTCCTCAGAACAACCAATGGGAAAGGCTAAGTCTGCTGGTCCACAGAGTCTGTGGCCATTCTACTCCTTAAGGGCCTCAGGCCCAGGGAGATCTGGGATCTGTCCCTGAGCCTCTGGCTGGAGTTTTTGGAGTTCCTGCAGGGAAGCCCCACCCAGTGAGGAAGGATGAGTCAGGGTCAGGTCTGAGGAGGCACTCTGGCCACAGTCTGCCACAACCAGCAGCCAACACTAATTCTATCAGGAGTCTCCCACCTTTATAACCTTATCTAACCTTAATTACTGCCTAAAGACCCCACCTGCAAATACCATCATACTGGGGGTTTGGGCTTCAAAATATGAATTTGTGGGGGATAATCATTTAGTCGATATCAGGTCATCTAGAGTGGCTTCTGTTTTCCTAGCTAAACATCAATGATAGAATTCCTTTTTTGACCACAAAAGAAATGTAAATGTTTATTTTTATTATATATAAACATGGATTCATGAAAAGTGAAGATAATCTACTAACAATTTAGTGTATATTTTCCTTTCCCCTCTCTTTGATATGAGATATGGTTATATATATTATGTATAATATATTACATATTAACATTAATTCATGTGCTTATTCCACAAACAGGTACAATCTCCTATTCTATTCTGGCCACTGTGGTTAGTGGAGAGAATGTGTTAAAAGGTAAAAGGCACGTGGTATGCTCAGAGTCAAAAACAAATTGTAGTTCCTTTCCAAATTAAACTATTATACAAAGTCTTCAGTTAATATTATTTACAACTAAATCTGCATCTAACTGGCATTTATGTTTTTTTAACTGTGTATGCATGTCTCCAAGGTAGCATGCACTTTCTAGGTTATTTTATGCAATGGCAGTATGTTAGCACTTTCTTTAAGACAGTCACTTCCATGAGAATTGATACACGGTACATGTGCCTTTAAATGCCCTACACCTATGATAGAGTCCCATGGATAGTAGACATGCATAATATTGGATGCAAGGTGCCCTCTTTAATCATCATAATACATATCTAAAAAGGCATTGGCATTCCTTTAAGTTGTAAGAAAATACCATAGGCTGGGTGGCTTAACCAACAGAAATTTATTTTCACACAGTTCTGGGGGCTGGAAGTTCAAGATCAAGGTGACAACAAGATTGAGTTCTGATGAGGACCCTCTTTCTGGCTTGGTGATAGCTGCCTTCTCACTGTCTCATCACATAGCAGAGAAAGTGAGCTCTCTGGTATCTCACAAAACACTATTCCTATTAGATCAGGGCCCAATTCTCATTTAACCTTAATTACTGCCATATAGGTCCTGTCTCCAAATAGTCACATTGGAAGTTATTGCTTCTATATATGAATTTTTTTTTGGGGGGGACACAATTCAGTCTACAGCTATTCTTATTATACAGACAGAAAATGGGAGTGTAACAGGATGTCAGCTGCACTTTATCCCAAATGGAGATTTCCTCTTATAGTAGTGGTTGCCTACTGCCCAGTGTGGGAAGGATTCCAGAGCCACATCTAGGGTGGGAAGAAAATCTGGCATTAATTGGTGGGCAGTGGGTGTGGGAGTGAAAACCAGCAGTTGTGCAAATTTGCTGCCTCTATGCTTGACACTGTACAGCACTAACTTCAATCGTAATCTGCAAGGTGAGCACTTTCTTCTACATCTTACAATGAGTAACTTAAAGCTCAAAAATTCAAATGATTTACCCAAAGGCAGTTGAAGGCAGAGCTTCTATTTGAGCTTACTTCTGTGCTATTTTATGATACAACTGACTTAATTTGATTTCCTCTAAAATTGAGTATTTTGTCAGTTCTTCATTTTATCCTACATTTGAAAAAACATACGTATGTTGGTCAACTTATCATGCTAGAGAAAGTAGAAGCATGATTGGCCCTTAGGGGTCATCAGAATTTAGTGGTTTAAACAAAAATTAATGAAACATCAAGTATTAAGACATTACTAGAACTCCAAATATACACATTAAGTAAAAAATTGAGTCATATGGGGAAAAGACTGCATTTCATCACCCCTGGAAATACCCACCGTCCTGGAAATATCTCCAAGAAAACCCAGGATTCCACAAAACATGGTTTACAAACCATGGATTCAACTTACTCTCCTTATTCAATTGAAAAACTAAAACCTAGAAAGGAAAAAAAAAAAGTACTTCTTGAAGGTCACACAGCTAATTAATGGCAGGGCTGGAGTGTGGCACTGGCCTTCTAATGCCTAATTCAATGCTCCTTCTCATACACAGGAGTTGAAATATTTTTAAGCATCTGTCAGTGACTTTGAGGCACCAGACTCTTGGAATCACAACTGCATTATATAGGGCACATGAGGTTTTCTGAAAATCCCAAAGAAAACAAAAGGAAATTGAAAAAGCACTGTGGGATTGACTGCAAACAATTGAAATTCTTCTCACTTAAATGCCGAGATGAAAAGGCCAAGACAAGCACAGCTCTGCAAAGAGGAGAAATGAAAAGTCGAGTCTGAAAGCTTTATAGATGTCGATATTCTGCTGAGAAGACTTAGTTCCAGAAGAAAAGAAAAGCTATGGTTACTGAGCACTTTCCAGATTGGTTCCAGTGTGAATGCCCAGTCTGATTCTGGCTTAACTTGGTGTGAGTTTAATGACTATCTCAGCTGTTTCTATGGGATTGAAGAACTTTGGAAGTCAATACGGCCCATTTGCCACTTCATGAAAATTCCTCCCAGGGCGACTAACTTTCAGGCCACCAAATTTCACACCTCTTTGGACAGCTCCAAATACTAGAAAGATCATACTTATAACGAGCTAGAAAAAGAAGACAGAAAGAAAAACTATGTAAGACTTTCTGTGAAATCAAATTCACCACAATGAATTTTTCCACAAGCCGTGCAGAAACACATAATAGTCACATTTTAGAGATGAGAAAAATGAGTCAGAAAGGTTGACAATTGGCCCCATGAGGCACAGCTACGGATGTGATGGCACATGATGGCACAACTGGAATTTGAACATAATTCTGCCTAAGGTCTTTCTATTGTGTGGCAGAGACCATTGCTGAGTGCAAATATTAGTGTTCTTTTTTCTTTCTTTTTTTTGAGATGGAGTCTCGCTCTGTTGCCAGGCTGGAGTGCAGTGGTGCGATCTGACCTCACTGCAACTTCTGCCTCCTGAGTTCAAGCGATTCCCCTGCCTCAGCCTCCCAGATAGTTGGGACTACAGGCATGCACCATCATGCCCAGCTAATTTTTTTTTTTTTTTTTTTTTTTTTTTTTTTTTTTTTAGTAGAGACGGGATTTCACCATTTTGGCCAGGCAGGTCTCGATCTCCTGACTTTGCGATCCACCTGCCTTGGTCTCCCAAAGTGCTGGGGTTACAGGCATGAGCCACCGTGCCCAGTCAATATTAGTGTTCTTTACTTCCTGAACAAACAGCTGGAGTACGTTTTACAGACTTCCTTATTTAGCTCAGTAAGCCCAGGAGACTTACTTATGCCCAATAAAATATGAGCAGAAGTGATAAAAGCCATGTGCAGTCCTGTTCATTAAGATGACCTATTTCTTTCCAGTAGTGGACAAAAGAAAACTCTAATGATCTTGAACAGGATGGAGTCACAAGATGGAAGGCGTTTAGACCCTTGAATGACTTTATGGAGCTCAGACTCTTCCCCAAGCCGTACCTTATCCTGCCCTCTCACTGAACTCTGTGTCATGTTTTTGTGACTACATGGAAACAGGCCTCCTTTAGCTCTTTCAGTCAAACATCAGGAGAAGGTGACCATAATCACAGCTCCAAGGCTGTTTTAGCCAACACTGTGGCATTGCTCTCCAGGTTGGAACTTCTACCAGATTATTTGATGCATAATTATGAACTGAACCACACATTAGCATCCCATTCATATCTTGATATGATTGGCAAAGAACTGCAATAGGGAGTGGAGGATGAGCTGCTATACTATCAGCTTTCCCACTCCTACTCAAGACTGAAAAGCTCATTCACCTAAGCTCCAGGGATTATTGATGGCTTGTAGCTCATCCCTCCTGATGTACCTCTTGGCTGAAGTAATAGACTTAACATGCGATCAGAACTCTTTCCAAGGCACATAGCACACTTAATGACTGGTCCAATGCTGGGTTATAAAGGCCCTGCCTCCATATCAAAGTTCAGGATAATTTTGTACACCTATTTTAGTTCCAGAGCCACTCACCCCCACCATGACTGGATAAAGCATGTGTTGTTACTGCATAACTTCCCAATTTATCCCTTTCCTCAATTCTGATGCAAGCATCCAAAACATTCAAACTTGTATTTTTTAAAACATTAAATAACTATATATTTTAAAACCATGCTCTTATGATAATTAAAGAAGAATTTGCTTTATGAGGAGAGGAAGATGATGGTCTGATCTATGGGCTATGAATGGTAGGTTGGAGATAAAATTACAGGGGATTGACAGGGTGCTGTGTGTTTATCAAAACTTTGTAAAGTTGCCTACATGAAGATTATTTACTATATATGATATATATTTACTTATAAGTTTATGTGAGACAGATATATTCCAAGTGAGCTGGTTTCCCACCATCCTATCTAAGCTGTAAAGAAAGACATCCTAAATGCTGATCAATTTTGTATGTCAATTTGATTAGGTCAAAAGAGGTCCAGATATTTGGTCATATTTGATTCTGGGTATGTCCATGAGGGCATTTTTGGAGGAGATTAACATTTGAATCAGTAGAATGAATAAAACAGATTGTCCTCCATAATGTGGGTGGACTTCATCTAATCAGCTGAAGGTCTGAATAGAATAAAAAACCAACTGTCTCCTCAGAGGAAATTCTCCCTGCTTGATGGTCTTTGAACTAGAACATTAACTTTGCTCCTGCCTTTTAACTTGAACTGAAACATCAAATCTTCCTGGGTCTCCAGCCTGCTGGCCTTCAGACTGGAACTACATCATTGGCTGTCCTGGTTCTCAGGTCTTCAGATTCAAACTGGAAATACACTATCAAATAATCTAGTTTTCAGACTTTGAAATTCAACTGGAACTAAATCATCAACTCTGTAGGGTCTCCAGCTTGTCTACTCCTTCTGCAAATTTTGGGACTTTCCAGCCTCCATAATCATATGAGTCAGTTTCTTATAATAAATATTGCTCTCTATTTTGATAGATAGATAATCTGACAAATATAGATTTTTGATACTGAGAGTGAAAAACTTATCCTTAAAAAAAAAATTTAAGAATGAGTTTTTAGAATTGGTTTTCCATTTCTGAAATTGGCTGTCTAATGTGATTATATTTAAAGACATAAATTACTCTATTTTTATAGTAAGCAGAAAACTAATAGTCCATGATGTCATCTGGCAATAGAAATATGCAACATATCACCATTGGACATTCCTAATAACCACTTATGAGAGGCAAGGATGTGAATGATGGTATACATGATATTTTTAAACATTTTTTTAATCAAACTAACAACTGTAACGAGGCTAGATGATTGCTCCTATGGTCATTGGACAAAGTGTTGGAAAAGAAGAATGAGCTCAGAAACTCAAATTCCCAACTCAAGTGGCCCATAAATGATCTGAAATCTTCTATGTGTACCCTGAAGAAGATCCTTTTCTCCTACAGCCACAGGGTGAGATTCCTGAAAACCAAACCCAGAATCTCATTTAGTGACTGGCTGAGTTACAATGCAAGTTGAATTCCCACCTTACAGGGTGTCTAACGTTAAAGTGAGGGCATTGATTGCGAAAGAAAAGGATACCAAAAATTTGAAGAGGGATGTGTGAGAAGACCTCAATAAAGCTGGGGATAATGAGCCTCTAAATTCTGATGAGTCTCCTTTACCAGTGGAAGCAACCTTCCCAGCTTTAGTAGAAGGCATCTCTTCATTCCTGTTTGAAGGAGGGAATCCTGCCTTACTTGAGGAAATTTTAACAGCCTCTCTTGAGATTATTGTTTTGCAATACAGTACATATTGTTCTCAGGACCCACCCCCACACCACCACTCTTTTCTTCTAGACTTATAAGTAGACTGAAGTCCCAGGAAGTCCCTCATGTTGAACAACATGCTGGCACCATGGAGTCTGGGGAATGTTTCTCCCTTTCCTGTTCTGTCTTGCCAGTTATTGCTGTTGGAGATCCAGTTAAACAGGATAGCTATCAAAGACATGTCCAAAGCAATATGCTTCTAGAGTATTTCAAACTGCTTTATTTTCCCTTGTATATTCAGCTACTCATCCAAGCTCTGCCTGGTAATCATGTGTTTAGTTTTAGTTTGAAAACCACTGCTCTGTCTCAAATATTGGGTGACTTGTGACCTTCTTAATCCTCTTATAACCTATCATCAGAATCATCCAATTCCTCTCTGAGATCTTTTCTGCATTTGGTGCATGCTTTTGATCTTGTTCACATCATATCCTTGCAATGATCTATTTGCATGTCCTTCTCCCCTGATAAAGGGGATTTCTTGAGGGCAAATAAGGAGAGTGGCTTATTTATTTCTGAATTTCCCAGGCCCTAACAATAGATCTTTTTCAAGAATGATTTCTTCTATGATGATGGAATGAATTCACACTAAACCACTAAACACATAAAGGTCAATTGAAATGGCCTTAATTGCTGCTTTTCATTTATTACTTTGTACAAAAAAACAAACAAACATGTAAAATGAAGAGCTTTATAAAGCCAAATCTGGTTATAAAGGGGAACAAGAAGATAAGAGTCTAAAAACACACTCTGTTCATCTCAAAAATGAGAGAAGCTTTCTGAAAGAATAGAATTTAGCTTGGAGGAGCTTAAAGAAAGCCTTTTCCCTCCAATTTTGTCTAGGATAAGTCTATTTCTTTCCATCTCCATCACCCCATCCAAGTAGAAGCTATCATTGTCTTACCTTTGGCTTGCTGCCATATCCTTCTAACTGATCTGCTCACATCTGTTCATGCCCCTCTTCAACCTGCTCTTCACTCTGTAACCACAAGAGTATTTTCAACACACCAGGCTAGTCACTGCAAATATACCTCTTCTCCTCTTTAGAATGACATAGGTCCTTCCTTCTCTGACCATGACTTGCCTTTTAGGACTTATCTCTCACCATATCCCCTCAGTCTCAGCACCCCAGCTGCAACTGCTGTCCTATTCTTTCCACAGAACCTCTACCCTAGCAAATTCCTCTCCAAGGAGCCCTCCTCTACTGTTTCAGATCTACTGCACTTGTTTGTACTTAGTCAGCAGAGCTCAACATTCACGAGCAAACTTACCTGATTTTTGGATAGATGTGAGCCCCAGGACAGAAGTATTAACATGTCAGTCTTAAGTTTATAGAATCCATGATAGAGAATATGTGGTTTTACTCCAGATGCGAACACAGGGCCTGCTCCATAGCAGGTGCACAGTAAATACATGTTTAAGGAAAGGAAGAAGAAGAGAAGTAAACAAAGGAAAAAAGGGAGGAAGGAAGATGTTAAAATAAGTAAATTTCAGGTTAGCTCATAACTGTCTACTTTTGTTCTAACAAAGCTAATAGACTTTCTGCTATATCATACCATAACTCTGATGAATTAAATCTCTTTTGGAGATATCATGCATGTAAAGGAGTTAAATGCAATTGTGCTTGGAATCCAAAGGATTTCCTAGAATCATGTTTGGTGGTTCAGTTTTCATAGAACCTGTGGCTTTCCCTTGATTCACGCTCTAATCCTTACTCTTAAGCAGTTGTCTCTGTGATAAAACCGTACAAAAATATGGATATTCCTTTAAAAATAGTAGAAAAAGAACAAAAGACCCATAGGATGAATGTGTACACCCAACCAAACCCTATTTTACTTGAATTCAAATAAAATAGAACAGTATCTGCTATAGCTGAGAGAAAAAGCATATTGGTTAAACCTGAGGGCAGGAACCCACTCAAGTGTGAAATCTGGTGTCTACTAAAAAATCTTCAAAGTTCAAAGTCAGACAAACAGGAGACCCTATAGAGAATGGAAAATCTCATGACTTGATACTTTCATTATTAATTGTTGAATTCCAATAGCTGAACTCCCAGTTATCCTAGCGAAACATTATATAACTTTTGCTCTAGGCATGGATAAGATACTGGCTTAAAATAAAGTTGACAGTCAATCAAGAATAATTCTGCTAAAAATTATTCTGCCAAGACAAGCTGTAGAAAGTGGAAACAAAAATAAAGTGTTGAAGAATAAGGCGTACATTTCTGGGCCCAACTGTGATCTCTAATCTAGTAATTTATGAGGTCCAGGTGATGATATATCCATTCTTCCATCCATCTAGTCTGAATTCCCCTGTTCGTGGAGGATTGGCCAAATAGCACAGGGCACTGACCCCTGGATTGGGAATTCAAAATTCTGAATGAGGAATACAAATGTCCCCAGATGGTCTAAGCAAGGGAAACCAAATTTAAAAGCCAGGGGCTTAATCAAACATCAGTTTAAAGGAGAAAATGCAACATGATAATGAAGTCCCCCAGGAAGTGTATCCAAATACCCATAGGTGTCAGGAAATGCATCCAAATACCCATAGGTGTCTGGCTTGTCTTTTTTTTTTCTTTTCTTTTCTTTTTCTTGAGAGTTTCGCTCTTGTTGCCTAGGTTGGAGAGCAATGGTGCAATCTTGGCTCACCGCAACCTCCGCCTCCTGGGTTCAAACGATTCTCCTGCCTCGGCCTCCCAAACCGCTGGAATTACAGGCACCTGCCACCATGTCCAGCGAATTTTTGTTATTTTTAGTAGAGATGGGGTTTTGCCATGTTGGCCAGGCTGGTCTCAAACTCCTGACCTCAGGTGATCCACACGCTTCGGCCTCCCAAAGTGCTGGGATTACAGGCGTGAGCCACCATGCCTGGCCTTGACTTCTCTTTAAGAGCTATCACATATATGTTATATGAGATCAACTGGCTTCACCTGTTTTAAAAATCACATGCTGAGATGGATCTATCTTTCATCCACTAGCCAACCACTCATCCATGCTTTCATATATCCAACCACTCATTTAGTTTAGCAATTTGGATTGCAGGAATGGATCAGAGTGACTCTTGGCCCAGCTTTGTTCACCTACATTCATGCAGCACACACCCCTAAACTTAGGAAAAGGTCAATCAGTTTGTACTATGTTATTAGCTCCATCTTATTGTCTGCTGTCTAAGGTTGCATTCTAAAGGCATGGCATATTTTTATGATAATCAGATAAGCTACTTGGTGTAATTCAATAACAACAATACTTTGGTTTCTTCATCTGTAAAATGGAGCTAATATTGGAACCTACCACATAGAGCTGTTCTGAGGACTGAATGGATTAACAAATGTAAAGAATAGTACCTGGCACTATTTTTGCTTTTAAGAATACCTATAAATAAATAATTTAAAGAGTACTATCATAAGCAGTATTCACTAGATTTTTCCAAATATTTGCCAATAAAGTACATTTCTTCTCATTTTATAATAGAAAACACCTGACTTTTTTCATTCCCCCTAAAATAATTGAGTTCCTCAGAAGCAGGGCTGGGGACTATTTCTCCCTATCCTACCTAGTAAATAGTAAATAACCGATAATAGTCAGTTGAGCAATTGAAGTTGCAAAATCCTCCTGGTTGCTTCTCTAATATGCCTTCTCCCCTACCTCTCTTCCGCCACTTCCTTGATTTAGGTCTCCTTTTTCCCCTCTGTATTGTTGCCACAGCCACCTAACTGGACTTCCTGCTGCCAGACGCATTTGTCTCTAGTGCACTCAGAGTCATCTTTTCAAAAGTAAATTTGACCATGCCATTTTTAAAGCCTTCGATGACTCACCATCACAGGCAAGATAAAGCCCTTAATCCTGGGTGTTTTTCACAAGGCTCTTTGCAAGGGGCACTGTTCCCTTGTCAGCATGCTTTCCCACTGCTAAATCTACAGATTCCTTTGCACTGAAAGATGTATGTTTCTCAAATTATAGGCCCTATTCATTTTTATTTTTAAAGTTTGCTTTCATCTTTGAAACAGGATGTAGAGGTAGATATAAATTTGCCCACTCCCTGAGTTTCAAGCCTACAGTGGGAGAAAGACTTGTGAAAAATGACCATAATACAATGTAAGAAGTATTAGAAAAGTGAACATAATCTACCAGGGAGCTGATTATAATCCTGAAAGACACAATCACGCCATCATCCCAAATGTTGAAATGCTGAAAGATCAAAATCCTGAAAATATAATTCTAAAGCTATAATTCAAATTATTTGAAAGATATTTATTTATTTGTTGTTTTGGGTATGCAGAAATACATTCTGCATGCCTACATTTACAGGCAACAAATTTGGCAGAAACAAGATTGGAGATCAAACAGCAATATTGTTGTGTGTCTTTTTATCCTACCATGCACATAATTATTTTTGAACCAGTCAGTAGCTTTGCTGGCTTCTTCAGAAAAATGTGGCTTTAATTCCTTAAAAACTCCTGGAATGTCATCAGCTGGAAGGAATGCCAATGCGGGCAAATGACACATTTTTGAACTACAGTTTTTGTCATTGCCCTATCAGGTGACCAATGCGCTCATCTGAATTTTCCACCAAATGCACTGAGCCTAATGGATAAAACAAACATTATTGGTAGGTAATACCTTGAAAGTCACTTTTAGAAGCTTTGTTCATACCCAATTTCAAATCTGTCATTATGGATTGAGGATTTGATTGAAATTCATTTTCTTCTGCAAAGTCCACCAAATCTTCAAATAAGTGTTTATAAAATGCTTCACTTTTTCCATTCATTAATACATAAATGAGAAGGTAGAATTCCAGAATTCTAATTGTAGAGTTCTAGAATTTTCAGATCCAACAGGGTCATGAATTGTATATAAACAGTACAAAGAGTTTTGAAAGTGCCATCTATTAGCCAAACTGAAGCATGTGCTAGTTTTTCTGTGTTAGATTTAGTGGTAAATATAGGAAGTCTATCTTCTTCAACAGTCAAATCCCTAATCAAATTATTTCACCATGTAATGTGTTTTCTAACACTGAAGGAAGTTAGCAAGTGTCTTTGGTTCAACAGGTCACTGAGCTTGTTGAATTCTTTTTATTCTCTGACAAAGAGCATTTTATGAAGGCAGAATAGTGTAAATCCTAGAGTCTAAAGGCCAGAGAGCCTGGTGTTCTGAGGCCGCTAGAAGAAAAGTCTGTCCTAGCCCTCAGATAGAGTGCCATTCCCTTTCTGTATTTGTTCTCTCTGAACCCTTGGCCAGTTGGATGGCGACCACCAATATCGAGGGCAGATGTTTGCCACCTAATCTACTCAGACTCATACACTAATCTATGGAAACACCCTCATAGACATATCCAGATAATGCTTTACCAGGTTTCTAGGTATTCCTTAATCCATTCAAGTTGAAACATAAACTTAAGTCCACAAGTCCACCCCTTGTCCACTTGGCACCCAAAAACATCTCCTTAACCATATTTAATTCTCAGTTCATGTCCTTAAAGCATACTTGAATTCCAAATAAAGACAATAATAATAATAACAAAAACAAGGTAATAGTTCTGCCTAACATGATGCAACCATCCTATGATTGTGATTTGCAGAGTTTTGGACATTAGGGATTTTTATCTTTTGAGATTTCAACACTCAGGATTATAGTGTTCAGGATCATGATCCAGACGTAATCTCCCACATCATAGGCTAGCCTTCGTTATTTTTTCTACACCCCAAACCAACTACGTTGCTTGGTATGCCAGCCAAATCATCCTGGGATTATACTGAGCTGACACTATATCTATCATTTATGCTGCATTGTATATTTCAGTCCCTGCCATAACATGTGACAATGAAAATTCCAAAAGAGTTGAACCACTGTCTCCCTGGGCAGTGCCCCACCGTGTGCCATAATACAACATACAAGGGTCATCTGGGATCTGGCTACTGCCTCTCTGTGCATCCTTATTTCAGATTAACCCCATGGTTTCTACTGGATGTCTCCTACTTCTTTTTACTATAATTGTTATTTTTTTAAAAAAAATTGATTTGATTTGATTTGATTTTAAGTTTCGGGATACATGTGCAGGATGTGCAGTTTGTTCATAGGGAAACACGTGTTATGGTGGTTTGCCGCACCTATCAACCCATCACTTAGGTATTAAGCCCAGCAGGCATTATCTCTTTTCCCTAATGCTCTCCCTGCCACCCTCCCCAAACAGGCCACAGTGAGTGTTTTTCCCCTCCCTGTGTTCATATGTTCTTATTGTTCAGCTCCCACTTATAAGTGAAAACATGCAGTGTTTGGTTTTCTGTTCCTGCATTAGTTTGCTAAGGATAATGGCTTCCAGTTTCATCCATGTCCCTGTAAAGGATATGATCTTCCTTCTTATGGCTGCATAGTATTCCTTGGTGTATATGTACCATATTTTCTTTTTCCAGTCTATCACTGATGGACATTTGGGTTGATTCCATGTTTTTGCTATTGTGAATAGTGCTGCAATGAACATATGCGTGCATGTATCTTTATAATACAGTAATTTATATTACTTTGGGTATATACCCAGCAATGGGATTGCTGGGCCAAATTGTATTTCTGGTTCTAGGTCTTTGAGGAATTGCCACACTGTCTTCTGCAATGGTTGAATTGATTTCTATTCCCACCAACCGTGTAAAAGTGTTCCTATTTCTCCACAGCCTTGCCAACATTTGTTTCTTGTTTTAATGATCGCCATTCTGACTGGCATAAGATGGTATCTCAAATGGTTTTGATTTGCATTTATCTAATAATAAGTGATATTGAGCCTTTTTTTCATGTTTGTTGGCCACATAAATGTCTTCTTTTGAGAAGTTTCTGTGCATATAGTTGGCTCACTTTTTGATGGGGTTGTTTTTTTCTTGTAAATTTGTTTAAGTTCCTTGCAGATTTTGGATATTAGACTTTCGTCAGATGGATAGATTGAAAAAAATTTCTCTCATTCTATAGGTTGTGTGTTCACTCTGATGATAGTTTCTTTTGCTGTGCAGAAGCTCTTTAATTTAACTAGATCCCATTTATCAATTTTTGCTTTTTTTGCAATTGTGTTTGACGTTTCCTTCATGAAATCTTTATCCTTGTCTATGTCCTGAATAATATTACCTAGGTTTTCTTTTAGGGTTTTTATAGTGTTGGGTTTTACATTTAAGTCTTTAATCCATGTTGAGTTAATTTTTGTATAAGGTGTAAGGAATGGGTCCAGTTTCAAGTTTCTGTATGTGGCTAACCAGTTCTCCCAGCATCATTTATTAGACAGGGAATCTTTTCCCCATTGCTTGTTTTTGTCAGGTTTGACAAAGATCAGATCGTTGTAGATGTGAGGGATTATTTCTGAGTTCTTATTCTGTTCCATTGGTCTCTGTATCTGTTTTGTGCTAGTACCATGCTGTTTTGGTTACTGTAGCCTTGTATCATAGTTTGAAGTTAGGTAGCATGATGCCTCCAGCTTTGTTTATTTTTGCTTAGTATTGTCTTGGCTATGTGGGCTCTTTTTTGGTTTCATATAAATTTTAAAGTAGTTTTTCTAATTCTGTGAAAAATGCAAAGGGTAATTTAATGGGAATATCATTGAATCTGTAAATTACTTTGGGCTCTATGACCATTTTCATGATGTTGATTTGATGTCCCCTACTTCTTGTTAGGTCTCAGATTAAATCAAGCTCTGGGCCAGCTTTCATTCTGTCCTCCTTTTTCACATTCACAGATAGTATTTTATTTTTTCATAGCACTTACATAATTGTAAACTAAAAACACTTATCTAGCAATTGTTGCTCATTATCCACCTCTTGAACTAAATTTAAATTCCTATTATGTTAAGAGATTATCTGGTTAGTCCCAAGTATACTCAGTGCTTATCACTGTGCCAAAAACAGTACGTACTTATGTATGAAGTATACCCCAAAAAAGCGATTAAAAATGGACATTGCTGAGTTGACAGCATTAGATATCCCTAGACATAGTCTAGCATAGCTTATAGCCTCAAGAAAAAAAAGGCAGGGAAATTCAAATTCAGAAGCTTTCATGGCCAAAGTGGTAGATGCAAATAATACAGTTGTTTATGAATAATGATGATTGTACATGTGCATATGATGTTTTACAATTCACACAGCACCTTCTCAATAATCAATTCTCTTGATCCTAAGACTGTTGAGATATGATACGTTCCACTGACATTTCTCTAGGGCTAAAATTATGGCAAATGGGACTGACAGACTCATTTAACCAGTGCATGCTCATAAAAGGTCTTAATTTTAGATTTTTAAAAATGTTACTTCCAAATAAAGATCACTGTGTGTGTTTTTAAAAAGTGAAAGATTAAGTGAAAATGTATATTTTTCACAACTGAATCTTAGTATTTCTTCATCATTTAATATCCTGGAAGACTCAAAAATTGAGCAAAGCCTGGGTCACTGAGAGGCCCTATATCCACAGTTTCATTGTACATTAAATACAAAGGATGTGTTTAACAGACTCTTGGACCAGCAAGACTCAAGCTTCTTCCTCTGGGCCTATATTCTCTTGGAACATTGAGCATCACTTTGATGTTCACATCCTGATTCCATGCTCCTCAGCTCTGCAAATATTGGCGAGTCATTTTACTTCTCTGGGTCTCAGTTTCTTTATCTATAACATGACTATACAAATTCATGTTCATAATTTCTTTTACACAATTCTGAAATTCTAAAGCCCTGAATCTAAAAAAAATTAATTAATTGAGAAAGATCCTTTGGCAGTAAAATCTCTTCTGAATTGACATACAACTATTTAAGTCTTCCCTTATCACACTTAATATTCCCAATTTTTGGATATAGATGTATTAATGTGATTAAGCTGAGGATGTTATATAGTATGAAGCATATATAGAGTATTATGCTTTCTAGAGTCCTATACTTCTGAATGTTGAAAGCCAGCAGGCCTCAGGAACTTTAATTGAAGTCCCATGGCCTTGTTCCTGCACTGAGAACTGCTGGGGCTTGAAGAAGACAGCGTGCAACATCTCTGGCTTATAGAAAGTACTTAAGAGGTGGTAGCCCTAATTCACAAGGCATTCTTTTGGCTCTAACTCACTAAAGGCTAGCACCCCTGCATCTTCTTGGCTGGCTGGTTGTTAGACACTTGGCTTTGGATCAAGTCTCTTTTCTCCTTTAGCAAATGCTATCTTGGCTGGAGGTTATCTGAAACCCAGAATGATTTTTTGTCTGTCTGTTGTTGTTTTTCCTCATCACCAGTTACCTCTGTCAGACTATGGAAATTCCTGAGGCTAAGGCTACTCTACATAACTCTCACCACTGTGGTTTAGTAAGACTTCCTCATTCACTCCTTAATATTTTGCTATGGACAGCTCAAGTGGAAAAAAGCAAAATGGGAAAATACAAAAGAAATATGTCTTCAAAAATTAGTTTATCATCTTTGGCCTATACAAGGTTGTTCTTACTAGGTAGGTAGTTGATTCATTATTTACTTATTTATTCATTCACTTCTCTTTTGCTGGTTCATTCTATTATTCGTTCTGTCTTTTTTCATAAAATAATTTAACAAATGTGACCATTTCTTACATGTCTTTATTGATTCTATGTATAAGTCCAAGGATTAAACAGAAAAATACAAAATTAAATTTACCTAGTTTATAGGCCCCTTTTATGTTTGCTCATTTTTGGTAAAAATACATGGTTAAAAGAACTAAATATTTACCTTTTGGAGATCATTGTAAAAGTACTTTACATTAGGTAGAAGTCATCACGTTCTCAATTAGAACAATGGCAGGACTTAAATCAGTGCTTTTATACATTGCCTTTTTGAATTATATACAATTTCTAAAAAGTTAAGATTTTCAGCAGCAAGGTTGATGAATGTGACCTGGTACCAGCCAATTTCAAACACAGGTTGGATTGACTTCACAATCCCCATGAATTTCCAGTTATACTTCTTTCACTTCTGGGAAAAAGTCAGACTAGAAGGACCAGTGACAAGAGAGATGAATTGTGCCTACTGAATAATTCAGAGGGTCAGTCTGAGTAATTTTCAAGATAAAAGTTTGTCTCAGAATCTTGGGAAGATGACAAGCTCTGGGAGCAAATAAATATGCTTCTAATTCAGAACTGGGCCCTAAACACCTGACTTAGTACCTGTTACGAGTAAATGTTATTGGAGTAAACCAAATTTGTGATTGAATTTATCAGCAATTGAGTGCTAAAGAGAAAGAGGATCAGGATAAGAAGAAGAAGAAAAATAAAAGGAAGGGAAGTGAAAATGAAAAGAAAGAAAAGACAAGAAAGGAAGGAACAAAAGAAGCAAAAATTTAGGAATAATTGAAATATGCCTGTTGTCCTAGCAGTTGGGTTTTTCACTCATAGCTCCAGTAAAATTGCTCTCCCTCAAATCTCTATTGATATCCATGTTGCTAATCCCAGTGGAAAAATGCTTAAGAGAAGTCCCTGGAGTTAAACTGTTTGTCACTCGATAGCTGGGTGACTAGTATGCAGACCCTCAAGCCACCACCAATGATTCCTGCCTTCTGCTATTCATGCCCCTATGTAATCTTCTCTTGAGTGTGAGTAGAACCTGTGATTTATTTCTAACCAATGTAATATGTCAAAGATTATGATTTGTCACTCCCAAGATGACATTACATTGTATAAGACTGGCTTGCTAGCAGACTCACTCCAGAGATTATTCTAGTGGGTTTGATGAAGTAAATGACCATTTTGAGAATGTCCATATGGCAAGGAACTGTGGATGGACTCTAGAAACTGCAGGCAGCCCACAGCCAATAACCATCAAGGAACTGAGTGAGCTGGGAAGCTGTCTTCCTCACTCGAACCTCCAGATGAGAATACAGCCCTGCCTAAACTGTGAATATAGCCTGGTGAAGCTGTAAGCAAAGGATCCACCTAGGCTATGGCTAAACTTCTGACCCTCAAAAATGGTAAGATCATGTTTTATTTGAGCTGCTAAGATTGTAGTAATATTGTTACATAGCATAGAAAACTGATATAATGACTTTGGGTGCCAATCTTTCTAATATTCAAATCCCTATTCTGTAAAATGGGAATAACAATAGTATCTATTTTGTACATTGTTGTGAGCAATGTAATGATTTTAAATACATGTATATATATTATAATATTATATATAAAATACATAAATGATATATATTCTATATAATGCTATATTATATATAATTTAATTTAATTATATTTATAATATATATTTATATATTATGTGTGTGTGTATATATATCACAATGGGGCTGGCACATAAAGAGTCATATAATCGTAGCTCTTGTAATTATCTATGATATACTGCTTTTAAATGATTTGAGGTCTTTTTCAAAATATTTTCTTCCTTGTTTTTGTAATATTTTATCTAATGTTTTTCCTCCTAGTTTCGTCCACATTTTTCAGTCTCATTTACAAACTTCTCTTTTCCTTAGTTCTTCCTTCAGAATCCCGCCTCCTTGTTTTTATCACCTTCAGCATCTTTTTGAGGGCTCTGAGAAACAACAATGCCTTTCCCTTTCCCCACAGTATCCTAAGCGCTTCTAGAGGATAAGCTCCCTGCAGACTTTAATAGATTAATTTCAACTGAAAAAAAAGGTAAACTTTAAAAACAATGGGATAAATTAAAGTGAAGATAGTATTTGGGCCCTAATGTACCTAAGGCTCCTAAGACTTTGTACCAGGTACATTCACATTTTGTAATTAATTCACAAAACCATCCTATGATATTAGCATTATTTGCCCCAAGGAAAGGTAAAGGGAGGCGCAAAGAGCTAAGTGGCAGTGTAATAATGGAAAAGGCACTAGCTTTGGAGACAAACCTGGCTTCAAAATTTGCCTGTGCTTCTTGAAAGCTGTGTGGTCTTGGACAAGTTGCTTAACCTTTCTGAGCTTCTGTTTTCTCATAGCAAAATGAGGATAGTAATATCCATCTCAGAATGTTGTGAGAACCAACCAACACATGTACATGGCAGGAGCTCAAAACCTTGTGGCACTATGAGTGTCAGGCTGCAGTATTAGTGCTGGGATTCATTTTTGGGTTTCCCAGCACAGAATATAGATGATGAATAGATGATAGGTAGATAAATATATAAATGTATAATAGATAAATGAAACTGAAAATTCAACAAAAGGAAGATAAGGAATATGTCTTCATAGAATAAATAAGTGATGCTTGATTTATTTAACGGTTTCTAGGGGAAATGTTATGACAGGATTAAGGGAGCTTAAGGCCACCCTGGTGTGTGGAGAGATAAACAGTTTAGAAAAGACATCTATGTCCCAGAAAGCCTCAAGATATTTTGTTGCTGCTTACTCTATGAATAAAAATTTGGAAATTTTAAGACTTTAAGTGAATTTTGAAAACAAGATTTAGTGCTTCAGCCTTTCCAAACCTTAAAAAAAATTTATATTTGTATGTCTATTATGATACTTGAGAACACCAATGATTCTATATGCCATAGGTTCTATGATACTTTTTCATAAAACTCCATTTATTCTGGAATTGAGGCATCTCTTGGCTTGCCACTGGCAATTCTTGCTGTGAGTCTGTATGTAGGAGATCTGAGATTTGCACAGATATAACTTTACTAAGGGAGGAGGAAATTGGATTTGCGAAAGCAGAGTCTAACATAGGAGGCCAGTGAACAAAGAGTAGGAGCTTGTCATGATTCTCATCCACCCCCAACAACCCTTTACTTTTTACCATATCCACATTCTGGAAACCTCTGATCTGGGAAGAAAATGTGATAAAAACCACAGATCATTCTCACTAAAATCTATGTTAAGTCTTTAGCAAGAAAAATTCCTGTTTAACTTCAGTGTTATAGATGAGGGGCCCAGGGGCCTGACCTAAGGGAAAGCATTGAATGTCTCCTGTAATGACTGAACACAGAACTGAGATGCAAAAAGGTCTCAAACACTTCTTGAAATCATTCTGATGCAGTTGTGAGGAATCTGAAGATTTATCTGTGTTACCAGTCATTCTTCAGGTAGGAGCAAAGATGTGAAAATCACGTTGTGTTTCTATATTTTTCTAAAAGTCTCTGAGCTAGGGACATTCACAGAATACACTGGCATGTGAATTGATGGACCATTTGCAGATATGAGTACAATTATATCAGTTGATGAGGAAGGAACTCTGTAGTTGTGTATACTCACTTTGCAAAACAGCTAGTTAAGACTAGTGGAGGAGCTGAGTCATGAGTCAGGAAAACACCCTCTTGATGGGAAGATACTGATTCTGAAAGCAAGCCCTGTAACAGATCTAGTGTGAGCCAGAGACAGCGCATTTGGAGATAATCTGATGCTTATCCAAGCATCTGGGTGCCTGGACCTTTAAATAAATTCCTTGTCAATTGAAACTTTTTTCCTAAATTAATTTAGACCAAAATTTACTTCTTCCTTCCCAGCCAAGACTGGCTGACTGTTCCAGGCCTGATTCTTACTTTATCTTTCTTTATATTACCAGATTTGGACCTTGACTTTCATCCATGACTCTAACTCTGCTGTCTTCTGTACTAGGTTCTTCGTGGCTTATGTCCTGACATCTAGAAACTGAGTTGCCCTCAATTCCTGCCCCCGACCCTGATTCCTAGACCTTCTGTGACATTTGCCCACAGCTCAATTGGAATAGCAACCTTTAGATGCCCCTTTAGTGTCTCTATTCTCCATTTGGAAGCTCGTGGCTTGTAAAAACACATTTATTTCCAGGGCCGTGAGTGGAATATAGGGAAAGGATTGACTCTCCCCACCCTAGTTTTCTCTTTAAGATCCACCTGTGACTTATTTCTTCTTTGAGGCTAATAACAAAGAGTCTGTTAACCTAATTTTACAATACAAAATGAGAGAAGTTGGCACAGTGTAATTTTCTTTCAGAATAAAATCCTGAAGGGTAATTCTATTAAAGAAATCTCATACTTTTCAAAAGGTGGGAGGTCTGATCAGGTTTCAAGGCAGAAGAAACCCAGTCAGTTTAGAAGAAATTAAAAGGAACATGGGAGAAGTTGTTGTCATGGTCTGGAGTAAACTGCTCTAAGTCTACCTGGGTATCTATGATAACCAGGGCATTTTGCTCCAGAAGATGGTTCACCAATACACATGAGTAGCCACAGTGCCTTATGCAATACGTGCCCTTTTTGATGAACAAGTATTATTGCTAGCCAGTGAAGAACCATGTTTCCCCATGTGAACAACAGTTAACAGGTGTTTATAAACACATCTAAAAGCCCTAAAGCTGACCCTAGTAGTATTGTTAGTAGTTGTTGTAAGAAAAGGAGTGGGATTTCTGGTGAACCATAGAACACTTTAAAGAAGGCTAAAGACCTGAGGGCAATTTCAAGGAACTCATATTTCACTTCCAAGTCTCCTAGGACCAAAAATAATTCTCAGTCTATTTCAAGTTATTTCCTCCACTATTACTTCTCTGCAGTCTATAAAAACACTCTTTCCTCTCTCATCTAATATCCTGATTGGAAATGAATTATGTTTCAACGAATTAGATGAGGTTGGCATCTAGCTCATATGGCCTCACTCTTTCCTTAGGAAAGTCAGGGTCACATGAAACATCTGGCAGATGCCTTTGTAAGGGGGACTTTTAATATGTGATCATAGCAGCCATGAAGAGCTCTGTAAGGGAGATTATAAAATTTTGTCTCTCTTGATCATCGCCCCACAAGCTGCAAAGATTTTTCCATGCTAAACAAACCCTTTTTTTAAGCAAAAATAACCAATATAGCATTTCTTTTTCATGTCAAGGGTGCTGTAGAGATTGGGTTAAGCTTTCCAAAGAAAATGGATCATATATATTTTTTTTCCAGAGTAAAGGGGAGATGCTATAGCGACCACTAAATCTAGGATGAACTAAAGAGACCCTTTTATCCGATGGATTTATTTTACTAAGGAATAAAATAAGGCTCATGGACACTGTAGGATGGATACATCACCTATGTTGAAAGGTTTGAAAGTGATGTTTCAGATGTCATAATAAAAGTAACAAAATCATTTTTTATTTTTTGTATTTACCCTTAGAGTGTTTCATGATGCTGTTTTTCTCCTGGCACACTCTATACACACATACACATGCATATTACTTTTCAAATAAAAGTTTTATTTCTTATGCATTTGCTCAAAACAAATCCTTAAGACTTGAGTGTTTATTTCTAGAGAAAACATTGTCGCACTCCAACAGTCCTGTGGCTATGTTGCTTGTTTGCTTTACTGCCAAGTTAAAACGATGTCTCTAAAGCCTTCTCTTTCCCAGAGGCTCTCTCCTGGCTCTGTTCTCTTTGGTGAATGCCTTTTCTTGTGGCTTTCAGCATTCTCTGTTCACTCTAGCAGAGAGAGGGGCACTTTAAAACCATTTTAGTACAAAAACTTATTTCTTGCATGAATTCTGAGCTAAAAGTAGATCAATATGTCTTCTTTCCTAAATTAAAAAATAAATTAAACAGCATTACAATGGCATTCCCAGTATTCATCTCATAAACAATTCTCTCCCCTTCCTCACTGACCCACTTGGCCACATCCTGCCTGCCATCACTGAAGTTAGACTGATCAGTTGAACTAATACCATTATTCCAATTGTACATGTTAGAAAAAATAATGAAGATAACTAGCATCTATTGAGATTTCTTTATATGTCACATGAGTGTGGATGGGTAGGTGTTTTTCCCTACACATGGATGCATATTCAGTTGTTTCAACACCATGTATTGAAAAAAGTCTCATTCTTATTTCATTTTTCTACTTGATATTTTTGTCAACAACAAATTGACGATATACATTTCAGTTATTTCTGAAATTTTTTATTTAATCTTTTTATGGGGATGTCTTCTCAGCAATATATGTGTGTGCTGGGGTGTGGGTGGGGGTCTTTAATCTTCAGCACACAAACTGAATACAGAATTCTAACTTGAAAATATTTCATACACCAATTTAAAGCTATCTTATTATTTTTTCTGGCTTTCATAGTTTCTTATGACTGCTTATTTGTATTTTATGCAAATACAGATTATGTATCTGGCTTCTCATAAAATTTTATTTCTGTGAACAATTTTGTGCAATTTGATCACTATGAATTGGTATGATTTTCTTTGTATTTATCCCAGTTGAGGTTCATTGAGTTTCTCATAGAAGCATAGGTTTATAAATTCCATTAAATTAGGAAAATAGTTGGCTATTTATTTTAAAATAATTCTATTTCACATCCCCTTCTTTTCGAACTCCAGTTTTATTGTATATAAGGGTATTTGATATTATTCTATTGCTAACAGATGCCCTGTTGATATTTTAAAACCTTTTACTCTCCCTGTGGTCTTTTTAACATAATTTGTATTGCTATTTTTTCAAGTTTACTAATATTTTCTTCTGCCATGCCTGATCTCATATTAGTCCCTTCTTACTTTTTTAAATCCCACTATTTATTTCATACATTATATATTTTCATTTCTAGCAGTTGTATTTGGGTTTTTTTTTTTTTTTGGTGTTTTCTTGTTCCTCCCTCTTCTTTAATTAACATAATATAGTAACAAAACTTTATAGCTATTTAAAAATCTTTATCTCTGAATTCATGTTCTTCCTCAGTTCCTTGTCTGCTTCTATTGTTTTTTTTCTCCTTGTCGTGATTTACTTAATTTTGCTTCTTTACATGTCTAGTAATTTTGACTGGATTCTGGATATTGTGATATTTTGTTGTGAATTGTCTGAAATTTATTGTTTTTATTGTATGAGGATTGGGCTTTGTTCTGGCAGACTCTTAATTAGTTCCAGTTTAGTGTGATCTTTTTAGGCTTACCTTTAATCATTGTCAGAGCAGATCTACACTCGTCTTTATTCCGTAAGTTGTTTACTTTCACTGAAAAGGCCTGGTTCTTCTGGAGTCTCTCATGAATGTCCTGAGTAATCAGTGAATACTTGTTACTCAGGCTGGTCGACACCCAAACATTTTCTAGCACTGAATTGACTATGGAAACCACTTTGCTCACGGTTCCTCCATGCTGTTTGCCCTACTTCATGGAATCTTGCCCTTGGTGTCCAACAAGCAAGTATTTCTCTATAGATTTCTGGAGCTCTTTTTCTGTTTAACTCTTTTGTTTCTAAAACTGCAGCACTCAGCAACTTTGGTCTCCTTAAACTTTAAATTCTGTAACTTTAAATTCAGTGAGGCCCGAATGCTATGCTTGCCTTATTTCCTATTGCTCTGTGGTCCAAGGTGTGCCTCCAGTCAGAATGCCAGGTGATCTAAAGGACTACCTTGTTGTTTTCCTTCTCTGAGCAACCACAGAACCTTGCTGCCTATTGCAAAATGTCTGAAAATGATTGTTTTATATACTTTCTAGCAGAACATGTGAAATGAAAAAATTTGGACTGTGTTATTCTATTATGGCCAGAAAAGAGGTCCTATATGTTTCAACTTATCCTAATTGTGCTTAAAAACAATTTCATGATAATATTATTAGTGATCAATAAATTATAAGCACTCACTAATAAAATAGCAAGGATTGGATTAATATTCTAGTTGAATAGTTAATTGATATAATATCAGGTTTACTAAATAATTTAATTCAGCAGTCTTCTGAAAATAATTCAGTACACTAACAGATAACTTCCAGTTTCTAAATATTCAGATGGACTCAAATTAGCGAGATTCCTCATGAGTAAGAGACAGAGAGCAGAACATTTGGATACATTTATTGAGTTTAAAGAAACCAACCTTTTCATTCATCCAAACCTGATTTTTGATCAGAGCAGCATCAGGAACAATCACTTGGAAACATTTTTCAAAAGACGTATGATTCTTGAAGATAACATCCTTTTTGCAGATATATGCCAAAACTGAAAAATATTTTTCAAATTGCGTAACATCTTTGTATTTGATAGAAATAGTCATATATTGGGAGGAAAGAACTGAAGTGCTTAAAAAATCATCTTAGCTTTTCCTTTGTCTCATTCTGCTAGGAAAACAAAAATTAACAGGGATTGTACTTTAGGAAATAAGATTTTGCTTTCAACACACTCTTGTTAATTAGATCTAAACTATGTCACTATAGTATCTAGATTTGATGAACGAATATTATATATAGTGTGTGGTCATGGCAATGTCACAAATTACAAACTGAGTAATATTTTTCTTCCTTTACTTTCATAGAGCTTAGTGGTGTGTGATTGAGTCCCATTTACAGCATTAACCAGCTCAGTAATATTGAGACAATTATTTTACCTTTACTGTACATTAGTTTTCTCTTTTTTAAAGTTGTGTAAAAATGGTATATACCTCATAAACATGTTAATGCACTTACAACAGATTCTCATACATAGTAAATACTTAATACACACTGACGAACTTATTAGCATTAAGGGTAATAACTTCACCTCTGCTCCTTACCTCTCTTATTTTCTAGTCTCTTCTCCTAATCATTATTTTTCTTCAGTACCTTCTATTTCCTCCTTGCTTTAAGCTTCAGTATAAAGACATATGTAAATGAAATAAAGCAAAATATCTCCCTTGACCATATACCTCTCCGGCCATCAGCCCAGTCTCTCTCCTTTTCCATGGGATGTGATCATCACTCTATTATTTTGTATTTCTGCTTTCTTCCCATTCTCAACCTCACCTCCAGTTATTTACTCTTTAATCTGAAGTATTCAGATCTATCTTCTTAGAATCTAGTGTTCTTTTTTATTGTTGTTACTGTTGCTCAAAAGTTTTCTAATCTGTGAAATAGCCATGATAACATGTGAAGCTGGTCTTCTTATAAGTGGAGAAAATTAAATGAGATAACAGGGAAGCGTGAAAAGTTGTCCATTATCCATCCCTTTTACTTCTTCCAAGTACTTCCAGCACTGGTCCACACTTAACTTCCAGAAACCAATGCTGTGTCCCATCTCCATCTTTCTGTCTCTGCTGTTCTACCAGGAATCTTTTTGCCACGTTGGAGGAATGTCATATCCTCCAGGGAGGAATGTCATATCCTCCAGTAAGGTTTAATGTGTTAGATGTTTCTCCTCTATGTTTATCTATATTTTACTTGGCAGAATGTAATTTTCTAATTATGGATATGTTTTACCCTTTAACCAAGAGTAAGAATTTCAACTTATTTATCTTTATATTTTGAGTACTTTGCCTAGTTTCTGTAGGTCGTGTTTTAACCATTTATAATAAAGCCCTAATGTGTGTCTGAGTGTGTAGCATTTTCACAACCAAAATTATCTAACCTCAAAATATCTTCAAAAGATGAATTCTATCTTTCTGATAAAGAAACTGAATATGAAAGAATCTTGATAATTTTTTCAAAATGTAACTAACTTGAGAGCAGGAAGTGGATACAATGTTTAATTCTCACATTTTGCTTGTTCAGAGTTGTACAGGGACTATGACTGACAGGATGCTCATTGTCTAAGCAGGCCCCTGTGTTGTTTTCTATTCTTGCATTGGTCATTTCCTCCATTGTGATCCACCCAAGGTTAATGATATGTTTATTTTTGTGTTTGCTTAATCATCTCTTATCTCCAGCACTGGCTTTTAAGTTTGTTTCATCTATAACTTGATTAAAAGAGCACAACCTTTGTCCATTTTGTTCACTGATGGACCACCAGCACGTAGCAGGTTCTTAAGATTAAGGCAAACCTATTTGCCCATCTCCCTGAACTTTTTAGAATCATAACGTTATTTGTAGAAAGAATAGGAACATAATGCAAAGGGCATAGAACTTTAAGCTAGATTGAGCCCAGGTAGCTTTTCCACCAATTTCATCAATTACTCTGAGCAAAACACTGAATCCCACGTTTTTCTATAAAATGGTACTAACAAAGCCTGTTGGCATGGCTAGCTTGAGAAAATCATTCAAGTAATAAATGTAGGGGCAAGTTGTACTCATTCATGCTTGTGGTCCTAGCTACACAAGAGGCAGAGGCGAGCTGATGGCTTGAGTCCAAGAGTTCGAGACTGCGGTGAGCTTGCATCACAGCATTGCATTCCAGTGTGGGCAACAGAGGCTGTCAAAAACAAAACAAAACAAATAACAAAAAAATCACACCTAAGTAAATACTTCTTTAAAAAAAAGTAATATTAGGTTGGTGCAAAAGTAATTGTGGTTACACACCATGAATTTTAAATCATTATAACTAGGCTCAAACACATCTTCATTAATCAAAATAGGAACCATTACAATCAACATACTTTTGCTGATGAGAAATAAGTTTGTTTAATTCTTTAGGGTAAAAATCCATGCTCTGGGATTTGACAAACTCTTGGAAAGCATTTTCTGCACCCTGCTGGTTGTGGAAGCATTTTCCCTAAAAAAAAGTTGTCGAGATTCTTGAAGAGTGGTAGTCAGTTGGTGACAGGTCAGGTGAATATGACAGATGAAGCAAAACTACGTAGCCCAATTCATGCAACTTTTGAAGAAGAACTGATGTGCGGTCAGGTGTTGCCATGGAGAAGAATTGGGCCCTTTCTGTTGACCAATGTTGGCTTCAGGTGTTGCAGTTTTTGGTGCATCTCCTCGATTTGCTGAGCATACTTCTCAGATGTAATGGTTTCACCAGGATTCAGAAATCTGTAGTGGATCGGACTGGCAGCAGACCACCAAACAGTGACTATCACTTTTTTTTGGTGCAAGTTTAGCTTTAGAAAGGGCTTTGGGGCTTCTTCCCGGCCCAACCACTGAGTTGGTAGTCGCCAGTTGTTGTATAAAGTCCACTTTTTGCTGCACATCACAACTGGATGGAGAAATGGCTCTGTGTTGTGTAGAATAAAAAAAGATGACACTTCAAAGTGTTTTTTTTTTTTTTTTTTTTTTTTTAGTTTTGCTCAGTTCATGAGGCACCCACTTATAGAGCTTTTTCAAAACCTTTCCAATTTGCTTCAAATGCCGAACGACTGCAGAATGGTCATTGTTGAGTTCTTCGGCAACTTCTCGTGTAGTTGTAAGAGGATCAACTTCTGTGATTGCTCTCAATTGGTTGTTGTCAACTTCCGATGGCCGGCCACTCACTCCTCATCTTTGAGGCTGTTGTCTCCTTTGCAAAATGTCTTGAACCACCACTGCACCGTACATTTGTTAGCAGTTCCTGGGCCAAATGCGTTGTTGATGTGAGTTGTCTCAGCTGCTTCACTACCCATTTTGAACCAGAATAAGAAAATCGCTTGAATTTCCTTTTTGTCTAACATCATTTCCATAGTCTAAAATAAACATAAACAGCAAGTACTAAGTCATTCACAAAAAAACATAAAACAAGAAATGCCCATTAAAATGATATATAACATAACCACATTTGTTTAAGAATGTACAACAATATCAAATGGCAAATTCTAACAATGCAAAAATTGCAATTACTTTTGCACTCACCTAACTTTAATCAACCTGGGTTTCAGCAAATATGTTATTTCCATTTCTTCTCAGATGTCTCATTCATATATTACACTCAATGTGGAGAGAAATTTTATTTACTTTGTGAAAATAAGAATTGTTATTTTAAAGAATAACAGTGTTGATTAAATTTATCTGAAAGTTCTAGCCTTTAAGGTGAATTCATAAAATGAACATTTCCACAGCTCTCTCCTTGTCCTCTTGTGATAATTAGTAAAGAGAGGGAAATTAGAAAAAAAAATCCACTTGACCCAAATTTATAAATTGAAAGAAGTGCATTGCAAGGACATATGGTAATTCATTTAGCAAATATTAATGGGGCATCTATTATGTGCATAGTGCAGTAATAAATATTAGGTAAGTGCTTTCTATGTTCTATATTAGGTAAGTAATAAATATTCAGTAAATGCCTTCTGTGTTCTAGGTATTGGAAATATAAGCATTGACAAAGCGTACAAGTCCCTGTCTTCATTGAGCATATATGCTTTAGGGACTTAAAAGTACTTGACAAATCAGGCCGGGCGCGGTGGCTCACGCATGTAATCCCAGCACTTTGGGAGGCCGAGGCGGGTGGATCACGAAGTCAGGAGAGTGAGACCACGGTGAAACCCCGTCTCTACTAAAAATACAAAAAAAATTAGCCGGGCGTGGTGGCGGGCACCTGTAGTCCCAGCTACTCGGAGAGGCTGAGGCAGGAGAATGGCGTGAACCCGGGAGGCGGAGCTTGCAGTGAGCCGAGACTGCGCCACTGCACTCCAGCCTGGGTGACAGAGCGAGACTCCGTCTCAAAAAAAAAAAAAAAAAAAAAAAAGTGCTTGACAAATCATAAACTCTTCAACAAAAATTCAAGGTGCTGGAATAATTTTCCACAGCCATAGAAAAATAGTAACATTACAGCAAAAGTAGTAACATAAAGTAGTAACATTAATAGTCATTCATTTGCACCATATTTTTGAGAGGCCACTATGTAACAACATTGACCGGAATAGCATTTTTAATGAAACACAATTCCCCAACTAAGTAGCATTAGCTTCTCAATTTAGGTGTTCAGTCTGCACAGTCCAAATTCCAATGAGTTGATTTAATCTCTGGGATGGCTAGAATTAGATTTCCCAGACTCAAAGTATAATTCAGAATTATTTCAAACTAATAAGACTGTCAGTACTGATTTGAGACTTTTAAATTTTTTTAAGAGATGAGGGTTTGCTATGCCACCTGGGCTGGAATGCAGTGGTACCATCATAGCTTGCTGCAGCCTTTAACTCCCGGGCTCAAGCAATCTTCTTACCTCAGCCTCTAGAATAGCTGGGACTATAGGAGTGCACCACCACACACAGCTTACTGAGTTTATTTTAACAGAAAAAGTAAATTTTTGATATTGACCAAAGTCATGAAGTATAGTTCTCAAGACCTAAGTACTAATAATTATTGTCTAATGTGCTCCTGGTTTGGTGTTTAGGACTAAACCCAGATTGGGATTATTTATCAGTGAACTATAGAGAGATGTCCTCAGTTTAAACTTTAGGTAATTCTGCCATTGTAACAGACAGTTTTATCAATGAACAGTACAGTGATTTAACAATGGCTATACTAATTTGCTCACTGACATATCTCCACATTTGACCTATGAGCAAAATTTGGTCTCTACCATAGACAGTATAAGTCTTCTGGAAATAGGCCTTTTATTGAATTAATCATGTATCCTGTATTCTACACTCACACCAATTTTTGCATAACTTTATCATAAGTCTTATCCCATGGTATTATAATAATCTCTTGTCAATGTCTGTCATTCAAAACCTATCTCCACTACTTAGCATCTGTGCAATCTCTGTCTCCTGTAACATGGTGATAATATGTCTTTTACAGATTTGCAACCATGAAATGATGCATAAAGTGCCCAGCAGAATTATCACATAGCCATCTTTTTTATTATTGTTGTTTCACATAAAACTGGCTGTAGCTAAATTTTGTCATGACTGTCTCCAAATTGTAGATCTGCTCCCCTGCGTTTGACCATCATTTGTATTTAGCTAGGGCTGCATATGTGGTCACTTTTAAAATTCAATGATTCTTAACATAAACAGATGGAGCCAGCAATTTGGAACCACACTCACCTAAATTGTGAGAGCTTTCGGCGCTGGGCTATGTTTGCTTACCTTCAAATCTCAGTTTTAGATAATCCTGGCATATAGTTGATACTCAATATGTATTTATTAAGAGGATAAAATAAATATTTGCATATTATTACATGATAACAGATAAAATGCAACTCTAATAGCCATTTTGACTAATTTAAGGGTGATACATTTGAGAAACCAGGCTATTCTGGTAAACTGTTTATTACATATTAATTTACAGCTTACATAAGCCAGTTTATTCAACTGTAAATTTTACTGTATAGAACCAAATTCGAGATTTTTATTGTTTGTTTAGTTTCATTAGAAGTCAATGCTTGCTTATTATCATTAAAAAGTAATAACAGCTAAGTTAGTTTTTTTTAATTTATCAGAAAGAACCCCAGGCTGAGTGATGGAGCTGTTTGAAATCTACTGGTTTGCTGAGTGTTTCTTAGCAAGTTATTTGGAAATATAGAAATGCAGAGGGGAAATATAGATTTTGGATTTTGAAAAGCCAAGAAACAAATTTACCTAAGCGTGAGTTTCCTCATTTGTAAATGGCATTAGTGATTCCTTCTGTGTCAGGTTACTAAAAGGATTAAATAAAATAATGCATTGTAAAATGCAGTAGGTACTAAATAATTTATTCCTCTTTCTAAGAGTAATTGTCTGCATTTATACAACAGAGTTAATATTTCTATTGTAGCATTATTGGGTTTGAAGTGAAGTATCTGATGTGTCTTTTAAATTATAAATTGATATTGGAATGTCATTATTACATGTGAAATTATTAACAGAGCTGAAAATATTTTATTCCAAATATTCTAAAGACTTTAAGACATGTTTAAAAAATTTATTTTGACAAAAATAAATTTGTTGTAAAAAATTAAAATTAGACTCTGCCCTAATTTTAGAACCTACAGATTACATATTCTCACAGTAAAGATCTGTGCCTATCTATCTTTCACCAGATCGAATCACCATTTTTTGCTTTTAAGTCATATGCTGGTGTAGATTTTATTGATGAGCAAATGACACCTGAATTGCCCATAAGACATTCTTGAAAGCGCAGAGATATATTTTTCTTTCTTTTTTCTACTACAAGGATATTACTTAACCAATTATCCCTCTAGTGCCCAAATTAGTAGAAGCCTGAACAAATTACCACTTTTTTCAAAGCTTAGAATAGCAGTTTAGGTGCAGATGGCCTCTAGCATATTATATTACAGTTGCCTCTCATTTGTCCAACAACACTGGAAAATGTGCTATTTCCTAAGAGACAATTTTGCAAATAACTAAAAGCTGTCCTTTTAATAAAGCAACTACATTTGGTTAGTTATTGAAATGAAAACTTTATAAATAAACTTCATATTTCTCTACTTTTTAAACTAAAATCATATCCATTTTTGTGCTGTGCTATAATTTTAGATATCCTCATGGGTGTGAAGCATGAAAGCTTATTTTCTCTTGCACTAAATGACCCAATTGCAGTGCTTGAAATTATCATGTCCTTAACTTTACTTGTTTTGTTGACTCTTTCTGGAAGATCAGTTTTTGGCTTGTTCTGTTGTAGCATCTTTCTCTGTCCACATCTATCAACTGCTGTTAGTCTTGAAGATGGTTTGAAATAGGGTGGCTGGCTTCTGCTTGCCCCAGGCTTTCCTAGTTTTCGTTCTACAGTCCCCAACTCCTGTGGAACCCTTCAATTAGGGACATTAGGGGCAATTGGTCCCTCTACTTGCAAGCTGTCATCCTGCAACACTGACAGTCTAGCATGTTATACATCTTGGTAAAGAATGAGTGAATAGAATTTGAATATGAGCCTGATAACCTCCTTAAAAAATGTAATTAATAAATGTTGTCACATGGATTCTAACTCTAATTTTAAGGCCAGTGTTTGTTCTCTTAGGCATACTCGGCTTGGTTCTGGATAGCTGAGATTTTAGAATATAGCATACCTCTCCCTCTAGGTGGGGGACTATGAACCGGACTACCTTAACTAACTCTAGTTTAGTTCGATTCTACCCATTAATAAGAAATTGCTTGAAAGTCGCCAGATAGTGTCTCCACAGTGAAAACTGTGTTTAGGAGTTAAGAATGAAAATTAGTCTGCTGAAGCACTGGGAGTGGTGGCTCACATCTGTAATCTCATCACCTGGGGAGGCAGGAAGACTGCTTGAGGCCAGGAATTTGAGACCAGCCTGGGTGACAGAGTGAGACCTTGCATCTACAAAAAAAAAAAGTGACAGTCAAGCCCCCACTGGTGCCTTGCCCTCACTAATGTGCACACATCCTGCTGCACTGCCATCACTGATGACACATGTATATGAGAGCAAATCCCACTACCGCTGTCCATGTGAAGTACTTTGACCAGCATCCCCCATCACAGTGGTGTTGCAAATGGACTGGGAACACCTTGGGCCCTGCAGCACAGCAGGTCCTGAACCTTGAGGGGCCAGAGAACAAAGCCATGCACCTGATACCAGTCCCCCAGGGTGAGAGCATGCAGACCAGAAGTGATGAGCTAAGCCTTGTCCTGCTGAAGTTATCCAGAAAAAAGCCAGTTTACTAAACCCACCTTATGCCACAGTCAAGCCTCCAAGTGCATCAAAGAATATACAAGAAGAAAAAAAAAAACCTTATCTAAAGGAAAGCAACTTCAAAGATTAAATGAACACCAGCTTACACAGATGGGAAAGGACCAGTGTAAGAACTCTGACGACTCAAAGTCACAGTATTTTCCTACCTTCAAATTCAAATTACCACACTTAGTTTTCCAGAAATGGTTCTTAATTAGGCTGAAATAGCTGAAGTGACAGACATAGGATTCAGAATCTAGATAGGAATCAAGATCATTGAGATTCAGGAAAAAGTCAAAATCCAACCCAAGAAATCTAAGGAATCCAATAAAATAATACAAGAGCTGAAATACTAAACAGCCATTTTTAAAGAAAGAACAAAACTGTTCTGATAGAGCCAAATAACTCATTAAAATAATTTTATAATACAATTGGAAGTATCAATAGAAGAATAGACCAAGTTGAGGAAAGAATTCTTACAGCCTGAAGACCAGTTCTTCAAATCAACTCAGTCAGAAAATTAAAAAAAAAAACAGAAAGAATAAAAAATAATAAAACCTCCAAGAAATATAGGATTATGTAAAAAGACCAAACATATGATTCATTGGCATCCCTGAAAGAGAGGGAGAGAGAACAAGCAACTTGGAAAACATATTTGAAGATATTGTCCGTGAAAATGTTCTCAACCTCACTGAAGAGGTCAACATTCATTTTCAGGAAATGCAGAGAACTCCCGTGAGATACTATACAAGATGATTATCCTGAAGAAACATAGTCATCAGATTCTCCAAGGGCAAAGTGAAAGACAATATTAAATGTAGCTAGACAGAAGGGGGAGGTTGCTTACAGAGAGAACATCTTTAGGTTAACAGTAGACGTTTCAGCAGAAACCATACAAACCAGAAGAGATTGAGAGCCTATATTCAGCATTCTTTTAAAAAAGGAATTCCCAACTAAGAATTTCATATCCAGCCAAACTAAGCTTCATAGGCAAAAGAGGAAATGAGATCCTTTTCAGATAAGCAGATGCTATGGGAATTCATTACCACCAAAACCCCCATTCCACAGAGGCCACTATTAAATATTTCCTCGCACAAGCAACTGCATCCATAATCATCATAATAGCCATTCTCTCTAATAACCTGCTTTCCAGACAGTGAACCACAATCAACACCACTAACCAATATTCATCTTTAATAATAATAATAGCCCTTGTAATAAAATTAGGAATAGCCCCCTTCCACTTCTGAGTCCCAGAAGTTACTCAAGGAACCCCCGCTAATACCCAGCCTACTCCTCCTCACATGACAAAAACTAACCCCATTTCAATTACATATCAAATCTCCCCATTAGTAAACATAAATATTATTCTTACCCTTTCAATTTTATCTATCATGGCAGGCTGGACTTAATCAAACACAACTACGTAAAATCCTAGCATACTCCCCAATCACTCACATAGGCTGAATAATAGCAGTGCTAATATACAACCCAAATATTACCATTTTTAACCTAGCCATCTATTTTATTCTAACAACTACTGCATTCCTAGTACTCAACCTAAACTCAAGCACTACAACCCTATTACTATCTCACACCTGAAACAACTTAACCTGATTAACACCCCTGATCCCATCTATTCTACTATCACTGGGGAAAGACCTGCCTTATAAAATGTTTTAAAGGAGTGCTAAACATGGAAATAAAAAACTGTTACTGGCCACCACAAAAACACACTTAAGTATATAGATCATTGACACTATGATCAGCTATACAATAAAATCTGCATAGCAACCAGCTAACAACATGATGACAGGATCAAATCTGCACATATCAATATTAACCTTAAACATAACTGGGCTAAATGCCCCACTTAAAAGGCACACATAGTGGTCAAATGGAGAAAGGAGCAAGACCCAGCTGTATTCTGTCTTCAAGAGATTATCTCACATGCAATGACATTGATAGGCTTAAAGTAAATGGATGGAGATAAATCTACCAAGCAAATGGAAAACAAAAAAAAAAAAAGAACAGGGGTTGCTATACTAATTTCAGACAAAACAGACTTTAAATCAACAGTGTAAGAAGACAAGGAAGAGCATTACATAATGATAAAAAGTACAATATGTATGAATATGTATGCACCCAACACTGGATTACCCAAGTTGATTAAACAAGATCTTAAAGACTACAAAGAGACTTAGATAAACACACAACAATATTGGGAGACTTCAAGACCTCATTGACAGTATTAGACAGATTACTGAGTCAGAAAACTAACAATGATATTAAAGACCTGAACTCGGCACTTGACCAAATGGATCTAACAGGCATCTACAGAACACTCCACTCGACAACAACGAAATATACATTCTTTTCATCTGCATATGGCACATACTCTAAAATTAACCATACAATCTGTCATAAAACAATTCGCAACAAATTCATAAAAACCAAACTCATACCAACCACACTGTCAGATCACAGCATAATAAAAATAGAAATCAATACTAAGAAAATCTCACTAAACCATATAATTACATGAAAATTAAACAACCTGCTTCTGAATGACCTTTGGGTAAACAAGTTAAGGGAGAAATTAACAAATTATTTGAAAGTAATGAAAACAGTGATAAAACATACCAGAATTTCAGGGGCACAGCTAAAGCAGTGTTAAGAAGAAATTTTATAGCACCAAATGCCCACATCAAAAAGTTAGAAGGATTTCAAATTAAGAATCTAACATTAAGCCTAGAGAAAATAGAAAAAAAAAAGAGCAAACACATCCTAAAGCTAGCAGAAGAAAATAAATCACCAAAATCAGAGTGAAATGGAGTTGTGAAAAACCATACAAAAGGTCACCAAAACCAAAAGTCAGTATGTTAAAAGAATAAATAAGATTTATACAGCACTAGCTAGGCTAACAAAGGAAAAAAGAGAGAACATCCAAAGAAACACAATCAGAAAAGTCAAAGGGAACATTACCACCAATGCCAAAGAAATACAAAAAATCCTCAGAGACTATTATGAACACCTCTATGCATACAAACTAGAAAACCTACAATAAATAGATAAAATGTAGAAAACTTACAACCTCTCAAGATTGCACCAGGAAAAAATGAAACCATGAACAGACCAACAATGAGTTCTGAAACCGAATCAAAAATAAAAAGCCTACCAACCAGAAAAAGCCCAGGACCAGAAAAATTCACATCTGAATTCTACCAGATGTCCTAAGTAAAGCTGGTATCAATTCTACTGCAACTATTACAAAAAATTGAAGAGGAGAAACTCGTCCCTAACTCAGCATAATTCTGATACCAAAACCTAGCAGAGACAAAACAAAAAAGAAAGAAAAAAGAAAAAAAACTTCAGGTCAATATCCCTGATAAACATAGATGCAAAAATCATCAGCAATATACTAGCAAAATGAATCCAGCAACACATCAAAAAGCTAATCCACCATGATCAAGTAGGCTTTATTACTGGGATACAAGATTGGTTCAATATACACACGTCAATAAATGTGATTCATCACATCAACAGAATTAAAAACAAAAATCATACGATCATCTCAATACATGAGGAAAACACGTTGGATAAGGCTCAACATCCCTTCATGTTGAAAATCATCAAAAAACTAGGAATTGAAGGAACATAGCTCAAAATAATAAGAGCCATCTATATTGATAAGTTATGTAGGAATACAGCTAACCAGAAAGGTGAAATATCTCTACAGTGAGAATTAAAGTACACTACTGAAAGAAATCAGAGATGACATAAACAAATGGAAAAACTTTCCATGTTCATGGATAGAAAGAATCAAAACTCACACTCAACTTTGTACTAAACTGGCAAAAGCCCAAAGTGTTCCCCTTGAGGACCAAAACAAGACTCTCTGTACTCTTATTCACCATTGTACTGGAAGTCCTGGTCAGAGCAATCAGGCAAAATAAAGAAATAAAAGGCATCCAAATAAGAAGAGAGGAAGTCAAACTATCTCTCTTTGCTGATTATATGATTTTATACTTAGAAAACTCCATACTGTCTTCTCCAAAGCTCCTAGATCTGATAAACAACTTCAGCAAACTTTCAGGATACAAAATACATGTACAAGAATCAGTAGCATTTCTACACACCTATAAGTATAGCTAACCAGGGAGGTGAAAGATCTGTACAATGAGAATTACAAAACACTGTTGAAAGAAATCAGAGATGACACAAACAAATGAAAACCTTTCCATGCTCATGGATAGAATTATTATTGTTAAAATAGCCATGCTGCCCAAAGCAATTTATGGATTCAGTGCTATTCCTATCAAACTACCAATGACATTTTTCACAGCATTAGAAAAAAAAATTTTTTTAAATTATATGGAAACAAAATAAAGCTCAAATAGCCTAAGAAATCCTAAGGAAAAAAAAAAAAAAGCCAGAGGAATCACATTACCTGATATCAAACTGTACTACAGGGCTACAGTAACCAAAACATGTTTCTGACACCAAAACAGACACATAGACTAATGTAACAGAATAGAGAACACAGAAATAAAGCTGCACACCTACAACCATCTGATTTTCAGTAAAGTTGACAAAGATAAGCAAGGGGGAAAGACTCCATACTCAATAAATGGTGCTGGGATAACAGGCTAGCCATATGCAGAAGATTGAAACTGGACTCCTTTCTTTCACCATATTAAAAAAATATTAAATTGGATTAAAGACTTAAATATATAATTTAAAACTATAAAAGCCCTAGAAGAAAACCTAGGAAATATCACTCTGCACTTAAGCCCTGGCTAAGATTTCATGATGAAATTGCCAAAAGCAATTGTAGTAAAAACAAAAATTGACAAATGGGGTTTAATTAAGCTAAAGGGCTTCTGCATAGCAAAAGAAACTATCAACAAAGTAAACAGACAACACACAGAATGAGAGCAAATATTTTCAAACTATATGACAAAGGTCTAATATCAAAGTCTATAGGGAACTTAAACAAATTAACAAGCAAAAACCAAACAACCGCATTTTTAAAAATGGGCAAAGGACAAGAACAGAGACTTCTTCAAAGAAGACATACACATGGCCAACAAGAATATGAAAAAAATGTTCAACATCACTAATGATTAGAGAAATGCAAATAAAAACCACAATAGCATACTATCTCACACCAGTCAGAATGGCTATTATTAAAAAGTCAAAAAATAACAGATGCTGATGAGGTTGCAGAAAAAAGGGAACACTTTTACACTGCTATTGGGATTGTAAATTAGTTTAGCCACTGTCGAAAGCAGTTTGGAGATTTCTCAAAGAACTTAAAGTAGAACTACCATTCAACTCAGCAATCCCATTTTTGGGTATGTTCCCAAAGGAATATATAAATTGTTCTACCATAAAGGCACATGCACGTGTATGTTAATTACAGCACCCCATTTACAATGGCAAAGACATGGAGACAACCATGGTACATATACCTCATGACAACAAAGACAACATGGTACATATACACCATGGAATACTACACAGCCATAAAAAGAACAAGATCGTGTCCTTTGCAGCATGGTTGCAATTGAAGGCCATTTTCCTAAGTGAATTAATACAGGAATAAAAAACCAAATATATACATTCTCACTAATAAGTGGGAGCTAAACATTGAGTACACATGTACGCAAAGAAGAAAACAGATCCCGAGTCCCACTTAAAGGTGGAGGGTGTGACGAGGGTGAGGTTCAAAAAACCACCTATCAAGCACTATTCTTATTACATAGGTGACAAAACAATCTGTACACCAAACTTCAAAAACACTTAATTTACACATGTAACAAACCTGCACATGTACCTGCCGAACCTAAAATAAAATTTGCAAAGAAAAGTAAATCCGTCGCTGAAAGTCTGTTTGTGTTGTCCTGTTGAATGGAAAACTTGCAAACAATTCAGGAAGCAAGAAGGTAGAGCTTAGAAGCATGGCTAAAGTTTCCATAAACACCTCTCTTGTGTAAAGCCAGCGAGAAGTGGGTGCACATCAGGAGTAGTGGGAAATCCTCTGGGGTTTTGGTCTGGCCTGGATATGAATATCGACTCTGGGGTTGTTTAACTGAGAAGCTTTAGAACAGTCTCTTAGATTAGTCTTTTAAATCCCTCTTCCAACATTAGAAAAAGAGAAAATGAGCTTGATTATGGGAAAGCATGCAGGCTCACTGCCCCTTGTGTCTTTCTGCATCCTTCCTTTTCCGCTCCCATTGCTTTGAAATTAAAGGCTCTCTTTCCAATGGTTCAAACCACACTGGCCTCCTTACTTTCCTTGAACACATTAAGTCCAGTCCTCAAGTTGATGTATTTTTAGCATGGGATGCTCTTCCTTTAGAAATCCACATGATTCACTCTGTGAATCAAGGTCTGCACAAAATTTACCACATTCAGTGGCTTTTCCCCAAGCATCCTCCTCATAAAGCATACCTTGTTTTATTGTGCTTTGCCTTATTGCACTTTGCAGATAGTGTTGTTTTTTTCTTTCAAATTGAAGGTTTGTAGCAACCCTGTGTTGAGCAAGCCTGTATTTTCAACAGCATGTACCAACTTCATGTCTCTGTGTCAGTTTGGTAATTCTCACAGTATTTCAAATTATTTCATCATTATTTTGTCTGTTATGGTGATCTGTGATCAGGGATCTTTGATGTTACTAGTGAAATTGTTTTGAGATGTCACAAGCGGTGCCCAGATAAGATGGCAAGCTTAATGGATAAATATTGTACATTTTCTGACTGCTCCATTCACTGACTGACCATTTTCCATCTCTTTCTTTCAACGTGGGCTGCCCTATTACCTGAGACAAAGGAATATTAAAATTTGGCCAACCAAATCCTACAATGGACTCTAAGTATTCAAGTGAAAGAGTTGCATGTCTCTCACTTTAAATATGCAGGAAGCATGCTGAATGCTGAGATAGGCTGAAAGTTGGGCTTCTTGTGCCAAACAGCCAAGTTATAAGTGAAAAGAAAATGTTCTTGAAGGAAATTCAAAAAGCCTATTGCTGATATGGTCTATATAGAAGATCAAACCAGCCACAATATTTCCTTAATGCAAGGCCTAATGCAGAGCAAGGCCCTAACTCTCTTTAATTCTGTAAAGACTGAGAAAGGTGAGAGAGCTGCAGAAGAAAAGTCTGAAACTAACAGAGGTAGGTTCATGAGGTTTAAGGAAAGACACTATCCTTAACATAAAAGTGCAAGGTGAAGCTGAAAGTTCTGATGCACTAGCTGCAGCAAATTATCAAGAAGATCGATCTACGATTATTGGTGAAGGTGACTACACTCAACAACAGATTTTTGATGTAGACATAATGGTGTCCTATTGGAAGAAGATGCCATTTAGGACTTTTATAGCTACAGAGGAGAAGTCAATGTCTTCCTTCAAAGCTGCAGAGGACAGACTGACTCTCTTGTTAGGGGCTAATGGAGCTGGGGACTTTAAGTTGAGGCCAAGGCTCACTGACCATTTCAAAAATCCTAGGACCCTTAAGAATTATGCTAAGGCAACTCTTAGCAGTCAAAGAGGCAGATATGACATTCAGCAATGATTCTGACTGTGTACTCACACAGCTTGCTCAAGACACGTTGACTTCTCTGATTCTCAGCTTCATTTGACTGTAGGGGGACTATTACTTGCTTGGCTCATCTCAGTCTCACAGAGCAGTCATGTGGGTCAAGTATGACATTTAATGCAAAAGGGCCTTGACAATGTAAAGTGGTACATGAAAAAAGTTCGTTCTTACATGAACATTGACAGCATTATGTGTTGAAATCAGAGTCCTCTCACTGATACAGATGTGATTGGGATGTGGGAGGAAAATACTAGAATTTCTCTTTCTACATAAGTTTTACCTCTTCTGTAGTTCCTGTTTTTATGTTTATTTTACAAAGCATATGGTATATAACTTGTCAATTAACAAACTATGCAGGCATTTGTGGTGCATGTTAAGAATTTTTTTTTCTTATGGGATTCACAAACAAGAAAGCTCAGAGAGCATGATTTCAAACTGTAATTAGCATTAATTGTGTGTTTCTACCTGAACTGCCCACAGAATTTAATGAATAGACACCTAGATAAAACCTAACTTGTACCAGACACTGTTCTAAGAACTTTCCAAATATTGACTTGTGCAATATGAATAGAAATATAAGTTTAAAATGAGCTTTATTCTAGTTCATACATTCTCAACTGCATCCAAAGAAGTGAAAATTCGTTCTTGGCAGAAGAGGAGGGGATTTTACTCTTTTCAAAGTACAAATCTACATACACTATACAAACATGGAGTGTTTATCTGTAGTATGGAAATTTCATGGGTATCAATTAGAAAAATGATATCTAGAAAGGTTCATTAGTTGGTGTTAATTAAAAATAATAAACCTAAAAGATGAGAAACACTGACGTAGACACTGTAGTAATATAAGTTATTTTTGAAAGGTACTGGTACTCAAGTGAGGTAGAAACTTTTAAAATAGAACCAAATTGTGTGCAAATACTTTATAATGACACATATTTATAGCAGATGAATTTTAGTATGCAATTTGCTTGGAAGAAGAAAAAAACAAAAATAAGATCTGAAAAATGTTTACTTGTACATCAGCATGCAAAACCGCTCCAAAATTGTTAGAGCCATTTATATGAACAAGAAGTTGCATTTATTAGTAATTTTTAGGCTTTTGAAATGCATGTGCTTACACAATTTCATTGAATCTTTATAACAACTTTGTGAGGTAGATATTATTTAGCAATGCATTTTACAAACAAGGAAAATGATGTTTTAGGAAGTAAAGTAAGAGAACGCAAACCTCATTCTTTTAGTTTAAGACGGTTGTATCTCTCAATAAGAGCGAGATTTTGAAATTTTTTATGTAACTATTATAACATTCTTATGTTAACATTTGTATTATCACTAAAACAACAAAACTGTTTATTATAATTTAGAACATTTGCTTCTTTTAGCCATGTGTTATAGTATTTCAACACAATTTTTATACAGTAACAATATTACAATATTATTATTGCTAGTTTGAATACTTTTCCTTGAGGTATGGGTTGAAATGACCTACCCTTTTGTTTTAGAAAAATTATGCCATTCACCATAAATTAGTTCTACCTGTGTTTGAACTTTATGTAAATAAATCCATTGAGTATATATTCCTTTGCATTGACTTATTTTACTCCAAATTATGTTTGTGATGTTTATCCATATCAGTGTATGCAATAGGAATTGGCTTATTTATATTGCTGTATAGTATTCCATGGTATGAATATACCCTAACCTGTGTCTTCACTCTGCTTATGAATATGAGGATTGTTAACAGTTTGAAGGTGCTATGAATAATGCTTGCTATGTATGTTATTTTACATGACCTTTTAAACACATATATACACATATATGCTTAGCATATACCTAAGAGGAAAAGTGCTGAATTATGGTATTTTTATATTCAGTTTTAATCTATAATTCTAGATTTTCATTTCTGCCAGCAATCTATGAGTTCCAGGAGCTCCTTATCATCAACAGCAGTGATATTGTCAGTGTTTTTGAAAGTGGGTGTGTGGTATCTAACTGTGACTTTTATCAAGATATTTCTGACGTTCTGAGAATGAATGGCTTTCCATATGTTTATTGAAATTTCTCTTGCGAAATATCTATTCAAATTGATTGCACATTTTAAATTGAGACATCTCCTATTTTCTTATATTTGAAGTTCTAGCCTTTGGTTAGTGAACACCCCTCCAGGTCCTTGCATGGGGACATAAGTCACTGTTTTGAAGGTTTGTATAGTGTTATGTAGTATAGCCATATCATAATTTTTCTAATTACTTTCCTGTTGAAGGTCAATTAGTTTATGTTCACGCTTTTGTCATAATAATGCCTATATATAGTGTGTGTGTGTATATGTATATATGTATATGTGTGTGTGCATACACATATAGAAAAAGACTTGGCACTGTAGACTTACTGGGTCAAAGAGTTTGTATATGTTAAATGTAACATATATTGTTCTATTACATTCCAAAATGTCTATATCTGTTAATATTACTATTTGCATTGTTTAGGAAACCTCAAGTCATTAAATTATCAATTGTCCAAGATATTTTTGAGTTATTAAAATTTCAGATAATCTGAAAGTGAAATTGATCTCCTTTAGCTTTAGTCTGCTCTTCTCCATCCAACAGAAGACCACTAGAAACTGAACACACACACACCCATCCCTTAAAAACAATACAAAGCCAAAAATACCCACTCTAAAGTGCCAAGAAAATGGCAACATGATTTCAGTGTAAATCTATAGAGAGATCATTAGAATGTCAAAGTAAAAATTTAAAAAGTCAATACATGCTGAATGCACTGACACCTGAGGCTGACTTATATTGTCAAGGAGATGGAACATGAGAGACTGCCAAGGGAGGTTTGTGCAGATCAGCTTGGGGAGGAAGGGCAAATAGTAGGCACAAAAATCTTACTGTTATGAGCTACATTATAAAATCATGAGATTAAGATAAAATTAAATGTGTATGCTTTCTCTCTTCATTAGGGATTTATTCAGTGTAATATTCTAAATTCTAGATTTTTCTTGTCACTCATCTGAAATGAGCACCATTCTCAAACTGAATTTTTTTTTATTATAGAGTCTGGGGATTTTATCTGGCCTTACTAATGTTGGGCATATGAACTTTTTCTCTAATATCCAAGTAGCTGTATCCAAAGTAGCTACCCATTTATGATACTGCTAAAAGTATTATTAAACTCAAGACTGTTATTTGTAGAAATGACTGAGTGTGCATTCTATAATGAGAACCCTTTATTTTTTACTGTAAACACACATAAGCATATACTATAAATTATACAGAGAAGGTTCACATTAACTTGTGCATTTTCATGAAGTAATTCTTGATGGTATTTGCAAATGTGGCTCAGGGAATGGCCTCTGTGCTAGACAAGTCTGTATTTTCTTTTTTACGGCTTTTGCTATTCTTGCCTGACAATTTGTTCTGTTAAAATGGCTAGACTGCTTTATTGCCTTTATTTTTATCTTTGCTTAAGTATTTCCTTAAATTTTAAATTATTGATGATCCCTATTTCCTAAATATTTTAAATCTCTCCTTCTCAACTGGATCCTTTATGTCTGCATTTAAACTGTCTTAAGTCTCTAATCATGAACAGAATAAACAAATAACCTCAAAAATTATATCAGAATCATGCCTCTAACTCCCGCTCTCTCTCACTTTCCTTCAACAATTGACTTCTCAAAAGTGATCTTCCATTCATCCCTCAGCCCACTGCAGTCAAGATTTAGCCACCTCCCCTCCACTCCCTTGAAACAATTCACGTTAAGATTACCAGTGACCTCCAGCAGTACCTGATCTCTCAGAGTATCGTTCATCAATCCTTCTTTCTTTCTGTTCTGGTAAATAACAATTTTCTCCACTATAATGAAGTAGTACCTCTTAATTGCTTGTTCCAACATTCTAGCTTTTCCTCCACCTCCTGTGCAGGTTCATTCTTCTCCAGCTACTGTCATCTCTCATCAGCAGGTGCATTGAAAGCAACTCCTCACTGTGCCCTCCCACCCATTCACTCCTGCATTATGCCCATTTTATTACATGTTGTAGCCAGAATAATATTTCCAAAGTGAAAGCCTGATGATGTTATGCCCCTGTGAAAGCTTTTTAATGACTTTCCATTTTTCATGGGATAAAGACCCAAGTCCTCCACCCGTCCCACATGACTCCACAAAGGCTCTAGCTCTGGCCATATCTCCAGCCTCATCTTATTCCACTCTCTTTACCCTGGCCACTCATACGTTCCTCCCCATGACAGAGTTTTGGTAAATAATCTTCCTTCTGCTGGTAATGCTTTTCCCTCCTGTCTAAGGCTTCAAAATGTCTGCTAATTCTTCACGTCTCAGTTTCATCATGATTTCCTCAGGGATCCTACCTGACACCCAGATTAAGTCACATCTCCTTTATGCATTAAGTACACGGACATTTCCTTCAGGCCACTCATCACAATAAAAAGTATGACATTATACATTAACTTACCTAATATTTTCTTGTTTTCTGGCTATGTACTGGTAGGACAGTACAGAGGACAGAATCTATGTCAGCTTATACTCACTAGTGCGTTCCCTAGTGCCTAGCATGGTTCCTTTAGTATAGTAAGTACTGAACTACAAAAACTATGAAACCTTCTTCCACTCATATTTATGGAAGTCTTATTTCCCCCACTGGGCTCTGAAAATCAATTTATAGGTGCCCAGTGCTACAGCACTCTAAGTTTTCTTTTTTTTTTCTATTTTTTTCAGAAATTTACTGAGATGCATATCAACAATATCTACTATCCTGGACTGTATAGAATGTATTATTAGTGGTCCCAATTTTCGTGTCTACCTGCATCCACTTTTCCATGTGACTTTATTGTTCCTCTCATTAGGAAGCCAGAGTAACTTTTTCCACCCTGAATTTTGGAATCAGAAATAGGACTTGCTTTCACCTTCATAAGCAGAAGTCCTGAAATAACTAGTATACTTGGGCTTACTCTTTGGCATCATTGGTATCACCATGGCAAGAGCTTGCTCAGAACCATGACTGCTCCTAAGCTCAGAATGAGAGACAGCTGAGACAGAGCTACCTACAGCTGAGCCCTGTTGGACTGGCCAATCCCCAACAGACCTAGAGACATATAAGCTAAATAAATGCTCATTACATGCTTCTGAGATTTTTGAGGATGGTTGTTACATAGCATTATTGTGACCACAGTTAAATGATACAAGATGTTGGAAGGATTAAATGAGATTTGGATGCAAAAGCAGAGCCTACTCCTTTCCCTGCATTTTCCACCAGTTGAGTTGGTATGAAAATGACACACTCTGCAGCTTTGTACTTTTTTAACATCCAGCTGAAACTTTCATATGTTACAGCAGAATGTGATAGAAAACTAGTTCCCATCAGTCTGACAAAACCAAAGGTAGGCAATTGTGATGGTGAAGGCAGAAGCTACTACTTATTGGGCATCAGCTCTTTTTGGAGTTGCATGGCTCTTTTTAATGGTATCTTTGCTCACTCTTTTATTTATCCTCTTGTTTTTATTACTTTCATCTCCTTTTTTTTTTTTTGATGTGCATGGTTCTTTGTTTTATCATTATTTTAAGTTCTTGAGTTGGAGAATGCCATTTATAATTTTAATTTTTCTTTTCTTGTATGAATATCTATGACTACAAATTCTGTCTAACTGTGCCCTCCCCTACATGTATAGCATTCACTGCATTCCTCAACTTTTTTATATGTGGTGTTTTCATTGCCATTTATTCCTAAATATTTCACAATTATATTATTTTCTCTTTGACTCAAGAATTATTTTTAAATGTTTTGCTTTTGCTAAGCACAATAGCACAATAGCAAAAGCATTTTTTAAAAGCAAAGCATTTAAAAATATTATATATGTGTGTGTGTTTAAAATTCTCTATATATTATGATCTTAAAAAAACCTTTGAAGGGATGGGAGAGAGACTACCTCCTCTTCCCCTATACCTAGCCAATTTTCAGAGATAACAAATGGTCCAGCAAGGAGCATGCCTTCGATATGTAAACTAAACCTATGTACCCCAGCAGGCAATATTCCTCTGCCTCCAGCATCAGATACCAGGCAACAAGAGACCACCCCCATACCCCAGAGCATGCTAGAACTATCCCAACTAGCCGATTCTAAACTGTTCATCCTACCCTGCATTGCTTTTCCCTTGATATCTCCATCCATTCGGGTTGCTGAAACAAATTATGGTAACCTGGATGGCTTATAAACAACAGAAATTTATTTCATACAATTCTGGAGGATGGGACGTTCAAGATCAAGGTGCTGGCAGGTTCCCTGTCTGGTGAGAGCTGGCTTTCTGGTTCATAGATAGCACTTTTTATCTGTGTTCTCACCTGGCAGAAGAGAACTCTGGTCTACATAGCCCCTTGTAAGGGTGTGAATCCCATTCACGGGGACTCCAGACACATGACCTAATCATTTCCCAAAGGCCTCACCTTGCAATACCATCACCTTTGGGGTTAGGTTTCAACATATGCATTTTGGAAGAGCACAAACTTTCAGACCACAGCATGTGAAACCCCCATTCCAGGCTCTGTATTAATGGTTTCTCCTGGCCCACCGGACCCTCTTCAGTAGCTGTGCCTCTTGTCTCTAGGACCTTTGAGTGTAATGAACTTTGTCTTCCTGAGCCTTTTCTCTGCCTCCTCTTGTGGCCCCAGTTGACTATCTCATAATATATATTCTAAATAAAAACAGATTTAGTCAAAACCTGCTCTTTTTTGACAGGTGTTTTATTGGGGTATTATATCTAACTTAATTGCATTATATTTAGGCAAGGTGTACTATAAATGATCAATTATTTAATATTTGTTAAAATTACCCTGTGACTGCAAAGATTGATAGTTTTTTATGACTTCATTAATTTTCTCTTGCTAACGGCTCCTTTCAAATAGTCTATAAGATACCATGCAGCCATAAAATGGAACACGATCATGTCCTTTGCAGGAACATGGATGGAGCTGGAAGCCATTATCCTCATCAAACTAATGCAAGAACAAGAAACCAAATGCTGAATGTTCTCACTTATAAGTGGGAGCTGAACCATGAGAACACATGGACACATGAAGGGGAACAAAACACACTAGGGCCTGTCAGGGTGTCGGGGGGAAGGAGAGCATCAGGAACAACAGCTAATAGATGTTGGGATTAATATGTAGGTTGATCTGTGCTGCAAATCACCATGGCATACATTTACCTGTGTAACAAACCTGCACCTCCTGCACAAGTACCTCAGAACATAAAAGTTGAAAAAAAAAATCTATATGATCATCATTTGTTAATGTATATGTAAATTCTGAGGCAGGTATATTTTTAATAGCCACTATTTTAGTTAAATTTTTTCTATAATTCTATTTCTCTCTGCAGATGTATATATAAATAAAAGGAAAATTTTAATCATAAAATAAACTATTCATACTTAATAGAAATTTTATCTTAAAATATATATAATCAGATATTACTATTATTACAATATTGAAATAGTCTTCTCTCTGTTTTACTTTAAACCACTCTATTTCATTAACTTAGAGAAATCTCATAAATAGCATGAAGTTGGAATGCATACATTTAATCTGAGAATCATTGTTAGCAGATATCTTTAAACGAGTGTTTGTTCTTTGTTTAGTTGGAAGTTATAGATTTCATTGTTATTGTTTTAATGGTTACCTCAAAATTTTAACATGTAGTATCTCACTTAAATTGAAATATTAAGTCAATCAAGGCAATCTTTGTTAAGTTTTGGTACCAATTTTATGCTAACTTTATAAAATAAATTTTTGAAGCTTCTGTTTATGTTGTAGAACTGCTTAACTATTATTGAAATATTTTATTATATAAAACTTTGCAGAATTCCCCTGTAAAACTATCTGGCCATATTGTTTTCAGGAAGTGGGAAATAGCTTTTTGACAACTTGCTTATTACTTTTAGACTAATTGGTCTATAAGGATTTTCCAAATATTTTTCAGGAAATTTGGTAAATTTAGAAAAATGCATGACTTGAAAATTCACTCTACAACTTTGGTTATTTTATTCCTCAAAATATATTTGGTATATATATATTTGGCTTATATATAAATATATTTGGTTTATATATGAATATAAATATATTCATATATAAATGTATTTATATACATAAATGTATTTATATATGAATATAAATATATTCATATATAAATGTATTTATATACATAAATGTATTTATATATGAATATAAATACATTTTATATTTATAAATATATATAAATGTATATATAAATATAAATACATTTATATATAATATAAATACATTTATATATAAAAATATATATATTATAAATATATAAACCAAATATATATATGATTATCTTAATTCTTAGAGCACTGATTCTATGTATTGTATCTTCATTTTTATTCATTGACTCTTCATTTTTTTCCCTCTCTCTCTTATTTATTTTTTAATAGACAGCATCTTGCACTGTTGCCCAGGCTAAAGTGCAATGGCATGATCATGGCTCACTGTAGCCTCAAATTCCTGAGTTAGAGTGACCCTCCAACCTCAGCCTCCCAAATAACAAGTACTACCAGCACATACCACGATGCCTGGATAATATTTTTATTCTTTGTGTAGATGGGGTTTCATTATGTTGCTCAGACTGGTCCCAAACTCTTGGGCTCAAGCAATCCTCCTGCCTCGGCCTCCCGAAGTGCTGGGATTACAGGTGTGAGCTACCACACCTGGCCTGACTCTTCCTTTTGCATGGTTGCCGTCACTTGTGTACTTTTTGAATGTGAGCTCATTTCCAGGAAACTTGCAGGATTCACAAGAATCCTGTGAATTAACCTATAGAACAGTTTTGTGTTGTCTCTGAAGAGTTTCTGTGGATTTCAAAGGTCCTTTCCTATTTGTGATTTTCTTGGTTTGGGCTTCTAGCCCCAAATATGGCTAATAAATTCAGATCCCATAATCTCAGGTGGCACAGCCCTAGAATTTCATTTTCTCAATGGTGACTTATCTTTTTTTATTTAAACTATCCAAAGCCTAGAACATAGGCAAGATTCTTCACTGCATCCATAACCTTGTAGAAGCATTTGTCAGTATCTATATTTGAGGAGGAGGTACTACTTTAATGTTTAGGATCTAGGTTCTAGTGGGCTAGAGGTCTTTGATTTTACTCCTGTGAAGGCTTTAGAACTCTAGGCTCCCAGCCATTCTGTTTATTATTAATTTTTTTAAATTTCAATAGGTTTTTGGGGAACAGGTGGTGTTTGGTTACATGAATAAGCTCTTTAGTGGTGATTTCTGAGATTTTGGTGCACCCATCACCCAAGCAGCGTACCCTGTATGCAATGTGTAGTCTTTTATTTCTCACCACCCCTCACCCTTTCCCCTAAGTCACAAAAGTCCAGTGAATCATTCTTATACTTTTATGTCCTCATAGTTTAGCTCCCACATATGAGTGAGAACATAAAATGTTTGACGTTTCATTCCTGACTTATTTCACTTAGAATAATAGTCCCCAATTCCACCCAGGTTGCTGCAAATGCCATTATTTCATTCCTTTTTATGGCTAAGTAGTATTCCTTGGTACATATATACCACATTTTCTGTATCCACTCGTTCACTGATAGGCATTTGGGGTGGTCCCATATTTTTGCAATTGCAAATTGTGCTGCTATAAACGTGTGTGCAAGTATTTTTATGGTATAATGACTTATTTTCCTCTGGGTAGATACCTAGTAGTGGGATGGCAGAATCAAACAATAGATCTACTTTTAGTTCTTTAAGGAATCTCCACACTGTTTTCCACAGTGGTTGTACTAGTTTACACTCCCACCAACAGTGTAAAAGTGTTCCCTTTTCACCTTACCATATTATTTTTTGATTTTTTGATTACGGCCATTCTTGCAGAAATGAGGTGGTATTGCATTGTGATTTTCATTTGCATTTCCCTGATAATTAGTGATATTCAGTATTTTTCCATATACTTTTTTTCATTTGTATACCTTCTTTGGAGAATTGTCTATTCATATCTTTAGCCCACTTTTTGATGAGATTTTTTTTTCTTACTGATTTGTTTGTGTTCTTTGTAGATTTGGGATATTAGTACTTTGTTAGATGTATAGACTGTGAAGATTTTTCTCCCATTCTGTGGGTTGTGGGTTCTGTTAACTCTTCTGATTATTTCTATTGCTGTGCAGAAGCTTTTTAGTTTAATTAAGTCCCACCTATTTATCTTTATTTTTGTTACATTTGCTGTGGGGTTCTTGGTCATGAAGTCCTTGCTCAAGCCAGTGTCTAGAAGGGTTTTTCTGATGAATCTTCATGGCTTCAGATCTCAGACTTAAGTCTTTGATCCATCTTGAGTTGATTTTTGCATAAGGTGAGAGATGAGGATCCAGTTTCATTCTCCTACATGTGACTTACCAATTATCCCAGCACCATTTTTTGAATAGGGTGTCCTTTTCCTATTTCATGTTTCTGTTTGCTTCGTTGAAGATCAGGTGACTGGATTTGGCTTTATTTCTGGGTTCTCTGTTCTGTTTCATTGGTCTATGTGCCTATTTTTATACCACTACCATAGTGTTTTGATGTCTATGACTTATACTACAGTTTGAAGTTGGACAATGTGATGCCTCCATATTCGCTCTTTTTGCATAGTCTTGCTTTGGCTCTGTGGGCTCTTTTTTGGTTCCATATGAATTTTAGGATTGCTTTTTCTAGTTCTGTGAAGAATGATGGTGGTATTTTTCTGGAAATTGCATTGAATTTGTAGACTGCTTTTGCCAGTATAGTCATTTTTGCAATATTGATTCTACCCATCCAAGAGCATTGGATGTGTTTCCATTTGTTTGTGTCATCCATAATTTCTTTCAGCAGTGTTTTGTAGTTTGCCTTGGAGAAGCTTTTCATGTCCTTGGTTAAGTATATCCCTATGTATTTTTTTTTTTTGCAGCTATTGTAAAAGGGGTTGAGTTTTTTATTTGATTCTCAGCTTAGTTACTGTTGGTGTGTAACAAGTTACTGATATATGTACAACAATTTTGTATCCTGAAACTTTGCTTAATTCATTTACCAGTTCTAGGAGCTTTTTGAATGATTCTTTAGGGTTTTCTAAGTATACAATCATATCATCAGCAAACAGTAGCAGTTTGACTTCCTTTTTACCAATTTGGATGCCCTTTATTTCTTTCTCTTGTCTCACGGAACTGGCTAGGACTTCCACTACTATAATGAAGAGAAGTGGTGAAAGTGGACATCCTTGTCTTGTTCCAGTTCTCAGAGGAAGTGTTTTCAACTTTTCCCGATTCAGTATAATGTTGGATGTGGGTTTGTCATAGACGGCTTTTATTACCTTAAGGAATGTCCCTTCTATGCTGATTTTGCTGGGAGTCTTAATCAAAAAAAAGGATTCTGGATTTTGTCAAGTGCTTTTTCTGCATCTGTTGAGATGAACATGTGATTTTTGTTTTTAATTTTGTTTGTGTACTGTATCACACTTATTGACTTACATATGTAAAACCATCCCTGCATCACTGGTATGAAACCCACTTGATCATGGTAGGTAATCTTTTTGATGTTCTGTTGGATTTGGTTCACTAGTATTTTGTTGAGGATTTTTGCATCTATATTTATCAGGGATATTGGTCTGTAGTTTTCCTTCTTTGTTATGTCTTTTTCCTGGTTTTGATATTAGGGTGATATTGGCTTCATAGAACGATTTAGGGAGGATTTCCTCTTTCTCTATCCTGTGGAATAATGTCAATAGGGTTGGTACTAATTCTTATTTGAATGTCTGATATAATTCAGCTGTGAATCCATCTGGTCCTGGATTTTTTTCTGTTGACTTTTTTTTTAATACCATTTCAAACTCACTGATTGTTATTCATCTGTTCAAAGATTCTATAACTTGCTGGTTTAATCTAGGGGGCTGTATATTTCTATTTATCCCTCTCCTTTAGGTTTTCTAGTTTGTGCATATAAAGGTATTCATAGTAGCCTTGAATAATCTTTTGTAGTTCTGTTCTCAAGCTGTAATATCCCTCGTTTCATATCCAATTGAGCTTATTTGGATCTTCTCTCTTGTCTTTTTGGTTAATCTTGTTAACGGTCTATCAATGTTATTTATCTTTACAAAGAACCAGCTTTGTTTTTTTCATTTATATTTTGTAGATTTTGTTTCATTTATTTCTTCTCTGATCTTTATTTCTTTTCTTCTGCTGGGTTTGGGTTTGAATTGTTCTTGTTTCTCCAGTTCCATGAGGTGTGACCGGAGATTGTTTATTTGTGGTCTTTTAGACTTTTTGATGTAGACATTTAATGCTGTGAACTTTCCTCTTAGCCCCGCTTTTGCCATATGCCAGAGGTTTTGATGGGTTGTGTCCCGATTATAGTTCAGTTCAAATAATTTTTAAATTTCCATCTTGATTTCATTGTTGACTCAACAGTCATTCAGGAGCAGGTTATTTAATTTCCATGTATTTGCATGGTTTTGAGAATTCCTTTTGGAGTGGGTATTCAATTGTATTCCACTGTGGTCTGAGAGTGACATAATTTTAATTTCCTTGATATAATTTTGATTTTCTTAAATTTACTGAGACTTGTTTTGGGGCCTATCATATGGCCTATCTTGGGGAATGTTCCCTGTGCTGATAAGTAGAATGTATATTCTGCAGTTATTGGGTAGAATGTTCTGTAAATATCTGTTAAGTCCATTTGTTGTAGGGTATAGTTTAAGTTCATTGTTTCTTTTTTTTTTTTTTCTTTTTTTTTGAGACAGAGTCTTGCTCTGTCATCCAGGCTGGAGTGCAATGGTGTGATCTCGGCTCACTGCAACCTTCACCCACTGCAACCTTCGCCTCCCGGATTCAAGCAATTCTCCTGCCTCAGCCTCCTGAGTAGCTGGGATTACAGGTGCCCGCCACCATGCCCAGCTAATTTTTTTATCTTTAGTAGAGATGGGGTTTCAACATGTTGGTCAGGCTGGTCTCAAACTCCTGACCTCGTGATCCCCCACCTTGGCCTCTCAAAGTGCTGGGATTACAGACGAGTTCATTGTTTCTTTGTGCCACTGTGCCCGGTGAGTTCATTGTTTCTTTTTTTTTCTTTTTTTAATTATACTTTAAGTTTTAGGGTACATGTGCACATTGTGCAGGTTAGTTACATATGTATACATGTGCCATGCTGGTGCACTGCACCCACTAACTCGTCATCTAGCATTAGGTATATCTCCCAATGCTATCCCTTCCCCCTCCCCCCACCCCACCACAGTCCCCAGAGTGTGATATTCCCCTTCCTGTGTCCATGTGACCTCATTGTGCAATTCCCACCTATGAGTGAGAATATGCGGTGTTTGGTTTTTTGTTCTTGTGATAGTTTACTGAGAATGATGCTTTCCAATTTCATCCATGTCCCTACAAAGGACATGAACTCATCATTTTTTATGGCTGCATAGTATTCCATGGTGTATATGTGCCACATTTTCTTAATCCAGTCTATCATTGTTGGGCATTTGGGTTGGTTCCAAGTCTTTGCTATTGTGAATAATGCCGCAATAAACATACGTGTGCATGTGTCTTTATAGCAGCATGATTTAGAGTTCTTTGGGTATATACCCAGTAATGGGATGGCTGGGTCAAATGGTATTTCTAGTTCTAGATCCCTGAGGAATCGCCACACTGACTTCCACAATGGTTGAACTAGTTTACAGTCCCACCAACAGTGTAAAAGTGTTCCTATTTCTCCACATCCTCTCCAGCACCTGTTGTTTCCTGACTTTTTAATGATTGCCATTCTAACTGGTGTGAGATGGTATCTCATTGTGGTTTTGATTTGCATTTCTCTGATGGCCAGTGATGATGAGCATTTTTTCCTGTGTTTTTTGGCTGCATAAATGTCTTCTTTTGAGAAGTGTCTGTTCATGTCCTTTGACCACTTTTTGATGGGGTTGTTTGTTTTTTTCTTGTAAATTTGTTTGAGTTCATTGTAGATTCTGGATATTATCCCTTTGTCAGGTGAGTAGGTTGCAAAAATTTTCTCCCATTTTGTAGGTTGCCTGTTCACTCTGATGGTAGTATCTTTTGCTGTTCAGAAGCTCTTTAGTTGAATTAGATCCCATTTGTCAATTTTGGCTTTTGTTGCCATTGCTTTTGGTGTTTTAGACATGAAGTCCTTGCCCATGCCTATGTCCTGAATGGTAATGCCTAGGTTTTCTTCTAGGGTTTTTATGGTTTTAGGTCTAATGTTTAAGTCTTTAATCCATCTTGAATTGATTTTTGTATAAGGTGTAAGGAAGGGATCCAGTTTCAGCTTTCTACATGTGGCTAGCCAGTTTTCCCAGCACCATGTATTAAACAGGGAATCTTTTCCCAATTGATTGTTTTTCTCAGGTTTGTCAAAGATCAGATAATTGTAGATATGCGGCGTTATTTCTGAGGGCTCTGTTCTGTTCCATTGATCTGTATCTCTGTTTTGGTACCAATACCATGTTGTTTTGGTTACTGTAGCCTTGTACTGTAGTTTGAAGTCAGGCAGTGTGATGCCTCCAGCTTTGTTCTTTTGGCTTAGGATTGACTTGGCGATGCGGGCTCTTTTTTGGTTCCATATGAACTTTAAAGTAGTTTTTTCCAATTCTGTGAAGAAAGGCATTGGTAGCTTGACGGGGATGGCATTGAATCTGTAAATTACCTTGGGCAGTATGGCCATTTTCACGATATTGATTCTTCCTACCCATGAGCATGGAATGTCCTTCCATTTGTTTGTATCCTCTTTTATTTCATTGAGCAGTGGTTTGTAGTTCTCCTTGAAGAGGTCCTTCACATCCCTTGTAAGTTGGATTCATAGGTATTTTATTCTCTTTGAAGCAATTGTGAATGGGAGTTCACTCATGATTTGGCTCTCTGTTTGTCTGTTGTTGGTGTATAAGAATGCTTGTGATTTTTGTACATTGATTTTGTATCCTGAGTTGGTGTATAAGAATGCTTGTGATTTTTGTACATTGATTTTGTATCCTGAGACTTTGCTGAAGTTGCTTATCAGCTTAAGGAGATTTTGGGCTGAGACAATGGGGTTTTCTAGATATACAATCATGTCGTCTGCAAACAGGGACAATTTGACTTCCTCTTTTCCTAATTGAATACCCTTTATTTCCTTCTCCTGCCTAATTGCCCTGGCCAGAACTTCCAACACTATGTTGAATAGGAGTGGTGACAGAGGGCATCCCTGTCTTGTGCCAGTTTTCTAAGGGAATGCTTCCAGTTTTTGCCCATTCAGTATGATATTGGCTGTGGGTTTTTCATAGATAGCTCTTATTAGTTTGATATAGGTCCCATCAATACCTAATTTATTGAGAGTTTTTAGCATGAAGCGTTGCTGAATTTTGTCAAAGGCTTTTTCTGCATCTATTGAGATAATCATGTGGTTTTTGTCTTTGGCTCTGTTTATATGCTGGATTACATTTATTGATTTGCGTATATTGAACCAGCCTTGCATCCCAGGGATGAAGCCCACTTGATCATGGTGGATAAGCTTTTTGATGTGCTGCTGGATTCGTTTCGCCAGTATTTTATTGAGGATTTTTGCATCAATGTTCATCAAGGGTATTGGTCTAAAATTCTGTTTTTTGTTTGTGTCTCTGCCCGGCTTTGGTATCAGAATGATGCTGGCCTCATAAAATGAGTTAGGGAGGATTCCCTCTTTTTCTGTTGATTGGAATAGTTTCAGAAGGAATGGTACCAGTTCCTCCTTGTACCTCTGGTAGAATTCGGCTGTGAATCCATCTGGTCCTGGACTCTTTTTGGTTGGTAAACTATTGATTATTGCCACAATTTCAGATCCTGTTATTGGTCTATTCAGAGATTCAACTTCTTCCTGGTTTAGTCTTGGGAGAGTGTATGTGTCCAGGAATTTATCCATTTCTTCTAGATTTTCTAGTTTATTTGCGTAGAGGTGTTTGTAGTATTCTCTGATGGTAGTTTGTATTTCTGTGGGATCGGTGGTGATATCACCTTTATCATTTTTTATTGTGTCTATTTGATTCTTCTCTTTTTTCTTTATTAGTCTTGCTAGCGATCTATCAATTTTGTTGATCCTTTCAAAAAACCAGCTCCTGGATTCATTAATTTTTTGAAGGGTTTTTTGTGTCTCTATTTCCTTCAGTTCTGCTCTGATTTTAGTTATTTCTTGCCTTCTGCTAGCTTTTGAATGTGTTTGCTCTTGCTTCTCTAGTTCTTTTAATTGTGATGTTAGGGTGTCAATTTTGGATCTTTCCTGCTTTCTCTTGTGGGCATTTCGTGCTATAAATTTCCCTCTACACACTGCTTTGAATGCGTCCCAGAGATTCTGGTATGTTGTGTCTTTGTTCTCGTTGGTTTCAAAGAACAGCTTTATTTCTGCCTTCATTTCGTTATGTACCCAGTAGTCATTCAGGAGCAGGTTGTTCAGTTTCCATGTAGTTGAGCGGTTTTGAGTGAGATTCTTAATCCTGAGTTCTAGTTTGATTGCACTGTGGTCTGAGAGATAGTTTCTTATAATCTCTGTTCTTTTACATTTGCTGAGGAGGCTTTACTTCCAAGTATGTGGTCAATTTTGGAATAGGTGTGGTGTGGTGCTGAAAAAAGTGTATATCCTGTTGATTTGGGGTGGAGAGTTCTGTAGATGTCTATTAGGTCTGCTTGGTGCAGAGCTGAGTTCAATTCCTGTGTATCCTTATTGACTTTCTGTCTCGTTGATCTGTCTAATGTTGACAGTGGGGTGTTAAAGTCTCCCATTATTAATGTGTGGGAGTCTAAGTCTCTTTGTAGGTCACTCAGGACTTGCTTTATGAATCTGGGTGCTCCTATATTGGGTGCATATATATTTAGGATAGTTAGCTCTTCTTGTTGAATTGATCCCTTTACCATTATGTAATGGCCTTCTTTGTCTCTTTTGATCTTTGTTGGTTTAAAGTCTGTTTTATCAGAGACTAGGATTGCAACCCCTGCCTTTTTTTGTTTTCCATTTGCTTGGTAGATCTTCCTCCATCCTATTATTTTGAGCCTATGTGTGTCTCTGCACGTGAGATGGGTTTCCTGAATACAGCACACTGATGGGTCTTGACTCTTTATCCAATTTGCCAGTCTGTCTTTTAATTGGAGCATTTAGTCCATTTACATTTAAAGTTAATATTGTTATGTGTGAACCTGATCCTGTCATTATGATGTTAGCTGATTATTTTGCTCATTAGTTGATGCAGTTTCTTCCTAGTCTTGATGGTCTTTACATTTTGGCATGATTTTGCAGCGGCTGGTACTGGTTGTTCCTTTCCATGTTTAGCTCTTCCTTCAGGAGCTCTTTTAGGGCAGGCCTGGTGGTGACAAAATCTCTCAGCATTTGCTTGTCTGTAAAGTATTTTATTTCTCCTTCACTTATGAAGCTTAGTTTGGCTGGATATGAAATTCTGGGTTGAAAATTCTTTTCTTTAAGAATGTTGAATATTGGCACCCACTCTCTTCTGGCTTGTAGGGTTTCTGCCGAGAGATCCGCTGTTATTCTGATGGGCTTACCTTTGAGGGTAACCCGACCTTTCTCTCTGGCTGCCCTTAACATTTTTTCCTTCATTTCTACTTTGGTGAATCTGACAATTATGTGTCTTGGAGTTGCTCTTCTCGAGGAGTATCTTTGTGGCATTCTCTGTATTTCCTGAATCTGAACGTTGGCCTGCCTTGCTAGATTGGGGAAGTTCTCCTGGATAATATCCTGCAGAGTGTTTTCCAACTTGGTTGCATTCTCCCCATCACTTTCAGGTACACCAATCAGACATAGATTTGGTCTTTTCACATAGTCCCATATTTCTTGGAGGCTTTGCTCATTTCTTTTTATTCTTTTTTCTCTAAACTTCCCTTCTTGCTTCATTTCATTCATTTCATCTTCCATCACTGATACCCTTTCTTCCAGTTGATCGCATCGGCTCCTGAGGCTTCTGCATTCTTCACGTAGTTCTCGAGCCTTGGTTTTCAGCTCCATCAGCTCCTTTAAGCACTTCTCTGTATTGGTTATTCCAGTTATACATTCTTCTAAATTTTTTTCATAGTTTTCAACTTCTTTGCCTTTGGTCTGAATGTCCTCCCGTAGCTCAGAATAATTTGATCGTCTGAAGCCTTCTTCTCTCAGCTCATCAAAGTCATTCTCCATCCAGCTTTGTTCCATTGCTGGTGAGGAACTGAGTTCCTTTGGAGGAGGAGAGGTGCTCTGCTTTTTAGAGTTTCCAGTTTTTCTGTTCTGTTTCTTCCCCATCTTTGTGGTATTATCTACTTTTGGTCTTTGATGATGGTGATGTACAGATGGGTTTTTGGTGTGGATGTCCTTTCTGTTTGTTAGTTTTCCTTCTAACAGACAGGACCCTCAGCTGCAGGTCTGTTGGAATACCCTGCCGTGTGAGGTGTCAGTGTGCCCCTGCTGGGGGGGTGCCTCCCAGTTAGGCTGCTCGGGGGTCAGGGGTCAGGGACCCACTTGAGGAGGCAGTCTGCCCGTTCTCAGATCTCCAGCTGCGTGCTGGGAGAACCACTGCTCTCTTCAAAGCTGTCAGACAGGGACATTCATGTCTGCAGAGGTTACTGCTGTCTTTTTGTTTGTCTGTGCCCTGCCCCCAGAGGTGGAGCCTACAGAGGCAGGCAGGCCTCCTTGAGCTGTGGTGGGCTCCACCCAGTTCGAGCTTCCTGGCTGCTTTGTTTACCTAAGCAAGCCTGGGCAATGGTGGGTGCCCCTCCCCCAGCCTCGCTGCCGCCTTGCAGTTTGATCTCAGACTGCTGTGCTAGCAATCAGCGAGACTCCGCGGGCGTAGGACCCTCCAAGCCAGGTGCGGGATATAATCTCGTGGTGCGCCATTTTTTAAGCCGGTCGGAAAAGTGCAGTATTCGGGTGGGAGTGACCCGATTTTCCAGGTGCGTCCGTCACCCCTTTCTTTGACTCGGAAAGGGAACTCCCTGACCCCTTGCGCTTCCCAAGTGAGGCAATGCCTCGCCCTGCTTCAGCTCGCACAGGGTGCGTGTACCCACTGACCTGCGCCCACTGTCTGGCACTCCCTAGTGAGATGAACCTGGTACCTCAGATGGAAATGCAGAAATCACCCTTCTTCTGCGTCGCTCACGCTGGGAGCTATAGACCGGAGCTGTTCCTAGTTGGCCATCTTGGCTCCTCCCGAGTTCATTGTTTCTTTGTTGACTTTCTGTCTTGATCCTGTCTAGTGCTGTCAGTGGAGTATTAAAGTCCCCCACTATTATTGTGTTGCCATCTATCTCATTCCTTAGGTCTAGTACTAATTGCTTTAAAAATTTGTGAGCTCCAGTGATAGGTGCATATATATTTAGAATTGTGATATTTTCCTGTTAGATTAGTCCTTTTATCATTAATGTCTCTGTCTTTTTTTTTTAACTGCTATTGCTTTAAAGTTAGTTTTGTCTGATATAAGAATAGCTACTCCTGCTTGCTTTTGGTGTCCATTGCATGGAATATCTTTATCTACCCCTTTACCTTAAGTTTATGGGAGTCCTTATGTGTTAGGTGGATCTTCTGAAGACAACAGACACTTGGTTGGTGAATTCTTATTCGTTCTGCCATTCTGTACTTTTACAAGTGGAGCCTTTAGGCCATTTACATTCAATGGTAGTAATGAGACATGAGGTACTATTCTATTCATCATGCTATTTTTTTGCCAGAATACCTTGTTTTTCCCTCCTTGTGTTATTGTTATATAGGTCCTCTGAAATTTATGCTTTAAGGAGATTCTATTTTGATGTATTTTATGATTTGTTTCAAAATTTAGAGCTCCTTTTAGCAATTCTTGTAGTTCTGGCTTGATAGTGTTGAATCCCTTCAGCACATGGTTGTGTGGAAAAGACTATATCTTTCCTTCATTTATGAAGCTTAGCTTCACTGGATATAAAATTATTGGCTGATAATTGTTTTGTTTAAGGAGGTTAAAAATCGGACCCCAATCCCTTCTAGCTTGTATGGTTTCTGCTGAGAAATCTGCTGTTAATCTGATAGGTTTTTCTTTATAGGCTACTGGATGCTTTTGTCTCATAGCTCTTAAAATTCTCTCTTTTGTCTTGATTTTAGATAATCTGGGGCTTCCTTACAGCTGAACTGTAATAACCTGATGACTATGTGCCTAGATGAGGATCTTTTATAATGAATTTCCCAGGTGTTTTTTGAGCTTCTTGTATTTGGATGTCTAGATCTGTACTTCTTGTATTTGGATGTCTAGATCTGTAGCAAGGCTGGGGAAATTTTCCTTGATTTTTCCCCCAAATACGTTTTCCAAACTTTTAGATTTCTCTTCTTCCTCAAGAGCACCGATTATTCTTAGATATGGACATTTAACATAGTCCTAAACTTCTCGGAGGTTTTGTTCATTTCTCTAATTCTTTTTTCTTTGTTTTCGATGGATTGGGTTAATTCAAAAGCCTTGTCTTTGAACTCTGAAGTTCTTTCTTCTGCTTGTTTGATTCTATTGCTGAGATTTTTGGTACATTTTGCATTTCTCTGTGCTCTTGATTTCTATAAGTTATTATTTTTTATTTATGCTATTTCACTGAAAAATGTTCGTTTCATATCCTATATCATGTTTTTGGTTTCTTTAAGTTGGACTTCACCTTTGTCTGGTGCCTCCTTGATTACCTTAATATTTGACCTTCTGAATTCTTTTTTCTGGCAATTCAGAGAGAGATTTTATCTTGGTTTGGATCCATTGCTGGTGAGCTGGTATGAACTTTTGGGGGGTGTTAAATAACCTTATTTTGTCATATTACCAGAATTGTTTTTCTGGTTCTTTCTCATTTGGGTAGACTATGTCAGAAGGATCATCTGGGATTCAAGCACTACTGTTCAGATTCTTTTGTCCCATGGGGTGGTCCCTTGATGTGGTAGTTTCCCCCTTTTCCTAGGAATGGGGCTTCCTGAGAGCCAAATTGTAGTAATTGCTTTTGCTCTTCTGGGTCTAGCCACCCAGTGGAGCTACTGTCCTCCGGGCTGGTACTGGGGAGTGTCTGCAAAGAGTTCTGCGATGTGATGTCTTCAGGTCTTGCAGCTATGGATACCGGCACCTGCTCCAGCAGAGATAACAGGGGAGTGAAATGGACTCTGTGAGGGTCCTTGGTTGTGTTTTTGTTTAGTGCACTGCTTTTGTGTTGGTTGGCTGCCAGCCAAAAGGTGGCGCTTTCAAGAGTGTATCAAAACTGTGGTGCTACAGGGAGGATGCAAACTTGCTGTAGGGACACCTGGTATAGTATTCAGGATTCTCAGGTAGTGGGCAGGACTATAGGGCTCCCAAGAGATTATGACCTTTGTTTTTGGCTGCCAGGGCGCGTAGAGAAAGACCACCAGGTAGGGGCAGGGATAGGCATGTCTGAGGTCAACCTCTCCTTGGATGGGGCTTGCTGTGGCTGGTGTGGGGGATAGGGGTATGGTTCCCAGTCCAGTGGAGTTATATTCCCAGGGGGTTTATGGCTGCCTCTGCTGAGTCATGCAGATCACCAGGGAAGTGGGGGGAAGCTGGCAGTCACTGGCTTCACCCTGCTCCCATGCAGCTGGCAGTCCTAAAGGCTGGTCTCACTCCAACCGTGCCCCTCCAAGAGCACCAAGTCTATCTCCAGGCAGTCAGTGACCAGGGCTGAGAGCTTGCCCTAGACCACAAGCCTCCCCAGTGAGAAAGAAAGCAGACTTACAGATTTTTGGCATCTCAGGAAGCCTGCAGTGGTGATCTAGTTCATTCCAGGGGTCTATGAATTCTCTCGGGTTTCCTGTTATGTTCCTGAGGTAGTTCTTGGAGCAAAAGTTCACTATGTGTCTCCATACACTGCTCTGTCCATCCAAGTGGGAGCTGCAAGCTAGTCCTGCTTCCACCATCTTAATCCTTTGTCTCATTCTGTCTTTTAAATGAGACCAACACCTCTAGGTTTTGCCATGGTATCAGATGGTCCTTATTATTATGACTTTGAGTTCTATCTACATTTTTTTCACATGTATATTTTGCTTTATTTTGAACTTGGATATAAACAAATATTTACATATAAATTGGTTTATATTTAAAAATATTTTTAATCTAAAATTGTTTAATGTTTTCAAAATATTGAAAATATTTTGCCAGAATTTTTATAAATTTATCACAGGACTGTTGAAGGGGAATCTATTCAAGTTTTCTCTGCCATATTGTCAGAAATTGCCTCTACTGACTTTAAATAATAAGAAAATTGAAGCTAGGCTGAATTACGGTTTTCCTAAGGACTCATAGCTTTTAAAAAACAGGATTAAAATTCAAATACAAATTACCACAATGCTTAGCATTGTGCTTAATGTATAACAGAGTCTCAATAAATGCTTAATGTTTAAATGTTTACATTTAACAAGAGAAATGATAAGTACTTTCTTTGGTGTTGCCATCAATGATGGAGTGAGTCAGAGTAACACATCTCTTCTTCCCTAAACTTCACAGCTAAAAGAAGGTCTCAAGAGCCACAGATGTCTTGGATATTTCTGTATTTCAGACTCTACTACCCAGACACCAAAAGAAGAAATGATTAACCCTGGAGGCTGCCTTGGTCTAGGTAAGGAGATCTGTGATGTGATGCTGGCATTTGGGGAATGCTCAGTAATTTATCATTCAAGTCCTTTGCAAATGCTATACATTTCTTTTCTGAATCATCCTGATCCTTCATCTATCCAGTAGTCACGTTCTGAACAAAGCAAATGTTAACGGAGGACGAGGCAGCCAGCATTTTAATCCAGCTTTAAATGCTGGCAGAATTTCAGATAATTTACAAAGAGCTGTGAATAAGAAAGATCTATTACCTGTATTATTTCAAGAGAGAGAGAAAAAAAAGACATTCAGCTATACAAAATGTATTAAATTATTCATTGGGGAAAGCAGATTTTGATTTCCAAAACAAACATTTTGTTTAAAACCTGTAGTTGAAGTTTAAACGTTTATAGTACTATTTGATATACTACTCAATTCTTTTAACTTGTCTCAATGGTTCAGATCTCATCCTCCTGCATCGATATGTAGCACAGCATCCAGCCTGATGCTGTCAAAATATAGGCCAGACTGTGCTCCTCCTCTGCTTAGCAATGATGAACAGCTCCTCATCCAGCATACTCAGAGCCCAAATTCTAACACAGTGGCAATGAGGTACCTACAAAATCTTTCTTACCTCTCCTTCTAATTCAATGGCTTCTTCTCCTTTGGCCACATCTACTTCAGCCCTATTGGCTTCCTTGCCGTTCCTTAGACATGTCTGGTGGGCTTCTAGTTAGAGCTGGAACTTCAGCTCTAGCTCTTCTCTCTGCCTGCAATGCTCTTCCCCTTGAAAGTCTCATAGCTTGCACGCTCCCTCTTCCATTCAGTCTTGGTTAAATGTCATTCTCCCAGTAAGAACTTCCTGAATAATCCATTTATACTTGAAGCCTGTCTGCCCTGCTCCTGCCCTGACATTCTTGATTCCCTTTTATAAAATTTTTTTTCTTTTCTCTGGAGCATTTATCACCACTTAACATGCTAAACACACACACACACTTTAAAAACTTTTAAATTCATTGTTTGAATACCACCACCATATTGTCAGATTCATGAAGTTTGTTTATTTCTCCTAATATATCCTCAACTCCTAGAACATTTTCTGACACCAGTAGGCACTTAATAAATATTGGATGATGGATAAGTAAATAAGTATATTGAAATTCCACTTATTGAATCTTTACCATCTAAGATACTTTTCCATGCACTTTGCTTGTATTAATTTACTCAAGTGTATGAGGTAGGCAGGTCTTCATATATTTCTAATGTTATAGTTGAGAAAACAAAACATGTAGAGATCACATAGCTCTTGCAGTATACGTAATGAAACTTCAAAGTAATTTCTCTTTAGCTGGGTATGGTGGCACATAACTGTAGTCCCAGCTACTCTGGAGGCTAAGGTGGGAGGATCACTTGAGCCCAGGAGTTCAAAGATGCAGTGAGCTATGATCATGCCACTACACTCAAGCCTGGACTACGGAGTGAGGCCTTTCTAGTTATTAATTTATAAATAAATAACTAAAAAATAATTACTCTTAAAGTAAGTGACTGATTTTTCTATTGCCTAATGAATAGAGTAAATTTTTTTAGCTTTGCATTCAAGAATCTTTGCAACTTGCTCCTTTTCATCTTCCCAGAGAATTGACTGCTACTCTTTTCCAATTATACTGGGAAGTTTCAACAGAAAGAAAGGGGAGATAGGGAAACGAGGAAGAAGACCTATCATAACTACCTTTCTACCTTTGACCAAACTCTTTTTGTGCACCAGGAATCAGGAAAAATCTATTATGGGAATCACCTCATTTAATCCTCCTCACAGCCATGTGTGCAGACTCAGACTTAGAGAAGTTACGCGCCAGATATGTATTCATTATCCTTATAATTACATTGTCTCTTTCCTGGAAATACACCAGCAGACCCATGTGAATACTGTCTATACACAAACAAGCTTGGCCATTAGCCGCAGACCTTCTCTCTCATCTTGTTCTCCAGGGCCCTGAAAGTAGGCTGAGAAGAAGACAAACATGAAACCTCAAAGGCTTTGTATATCACGTGTATTGGTTTCCTACAGCTGCTCTAACAAATTAACATAAACTTAATGGCTTAAAACAACACAAATATATTATCTGACAGTACATTAGACCAGAAGTTTGGCATGGATTTACCTGGACTAATAAGCAAGGTATCTGCAGGGTTACATTCTCTTCTGGAGGCTCTGTGGGAGAATCCCTTTCCTTCCCTTTTGCATCTTTTAGATACTGCCTATACTCCTTGGTATGTGGCCTCATTTCCTCCATCTCTCTGACACTTATCCATCATCAGTCTCTCTCTCATAACCATAGGCAGGAAAGATTATCCACTTTTAAGGAAACACTTGCTTGTACTGAATAATCCAGGATAATATCAAGCTTCATACCCATAGTATACATGCAAAGTAAAGTATTCCCTGTTGCCACGGAATGTGACATATTCACAGGTTCCAGTGTTAGGGTGTGAATGGTTTTTGGGTGGGGGGGCTGGTGTGCATTGCTCACCATAACATCATGTTAAGAAGTTTGGGCTTCCTTCTAAAGATAGTAAAATCATTGAAGGAGTTGCAGCATAAGGTGGCTAAGACAAATTTGCTTTTAGAAAGATTGCACAGCTCTAGGTCTGAAACCAATGAACGTAGAATGGTCATATTAACTAAAAATAACTAATGCAGCATGTACTATTAACCACACTTCTGGTACTTTTTGATGTGTGTTGCAATCCTTAACTCATTTAACTTTTATCAGTTAAATTTATTATACTAACAATATTCCCATTCTATAGGTGAAAAAATATATGTACGATGACAGTGCAATCATACTAGAACTCAGGATTAAGAAACTCACTCAAAACTGCTCAACTACATGGAAACTGAACAACCTGCTCCTGAATGACTACTGGGTACATAACGAAATGAAGGCAGAAGTAAAGATGTTCTTTGAAACCAACGAGAACAAAGACACAACATACCAGAATCTCTGGGACACATTCAAAGCAGTGTGTAGAGGGAAATTTATAGCACTAAATGCCCACAAGAGAAAGCAGGAAAGATCTAAAATTGACACCCTAACATCACAATTAAAAGAACTAGAGAAGCAAGAGGAAACACATTCAAAAGCTAGCAGAAGGCAAGAAATAACTAAAATCAGAGCAGAACTGAAGGAAATAGAGACACACAAGAACCCTTCAAAAAATCAATGAATCCAGGGGCTGGTTTTTTGAAAAGATCAATAAAATTGATAGACCGCTAGCAAGATTAATAAAGAAGAAAAGAGAGAAGAATCAAATAGACTCAATAAAAAATGACAAAGGGGATATCACCACCAATCCCTCAGAAATACAAACTACCATCAGAGAATACTATAAACACCTCTACGCAAATAAACTAGAAAATCTAGAAGAAATGGATAAATTCCTCGACACATACACTGTCCCAAGACTAAACCATGAAGAAGTTGAATCTCTGAATACACCAATAACAGGCTCCGAAATTGAGGCAATAATTAATAGCTTACCAATGAAAAAAAGTCCAGGACCAGATGGATTCACAGCCAAATTCTACCAGAGGTACATGGAGGAGCTGGTACCATTCCTTCTGAAACTATTCCAATCAATAGAAAAAGAGGGAATCCTCCCTAATTCATTTTATGAGGCCAGCATCATCCTGATACCAAAGCCTGGCAGAGACACAACCAAAAAGAATTTTAGACCAATATCCTTGATGAACACTGATGCAAAAATCCTCAATAAAATACTGGCAAACCGAATCCAGCAACACATCAAAAAGCTTATCCACCATGATTAAGTGGGCTTCATCCCTGGGATGCAAGGCTGGTTCAACATACGAAAATCAATAAACGTAATCCAGCATATAAACAGAACCAAAGACAAAAACCACATGATTATCTCAATAGACACAGAAAAGGCCTTTGAAAAATTCAACAACCATTCATGCTAAAAACTCTCAATAAATTAGGTATTGATGGGACCTATTTCAAAATAATAAGAGCTGTCTATGACAAACCCACAGCCAATATCACACTGAATGGACAAAAACTGAAAGCATTCCCTTTGAAAACTGGCACAACACATGGATGCCCTGTCTCACCACTCCTATTCAACATAGTGTTGGAAGTTCTGGCCACAGCAATCAGGCAGGAGAAGGAAATAAAGGGTATTCAATTAGGAAAAGAGGAAGTCAAATTGTCCCTGTTTGCAGATGACATGATTGTATATCTAGAAAACCCCATTGCCTCAGCCCAAAATCTCCTTAAGCTGATAAGCAACTTCAGCAAAGTCTCAGGATACAAAATCAATGTGCAAAAATCACAAGCATTCTTATACACCAATAACAGACAAACAGAAAGCCAAATCATGAGTGAACTCTCATTCACAATTGCTTCAAAGAGAATAAAATACCTAGGAATCCAACTTACAAGGGATGTGAAGGACCTCTTCAAGGAGAACTACAAACCACTGCTCAAGGAAATAAAAGAGGATACAAACAAATGGAAGAAAAGTCCATGCTCATGGACAGGAAGAATCAATATCGTGAAAATGGCCATACTGCCCAAGGTAATTTATAAATTCAATGCCATCCCCATCAAGCTATCAATGACTTTCTTCACAGAATTGGAAAAAAGTACTTTAAAGTTCATATGGAACCAAAAAAGAGCCCACATTGCCAAGTCAATCCTAAGCCAAAAGAACAAAGCTGGAGGCATCATGCTACCTGACTTCAAACTATACCACAAGGCTACAGTAATAAAAACAGCATGGTACTGGTACCAAAACAGAGATATAGATCAAAGGAACAGAACAGAGCCCTCAGAAATAATGCCACATATCTACAACTATCTGATCTTTGACAAAACTGACAAAAACAAGCAATGGGGAAAGGATTCCCTATTTAATAAATGGTGCTGGGAAAATGGCTAGCCATATGTAGAAAGCTGAAACTGGATCCCTTCCTTACACCTTATACAAAAATTAATTCAAGATGGATTAAAGACTTAAATGTTAGACCTAAAACCGTAAATACCCTAGAAGAAAACCTAGGCAATACTATTCAGGACATAGGCATGGGCAAGCACTTCATGTCTAAAACACCAAAAGCAATGGCAACAAAAGCCAAAATTGACAAATGGGATCTAATTAAAGAGCTTCTGCACAGCAAAAGAAACTACCATCAGAGTGAACAGGCAACCTACAGAATGGGAGAAAATTTTTGCAACCTACTCATCTGACAAAGGGCTAATATCCAGAATCTACAATGAACTCAAACAAATTTACAAGAAAAAAACAAACAACCCCATCAAAAAGTGGGTGAAGGATATGAACAGACACTTCTCAAAAGAAGACATTTATGCAGGCAAAAAACACATGAAAAAATGCTCATCATCACTGGCCATCAGAGAAATGCAAATCAAAACCACAATGAGATACCATCTCACACCAGTTAGAATGGCAATCAATCATTAAAAAGTCAGGAAACAACAGGTGCTGGAGAGGATGTGGAGAAATAGGAACACTTTTACACTGTTGGTGGGACTGTAAACTAGTTCAACCATTGTGGAAGTTGGTGTGGTGATTCCTCAGGGATCTAGAACTAGAAATACCATTTGACCCAGCCATCCCATTACTGGGTATATACCCAAAGGATTATAAATCATGCTGCTATAAAGACACATGCACACGTATGTTTATTGCGGCACTATTCACAATAGCAAAGACTTGGAACCAACCCAAATGTCCAACAATGATAGACTGGATTAAGAAAATGTGGCACACACACACCATGGAATACTATGCAGCCATAAAAATTGATGAGTTCATGTCCTTTGTAGGGACATGGGTGAAGCTGGAAACCATCATTCTCAACAAACTATTGCAAAAGGACAAAAAACCAAACACCGCATGTTCTCACTCATAGGTGGGAATTGAACAATGAGAACACATGGACACAGGAAGGGGAACATCACACTCTGGGGACTGTTGTGGGGTGGGGGGAGGCGCGAGGGATAGCATTAGGAGATATACCTAATGCTAAACGACGAGTTAATGGGTGTAGCACACCAACATGGCACATGTATACATATGTAACAAACCTGCAGGTTGTGCACATGTACCCTAAAACTTAAAGTATAATAACAATAATAATAATAATAGGAATCTAAAAAAAAAAACAATTTAAATAATGTCACCTAAGATTTTTTACAATTAGCAAGTGCTGGGGATTCAATCCAGGGAGTCTGACATCCAGAGCCAATACTTTACTACATGAAACAGCCCTAAAAAGAGCAGAGAATCTGTCTTCACAGATTTTCAAAGAGTAAGGAAACATGGTTAGGCCTAGTGGTCAGGGAATGCTTTGTAGATGCAGTGGGGTGTGGAAAGAGGCCATGAAGAAGAAAGAGGATTTGAAAGAAGAGAGAGGAATGAAGAAAGACTTCTAATAAATATGCTTGCTACGATCAATTCTGTGTCCTCCCTTTTCTATAAAATATGATCCTTGGCCCCTATAATTTCTTGACTCTAAATGTTTGAAAGAGTGAATCAGCATTATCATGGAACAATATGTGCTGATGGGTATAGTCTCCCCCTTTGATTGGTACTTTGCAAGTTTCACAAATAACTAACCACCTGAGAACTTGTCTCCCTTGAACTGAATTCCATTTTAATTTTGTTCACCTTCTTGATTCTCTTCTTTTTGTGTCAAAATTGTACTTTTGCAAAGATGATTTCAAAAGTGTTTTCTTTCTGATTTAGTGCGGCCAGTTTTCAACATTCGGTCTGAAATTGAGGAGTTGCTGTATGAAAAGTGAATTTATTTGAATGGTAAAGTTTCCTGTGAACAGAAATAAAGTATTGTTTCACTCTGAAACTCCTGAGAGTCAGCCACTGTTATTTTATTTGTAGACTTCCTTCCATAGGCTTCTTTAAAAATTTTCAAATGACATCAAACAACCTTCTTCTTGTTATGAAGTAGAAAGTCCTTTTATCTGTAGCTAGGAGGATGCTGTGGGAATTATCAAGCAGGGACAACCAAGCCTATTTTTTATAACAATATATTAACTCTAAAAAGAAAACCTTCTAGTCTCATTGTGACATACCTCCTCTATATCTATAATCCTTAAATTCAGAGATGGTTACAGGAAAGCAGGCCATCAATAATCAGGTAGTGAGATCATCCATGCTCTCGCATCCTTCAAGGGAAGAGACAACATTGGCAGAAGGGAGATAAGGGGAAGAAGAATTTATTGTTCAACTATTTTGTGCTAAGCAAAGCACTGTGTTATGTATTTCACATACCTTAAATCATTTGGCCATTTGAAAACTCCCTGAGAAAACTATTCGTACCTCCATTCTACAGATGAGTAATGGAGAAAAGAATAGTTTTAAATTAACAAAGAGATAAAGAGAAGCTAAGCAATTTACTCAAAAATTGTGTGAGTGGCAAAGCCAGGATTTGAATTCAGATATTTTAGGCAGTAATAAATCATGTCATTTACACTGTCAATTTAATTCTGAGAAGTGATCATTTATGTAAATTTCTTTTTGTAATAAAAAACATAAGAGAAAGCAGAAGATTAGAAAGTGTTGTGCAGAGAGAAGAGTAATCATTCACTGAACACTAAATAAACGTGTTGAATATCAAATGTACTCTTAGACCTATACTTTAAAGCATGACTTAGTAATAATGATATTTGGATTTCTCCCATCAAAAAGCTTTCACTATAAGTTAAAAAATGAGTATTTTATGTCTATAGTGGAGTTAATAAATAGCATTCAATGAGTGCTCAATTTTATCGCACAGTGCTATGGTTTGAGTGTTCCCCACCAAAGCTCATGCAGGAATCTTAATTTCCATTGTGGCAATGTTGGGAGGTGATACTCTACAGAGATGATTAGGTCATAAAGAGAGATTACTGTCTTTTTATGAGATTGGATTAGTTTTCTGAGGAATGGATTAGTCCTGGTGAAAGTGTGTTGTTGCAAATTGAGGTTGCGTCTCATGTTTGGCCACTTTGCTCCCACCTACTTTTCTTTCTGCCTGTTCACCACATTGTGACACAGAAAAACGCTGTCTCTAGAAGCCAAGCAGATGCTAATGCCATGCTCTTGGACTTTCAGTCACCAAAATCATGAACCAAATAAACCTCTTTCTTTATAAATTATCCAGCCTCAGATGTTCTGTTATAGGAACACCAAATGGACTCAGATCCAAAGATAAAAACATTCTTTAGTATATCTCCAGGCTTCGAATTTGCACACATTTTTTCCATGCATTATCTCATTGAATTTCCAATCCTTCCATGAGATGGGCATTACTTGACCTCCTGTATTTTATTAAACCAAGACTCAGGAGCAGTTCAGCACCATAGCTAAGATAATGCAGTTAATAAATTGTGAAGCCATATCTAGAACACTGTTATTTACCTACCAAGACATAGTACTTCAGGCCCTGTAGGCTGACATCCTAATTAATCTATGAATATAAACAATAAAGTCTTATGATCACAAAGGTAAGATATCCTCTGTAGAACAGTCTGGGGAAATTTGCCCTCTTGGAAACTTTTCATCATCTAGCCTTACATAAAGATACTGCATGTTTCTCCACCTATTATGGTGTCATCTCTTGGGATTTCAAGTTCAAACTCACATTTGACCCCTCCAGAACTGGTGTGTGTAGACACTTCCCTTGATATTTTAGATCACCTCTCCCCACCAATATCTCCTGTAGCATTGGAATTTTCTGCTATGGACTTGGATCCTCAGAATCCAAGTGCCATTTTCTGGGCCAGTTGTGACCTCTGCTATAAAAACAAATAGGACCCAAATCAGCTAATGAAGAGACAAATCTTAAGGAGAGGCTTCTAGCACAGGAGAAACCTAAGCTGGGTTCTGAAGAATGGGTGAGATAAGAGGAGGGACACTGGTAGTGAAAAGAGGAGAGAGCAAAATTAAAAGAATAAAGGTGAATGGCTCTGATGTGTACAAGGAAAGTGAGTAAGAAGCAAAATATTGTTCACTAAATTCCAAGGTTGCCACACCACAAACGTGTCTTCAGTCCTTCTTTAGTTCTCGAGTTCCAAATACATACATGTGTGCGTGTGCGCGCACACACACACGGACACACACACACAGCTGTTACTAAACTTCACAGAATTTTTACTTTTTAGTTAGAAATATGTGGACATAAAAGGCTTTGGAGGATTTTGTAAAGATGTAGTGATTCCAAATGTACAGTTTTGTCAGTTTGCTTTTATACTCAAAGCACTGCATAGCTTTCAAAGTAAATATAGATTTTGTTATGTTAGAAAGCTCTGAAGTTACTGTCTTAAAAATTAAAGTAGGAACAGCTTCAGCAAATAGTTGCATAACACATAAGCCTAATGTTTTGATGTATGACTCTCATTAGTAACGTCCTGGAGATGTCATAGCTATAATTGATGCTATTCATTATCTGTTTGACATCCTATGATACACAAAGATAAAGGGGGAAAGAGAAGAGATCTAGCAGTGTTTGACCACCTACTAAGTGACAAGAACTGTGCTTGCTTGATATTTTTCATCACTACGTTTTCCTAACGGTTTTATATTATAAATACTATGCACATTTACAAGATGACAAAAATGAGAAACCGGTTAAATTACTTTGCCAAGATCAAACACCTTGTACTTTTTGAAACCAGGCTTTAAGTTCAAATCTCTAACTTGTCAAAGTCCATGATCTTTACACAATTTCAATTGCATATTGTGATTAGCCAATGGATATATTACTCTCATCTTGGAATATGCATATATAGTTCTAGAAAACTGATATAAAAATGACTTGCTTGATTGATTTGTTTCATTGAGGTATTCATAAACTTAGTTGGAAGCAATGCTAGTTTTCTTTTTGTTTCACTTCAGAAATAAAATGCACTGGTATATATACCTAACATTTGTCATTTAAATATTATAAAATTAATTCAAGAAATGGTCTTTATTAAAATAAAATGACAATAAAAATACTTTGCTTTTATGGTGTTAGTCAGAATAGGTGAAGTTATATTATGAAAAATCCCAAGTGTTGATGAATTAACACAGTACGAGTTTATCCTTCTTTCATTTTACAGCTTAAATCATTGATGAAAACATGGGAGGGGAAGGTCTTCTGTCCCATGCAATTTTTTAAGGATCCAAGCCTCTTTCTTCATGGGCTTCGACTATCTTCAGTATATATGATCCAATAGAAAGAGACGATGTGTCATGCATGCAGGGCACATAGAAACCTTCACTCAGAAGTGGTACATATTATTCCAGTATACATTAACCAGAGCTGGTCATATGGCCCTACCTTGATAAAAGGGTAGGGGAATATGTTCCTTACTGTGATATTTTCCTAATAGCGATTCTAAACCATGGGGAAAGAGCCAAATAATTTCTGGTGGTCTGCAAACAATCTTTTTCACTGTGTATCCTTCTGGTCATCACATATCCAAGCATATCTGTATTAGGCTTCTATTACAGTAGTCCTCCCTTACCTGTGGTTTTGCTTTCCATGGTTTCAGTTATCTATGCTCAACCATAGCCTGAAAATATTAAATGCAAAATCCCAGAAATAATTCCTAAGTTTTAAATTGCACACCGTTCCTATGAATGTGCTGAAAGCCCACACTGTCCCATTCCAACCTGCGTTGGAGGAGAATCATCCCTTTATTCTGCGTATTTATGCTGTATTTGCTACCCATCCATTAGTGTCTTTGCAGCGACCTCAGTTATCAGATCATCTGTGGAAGTATCAGTCCTTGTGTTCAAGTGAACCTTATTTTACTTAATAACGACCCCAAAGTGCAAAAATAGCAATATTGGCAATTGTAATATGCCAAAGAGCAGCCGTAAAGTGCTTTCTTTAATTGAAAAGGTGAAAGTTCTTGTCTTAATAAGGAAAGAAAAAAATCACATGCTGAAGTTGTCAAGGTCTAAGGTAAAAACAGATCTTCTAACTCTGAAATTCTGAAGAGGGAAAAATTAATTTATGGTAGTTTTGCTGTCATACATCAAACTGCAATAGTTACAGCTGCAGTTCTCAGTTAAGATAAAAAGGGCATTAAAGGCTAACAATATATAGGGTGTACCATTCATGGTTTCAGGCATCCACTGGGAGTCTTGGAACATAGACTCCACAGATAAGGGGAGACTACTGTAATGCATAATAAATTAAAACATACTTAGATCTTTAAAACCACATTTTCTGAGGATCAGAAATTCAACCAAGGATTAGCTGGGTCATTCACTAGGAGTCTCACAAACCTACAATCAAGCATGGGCCACGGCTGGATTTTTGTCTGCAAGCTCAAGTTGAGGGGTTGTGGGAGCATTTCCTAGTTCTCTCTCAGGACACTAGTAGTAGAATTTATTTCGTGTGGCTGTAGGATTCGCAAAAACTTGCTTTTTCAAAGCCAGCAATGGACAGAGAGAGACTTTAGAGTGGGTCTGCTAGCAGACGGTTTTATGTAATGTAACATAATCACGAAAGCAACGTCCCATCACTATTCACATTTAGTATAATCACAGGAGAAACATTTCATCACCTTTGCTATTGGTGGTTGGTGATTACTATTGGTCTGTTGCCTAGAATCAAGTCACAGGTCCTGCCAACCTGCCAGGGAAGGAGATTATACAAGGGTGTTATTATCAGGCGGTGAGTACCATGGGAGCAACCAAAACATATTTCCTCTAATTACAGAATACACTCAGCTCTTCCCCAGTGAAGAAAATCAAACATTCCCTTCAGTCACTGTGTTTAGTTTAAAGTTAAGGATTTTTTTTATTTAAGCGTAGTCCTTGTCATCAGACTGGGGTGTGGCTGCCCTGCATCCAGCAACGTATGAACTAAAAATATAAGTTAACTGCTCACACCCACTAACACATATAGCTCAGATACAAGATTAAATGGGTTTAGGGTGACCGCAGTAAAATATTTCCTTCAAATAACAGAAGACTGAAAGATCCACAGAAGACAGAGGTCAGTCACAGTTATAGAATCTTGCTGGGCATGCATTGAAGACTGGTTGTCCTGGGAGTGAGATATTCACTCAGCTAGGCACTGCTTCTGACCTCTAGGTGGGAGAGGGGCATCCTAGGCTGTAATGCTTTCTTTCCTCTGGCTCTGCCTGCTTCCTTTTTGAAAGCTCTCTTGGACACATTGAATAAAGACATGGGTTATCTTGAGGGATCCCTTGGATGATAAACCAAGGTCTAAAAGTTTCTTTTGGTCTCAACTAGTCAAGAGGATTATCTTCAGAAACACTTTTCCTTTGATACCTTACTAGGCTTCTGATCTATTGGCTTCCAGTTGGCTCCACATGTTGGGAACCACACCTAGATTATTTCCCGGGGCATAGTTTTTCTTTGTGCCTTTACCTTTCTTACTCTACCCACAGCTCTATTCCCCCACCTCTCACTTTTCCTCTTAGCTTAATGGCAACTTTAAGCTATCAAGATTGAATGAGAAGGCTATACCCTTAATCCAATCTCTATTGCAATACTGGATTCTGATTGGCCTTTGCTTCCCAAAGTCTTTTTCAATGTCCTTCCCTACGGTTTAAGCCTAGAAGTTGGCTTTTCTTCCAATTTAAAGTCTGAGATGCCTAAACCATTCCTTTTCGTTTATGCTTGAAAACCTGTTGATTCTTTCCTGAATTAATTTCTCTCTTACATACCTTGGTAGAGTCAATAACTACCAGCACATATAACTAACATTGTGTGTTACCACTTCTTCCTTAGAAACACAAATTGTTTAGTCACAATGTAACATGCTTACTGTCTTTCCACCCTATAACATCCTTTTCCTTGCCATCCACTAGGCCAAAATCTCAGAAAGAAATATTATCTTAGGAAACTCCCTATTTCTGACACCATATATTCAAGTAATCAGATTTGTATTAGGAAAATACCACTCAATAAATTTTGAACAAAATATTATACAATACAGAGATTTAGAGGCATATAAAACCATTGAAATAGTTGAGGGCATTGGAATCAGAAATTTTACATATACATTTACATATTACTTGGCAAAGCTTAATCTTCTTCCATAAAGGGTTAGTGGCATCAAATGAAAAAAAGACAAAAATTGTACAGTGCAGGGCTGGGTGCGGTGGCTCATGCCTATAATCCCAGCACCTGGGGAGGCCGAGGTGGGCAAATCATGAGGTCAGGAGACTGAGACCATCCTGGCTAATGCAGTGAAACCCAGTCTCTAATAATTATACCAAAAAAAAAAAAAATTAGCTGGGCATGGTCATGTGCGCCTGTAGTCTCAGATACTCAGGAGGCTGAGGCTGGAGAATCGCTTGAACCCAGGAGGTGGAGATTGCAGTGAGCCGAGATTGGACCACTGCACTCCAACCTGGGCAACAGAGCGAGACTCTGTCTAAAAAACAAAACAAAAAAAAGTATAGTGCATAATATTTATTGGATTAATTATTCATAATAAATATTAGATAATTACTCATGAAGCCCACTTCTATCCCAGAGACTTAGAGAGCAACTTAAAGTTCAGCATATCTGCCACTTGGCCTGCAGAATTAACCCAGTTCAACCCAAGAAATGTCTGATAGAAGAATGATGATGAAGAAAAGACAAAACAATATTCCTATTGATTATTTAACTACCGGTCATTGGTATTTCTACAGGATAATGTTTGCATTGATGTATTTTGCCAAGGGGAATAAAAACATCCATGATCTCTTCTTAAACTTTTTCATACCTAATGAGCCAGAGGGAAATTTTCAATCTATAGCCTAGCGGTGTCACTCAACTAAATAGAAAAAGAAAGAAAGAATGGCCTGAAGTCACATGGAAGCTTCAAGAGCCCACATTGGCAGAGTTCACAATTTAGCCAGCCTCATAAGGAAGAAGCAAATTTTATGCTGTTTTATATCTATGGAAATACAAATTTGAACCAAGATTTGCATGACTCTGCTTCTCATGAGCTGTGTGATATTGACAAAGCTACTTAAATTTTTAAGCAAGTTACCTTCATCATTGAGGGTGGGAAATTCCTGTATTTCAAAAATATAATGATAATTAGAAAACATGAATAGAATGGGTGTTCAATAAAAGGTAGAAGATTTTACATTACATAAGGGTGAAATGAAGAGATGAAAAAAGGAAGGAAGGAAGAAATTTAAAAAGGAAAAAATAAAATGTAAAAGGAAACTGCAAAACATGAAATCATAGACAAAGATGTAAAACAAATAGTGTTTCTAAATAGTGAACCAGAAATTAACATCAAGGCCACCTATTTGTTGGATGGATTTTTATACGTAGTTGGCTCTTTAAACATTACATTGTTTCAATTCACTTCTATTCAGAGACATTTATTGAATATCTATTACCCACTTGCCATGCAATCCATCAGGCATCATGGTGCAGGTGGCCCTGAGAGGCTGGAGTTGGGATCTGAGACAGATGCAGTTATGGGTAACTCCAGGAATCTACACTATGGTAATCAGAGAATTTTACTGGATTAAATAAACATCATGACTAGACTACAGACTCAAGAAAAAAGTTACAATATGAATGGAGTGCTAAGAAATTAATTTTTCTTTGCCAACCAAGTATACCATCTAAACAAGATTCCCAATATGTGAAAGCCACCATCAGTTAGGACACTGCCCACTTTTCAATAGAGTGATAATAAAATATTATTTTATACAACTTGCTGAGAATTTTCAATTTCTGAATATAAGATGCTAAAAAGTTTGGCAATCACAAAACTAAATGAACAAAAATAATAGAATACTATTATATTCAATTCAGAAATAGGTCCTGTATAGTTCTTAAGGGTCTGAGAAAGTATTTTCCTTGTGGCTTAAAGGTATGTTTTAAATTATAATGAAACTTCTTATTTTTATAAAACTCTTCCATGGCTCCTCCTAAAAATACCCTGGAAAATTTGTTAACACAACACAAATTATTTCCACAACTGTTTTGGAAAATGCTTAAATGATCCATAAACCCTTTAAAAAGTGTTTCCTTTCTGGAGAAAAAGCAAGATGTAATAAACAGGCATTAGTTTTTTACAAATGAAACCTCAAATCCTAATTCTTCTATGACTACTTTCATTTCTTGATTATTTTACTTAAACTTCACCACAAAATGAAGAAAATGGTGGTGCTGAGAATATTCAGTGACAAGGAATGCGTGGAAAACACCTGTTACAGTGTACATGCTCAGTAAACAGTAGCCATAATCATTCCACTTCTGAGTTCCAAATTCTGGTGCACACTCTGCAATTTTATCGTTCTGCTACATCTACTAAGACTCATGTAAAAAGAGATCAATAAAATGGCTAATATCCCTCCTCAATGTGGCTGTTTCTGTTTGTTTCTTATCTCCTTACTCTCTATCAAACAAAACTCATTTTCTTTGTTCATCCCTAAAATAAAATGGAAGTAAAATAAAATGGAGCTCTAATCTTTATGGTTCAAAATAATTTGGTTCAAAAGAGAGACCAAGAGAAGTCACCCTGTGCCATACATGCACCAACTCTCCTTATTGGACCATAGCAGAAAATGTGGAAATAAAATTTTAAAAATAATGCATTAAAAACAGGAAAGGGCTTATCTCTGTTAAGAAATGAGCCTTTTGTGGATTTGTCAAACTGCTGGCAGGTAATTGTGTTGATGAGTACCGAATTCACTGAATCATCGAGTCTACAAATAGAGCATCAATTTTTCATTATTTTGACTGGGTACATAGTTTGCCCTTCATTATACTCTTGTGACAATTTTCTCAAAGAAAATACCAACAAATTGTATCAGAAAATACTAATGCAGAAAATACAAATGGCTTTTTAATGGGAAAGCCAAGCTTCAACATACTCGGGTGCAATTATTTTCATCGTCATAAATTTGCTATTTGTTCCTTTCTTGCTCCTTTCCTTAATTAACAAAGTTTTTAGAAAAGCATTATAAATTTATGGCCTCAGCTTCCCCTGACACAGTTTTAAACTCTTGTATGAGACTTTTTTTTCCCCATCCATTCTGTAGAAACTTTTCCTCAGTAGGTTTTTTCATCCTTTAGCAATTGCCTCAGCCAGCTATTTTCCAGTTTTACAAGTTCCTTCAAAAGCTATTCCTTTTGTGGGGCATTAATGATACTGCTTTTGTCTACTTCTCCTTATACATTTGAAATTATTTCTTCTCAATCTCCGTCAAGTTTACTTATTTCTTTATTTGTTCATTCTCATGATGTTCCCAGATTAGTCTGTTCATTCTCTCTCTCTCTCCCACATTCTTCTCTCTCATTTGACCATATTATCTACCCTCAATGTGTTTATTATTACATTAATCTACAACTTTAAAACTCTCTTCTCAGCTACAGATACGTATTTCCAACCAATTTCTCATTACCTCCTCTGGATCATTCAGCAGTAACTGAAAACAAAATTATTAATTCCTTCCCTGGCCCTTTCACCTCCAAAGAGGCATTGTGTCACAGCTCTTTACAAGAAGAACTACAAACCACTGCTCAAAAAATCAGAGATGACACAAACAAACGGCAAAATATTCCATGCTCATGGATAGAAAGTGCTGATCCACTCAAGAAGGATTAAAGACTTACATGTAAAACCCAAAACTATAAAAACCCTGGAAGACAACCTAGGAACTACCATTGAAGACACAGGCAAGGGCAAAGATTTCATGATGATGAAGATGCCAAAAGCAATCACGACAAAAGCAAAAATTGACAAATGAGATCTAATAAAACTAAAGAGCTTCTGAACAGCCAAGGAAACTATCAAGAGAGTAAACAGACAACCCATAGAATGGGAGAAAATTTTTGCAAACTATGCATTCAAGAAAGTTCTAATACCAACATCTGTAAGAAACTTAAACAAATTCACAATTTTTAAAAAAATCCCATTAAAAAGTGGGCAAAGGACATGAACAGACACTTTGCAAAAGAAGACATACATGTGGCCAACAATTATATGAAAAAAAGCTCATCACTGGTCATTAGGGAAATGCAAATCAAAACCACAATGAGATACCATCTCACACCAGTCAGAATGGCTATTAATAAAAAGTCAAGAAATAACAGATGCTGGCAAGGTTGTGGAGAAAAAGGAATGCTCATATACTGCTGCTGGGAGTGTAAATTAGTTCAACCATTGTGAAAAACAGTGTGGAGATTCCTCAAAGACCTAAACATGGAACATTCGACCCAGCAATCTCATGACTGTGTATATACAAAGGAATACAAATCTTTCTATTATAAAGACACATGCACACATATATTCATTGTAGCACTATTCACAATAGCAAAGACATGTAATCAACCTAAATGCCTATCAATGATAGACTGTATAATGAAAATATCATACATATACACCATGGGATACTATGCAGCCACAAAAAGGAATGAAATCATGTCTTTTGCAGGGATGTGGATGGAGTTGGAGTCCATTATTCTTAGCAAATTAATGCAGGATCAGAAAACCAAATACCACACATTTTCACTTGTAATTTGGAGCTAAATGATAAGGACACATAGAGGGAAACAACACACTGTGGGGCCTATCATAAAGGTGGAGGGTAGGAGGAGGGAGAGGAACAGGAAAAATAACTAATGGGGACTAGGCTTAATACCTGGATGATGAAATAATCTGTACAACAAACTCCCATGACAAAAGTTCACCTATGGAATAAACCTGTACATGTACCCTTGAGCTTAAGGTAAAAGTTTAAAAAAAAACAAACGTCGTGTTAAGTCCATCTTGGTTGGTGGTTGGGAAAGGGGTCTTTTCTCTACCTGTCTGTACACATAATATTTTGTCCAAGGGGATTGCAGAAGTCTAGCTTCCTTAGAAGTCATGATGTTTATAGGTGTGAAACTCCAGAGACCATGTCCCTAAAAATTGCATTCTACTGTCTTTTGAATCATCCATTTACTCCTTCCTTGTTTAGTCAGTGTACAAATATTGAGTGCCTACCATCATGGTACCAGATGCTCAATTAATTACCATTCCTAAACTCCCCAAATACTTCATGTACTCCTTATTGTATCACATATAATAGTTGCTTTTGTTAAAATTGATTACAGAAATGTTATAGCTCCACAATATCATGTCTTCAAGTCTTTAAGATGTCTTATCTATTTTTATGTGTGCTATAGCAACTGTTTGCCCCTAGCTAATTGAAAAATACTTGTCAAACTTAAATGCAAGTTAGTGACATATTTGATAGTGATAGTCACCAGTCATTGGTGGTATAGACAACCTGATTCTTTTGCTCTGAAGAGCAGAGCTGGTGAAGGACACAGGATTTTCTCCACCATGTATCTGACTCTTTGAACAAATTGGGTTTTGGTCATGGTATTTATGCACTCAAGAGAAACATTAATTCAAATTATGTTTGGGGTAATTTATGCTCACTTACACAATACTGGGCAGAATCCTTACTTGATCAAACTTTTTCTTCATACTGATCTCAAGGTAAATTATAGTAAATTAGAACTGCAGTGTTATGAACTGAAGTGTGTTCCTTCAAAAGTCATATGTTAAAGCCAAAGCCCTTGCCCCCAGTGCGATGGTACTTGGAGATAGAAACTTTGAAGAGGAACTAAAGTTAAATGTAGTCATAAAGGTGTGGCCCTAACTAACCTAAGCTTGAGCGTCTTTATAAGAAAAGGAACAGACACCAGAGATCTGTCTTCCTTTATGCTATTACAGAGGAAAGGTCATGTGAGAACATAGTTCCCAATAAGGCCAGAAGCAAGCCCTCAGTGGAAACCAAATTTGACAGCACCTCCACCATGAACTCTAGCCTCCAGAACTGTAAGAAAATAAATGTCTGTTGTTTATACCACCCATCCTGTGTTTTTGTTATAGCAGCCTGAGCAGATTAATGCATGCAAAATAGCATTTAGAGAGCAGGGAGGCACCATGCACTTCTTTTGTTTGTTTTGAGATGGAGTCTCGCTCTGTCACCCGGCTGGAGTGCAGTGGTGTGATCTCAGCTCACTGCAAGCTCTGCCTCCTGGGTTCATGCCATTCTCCTGCCTTAGCCTCCAGAGTAGCTGGGACTACAGGCGCCCGCCACGACGCCTGGCTAATTTTTTGTATTTTTAGTAGAGACGGGGTTCCACCGTGTTAGCCAGGATGGTCCTGATCTCTTGACCTCATGATCCACCTGCCTTGGCCTCCCAAAGTGCTGGGATTACAGGCCTGAGCCACTGTACCCGGCTGGCACAGTGCACTTTTTTTAACAGTGAGCCTTATTCTTAAAGTCAACATTGATTTGTTAATTGCTTATTCATTGCTATTGTTTTCTGATTCTAAATATGTTCTTTGTAGAAAATCTGGAAAAGACAGGAATAAAAAGTAAAAAAAGTAGGCTAGGCTAGCTTATCTCATAATAAACATTCTAAATTCTTATTAAAATCTCCAAGGCACCAAAAAAAATTAACAGTTTTGAAAGTTTACCAACCCAATCGCAGAATCTAAGAGAAAGTTTAATCAAACATCTATCCTATTTAACATAATTTAATCTGCAATTGTTGGCCCATCTACTCTAGTGGTTCCAGCTGAAAAGAAAGGGAGCAATTATTTGTTAGGGTGGGTGCTCTTATCCTCCTTTCCTGTTTCTGGGAGTGTTATACTGTCGACACCCCTTATTCACTCCTCCGTGTAGGAAACACATGCTCTCTTCCTCCTTCAGGCTTAGGTCATACAGACAGTACCACCAGGTGAAGGCCTGAGCTTGTCTTACTCCACATGAGAAGGTAGGTCCATCTAGTTCAGGGTACAATAACAGTAATTCCACTTGGCTGCAGATCTTAATCCAAGTTCTCCACCAATTTTATTATTAATGAAGTGAATTTTAATCTCAATATGCCTGGATTCTATGCCAATCATCCACTGATTCAGAAATCAGGCAGAAAAAATTGTTTTATAACAGGCCCCTTAAAATAGCTAGGAAGACTTTTTGTCACCTTTTCCTAGATTTCAAAGGTACAATTTGTTTTGTAATAGAAAACTGAGTTATTGTCACTTTTTCTTGGCTTCTTATCGTGTTCTCCAATTGGTGCCTCCAAATTCAGAAAATGCAAAATGAGAAACAACTAATTTAGAGATTGGGATAGGGATTTGCATGTGGCCAGCAGTGGTATATTCTATGATAAGAAGAGAGGTAGGGTAGAAGAAGATTACACATTATCTAAGAAGACCTTCTAAGTGAAAATTCTTTAGTTTCTGTTCACTGGGCTATGAGATGAGAAGATGACCTGCTTTTGATCCACAAAGGGAAAGTGATTTTCAGCCAATCAGGGATGGGATGGAACCCAAGACAAGATATACGGTGTGTCATTTGACAAATGCTGGTTCTGGGTAGACACCAACTTTCAAAAATGAGTAAAATGCAATTTTCAGATAAATGGGCAATTGTAATAAAATGTGAAATGTGCAATAATTGGAACAACTTGAGGGTCATGAAAAATGTACTGCAGACAAAAGTAAAAGACTGGGTACTTTAATGCTTGTGGATGACTCACTTCTGAAAATTATTTATAAAGGGAACTATTTTTATGTTATTACTTTTAGAGCTCAGTCAAGCAGATTTCTACAAGAAGGCATTCTCTGAAAGAATGCCAAACATAAGAGATAAAAAGACAATACAATGACATTGAAAAGATGATTGATATAGTATGGATATTTATCCGCGCCTAAATCTTATGTTAAATTGTAATCCCCATTGCTGGAGGTGGGGGACCTGGTGGGAGGTGTTTAGATCATGGGGGTGACCCCTCATGAATGACCTGTGCCATCCCCTTGATAATAAGTGAGCTCCTGCTCTGAGTTCACACAAGATCTGGACATTTAAAAGTGTGTGGCACCTCCCCCCTCTCTCTCTTGCTCCTGCTTTTGCCATGTGAGGTGCCTGCTCCCCCTTTGCCTTCCGCCATGATTATCAGCCTCCCGAGGCCTCTCCGGAAGCAGATGTCTCTATGCTTCCTGTACAGCCTGCAGAACCGTTTGCCAATTAAACCTCTTTTCTCATGAATTACCCAGCATCAGACATTTCTTTATAGCAATGCAAATGGACTAATAACAATGATAGCTAGGATATGAAAGTGTTTTATTTGTATATGGAGAATAACAATAAGACAGAGATAAAATTCTAAGTTTAGAAAATCAAAATCTGACCTAAAAGTTGAGGGGTTTTGCTTTGTTTGTTTTGGGATAGTATAAGAATACTTAGAAAAGAATAAAATTGAATGATATATTTGTTTTTCCAAGATCCTGAGGTTGAAATGGACCTAATGTATTGCTTTAAAACACTCATTAAAAATAAAACAAAGAAAAAATAACAAATAAGAGGAAATACATCTGAGCATATTCTGAGAGAGATGTGAAGTGGAATTTAAAGCAGAAAAAAAAATTTACAACTATTAAGAAAACTATTAGGCCAGGCACAGTGGCTTACGCCTGTAATCCCAGCACTTTGGGAGGCTGAGTTTGAGATCAGCGTGGCCAATATAGTGAAACCCTGTCTCTACTAAAAATACAAAAATTAGCCAGGCATGGTGGCATGCATCTGTAGTCCCAGCTACTGGGTAGGCTGAGGCAGGAGAATCGCTTGAACCCGGGAGGTGGAGGTTGTGGTGAGCTGAGATCTCGCCACTGCACTTTAGCCTGGGCAACAGAGTGAGACTCCGTCTCAAAAAAAAAAAAACAAAAAAACTGTTAATAAATAGCTACGTCTAGAAATAATAGAGTTATTATCAGACTTCTGTGTATCACTAAATGTTCAAAGATAAAGGAAGAATACTTCAAAATCAGAAGAAAAATATAAAGTAGTCAAAGAATGTTATACCAGCCAAGTTGTCATTTATATCTGAAAATAAGTTAAAAGTAAATAATATGCAAATACTAACATATATATGTTAAATTACCTCAAAAAATCACTTAATGATATGTTTCAATTGGTGGAGAGACAAATACAAACTAGAAAAATTATAATAGAAAACTTGGGGTTTTCAAAAACTTTTAGGTCTTCTCTTTCTTCGTTTGTACCCCAAATTCTATAATAATAAAGGCCATATGTTTTTCAGAGTACTCTGTCCATGGGGAAGAAACTTGGCCCTGTTTTACTTTTGTCTTTTGGTAGTATTTACAACTGTCCTTCTTAATAGGCAAGCTTTACTCTTGATGTGTTTCATATCACTTAAAACCATTATTGATATTGCTTGTTTCCTCTATTTAACTATGACCAAATGTTTGACACACACTGCCAGAAAAATTGTCAGACAAATTATGTTTTATTTTTGCTTTTCTCTCTCACCAAATAAAGCAGGTATCATTGAGCTACATATGGCCATTTTTATAATCAAGGGAATGAAAATATTATTTTCTGCAACTCTAAAACACCTTTGAATTAATTAAAGTCATTTTTAAAAATCAGGTAAATAAAGCAGACAGGAAAAAATTCTCCAGTATCACTCACTTGTTCACTGCATGTTCTGAGTGCCTGCAAATGCCAGGTATTATTCTAGACTTTAAGACTATATCTGTGAGCAAAATATATATGATACCTGTATGAGGAACTTTATAGTCTAGTGGGTGTGGGTGATACAGATAAATACATTGGCAATAGTAATTATTGAAGGTAATCACAAGTGTTTTTAGATAACGTATCTCCTATAACTAATCTTGTGTTGACATTTTATGTTGTTGTTAAAATAACGGTATACGGAGCCTGATTTCAACCATGAAAATATAATGCAATGAAAAGCTGAAAGAAACACTCTAAAATATTAGTGGTGGTCATTTCTAGTTGGCAAAATTACGAGCTTTTTGTTTCCTTTATTTTCTCTTTTGTATGTCTTGTTCAAAATGTTTAAAGTGAGAACAAGGAAATCAAATAAGTATATATACAAACATTTGTCTATCTCATAGTATGAAGATAAAAAAAGCTAAGCAGCAGAAAGTTCAGGGCTATCATTTTTCTTCACCTTTTTATTTTGAAATCTTTTCCAAGTTCCTATAAAATAAGAGATAATATCTTATATACTATATCTTAAAAAAGAAAATGAGATAAAAATACAAATATTTAATTTGCATAATTTTATATTTTTCAATTGCACATACTTCTGGATGTTCATTTTTTATACTTCTCTTACATGAGGAGTTTTCCATTTTTATTACAATCACTAAAATGTCACTTGGAGTGTTTTTTGAGAATGTCTCTTTGTGGGTATGCTATTATTTAATTTGTCATTTCCCTTTTATTAGACATACGGCTGATAATAGTGTCAAGTAGGAATACCATGAGCAGTGTGTGCCTAAATCTTTATCCGGATCTCAGAATATTCTCTTTCAATAGAGTCTCAGACCCAGGAAAACTGAATTCAAAGACACAAACTCTGAGCACTTTTGAGATACAGCCAAGTAACCCATCTACGAGTGTTTTCCATCTTTAAACAATTTGGGATTGTGTGCAGGCTCTGCTCCAGAGTATCTGCATTATCTTGGAAAATAACCCCTGTAAGCCTCAGTTTCTTCACCTATAAAGTAAGGACTAATACTACCTCATAGTTTAGAGTGCAGATTAAAGGAGAAGGTGCATTCACTGGATTTAACACAGTACTCAGCAAAAAGCAGATGATCAGCAACTGTTCTCTCTTCGCCTTTCCTGGAAGATAACTACCTTTGCTGCGATCTCACTTTTCTTTTTTTTTTTTTTTATTATACTTTAAGTTTTAGGGTACATGTGCACATTGTGCAGGTTAGTTACATATGTATCCATGTGCCATGCTGGTGCACTGCACCCACTAACTCATCATCTAGCATTAGGCATATCTCCCAATGCTATCTCACTTTTCTACCCTAAATCCTTTCTGCAGTTCCCTTTTCATCCAGCCATCAGCAATGCCCCTGGAGCTCTGCTTTTTGCAGCTCTGCCTTCCTTTTTACATTTCTTATTCCCAGCTACATTGCCTGTGCCCCATCTATATTAGAAGGAGCTTATCTTATTTCTCCGCTCTATAAATAACAGACTGCTGATAAGAATAATAATGGAAAGTCAGATTACAGCAGAGTAGAATCAGGGGGAAATAAAGGTAACATTGAGTGAAGTTCAAGCGGGAAGAAAGGAGACATAGTGGATAAATGATTCTATACCCAGAGGTGATGAATGCCATCAAGCAATAAATAAGCAAGAAAAAAAAAAAAAGGTCAGCATGAATACAGAGGAGTGAAAAGAAATCAAGGAATAGCGAGAAAGCCAAACAGGATACAAAAAGACAGGTCTTGAGCTAAGGGAGTGGAAAAAATGGCTAACGGCATGGATTTCAGGATAAAAGGCAGAGTGCTCAGGGGTGAGAGAAGATCCAGTCCATCATGAAAGCATTTCAGGCACAAAAGGAAGACAAGGTCAATGAAGAGCCAGGGACGCCAGCAGAGAGCGGCGTTGATAAGGTATTGATGTTCGAGTCCTGAAAAAAACAGATAGGATTTTAATCACCTGGAGATGAGCACAAAGGACAAGAGCAAATGTTGAAAGTTGGTATTTAAAAGCAACCACAAACTTGTGTGAAGCTGCAGACGACTGTGTATAGCACCCAGTCGGATGCGCCGAGTTGCAAATTTCAGAAAATAAATAAAATTTTAAAAGTGAGATATGTCCAGCCCTTGAGTGGCCCGTGGCCACTAGTTGCCCTGAGAATGGTAATTCTTTTATGGTTAACTTCTTCTTCTCTTCCTAAGGGTGGAGTCCTAAAACAAGTTTCTGACCTGTCCCCCTACCTCTGACAGTGGCTGTCTGATGGATGTTTTTGAAGAACAGCTTGGAGAGTGCCACCCACTTACTGCAACCCCTTCTGTGGTTTGCTGCTGCCTGCGGAGTAGAGCCCAAATTCCTGGCTCTGGTACCAAGACCTCCACCATGCAGCACAAACTGAACATGCCATTTGGATTCTCCATATTCCCTGTAAGATGTCTCAGGCTCTGGAGTCTATAATTCTCTCCCTTGTGTAGGCAGATACCACTGCCCTCTGTCACTTGAATACATTGAGAAGCAGGGCCCGCAGACTGGGCCAAGGGCTTCACACGCCCGCCGTTATGTGCTGAGAAGAGACGGCTCATCCCGGCTTACTTTGTGCGAATGCTTCTTGTCCCAAACACATCCGCACATTATCACCTATAATCCTCGCGGCAGCTCCATGAGGGAGAAATTGCTTTCCTCTTTTTACAGATAAGGTAGGAGTCACTATCCTTTGTTTATCACAGAGGAGTTAAGTGATGTGCCCAAAGCATCGCTTTGGGCAGTAAGTGTCCGAGCCAGTCTCTGCAGTTGTCTTGCAAAGTCTATGCTTTAATGACTGACTGTTGTGTTTCTGCTTCCCAACCAAACTTTTCTTGAAGTGTTTTGTGCTGGACCAAACTGTTTGTTTTTGCTTGATGTTCAAACTGGCATTCTGACCATTTGTTATGATCTTCTTCTCCGTGACTCTTTTAAAGTTGATATTATCATCCATTTTGGAATAGTCTATTAACTTGGTAATAGTTTTCTGTCTTAGGCTTTGACATCAGACAGAGCCTAATTTCAATCTCAATTGTGCCAATGACTTAAGTCATTAAAACTGTTTGTGCCTCAGTTTCCAGAAAAAATAGAGTAAGAGGCCAGGCATGGTGGCTCAAGTCTGTAATCCTAGCACCTTGGGAGGCCGAGGCAGGTGGATCACCAGAGGTCAGGCGTTCAAGACCAGCCTGGCCAACATGGCTAAACCCCATTTCTAATAAAAATACAAAAAAAAAAAAATTAGCCAAGTGTGGTGGTGAGTGGCTATAATCCTAGCTACTCAGGAGGCTGAGGCAGAAGAATCACCAGGACCCGGGGGGCGGAGGTTGCAGTGAGCCAAGATTGTGCCACTGCACTCCAGCCTGGGCAACAGAGCAAGACTCCATCTCAAAAAAAAAAAAAAAAAAAAAAAAATAGAGTGAAAAGAGAATGAAGATCTTTTTCCTGTCTACCTCCCAGGGTTGTTAGAAAAATCAGATTAGACAATGAATGAGAAGGTGCTTTCTAACATAGAACATGCTCTGTAAATGTACAGAATAATTAGGACATCATCTTGCCATCATCATTTTTGTGTCTCTTAATCCAAGCACAGACCAAATCTGTCCATAATCCTTGATTGGACCTTTCAGGCACTTAACTATCACTAAAGTACCATAAGTTCCTGTAATAATCTTAGGATATTGAAAAACACTTCCAAAATGCTTCATTCCTAGATTGAATTAAAAATTTCAATAATTTTCTCACCTGATCCAAAAGGCAAATCATTATGCCAGGAGTCATATGTGACTTTATATTTTTCTTCACCCTTAAGTGTTGGTACTTCTATAAATTTGTGAAAAAGAAGAACCAATAAAGATGAAACAATACCACATGAAGTGATTTATTTCCAGATCCAATAGAGTCGTCCTGAAATACAGAAAGAATACATTTTCACTGATTTATTGCTTTGCCAATTAAAAAGCAATTTAGTCAGATTTCATTATAGTTTCTCCACTGTGAAGAAGCCAGAGGAAAAGCTTTAATTTTTAAAGGCTGACCTTGTTGCATCTCATCTAAGAAAACTAGAAAATATCAGACTTTTCTCTTAAAAGTTGGAGTCTCCAAGCCTCAATTTCTTTTTTCTTGCTAAAACTCAAGGTGGGAAATAGGGCAACTTTACGTCTTCGTAACTATTTTATATAGGTTCAGAAGATGACTAGGTAATCATGAAGAGATTGTGAAAAATAAATCAATAATCAAATTCTGATAACAATGACACTTGTTTTCACTTCTGTATAGTTTATATAGCATGATTTGGATTTATTTTTACATTAATCACTATGACATACATGACTTTCATCACCTTTTTTAAGATGAAAAATCCAGCCTCAGACAGGAGAAATTGGCATGCTGAAGAATCCAGAATTAAATATGTCAAAATATGAGCAAATAGTCTGAAGATTAGAGAGCGAAGTTGTGCAATGCAGTCCTTCTACATATAGTACCTCACATCCTCATGACAACAATCTCTTTAGATAAAACCAATAATTTCCTTTTGAAATTATGGCATTGATGCTATAAGAATCAGGCAGCTTCCCTTTGTCTCCCAACCTAGGAGAGCCAGAGCCAGAGCCCGAGCCAGAGCCCGAGCCCGAGGGTGAATCCAGGGTTTTCTGCCCCTAGAGGCTTCGATAGTCCATGGGGCCACAGCATTTTCTTATTGAAAATCAGAAAAAAGTCAAAAGAATTCATGAGTAGAATTTGTCTATATGAGAGAATGCCACTGTGGTCACAGCAGGGCATTGTAGGCAGTCCCATAGTGCCTCAGCCTTAATAAGGACCCTGATGAAGGCGTCAGGCGAAGTGGCAACTGGATTCCCCAGGCTGCCAATTCTGAATGTCTTTGACCATAATGCTCTTGGACACAGAAGGTTCATGAGTCAACCCAATAGACCTCAGATGAGCCCATGAAGTTCACCTGTGCAAAGTCCAGTGTGCATGTTCTCTGCAAAATGGAAGAGCCTTTCCACATGGAACAAGGTAGGAGCATAGCTTCAGAGGAGCCGAGCTGAAAAGGGCATTCAGAGAAGTCCCCACTGGCAAAGAGGACACTTTTGTTAGCTGAATTTCTAAGATTTATCTAAAAAGTGAACCTAATTTCCCAGGAAGAGCACCTGAAATGAGTATAAGGTATAGCTGTGGAGTCAGAAGCCTGCCCTCTGGCTGGCTGTGGAAATTTTAGGGCTTGGGTCTGTCCCATGTGCCAATCAACCTTGAAGGGTCCTGGCTAGAGAGGAATGAAGGGCTCTGTGCTCAGCCCCAGCACAAGGCTGCCAAGCCTCCCTTTTTTATTTTTTTCTGAGACAGGATCTCACTCTGTCGCCCAGGCTGGAGTACAGCCTCCACTTCCTGGGATCAAGGGATCCTCCCACCTCAGCCTACTGAGTAGCTGGGACCACAGGCATGCACCACCACACTCGGTTAATTTTTGTATATTTTTGCAGTCAAGGTTTTGCCATGCTGCCCAGGCTGCTCTCAAACTCTTGACCTCAAATGATCCACCTGCCTCAGCCTCCCAAAGTGCTGGGATTACAGGCATGAGACACTGCGCCTGGCCAGAAGCCTCCTTTTTATGATTCACTTATTTGCACTTGTTCTCTGCTTGCCCATTGGGTTCTGAAAAGGTCCCTTGCAGTCTAAGAAACAGCAACATATACAGACAGGTAAATGTATCCTATACTCTGTTCTTTCTCCCTTCTGGTCTGAGAGTGGGAGGATAGAGCCTTTTAGTAACTGGCCTATTCCCTGACTATCAAAATTGGACAAACGTATAGAGAGCATGTTTCTGCCTGCCTCTCAGTCCCCTCGTCCCACTCTTTGTGTCTGTTTTGGCCTCTTGTTTTCTCTCTCTGTCTCAATGTGTAGTGAAGAACTTGGGCACTGGGGTTAGTCTTGCCCAAGATAAAATTATTTATTTTGTTCATATCAATAATACTTTCATTTTTTTTCTACAAAAGTTGCAATACTGTTTTAGATTTATAATTCGTATTGCTATTGAAAATGGTATATTTTCTCTAGTTGGTGTTCTTGGTATATAGTGAAATTATTTCCAGAAACATTTCCAGACTCTCCAGTTATATTGAGTAGATCATCTGTAGATACTTTACATTTTCTATATTGACAATCAAATAATCTATTGAGACTGAGATAAATTCCTTGATATCCTAGACACTGGTTTGGAGATCTTTTAAAATTACTTAGCCTTTTTGAGACTTTGATTCTTTATTTTCAAAATGGGGCCAATATGCCTCTCACAGGGGAATCATGAAGATTACTTGAGCTAATGGATCTTGGGTGGTTGGCTCAGTGTGGATCCTGGCTTGGGCCAGAACTCAGGCATGTGGCCCCAGCTTAGATTTCTAAGTGAGGACAAAGAATGTAGTCTAGCTCTGTGCCCAGAAAGAAAAAATAAAGACATGTCTCAGTCTCTGCTACATTGCTAATGCTCCTGCACTATAGAGATTGTCTTTTTTCAATATTTTAATATTTAAGAGATTCAAGATTTTAATTTGGATCTAATGATTCCATCTTCTCTGTTGGATTTTTTTTTCTTTTAATAAGTGACATTTCTGCTGAGGGGGGATTAGTAAGAAATTAGTGGAAGCTAAATTAAACTGAAAAGGATTTTGAAAATAAACCATTTAAAACCTTAATTTCTATGTTTCCTAAAGGAAGATTATATACACACATGCACACATTTGTGTATATATAGGGTTCAGACTAACATAAAAAGGATTAATAGGAGAATTTTAGTAGATTTTTGAGCCCAAGTCCAAACTTAAATTCATGGCTATATCTTTAAACCGAAAGAGAAAACTGAATGAGTTTAGAAGACAAATTGGTAACCAACAGGGCATTGAAGATGTGTTTACAACCAGAGTGATATTAAAGCTCCTCTCACCAGATGGGTTCCAAATGAAACACTGTTTTCAACATGCATGGTTGCCTATCCACTGCTGTCCACGCGATGTGTGGCTCTACCACCATCCCCTAAAACACACACACACACACACACACACACACACACACACCCCACCACCACCATCCCCCCTAAAACGCACATACACTTAGGTCTTTTCAAACACACTGGATATAGCATGTGGCACTCTCTACTCAGTCCACAGCCAATGATTCATAACTGTATTCAAGGGTTCACAATGCTTCATACATAACTGCCTAAGAGGCAGAGGGCTGCTTACGAAAAGCACGGATAATTGTCGCCAAGCACACACATATACACAAAATACAGATCTGCAAATAGAATGTGCAATTTTTCTTGGCATGCCATTCCCAAAGTATACGATGGTAAGAACTGCAAACGGTCTTCTCTGTTATGCCCGCAGCTAGGAGGTGGAGCACACAGACTGTGTGCCATGTGCAGTGCTGGACAATTTAGGAGCACATGCTCATGAATTCTTAACTGCCCAACATGATTTCACATGATCATCTTCAATCTACAGATGATGAAATGAAGACTCTGGGAAGTTTGGGACACTCACCAAAGATCTCCCATGCTGAAAAGGTAGCACTTTTGTGAACGAAGTCCAAGTCCGATTACATAAGCTGTGTGTTTTTTTTTTTTTTTTTCTTCACCCTACATTGAGAGCCTGGATAAACAAAGTCTAGTCAGGAGCTTGTCCGGAACAAAAGCCAGAGTGAGAGAAGCCATTAACATATTCCAGAACCAGATAGCAGTTCAGCTCAGCCAGCACGTATGTTCCATGAAAAAGAACTAGTGGGGGATAAAATTGTGAAAGTAGGCTGGGATTCTTAAGAAGGTGTATTAGGAATCCCTGAAGATTAGGAGAACTGCAAATTGTCTGCTCGGGCAGCAAGGGCATAGTATCAGAGGAATCTGGGTTTGAATGGTGGTTACTGCTGACTTGCTGTGTGTTCTCCGGTGAGTTGCTTAATTTCTCTGATCCTCAATTTTCTAATCTTTAACAAAAGGGTAATACTAGCACCTACTAATGAGATGAGATAATGAGGTATTATTCTCATTATTTATGAGGAAACAAATGTCAACCCAGCAACTTTACACATGGAACAGAGGACAGGATCTGGAGTCAAATGATAAAATTAAAATGCAGTATCAACTAATTTCTGACTCTGATTATTCACAGATGACTAATCATGTTTGATTAGTCACATGTCAAACGGGGAGGCACATAAACCACGCTGTGCCTACTGCACAGGCTTGTGGAGAACAAGTCAAACCACAAGGAACAAAAAGCACTTTCTAAGACATAAATGTTCGCCATGTGACATTATTTCTCAAATGATGAATTCACGAGTTCTTCCTGCATGTGCTAACTGTTCTCATTTTCCTAAACCTAAGGAATTTCCCTGGACACAGGGCTTTCAGTGCTGGAACTAGAACAGTTCCAAGAAAACTGGGACAGTTGGTCACCTTACTATTTCCCAAGAAAGATCAGAGGAACTAGAGAAACACTGAAGATGAAATATCTATGGGCAGAGCCACAGACTGGGTTTCAGTAGAATTGGGAGGAAAAGTTGGCTTTACCAATTGACATACTCATGACTGTGACCTGCTCAAACCTGCCCCTGGTGTTGCTGAATTAGATAACCTGGCCAAGGTATGTCCTTACCGTCTTCAGATTCTGGAGCACTGGGAGTATTGGGAGCACTTAGATTCCCTTGGCAGATTGACAAAGCATGTCTCAACCAGTGAGTTTCTTGGGATTGTCTTCCTCACCCTAGAGCTCCCTTGATGATCTTGAAATTTCTCTTTCCATGACTCATAAATGACAGGCCCACGGAGGTGTTCCAAAAGAAAGGGTGCTTCAATATTAACAGCACCCCAAATCCTTGTACATTTTATTCATTCTCTGTCATTCTTGCTTCTTTCTGTATCCTTTCACCTCTCCCCTGTTCAACGGAGGTGGTGTCTTGAATACTGTACTCTCCCTTCCCTCATCTTCAGCCAGTAGCACTGGGCAGCTCTCACAGCCTCCACCTTGCCTTCAACCCAGATATACCCGTGACCCCATGGAACCTGAATTATCTCCACTTGCTGAATTTGTTTAATTTTTCATGCATTTGGCTTAAAATGAAGACAAAAGAAGTAAAATAGAAATAAAATGCAGCAACTCCCTACCTTACTCCTTTCTGCTTCTAGGCCCACCCCTCAGAAGAACAAAGGTAGTTAGTTGGGTGTTTTTTGTATTGCTCTTTCGTAATTTTAAAATTTTAGATATATTCTGCTGTGATTGATGTTGGTCTGGTTCGTTTAACCCCCTCTTCACTTCTCTCACCCCATCTACTCAATTTTCAGCTTGTCTATTGGTTTTGTCACTTTATGAATATATTTGCAACTTCATTTTCTTACTCATCAAATATGAATGTATCTCTTGACTCCCACCTGTATGATAAGAATATTAATGCCTCTTTTCTTTCCTTCAGCTGTCTTCCTGCTTTCACATTCCAAATGTCATCGTCTTGTTTCAAAATCAAAAATAGGTGTTTCTGCACCCTAGTCTGTAACTACCTTCCTTGCTTTGTTTTTATGTTGATTCTAAAGGTTAACAATAAGTACTTTACATAACAAACAACCCTAAAACTAGTAGCTTAAAATAATGCGTCTCCTCCTATGGAGCTGTGGGTTAACTGGGCTCATTTGCACAATGATTGCCTGGTGACTTTCATACAATTGCAATTTTATAACAGCTGGGGTCCTATAAAGAATTTGCTGGTTATGAAGTTAAGCCTGGTTTCTTCCTCCCCATATCTGAGTCCTGAGCTGGGAGAGCTGCAACACCTGACTATGGCCAGGAATTCAGGAATTAATCTCCACACAGACCCTCTACATGGCTACTTCGAGTTCCCTCACAGCATGGCAGACTAGATTATCAGAATAATTAAACTTCTTACCTGGCGGATGGCTTACCCCAAAGTGTGTGTGTCAAGAGCCCCAAGCAAAAGGTCCACATATTCTCTGTAACTCAGAAGTACCAGAATGACACTTTTGCGGCACTCTATTGGTCAAACAGGCCATGAAGTCCAGCCCAGATTAAAAGGGAAGGGAATGGGACTCCACTTCTTGATTAAAAGACTAGCATGAGCCCACAGGAAGACAGGTATCAATGGAGACCATCTTTGGACACTATCCACCACGATGTCGTAGGTTCAAGTGTCTGACTTCTAGTGGTACATTCATATTTAAGAGTGAACAGTAGAAAAGCTGACTTTGAGCTCTGTGATAATGGGTACAGCCTGTAAAGTAACAGGTCTCATTTTAGGAAGCTGGCGTGGCACCACTAGATACAAGAATAAGTGTGGTTTAGCTTTGGGATTCTGGTTTGCTCTTTTGCTGCCATGATTATCCACAGAATGCTCATTCTAATTTTTAAGAGGAGAATCTCTGATTTTGTTTTCTCTGTTGGTTTGTTTGTTTTGCTAGGCTTCTTGGTGTTCTATGCCTGAGGATGGGACTGAAGAGTCAGGCAACTGTCCCATATACAGGTTTTAAGTTAATGCCTCTTTTCAGACCCTCTTCTCCCTTCTGTTCTTTGTTGTACTTCATATTTCCAAGTCTGAAATCACCACGGGGTTCTGCAAGGTCCTACATATCGGTTCCCTTTTCATCTGTAGACCTAATCATGTATTGAAATCCAGGCTTTGGCTTATCTTCCCTGTTTCATCAATCACCTTCCTTCCATTGGGTACTTCCCAGAAATTTTTTTAAACCTATTTTCTATTGATTCTTTCAAACATCATTATTTGTTTTGCTGTATTCTTATGCTAGCATTTTTATGGTGTCTCTGGAAGGAGACAGAGAGGTGACATACAACAGGTGTGCATACTACCCAGATGTATTAGTCCATTTTCACACTGTTATAAAGAACTTCTCTGAGACAGGGTAATTTTTAAAGGAAAGAAGTTTAATTGACTCACAGTTCTGCATGGCTGGGAGGCCTTGGGAAACTTACAATCATGGCCAAAGGGGAAGCAGATGTCTTCTACACAAGGCAGCAGGATAGAGAGAATGTGAAGGAGGAACTGTCAAACACTTATAAAACCATCAGATGTAGTGAGAACTCATTATCACAAGAACAGCATGGGAGAAACCACCCCCATGATCCAATCACCTCTCTCCCTTGACACATAGAGATTACAGGTCTCTCACTTGACACATGGAGATTACAGTTTGAGATAATTTGAGATGAGATTTGGGTGGGGACACAGAGCCAAACCATATCACCAGAGCAAGAAGCCCTAATCTGCGTTGGTTAAATTGTGTCTTCCAGGTCTGAACTTCTGCTTCTGTGACACTTTTGATCCCTCCATATTTGATACTCATCTTGGCTCTCTCCAAAAACTCAGACCTTGGCTCTCCTGTCCTGACTGATTCTAGATTTGTGCACTAGTCAACTCCCACTCCAACTTGCTTCCTTTCAGATGTTTCTCATTTCAGCAAATATCATCAATGTCCACCTGACAATCATTTTCTCCTCTTTTCTCATTTGCCAAGTATTAATGATTCTACTTTCCAAATAACTCTTGCATTGCTATAATTCTCAGTGTCTTCACTCTCCCATTCTTTTTAAACCACCATCCACTCTTCTTTTGCCTTGTAACTGATTGTTTCTCTCTCATTCATAACCTTCTCCACTGATGTTTCACATCACCATCAGCATATTTTAAAAAATCAAATTTTAGCTTGTCTCTGCAAAATCTTTAGAACTCATCTCATAATTTCTTAGAAGAAAATACTAAATAGTTGGCCTGGTCTGTCTTTCCCTCAAGAGTCTCATCCTTGCTTGCTCTTACCTGGTATCTCTTTTCTACCTCATTTTCTATTTTTCATCTACTTTGTCATGCTCTTTTATTTTTTATTTTTTTGAGATAGACTCTTGCTGTGTTGCCCAGGCTGGAGTGCAGTGGTGCAATCTTGGCTCACTGCAACCTCCGCCTCCCATGTTCAAATGATACTCATGCCTTGGCCTCCCGAGTAGCTGGGATTACAGGTGTGTGCCACCAAGCCCAGCTAATTTTTGTATTTTTAGTGGAGATGGGGTTTCACCATGTTTGCCAGGCTGGTCTCTAGCTCCTGACCTGAAGTGATCCACCTGCCTTGGCTTCCCAAAATGCCAGGATTACAGGTGTGAGCCGCCGCACCTAGCTTGCTTTTTTTTTTTTTTGTAACTGCATCACAGAAACATATTGCTTCCTGTCTTATCTGTTCCTCTTTCTTACCGTTGTAAAAGTCAAGCTGTTTATAAAGGCTTAAATGCTGTGTATTTATATTTTCTTATAATATCATCATATGCCTGTTTCCATGTTATTAGAATCTTTTCCAAAACATTATGTTTAATGACTATTCAATTCTACTCCTAGAAATTTCCCTAATATGACAGATTCTTTTTATTTCCATGCTATTATAAAAGCATCATTTTGGGCAGAGGTAAATGTTTGAATATCTGACTTTTTATACTTTTTATAATGAAAAAGTGAACACCAATCATTTTATACAACTTTCTCTTTCTTGGCTTAGTAATTTTGTTTGTTGTTTTGGTTGTTGAGAGTACTGCTTAAAATAAAGAATGGTCCAGAGGACCATGTTTTAGCCCCTTCATATGGGAAACTGATATTTTATGCTTGTCTTATACTTGTCAAGATAAACAATTATCGGTTCATGGCCATTTTTTGTAAACATTCTCTACCATTGCAGATGATAAGTCTGAGACATTGATTTTATTTCTCTAGAAGTAACCTACATTTCCCTGTCTGGAAAGTTGTAAAAATTTTTTCCTGATTTTTAAAATTATATAAGGCTATTCTTGCATTGCTATAGAGAAACACCAAAGACTGTAATTTATAAGAAAAGAAGTTCAATTGGCTCACAGTTCTGCAGGCTGTACAGGTAGCATAGAAGCATCTGTTTCTGGGGAGGCCTCAGGGAGCTTTTAATGTTGGTGAAAGGCACAGTGGGAGCAGGCACCTCATGCAGGGAAAGTAGGAGCAAGAGAGAGAGAGCCAGTGGTAGAGGAGGTACCGCATACTTTTAAACAAGATTTCGTGAGAACTCACTCACTATCATGTGGACAGCACTAAGACCTGAGAGATCTACCTCGATGACCCAAACACCTCCCATGAGGCCCCCCCTCCAGCATTGGGGATTAAAATTCAAAATGAGATTCAGGCAGAGGCAAATATCCAAACTACATCAAAAGTTATTTTTAATGTGTCCAAAAATTGTTCAGTTTTTTGAATTTCCTTAGAATGTAATGAGATGTTTTTACCTTTCTATTTTCAGATATTCTTTCCTCTAGAAAACTTCAATTTTTTAACTGATCTCAAAGCATCTTCCAAAATTCAGATAATATTCCTTTTTTGTCAGGATTCTCTTCTGTCTCTCCTAACTTCTAATTGTATTTACCATAAGTTTTACCTCTTTGTTCTTCTATTTTATTCTTTTTTTCATTTTCATTATTTTCAGATATTATTTTCATTTTTTACTGCCCAACATTAATTTAACATTGTGCAATGCCAGTTCTATTCATTTTGGTACCCAAAGCAGAATTTAATTTTGCTTTGGACTTTACTGTCATCTTTATATCTCCTACAGATCTTTTTCCATTGTGCTTTATCTTTTTCTCTTAGCATTTTCCTTCAGTGTCCAGCTTTCTTTGATCCTCAAGACAGACAGAGTACCTGCAAAACCACCAGGGTTTCCTCCTCCTCTTTTCTAACCGCAGCTCCATTGGATGCATAATAGCTGTGACATTGTGAGTCTAAAAGTCAGAAGAATTATGAGAAAGTTTTAATTATGTGAAAATTTCACGAGCTGCCACCTTGGGGAATGTAATTCCATTATAATTAGTGATATTTGAGAGATATGAATTCAAATTCAGATCAGCTGCTTAGTCTATGAAGTCTGGTGTTGAGGCAGTTTTACCAATGATAATGCCTCATATGAGGGTCAAATGAGTTTTAACGATTATTAGTAAGAATTAGGAGGAAAAAAACGATTTAGGAGTTAATAAGAGAAAAACAGATAAAGCAAATAGAAGAAAATGCAGTTTTTCCAATGCAGCTTTGGTGGAGGGAAATGAGAAAAATATACCTCTGAATTTTTAAGCATGTCTCTGTCTACTAGCAAGGGAAGAGAGCTTGGATGAGACCTGAGGAGGCAACTGGTCATCAACAAGGCTCTGGTCTTCTTCAGCATGGAGTTGTATCCACTGCTGATTATGAGTGCTGACCTGTGCCTATCCTCTTCTCTTTTCTTCCACCGATTAGTTTTTCAATAAATATTCTGGCTCAAGGATTATTTTAGTGGCATACAGTAACTCTTATAAGAGTAATACAACAGTGTTCCAGAAAGAATTGTCATCTTTAATCTGACATGTTGTTTTATGGATCCTATTGCTAGGTACTCTCCATATGATTTGATGAATGGTGGGTCATTTAATGTGTGTATGTGATGGAAGTGGAGTTTTATATGGGGGGTGGTTAATAAAATTAGTTCTGGTTTCAGTTCTTGTATATCCAAATGTAGATTACCATTTACCTTCAGGAAATAAAACAGTACCACTTTAGAGTCTTTCATCTACCTAACCTCAACATCATTTGACCTTGTTGACTGTGCCTTCTATGGAAAATCATCTCATTTCTTGGTTTTTGTGCTATTCTCAGGGGTAACTAACCACTTTTTTTCTGTCTCTTCTCTGCCTTCTTGCTTGTTATTTCTTCCTCTACTTCACCAATTGCTTCTCAATATTCAGTTTTAGGCACTGTTGTTCACTCTAACACCCTTAGTATTCCTCCATCCCCTTGCCTCCAGCAATAGTCAGGTAATTCGCTAATAAATCGATTTCAAAGCTCACAGCCTCCTTTTCAAATCAAGGCCCACATATCTAAATGTCTACCTGACATCTACTTTTGTATTTGCTAAGTGCACCACAGTCCTAAGGTGACAAACTGACGACTTCATTATTCCCCAGCCAATGTGGGCTTCTTCTACTTCTCTTTATTTCACTAAAAGATTAAATCATCTACTTAGTTAAGAAAGCCAGAAATTTAGACATCCTCCAGATATACCCTTCTCTCTCTAGTGGTTATAGATAACCCAACACGAAGGATTGTTCGTTGTTTTTCTAAACATTGCACAAATCATCCTAGTGGTTCTCCTTTACTACCATCTATTACGAATTGCCTCCTAACTGCTTTACCAAGATATACGCATTCCTAAAAATCCCACTGTAACCAGAGTAACCTTTTCAAAACGTATATCTGCTCAGGTATCTTTACTGACCAGTTAAAGAACTTCAGACAGATCTCAGAACTTAGAAAATAACAAGAGAACTCCATACCATGACTTATATGGCAACGCTTCCTGCCTAAAGCTCATCTTCCACCATTTTTGGACACCAAAAACACCAGCATTGTCTCAGTCCCCTTACCTGCCTGCTGCCCTTGATATAAATCATGTGTGTTCTTTGTTCTCTCTTCCTTCCTTGTTTTTCTACATAAAACTGCTTCTGTTTCAGATTTCATCTCAGACATCACTTCTGGGAAATTTTTCTGGGCCTCTCTGATGAGGCCAACTTCTCCCAACTCCATAGCATAGCACTCTTCCATTTCACTGCACTTTGCCCAGTTAAAACTTTATTTCTGTTTGTGCAATCATTTCATGTTTTATACCCTGATTCCAGGAGGGCAAGAATCATGCTCAAGAGTTTGCTCCCTCAACATCTGTTCTGGTAACTGGCCCACAGCAGGAGCTCAAAAGTGTTTACTGGAGGAATAAGTAAATAAAAACAAGAGTAAATTAAATTTAGTACATACTGTCTAACAGTCTTCATTGAACATTCACATCCGATATATATTCTCATCTATTAACCCTACGAACATTTCATCTTCCATTATGTCTGGGAAAACAAAGTGGTGTATCACATTGTCATGGGTATCACTAAAAAATTATTTGGTTCTTCTAGGCCCTGTGTCTATGTGGAAGCAGGAAGTCTGCTAGGTGAATTTCTCTGCACTTCTAGTTAAGAAATTATCATTTAAGAAAACATCTATCAGGTCTCAGGCACATTGATAGACAATGTTTTGTCATTTAAAGCCTTTATGATCTTTCGAAATTGTTATTATGAACCCCATTTTATAAATAAGGAAATTAAGACTCAGAAACTTTACCAGACTTGACCAAGGTCATGCAGTTCTTTCCAGGAGATACAAAATCACATTCCATTAATTTTATGGGGCCTTTAATGTTAAGCTATTAGGTACAAACACTAGAACAATTCTTATGTTTTTTCTGGGAGATACCATTTGTCAATTTAAAATCTATTTTACCTCCACTGAGATCAACCCTCACAGCTAAGTAATAATGCCTTTCCCTGAAGCCAAAGTGATAGCTTTATTTGAGATGGGTTGCCGTATTTCTAATTCTGACGAGGGTATCTCGTCTTTCTCTGTACTTTCGCACTTCCCTCCATATAAAATGGGCAATAAATAAATAAATCCCTGGGCATTGATTATGCTGCAGTTTAATGTATTTCTGATGCTGCCTAGTCCATGAAAATGGACAAAAAGCTCAACTGACATCATCTATTAAACAACTTCTTAAAAAACGTTACATCAGCTTTTAAAAGGAGAGCCAAAAAAAAAAAAAAAAAAAAAAAAAAAGCCAGAACAGTCACTTTAGCAAAAGAACATGACCATAATGGAGCTTTACTGTCATAACAGCTTATACATCAGGGCTTGAATTCAATACTGGTACTGATGATGGTGTACCTATTTCTTTATCTCACGACTTGGGAACAGTTCTCACATGAGGCACCAAATATTGAAATAACTGGCACTCCGAACCAATATGCATAGGAAGATGAAACTCTATCACATATGCCTGCTGGTCATACAGAATCAGAAATTTTCAGCATATTGCCAAATCCCTGTAGCAACTGAATTTTTTATATGTGGGAGGAAAAATGAATTTAGGCTTTCACATCAGATTGAGCTTGTTTTGCCTTTACACTGTCACGACAAAATATGTGACATTATGCAGTCATTGAAAATCATGTTAATGATTCCCAACTTCTCAGTGACTGGGAGGGAGGATAGCCAACCTGAATGTAAAGGGTTTAGCTCCTATCCCCATCCTTGTTGTACAATTAGCAGTCTGTGGAATGATATGTAATGACAATAGTATTAATGATGTGTTGATATCAATATATATGCATATATACAAAGCTAAAAATAGTTGAGTCCCAACTCTGTGCTGGGTTGTACTTTATCTCATTTAATCCTCCATATACATCTGAGTTTAATAGCATTATTTTCAGTTTGTGGATGAGAATGACGTTAGGAAAAAAAAGTGATTTGCCCAAGGTCTCATAGCCATGAAGTGTCAGAGCTGAGACTCACAACCTATCTGATTACAGAACTAGGACTCTCAATTTTCTTATCTCAGAAATGAGGGTAGCTTAGATCATTTGTGCCTGGGCATTTAAAACAGCATGAAACAGACCAGTGTTCTGCTTCCACACTACACAGAGTGCTTTGTGGATGTTTATTTTTACTGGGGAGGGAAGCTGCTTTCTCAAACCCCCACTTCACCCTGGGTTCTTCTGTCTAGAAAAGTATATTATATTAAGCAGCTTCCTTGGACCTGAGGCAGTTGGAGGGCTGAGAGAGGCAGAGAAGAAAATCTTATGCTTGTCCAGTGCTTATCCAGAAATGGCAAACTCCTGTCCAAAGGTGTTTGTGCCTTTTTTTTGTTGTTGTTATCCTGAGGTTTGCTTTTGAGGCACCCAGACTCTCACAGCCCTTCTTCCTCTCCTCCTCAGAACTTACCAGACGACTATTTCATTATACTCTGTTGCCACTGAGAAGCCAAACAGAGGAAAAGGAGGTCCCTGCAGCCATTTGACATGTATCTATAGAAAATTTTCCATGGGCTCAGTGCTGTTAGATTGCATCGCCTACAATCCAAGAGGGGAGGGTTTTATCAGGGTCATAAGAATAGCACATTATAACTTCCCTTCCATTCTCTTGTCCACCTGTCATTCTACCAGACTTCCATCAAAACACCTTAGAATTTAGGTATCTTGACCTTCCCAACTCAATTGAAGTTTAGATCCAACTTCCTTTCAGTAGCTCCCACCTTGATCAGTTCATCATGCCCTGCTCATCTCAAGCAATTCCCTCATCAGCTGGTACTCATTTTTGGTTACATAAATTGCTTTTTTATTTTATTTTTTTATTTTGAGATGGAGTCTCACTCTGTAGCCCAGGCTGGAATGCAGTGAAGCGACCTTGGCTCACTGCAACCTTTTCCTCCCAGATTCAAGTGATTCTCCTACCTCAGTTTCCCGAGTAGCTGGGATTACATGTACCTGCCACCACTCTCTAATTTTTTTGGATTTTTTTGATTTTTTTTTTTTTTTGTATTTTCAGTAGAGGCGAGGTTTCACTGTGTTAGCCAGGATGGTCTCGATCTCCTGACTTTGTGATCGGCCTGCCTCTGCCTCCCCAAAGTGCTGGGATGACAGGCTTGAGCCACCATGCCCGGCCTGTTTTTTTGTTTTGTTTTTGTTTTTAACAACCTCAACTTCATCACATTCCTGTGTTCTACCACACCTGCCTGGCAGCACCTGGAGTCTACATTTTCACCAGTGTTTCTTCTTCTTAAACTTGGGCAAGTGAAAGAAAACGCTAAGTGCAGCAGAAAGCATGATACTAAAAAGGACACAATGGACAAAGTCCTCAGTCTCGCCTGTCAATCATTTTACTGCTTATGGTCAACTTTTACTCCCAGCAACTCTTCTGAAGCATCACCACTACTTTTTTTTTAAGTTATTGACTCAGTTAATCATCAGTGCTCCCATGTAAAATGCTCTTCTTCCTAGTTTATTAAAATAATTAAAGCCATTAAACATCCTCATCCTCCTTGTCCCTCCGCACCTAAGCACACAATCACCTGCCTTTCTATACATCTTCCCTTCCTCACCTCTGATTCAAACACAGATGTCCCCTCCACCATGCACCACTGATCCTTTCACGTGGGCTCTCCATCAAATTTACTCTTATTATCATTATTATTATTATTATTAGTAGTAGTAGTAGTATTTAGAGACAGGATCTTCCTCTGTCATCCAGGCTGGAGTGCAGTGGCATGATCATAGCTCACTGTAGCCTCAGACTCCTGGGCTTAGTTAATCCTCCCATCTCAGCTTCCTGAGTAGCTAGGACTACAGGCATGCACCATCACACTTGGCTAATTCTTTCATTTTTTTGTAGAGATGGTGTTTCACTACGTTGCTCAGGCTGATCTCAAACTCCTGTACTCAAGAAATTCTCTTACTTAAGTCTCCCAAAACACTGGAATTACAGATGCCAGCCATCACACCCAGCCCCTTTACTCTTATATCCTCCAGGACCTTCTTTCATGAACACTGGTGCCAACAGCCAGGGCTTTTTATGTTATCTACTGATTACCTCCCAGATAATCTAGGGAATCCTCACCGCTGGAATCTTCATGTCCCACTTTCGTTTAACAGATGTTCTGCTCCTCCTAGGCTGGTGTTTTTTATTGGCCACAGAACACAGTTTCCTCATCCAGTTTCCACATCTCATCCCTAAATTGCGGGAATGTGTGTCAGACTTTCCCAAGAATGTGCTCATGTGCTCTTTTCCACCAGCAAAACCTGACTTGGCTGCTGGATTTCTTCAGTTCTGCTTATAACCAACCAACCAATGAGTGAAAGGCCAATATCTCTTTCCTGCAGACACACCTGTATCAATTGGCTATTGACAGGTAATAACTCCAACCTTTGGTTAAATAAATAAATAATTAAGTCACAATTCTTCAGGTGGGCAATATTGAATAAATGCAGCTAGGCCCTTCTTCTGATATTAGTTAAGCTCCTTCATGCGTCTGTGATCAGCTATCAGTGGACTAAAAGGTTTGGCTGATCTTGTCTGAGACTTTCCACATGTCTTACTGGAACTACTGGACTAGTTCAGCTCTGTTGTGTGTGTCTCATTCTCCAGCAGACTAGCTTGAAGTAATTCACATGGCATCTGCAAGGGTTTAAGTGAGACCTGACACAATGGCATTCCATCAGATTCTACTGGCCAAGACGAGTCACAAGCCCAGCCAAGATTCAAGGGCTGGAGAGTAAGTTTCACCACTTGATGGAAGCTGCTAAGTCACATTGCAAAGGGCATAGATTAAGGGACCAGGGGAGGTCAATTGGTACATTTTTGCAAAAACTCAAACATATCCTTAATTTCTACTGGTAGTTTCTTTGAACAATCCTTACTTAGTTTTTGTGGGGTAAACATAATGAGAAGAGGAAAAATGTCATGTTGTTCTCCTTAATGGACAAATCCTTGGCCTAATGCAATCTATTTGCATTTCTAGTGTTCTGTTTCTTTGACCCAAGGGAGAGATTAGGTGATATCAGCAAGATGTTCTGTACGTTTTTGTAACTTCTGCAGCTTTAAATTTGTTTTCATCTTTGAATTCCACAAATGTGTACTGAGTGTCTATTATGCCCCCAGATACTCTTCTATGTAGTTGGATTATATGAGTGAATAAAACTATCAACTACCTGCCCACGTGGAGACAACATTCTAGTGGCGGAGAAAGGTAATGTATGATTGATACAATAAACAATTATATTTTGTTTAAAGGTGATAAATGTGGAAAAAGAAAAAAAAAAAACTAGAGCAGAGAAAGAGGCATTGGGGTGATGAGACAAAAGAGGGCTGGCTTAGGCTTCCCTGAGAAGGTAATCTTCATCTGAGATTGGAGGTGAGAGAGTGAGTCGTGGAGATACCTGGCCACCTGGAGTGTTCTAGGGTAACAGAAGGCCAGGAGGCAGGAGATCACATGACATGTCTGGGGCACAAGAAGAAAGCTGGTGTGGCTGAGGTGCAGTGAGCAAGGAAAAGAGTTCCAGGAAATAAAGTCAGGAACAAGAATAAGAAAACAGGCTAGATTCTGCTTTTATAAATAAAGTTGTATTGGAAAACCCCCATATTCATTTGTTTATGTATTGTCTATGGCCAATTTCACACCTCAGTTGTATAACTGAGCAGCTGTGATAGATCATAATGGCTCACAAGGCCTAAAACATGTACTCTTTGATCCTATACAGAAAAACGCTTGCCAACCTCTGAAATAGGATCTTCTAAGTTATTGAAGATTTTTCTCTTTTATTCTAATGGAAGTGGAGGAATTCCATCATATGACAGACTTCATTAAAAATCACACTGATTTCTGGTGAGAAGGGGCTCTAGAGAAGTAAGGGGACATGTCTAAGAGGGGCCAGTTAAGAACCATTGTGACAATCTAGGCAGAGGGCGGTGATTTGGATCAGAGTGAAAGCAGTAAGGTGGTGAAGACGAGTAAGAATCTGGTTATATTTGGAAAATAGAATAGTCTACAGGTTCTTTTGTTACAGGAGGAGCCCCACTCAACCGCCAGAAGAATAAAGGAACACAGTTGTACCATTTGAATTTGACATTAGGACAGCTACCGGGACCCAGGAGAAATGACTCACCTAAGCTCACTTGAACTCTTCAGAGCCAGAGGATCAGTCTCATGGTGTTTGGCTGAGTGGTCCATCAGCCTAACAGTCCCTGTGTGTGTTCCTGACCCTTTCTCTATTCTCACACCTCTTTTTGCCTCTGCTGCAGAGGACCAGTGGCTGTCCTTTCTAAATAGCTGTTTGTCCTTTTTATAAAATTTATATTACTCTAAGTTCTGGAATACATGTGCAGAATGTGCAGGTTGGTTACATAGGTATACATGTGCCATGGTGGTTTACTGCACCTATCAACTCGTCATCTAGGTTTTAAGTCCCGCATGCATTTGGTATTTGTCCTAATGCTCTCCCTCTTCTTGTCCCCCAGCCCTGACAGGGCCTGGTGTGTGATATTCCCCTCCCTGTGTCCATGTGTTCTCACTATTCAGCTCCCACTTATGAGTGAGAACATGCAGTGGTTGGTTTTCTGTTCCTGTGTTAGTTTGCTGAGAATGATGTCTTCCAGCTTCATCCATGTCCCTGCAAAGGACATGAACTCATTCTTTTTCATGGTTGCATAGTATTCTGTGGTGTATATGTGCCACGATTTCTTTATCCAGTCTATCATTGATGGGCATTTGGGTTGGTTCCAAGTCTTTGCTACTGTAAACAGTGGTGTAATAAACATATGTGTGCATAAGTCTTTTTTAAAAAAATCAAGCTCAGTGTTCTGTGTTTCATTAATTCAAGGCTTTGCTGTCTGCCTATAGAATTTCACTACAAGGAGCAAACGTGCCTTTGTGACCAGGTCCCTGACTGCAAGTCCCGGTTCTATGACCTCGGCTAAGCTATTTAAACTCTGTGTACCTCAGTATTTTAACCAATAAAGCAGAGGCCTAATTGTATCTGCTCTGTCATGAGAATTAAATGTGATCATTTCTATTCAGTGATGTTCTAGTAATTAGTTACTGGCACGTAGTAGGCTTTGAGTAAATATAAATTCATGGATGATTTTTCTTTGGGTTATTTTTCTTTTCCAAGGGAGGGATCCTCTGATTTGTATGGGGAGAGTGTTTTTTGTTTTTTTTATAGCCACCCTGGAGTCAGAATGTCCTCAGTTCACCCTGGCTGGTGGATTATTGCTTGCAAATTTGAAACTTTTACAGATTTGCTGTGAGGTAGGATCAAGTAATATCACAGGCCAGGCTGGGCTACTGCAGGGAGGACATCGTGGTGCAGGTTATTCATGAAGTGCTGCATAATCAGGGCCTGCAGACAGAGATACCAGGCTCTGGGAGCTGGTTCAATTGAAGAGCTGTGCAGTGAGACCAGCCCTGCTTAGAGAGCTGGAGGATAGAATCTGTTCCCGGAAGTAGGGGATTCTTGAGATCATTGGCCACCTATTGAGGGGTTGGGATAGGAGGTTGTTTGCAGTTGGAGAGGCAGTGGGAGAAGGAGCAGCAGGAAATGGCAAGTTTTTAATAGAAGGAAGAATAACATACCTAGCTCTTTTAATTTGAAAATGAGATCTATTCCAGGCTTTCTGATGATGCAGTCTAGATAGTAAAACCCAACGAGGTTGTGAAAAAAATTATGTGGCCCTGCATTTCCCTTTTCTCTTTTGAGAAGCTCTGAAGGTGTGAAAAAATCAGTAGAGTGTGACTTTAATTTTTATAACTTCAGCACTGTATTTCTTTCCTATTTTCAAGGCAGTGCATCCTCAAAGAAAATTCAACATCAAAAAATTTTAGAAAACATTTTCTGTCACCCAACACATATGGCTCCACTGTTAATGTTTCCATGTTTTTGTTTCAGTTTACTTAACATGCATAATCTGTAGACCCCAACTTTGTAAATCAAGGTTCTTGGGGTTTTCCACAATCACTTTTCTGCCAAGAGTCACATATTTCACAGATGTCTCCTCAGGACAAATTTAGCCACCTGTTCAAGTGTCATTGAACTTTTATATGTCACTGGAAAATGACTTGTCTTTTTCAAAGAAATAAAGTCATTTTTACTTTTCAAAAGTCACTTCCTTGCACAATACATTGACAGCAGCAAAACTTTGTGATATCAAATCAGAAATGTCAGCTAGGTTTAATAGGCTTTGCAAAATACGTTTTCTAAGTCACTTTAAGAAACATTACATATTATGCAGTTTTGTATCCTTTTCTTGTCGTTATAGTGAAACAGTTTTCTTAACAAAAGTACTTATGCAACCCTCTCTTGGTAGATATTGTGACTGCTTCAGATTTTGGCCACCATATATACTGTTGTAACGCACATTGTTGTGAATAAATATTTACTGCATCTTTAGTATCTCCTAAGGATAAATTCCTAGTAAAGAAATTAAAAGTCCCAAAAGGTATAACTTTAAAAAAAAACTCAGATAGGCAGACATAGAGATATTTAGATAGAAACAGAGCTATATAGAGATATGAATAGAAAATTGAACTACTTTTCAGAACAGTTGAATAAATACTCCCAAACCCACACCAAGCCCATGTGGAGATGTAGTAGGTTCCTCCTCACCAGCAACAGGATGAAGCAGTAGACTTGTAAAATAGCTATGAGAATTTCCCATAGAAAAATTGTTTCATCATTCCTTCTGTTTTCACTTCTGTTACACTGGTAAGGTTGAATATTGTCCTTATATTTATTGGCTATTTTTTAATTCGTCTATAATGTTCTGTTCAAGTCCTTCAGCCATTGATATTCCTAATTTTAAGTGCTTTTTCCATTGATTTGTATAAACTGTTTGAACGCTAACGATATTTTCTTCTTGTGCTTTAATGTCAAACACTCTATGAAGTTATTTTAATTTTGCACATGGTATCTTTGACATTTAAAATATGTAGGCATTCAAATCCTTCACAAGTCTCCTTTGATTTTCTCTACAGTTCTTAAGATACTTTCATCCCGAGATCATTCAAATAGCCACCTCTATGTTAAAATACTTTTGTGCTGTATTTTTGACATGTGGTGATGAGGTAGAAATTTCAGGTGAGAGATGCTAGAGAGATAGGCAGGAGATCACACACAAGGTAGCATTAAACAATTAGGAAAGAAGCAAAAGTGTCTAACACTGTTTCATTTCTTTGAGTCCCTAGTTGGGGGGGAGGGGGCGGGGTTTAGTTTTGTTTCACCTGTTTTGTTTTAAGTAATAATTATTGTTCTGTACTAGTTCCTTATCATCTCATTACTGGATTGTTACAACCACAACCTAATTTTCTCGCCACACTTCCAATCTTTTCCAACTCCAATCCCTTCTGCAATCCCTTAAAGCCAAGGTGATCTTTCCAAGATAAAAATCCAAACTTTTAACTTTCCAATTAAAATTTTTCATCAGATTTAATGTGCAAAGTCATAGCATGGCATCCTGGTCCCTGACATCTGGTCCCCATCTACCACTCCAGTCCCTATCCTGCCTTTCTTCATCTCCTACCTTATATCCTCAGGATACCATGCTGTTTAAGATGTGGTGTCTTTGCTCGTGATGTTCCCTCTGCTTGAAATGTTCTTAATTCTCAGGCCAACCAACAACTCCCCCAGAAAGTGACTACTTAAACATACACTATACTAAGTGACTTTCTTTTTATTTGTGGACCTTGAGCTGAACTTTATCTTATAATATGTTATATTGAAATTCAACTATGTGCATTTATCGCCCATTAGACCATAACTACCTAAACATCAGGGACTCTTACTTTCTCTGTGCGACCACTGCTGAATATAGTCTTAGCACACCTAAAGTGTTCAATATCATGCAACTCTTAAAAGACTGACATCCACTTAATGCCTATCAGAAGCCATGCCAAGACCCACAATCACCAACTTCACAACACCAACCCGTTGCTGCATCTTCTTTTGTAAAATGAGACTATCAATTCCTGCCATACCTTCCTCTAAGTTCAGAAGTGAAACTGAAAGCAATAATAGAAATAAATAACTGTGTAAATGGTAATTGTATAATTGTGATTATACAATTGTGTGTAATTGAAATAAGTGTGTAAACACAAAAATATTTGCGTGTGTGTGTGTGCACATATGTATGCCTTCGTGTGTATGTGAATGTGTGTAGCTATTGTTAATGTTATACCTATTATTACAGAGAGGTGGCATTAAATTACTGAATCACAAAATTTGAGCACGCCAGATGTACATGTGGACTTGACTTAATCTAGACCACTTGTTTGCAAACTGTGTTCCCAGGTGTCTTAAAGTCCCTTAGAGGTACCTTAGTGGCCATTTCTGAAAGGGATTGAAAAGCGGTTTCCAGGATCCATTCCAGCATCAATCAGAGCAACACCAGTTTTAACTATGTCACACATTGCTGTTTATATATGGCTTGTATCTACTTAAATATTTGGACACTGCTAATTGTTCTAATGCCCTCATGTTACAAATAAAGGAAATGGAGCCAGAGAAGGTCAACAGACTTGCCCAAGATCACACAGCTTGTTAGTGTTCTTTCCACTATACAACACTACCTTAGAATGCTCCCTCCTCTTCAGTCCCAGGATATTTTCCATGCATGCTTCTCTCACGGAGTAGTTTTGCAGCCTGAGATCATGCTTCTAGAATCTTAAGGTGGTGTGGGTTCTGCTCAGTGCCAATTCCTACCTGAATTTATATCTTTCAAAGAAACTTAAGCACATTCCTAATGCTTGTCATTCCGTCATTCACACTTTAAAAGACTCTCTGTCTCTCTCAGATATTCCAGGCACATGTCTTTTTGGCCACCAGGCTGTAAAATCCTCTCCCTAACAAAGGTTTTAGCAATAGCAATCTCTTCCAGTTTGGTGGCTTATTAATCATCACATTTTCATGAATTGCTCAATAATAGCTTAAAGATGATGGGATTACCCTTTACAGTGCTCTGGAATAGCTGAAGATTGATTTGCTAGATGAATGGGAAACCTGCCACTATTTGGAAATCAGAGCAATGAATCAACACACTGGCTGAGCATCTCTGATATGCCAAGTCTGTTGTAGTTTCGAGTACCGGAAAGTGTGTTGATATTGTCCCTGCACACCACAAACTCACATCCTAGTAGAAGAGAGATGCACATGTAAACAAGCAATTCTGAGTAAAACATGCAATTTAAAAAGGAATGTACAAGGTGAGAGCATGAATCATTTCCCCTGGTGTTGTCAGGAAAGCCTGAAGATGGAGACTAAATAGGATTTTAACCATGAACATTTATTTTAAGGTGGCACAGGGTAAAATTGCCTTCCATGTACAGGGAATGGTATTCCAAAGATATGAGAATTCTTTATTCAATCACCATTTTTAAATATCTAACTATGTGTCAGGAAATGGGTTTGCAAGCAGGACCAAAAAAATAGGTTTTACCATTATGGTGGAATAAGGGCTAGTGAGGAGTAATTCAACAATTAAAATTCTGTGTCAGTATTACAGAGAGGGAGAGAAAAGTAAATCAAAGTTTTTAAATAGAAGAGGCTTGAAAAAGCATGACAGTGTCATGGCACATGGCTGGAGAGATGGACAGTGGCTAGAGAATAGAGACTTTACATCCCACAGTGAGGGTTAACAACTCCATCCTGAGGATACTAGGAACCTACCAAAGGCTTCTGATTTGGGAAATATTACATCTATTCCTCATAGAGAAAGAGATCTAAAATAGTATGGACAATAGACAATGGAATGTAAAGTTCAGAGGTAAGAACAGTCAAGGCAATTGGTCTGGAGGAGATGAGTCTTAAAGGGTGTGTAAAACACCTGTTAAGGGAAATTACATTTGGCTAAATTAAACACAAATTGTGTTACTCAGCCAGGCAGTCATTAAAGAAACCAGTTGAGACTGGACTTTGGTTCAGTCATGTGATTATTCAACATTTCTTTGTTGAGTTTGAATTATATGAAAGGTACTCTTCTGGGCTGAAAAGGTAGAAGAGTTAAGATGCTGCCTTTATTCTGGAGGAGGTTTTGGTTATCTGAAAAGATAATCAAGAGCTCAGCTAAATGTGACCATTCCATGAGTACATCCTTTGTGTGGTGTTTTATGGTGAATTTTTATTAGTTCTCACAATATCCCCATGAAGCTGGCATTGTGATTACCAACCCTTTCCAAGTGTGAAGTCATGATGTTCAGAAAGTCAGAGTTAGAGACTGCTTGACAGAAAAATCCTAAACCTCACCAACTGCCCATGACTGCCTCCCAGGTAATTATGGCACCAGATAATCAAGGTGGCAAAGCTGTGTAGAGTTCAATGGGAACCAAAAAAAGTGGGTGGAGAAAAATATGGCCAGGACACTATGAGGTTAATTTTTGGAATGACTCAAAGGACTGCAAGACGTAGAGTCATTTCTGAACCTGAAAAAAATAAAGACTTGGCACAAAACATTAAACCAAAGCAAATACCACCTCCTAAAACTAGATTGTTGGTGTTCTCCCAGTCCCCAGAGACCAGGACAAAAGAAGACAGTGTTGAAAGTTTTTGAGGAAATTGCATAGAAAGGTGAGAAGGGGTCTTTTTTTTTTTTTGGCCTTCAATTATAAGGAAAGGCAGAAAGTAAATCAAAATATTCAATAAAAAGATCACGGGAGCCAAGATGGTGGAATAGGAACAGCTCCAGTCTACAGCTCCCAGCTTGAGCAACGCATAAGATGGGTGATTTCTGCATTTCCAACTGAGGTACGAGGTTCATCTCACAGGGGAGTGCCGGACAGTGGGTGCAGTGTACCGTGCGTGAGCTGAAGCAGGGCGAGGCACCGCGTCACCTGGGAAGTGCAAGGGCTCAGGGAATTCCCTTTCCTAGTCAAACAAAGGGGTGACAGACGGCACCTGGAAAATCGGGTCACTCCCACCCTAATACTGCGCTTTTCCAACGGGCTTCACAAATGGCACACCAGGAGATTATATCCTGCACCTGGCTCAGAGGGTCCTACGCCCACAGAGCCTCGCTCATTGCTAGCACAGCCATCTGAGATCAAACTGCAAGGTGGCAGCGAGGCTGGGGGAGGGGCGCCTGCCATTGCTCAGGCTTGAGTAGGTAAACAAAGCAGCCGGGAAGCTCGAACTGGAAGGAACCCACCACAGCTCAAGGAGGCCTGCCTGCCTCTGTAGGCTCCACCTCTGGGGGCAGGGCACAGACAAACAAAAGACAGCAATGACCTCTGCAGACTTAAATGTCCCGTTCTGACAGCTTTGAAGACAGTAGTGGTTCTCCCAGCATGCAGCTGGAGATCTGAGAATGGGCAGACTGCCTCTTCAAGTGGGTCCCAGGTAGCCTAACTGGGAGGCACCCCCCAGTAGGGGCAGACTGACAACTCATACGGCCGGGTACTCCTCTGAGACAAAACTTCCAGAGGAACGATCAGGCAGCAGCATTTGCAGTTCACCAATATCCACCCTTCCGCAGCCACCGCTGCTGTTACCCAGGCAAACAGGGTCTGGAGTGGACCTCCAGTAAACTCCAACAGACCTGCAGCTGAGGGTCCTGTCTGTTAGAAGGGAAACTAACAAACACAAAGGACATCCACACCAAAAACCCATCTGTACATCACCATCATCAAAGACCAAAGGTAGATAAAACCACAAAGATGGGGAAAAAACAGAGCAGAAAAACTGGAAGCTCTAAAAATCAGAGCACCTCTCCTCCTCCAAAGGAACATAGCTCCTCACCAGCAATGGAACAAAGCTGGATGAAGAATGACTTTGACGAGTTGAGAGAGGAAAGCTTCAGAAGATCACACTACTCGGAGCTAAAGGAGGAAGTTCGAACCAATGGCAGAGAAGTTAAAAACTTTGAAAAAAAATTAGATGAATGGATAACTAGAATAATCAATACAGAGAAGTCTTTAAAGGACCTGATTGAGCTGAAAACCAAGGCACAAGAACTACGTGACGAATGCACAAGCCTCAGTAACTGATGCGATCAACTGGATGAAAGGGTATCAGCGATGGAAAACGAAATGAATGAAATGAAGCATGAAGAGAAGTTTAGAGAAAAAAGAATAAAAAGAAATGAACAAAGCCTCCAAGAAATATGGGACTATGTGAAAAGACCAAATCTACATCTAATTGCTGTATCTAAAAGTGACGGAAAGAATGGAACCAAGTTGGAAAACACTCTGCAGGATATTATCCAGGAGAACTTCCCCAATCTAGCAAGGCAGGCCAACATTCAAATTCAGGAAATACAGAGAATGCCACAAAGATACTCCTCGAGAAGACCAATTCCAAGACACATAATTGTCAGATTCACCAAAGCTGAAATGAAGGAAAAAATGTTAAGGGCAGCCAGAGAGAAAGGTCAGGTTACCCACAAAGGGAAGCCCATCAGACTAAGAGCTGATCTCTCAGCAGAAACTCTACAAGCCAGAATAGAGTGGGGGGCAATATTCAATATTCTTAAAGAAAAGAATTTTCAACCCAGAATTTCATATCCAGCCAAAATAAGCTTCTTAAGTGAAGGAGAAATAAAATACTTTACAGACAAGCAAATGCTGAGAGATTTTGTCACCACCAGGCCTGCCCTAAAAGAGCTCCTGAAGGAAGCACTAAACATGGAAAGGAACAACCGGTACCAGCCGCTGCAAATACATGCCAAAATGTAAAGACCATCAAGGCTAGGAAGAAACTGCATCAACTAATGAGCAAACTAACCAGCTAATATCATAATGACAGGATCAAATTCACATATAACGATACTAACCTTAAATGTAAATGGGCTAAATGCTCCAATTAAAAGGCACAGACTGGCAAATTGGATAAAGAGTCAAGACCCATCAGTGTGCTGTATTCAGGAAACCCATCTCACATGCAGAGACACACAAAGGTTCAAAATAAAGAGATGGAGGAAGATCTACCGAGCAAATGGAAAACAAAAAAAGCAGGGGTTGCAATCCTAGTCTCGGATAAAACAGATTTTAAACCATCAAAGATTAAAAGAGACAAAGAAAGCCATTACATAATGGTAAAGGGATCAATTCAACAAGAATAACTAACTATCCTAAATATATATGCACCCAATATAGGAGCACCCAGATTCATAAAGCAAGTCCTTAGTGACCTACAAAGAGACTTAGACTCCCACACAATAATAATGGGAGACTTTAACACCCCACTGTCAACATTAGACAGATCAACAAGACAGAAAGTTAACAAGGATATACAGGAATTAAACTCACCTCTGCACTAAGCAGACCTAATAGACATGTACAGAACTCTCCACCCCAAATCAACAGAATATGCATTCTTTTCAGCACCACACCACACCTATTCCAAAACTGACCACATAGTTGGAAGTAAAGCACTCCTCAGCAAATGTAAAAGAATAGAAATTATAACAAACTGTCTCTCAGACCACAGTGCAATCAAACTAGAACTCAGGATTAAGAAACTCACTCAAAACTGCTCAACTACATGGAAACTGAACAACCTGCTCCTGAATGACTACTGGGTACATAACGAAATGAAGGCAGAAATAAAGATGTTCTTTGAAACCAACGAGAACAAACACACAACATACCAGAATCTCTGGGACACATACAAAGCAGTGTGTAGAGGGAAATTTATAGCACTAAATGCCCACAAGAGAAAGCAGGAAAGTTCTAAAATTGACACCCTAACATCACAATTAAAAGAACTAGAGAAGCAAGAGCAAACACATTCAAAAGCTAGCAGAAGGCAAGAAATAACTAAGATCAGAGCAGAACTGAAGGAAATAGAGACACAAAAACCCTTCAAAAAATCAATGAATCCAAGTGCTGGTTTCTTGAAAAGATCAACAAAATTGATAGACTGCTAGCAAGACTAATGAAGAAGAAAAGAGAGAAGAATCAAATAGACGCAATAAAAAATGATAAAGGGGATATCACCACCGATCCCACAGAAATACAAACTACCATCAGAAAATACTATAAACACCTCTACGCAAATAAACTAGAAAATCTAGAAGAAATGGATAAATTCCTCGACACACACACTCTCCCAAGACTAAACCAGGAAGAAGTTGAATCTCTGAATACACCAATGACAGGATCTGAAAACGAGGCAATAATTAATAGCTTACCAACCAAAAAGAATCCAGGACCAGATGGATTCACAGCTGAATTCTACCAGAGGTACAAGGAGGAGCTGGTACCATTCCTTCTGAAACTATTTCAATCAATAGAAAAAGAGGGAATCCTCCCTAACTCATTTTATGAGGCCAGCATCATCCTGATACCAAAGCCTGGCAGAGACACAATAAAAAAAGAGAATTTTAGACCAATATCCTTGATGAACATTGATGCAAAAATCCTCAATAAAATACTGGCAAACTGAATCCAGCAACACATCAGAAAGCTTATCCACCATGATCAAGTGGGCTTCATCCCTGGGATGCAAGGCTGGTTCAACATATGAAAATCAATAAACATAATCCAGCATATAAACAGAGCCAAAGACAAAAACCACATGATTATCTCAATAGATGCAGAAAAGGCTTTTGACAAAATTCAACAACCCTTCATGCTAAAAACTCTCAATAAATTAGGTATTGATGGAACGTATCTCAAAATAATAAGAGCTATCTATGACAAACCCACAGCCATATCATACTGAATGGACAAAAACTGGAAGCATTCCCTTGGAAAACTGGCACAAGACAGGGATGCCCTCTCTCACCACTCCTATTCAACATAGTGTTGGAAGTTCTGGCCAGGGCAATCAGGCAGGAGAAGGGAATAAAAGGTATTCAATTAGGAAAAGAGGAAGTCAAATTGTCCCTGTTTGCAGATGACATGATTGTATATCTAGAAAACCCCATCATCTCAGCCCAAAATCTCCTTAAGCTGATAAGCAACTTCAGCAAAGTCTCAGAATACAAAATCAATATGCAAAAATCACAAGCATTCTTATACACCAATAACAAACAAACAGAATGCCAAATCATGAGTGAACTCCTATTCACAACTGCTTCAAAGAGAAAATAAAATACCTAGGAATCCAACTTACAAGGGATGTGAAAGACCTCTTCAAGGAGAACTACAAACTGCTGCTCAGTGAAATAAAAGAGGATACAAATGGAAGAACATTCCATGCTCATGGATAGGAAGAATCAATATCGTGAAAATGGCCATACTGCCCAAGGTAATTTATAGATTCTATGCCATCCCCATCAAGCTACCAATGACTTTCTTCACAGAATTGGAAAAAAGTACTTTAAAGTTCATATGGAACCAAAAAAGAGCCTGCATTGCCAACTCAATCCTAAGCCAAAAGAACAAATGCTACCTAACTTCAAACTATACTACAAGGCTACAGTAACAAAAACAGCATGGTACTGGTACCAAAACAGAGATATAGACCAATGGAACAGAACAGAGCCCTCAGAAATAATGCCACATTATCTACAACTATCTGATCTTTGACAAACCTGACAAAAACAAGAAATGGGGAAAGGATTCCCTATTTAATAAATAGTGCTGGGAAAACTGGCTAGACATATGTAGAAAGCTGAAACTGGATCCCTTCCTTACACCTTATACAAAAATTAATTCAAGATGGATTAAAGACTTACATGTTAGACCTAAAACCATAAAAACCCTAGACGAAAACCTAGACAATACCATTCAGGACACAGGCACACAGGCATGGGCAAGGACTTCATGTCTAAAACACCAAAAGCAATGGCAACAAAAGCCAAAATTGACAAATGGGATCTAATTAAACTAAAGAGCTTCTGCACAGCAAAAGAAAACACCATCAGAGTGAACAGGCAACCTACAGAATGGGAGAAAATTTTTGCAACCTACTCATCTCACAAAGGGCTAATATCCAGAACCTACAATGAACTCAAACACATTTACAAGAAAAAAACAACCCCATCAACAAGTGGGCGAAGGATATGAACAGACACTTCTCAAAAGACATTTATGCAGCCAAAAAACACATGAAAAAATGCTCATCATCACTGGCCATTGAGAAATGCAAATCAAAACCACAATGAGATACCATCTCATACCAGTTAGAATGGCAATCATTAAAAAGTCAGGAAACAACAGGTGCTGGAGAGGATGTGGAGAAATAGGAACACTTTTACACTGTTGGTGGGACTGTAAACTAGTTCAACCATTGTGGAAGTTGGTGTGGTGATTCCTCAGGGATCTAGAACTAGAAATACCATTTGACCCAGCCATCCCATTACTGGGTATATGCCCAAAGGATATAAATCATGCTGCTATAAAGACACATGCACACGTATGTTTATTGCGGCACTATTCACAATAGCAAAGACTTGGAACCAACCCAAATGTCCAACAATGATAGACTGGATTAAGAAAATGTGGCACATATACACCATGGAATACTATGCAGCCATGAAAATGATGAGTTCATGTCCTTTGTAGGGACATGGGTGACGCTGGAAACTATCATTCTCAGCAAACTATCTCAAGGACGAAAAACCAAACACCGCATGTTCTCACTCATAGGTGGGAATTAACAACGAGAACACATGGACACAGGAAGGGGAACATCACACACCGGGGACTGTTGTGGGGTCGGGGGAAGGGGGAGGAATAGCATTAGGAGATATACCTAATGCTAAATGACGAGTTAATGGGTGCAGCACACCAACATGGCACATGTATACATAGGTAACAAACCTGCACATTTTGCACATGTACCCTAAAACTTAAAGTATAATAAAATAAAAAATAAAAAGATCACAAAGGAAAAAGAAATCAGTAGTACCACCCAAAACACTAAAAATAAAATATTCTTAGTTCATTTTGTGCTACTATAGCAAAATACCTGGTACTGCATTATTTACAGTGAATATACATTTATTGACTCACAGTTTTGGAGGCTGGGAAGTCTAAGAACAAGGTGCCAGCGTCTGGCAAGGGCCTTGTTGGTGCATCATCACATGGTAGAAGGTAAGAGGGCAAGGGTGGACGAATCTAGCCCTTTTATAAAGTCGCCAATCCCACCCAGGAGAATAGAGCCCTGATGACCTAATGACCTCTTAAAGGTCTCACTTCTTAACACTGTTACAATAGAAATTAAATTTCAACATGAGTTTTAGAGGGGATAAACATTCCAACCTTATCACAAAACAAAAAACCAAATACAAATAACAAAAAGCACCAGGAGCTTAACGTTAGCAGGCATCAAATCACAAGTCTATAAACTTCACACAGTGAAACTTTCCAGTAACGAATTCCATAAACTTCTAACTTTGTGGGAATTCTCCCCCGCTTCTCCTCCCACCTTATTAAACACTAGATTGGAGTTTTACAGGCTTTGCAGTAAATGCAAGTCCTTGTAGTACTCATGGTACTCGTTGAAGAGTTTTAGTTGTCATTATTTTACAGTTAATAGATGAAGTTGAGCAGGAGAGGGAAGAAGAGGGAAGAATTTGATTTATAGCAGCTGTTATTCCAGAGTGTCCTTGACAATCTGCTTTAGGATGCTCCTCCAATCGCCACAGAAACATCTGCCGAACATTCTACTTCAGGGCAAAAACTCAGTTGGTTTTATGTGCTGCTGAATCAATGGCCTATTTCTCTAGACTGTAAAGTGAGTTCAGAGTTTGCTGGAAACTTAAGAAAAAGAAAATAGGAAGCTCATTTGATGGCTGGTTGCATAAAGCCCAGCACCTGCTGCTTGGATTCTTTTTAATGCCTGGTTAAGGGAAAATGTCAAGGGCTTTTCAAATTTGCATCAATTTGAATAAAACCATTGTTATACAGCTTGCAAAAAGTCAAAACACTTTGGGAGAAGTTAGAACAGATTTTTTTTTTCCTTCAAGAGATTGGCATAAAAGCAAAACCTTGGGGATCTTAATCTGAATTAATCTAGCAAGAATTGCCCAAGCCTAAATATGCCAATTAAACTCATGTTCCAGAAGATAAAGTATTTGCTGAATTACAATATATAATTTCATAGATAAGGGTATCTCTCCTCGTCAGAAATATTTTATCAGGAAGTGAAAACATACAAGCTTGTACTACTGATAAAGCCATGAATATCAAGGAAAAGTGATATTTTTACTTGGTTTTCAAGAAAAGGGAGATTATTTTGATTGGAAATGCGAGTGCCATGGTATGTTTTCCAGTAAAGACAATGTTATATATCTGACAACAAAAACAAAATTAAAAAAATTGAACATTATAGTTACAAATAGATTTCATGTAAACAGGTAAATTAGAAAAAAAAAAAAAAGTAGGCCAGGTGCAGTGGCTCACACCTGTAATCCCAGCACTTTGGGAGTCTGAGGCTGGTGGATCACGAAGTCAAGAGATTGAGACCATCCTTGCCAACATGGTGAAACCCTGTCTCTACTAAAAATACAGAATTTAGCTGGGCATGGTGGCACACGCCTGTAGTCCCAGCTACTCGGGAGGCTGAGGCAGGAGAATTGCTTGAACCCAGGAGGCAGAGGTTGCAGTGAGCCGAGATCACACTACCGCACTCCAGCCTGGCAATACAGCTAGACTCCATCTCAAAAAAAAAAAAAAAAAAAAAAAAAACTTTAGCCCTATATGCTAGACACAATCAGAAAATTTACAGATGGGAAAAACATTCCAAAAATTTGATTTCTTTGCTCACACTAATAAGCCCCAAGTGGAGAACCAGAATGCAAACTCAGGCCCAGTTGATGTCAATTATTTTTGTGTTTGTCATGTAGAAGAGCACTTCAGAGCACACGTGTGCCTCTTTGGAAAGGAAAACCAGAGAGGAAGCATGAGTCTTGTTTTGAGTGTCCCACTGGGAAATGAATTTGAAACACTACAATTCTGGGGTTTTACAGTTTCTAGAGTCCTTTTCCGTGATAGGGAAATCTTCGTTTTTGTGCGAAGAAATATCCAGCCCTTATCAGCTGATAGGGCTGAGATTAAGGACCTTTTCTTTATCTGTTTAAGATTGATGCAGAAACAGAGCAAATGTGGACAGGTGAGCAGGGATGACCACCTGTCAACCCTGTTCCAGTGAGAGAGCTAGTGACAACAAAGGGAGGATGAAGCTGGTGTGGGTGCTGTACATCGTCCACTTGACAGATGCTTGTTGAGTGCCTGCCATTTTCTAGGCAATGTCTTAGGCACCAGAACACAACACATGCAGCAGGGAACTAAGCCACAGTGTAAAAGGAGCAGAAACTTTGGTGGTAGGCAAGTCCCAGCACAGTCACTAACCAGCTAAGTGGCCTTTGAGCATGTGACTTAACCCAAGATTGTGCCACCACACTCCAGCCTGGCAACAGAATGAGGCTCCATCTGAAAAAAAAAGTAACATTTATTTTTGTCCCTATGAAAGATAAATAAATTGAACCCAAAAAAAAAATAACATTCTGAAGTATCTCTAATTGCCATTGGCTTCATAATTAAGGCTCAAGCAGATTTATGTGGTCTTGAGTACTCTGAGATAAGCATCATGGTGGGAAAGCTTTCTATGAGTAGACTTTGCACTGCTAGCCTTCATGAAGTGTTCAATAATGTAAACAGCATTAAATTAGGAAATTGATATGGATAAAGGAGATTAGTAGTGCACAATTAATTTTTTCAAGGGGTTAAGACTCTTTTTCTTTGTGTAATAGACGTAAGTCATTTAAGCAATACCTAACTCAAAAAGCTGAATTTTAACTTCTTCCATCTTGGGTCATTAAATTTGCCTACTAATTGGTCCTACTAATTAATAACTATGAGCTATTAATGTGAATGAATTGGCTCTTAAGTTACTCCTTAAAATGACTAAGGTTTTCCAAAATTTTTTCGATGGGCTGCTTGGTTATCTATTCCTAAGGAGATAAGGATGTAATGAAACCCTCTGGAACCACATCTGGGACACTGTGCTAGGCTGTGAAGCTCCCACTTGCAGGATTAGGTAGGCTAACTGCTCTTACAGCCAGAGAGCCTTATTTCGTAAGGAAGATGGTGGGAATGGGAGGAATTGCTACACCCTTGTCATCTTACTGTTTTCTGCCTGTACTACCAGTGCAGTAACCCAGGCTTTAGGGATCTTCCTAACTGTTGGAATAATAGGACTGAGGAAGGTTCCAGAGAAGCACAATCAGAACTAAGATCACTTTGTGCTGGGCCCTACGAACCCTTTTTTCCATCATGAACCACCACTTCTTCAAGCACTAACACATTATTGAGTGTCTTCCATGTTCCAGGCACTATGCCAAAGGCTGTGGATTAATTACCTCCTTTATGCTCACAAAAACTCTATGAAGTAGATATCATCACTATCTCCATTTAAAATGAGAAAACCAAGGCACAGAGTTGTTAAGTAGTTTTTCCCAGCATGGGACAGAGCCAGGATTTTAATACAGGCAGCGTGATCTCACAGCCCTTACTTTTAATTACCACCCTAGACCTTACTGACTTTCTAGTTTACATTATGATGCAAATTGATGTTCGGAAAAACATCTCTAAAGGCCAGAACCAAAAGTGGTTTGTTACATTTTTTTCTATTTGATTTTTTCAAAACTTTAATTATCATATAGTCTGCAGAATTCACAATTACGTGGAATATTAGATTAACCAGAACACACAGTATCAAATCTGTCTCCCATGGCACAACAAATATTAAATATCAGAAAGAGCCATCATTTTTCATCTTTAGCTTTAGTTCTGATCCTGAAGCAACATCATTTATTTCAAATCTGGCTTCCTTGCTCTTCTGCAGTGTGAGCTCTTGGTAATGTGAACCCCGGGTGGGCCCCTAACTCCCCCATAACTGCAAGCTATACTTTCTATTTATTTTTCTCTCCTCCACCCTGGTTTTGGAAGGCTGAGACCACAACTTAGTATTCTTTTCGTCGATCCCCAATACCTAAGATAGTGCCTGGCCCAACAAAGCAATATTAATTCTGAGAAAATTAACGAGTGGGAGAGCCTCAGTTTTGACTTCTATTTATTAGTATGATAATATTCTCATTAACTATCTTGGAGGGATGTTATGAAGCTTGAATGAGATAATGCACAGAAAAGTGTGTAGAATTAAAATGTGGTAGAAAACAAGAGATTTTTTTTCTCATGGGATTACCCATAATCATTCTATTCCATAAGTGAACTTGACTATTCAGAGAGAATCACACCCTAGGAAAATGATTATTAGATAACAAATTTTCCAAAGCCAATTTAAAAACTTGATTATTCCTGCCTTCACTTCAATAAATCTAGTTTTGGTTATGAAAGGAAGAAATAAAGAATGTTTGGTTTCAGAGGTGCTAGGTAAGGCAAACTTTATAGAAGCAGAAGAAATACAGACTTCAAAGTCATCATTTGAAGAAAGATGCTAGAGCTACAACTCAGAGTGGGTCATATGAAGCACCTGCTATACCAAGGGCTCCATCGTCGGCACTTGTACATAAAATCTCACTAAAACTGTAAAGTCATGTAAGATAAAATATCCCAATTTTATATAGGAAGGAAATGGAGGCTTAGAGAAGTTAACAACTCACTGAAGTCCATACAACTATGAGGTAGGAGAATTAGGATTTAATCCCTACCTGTATGACTCAAAAAAACTTAGCACTTTCCACTCTGTCACAGGGCTTACTAACAACAGCAAACACCCACTTTCACCCCAAACACCCTCTACTCTCATTTTCCATAAAGCCCAGTAGTGTGGCCAACAGGCTCTGGAAGCAAGTGTGACTGTGTTGATGAGTGAATTAAAAGTATCCCACCTGCAAGTCATAAAAACCCAACTCTAATAAGCTTATAAATTAAAAAGAAATTATTTATTGATATTAGGGTACCCCATAGAATAGCTCTAAGCTGATGGAAAGACAAGAAAACAGATGGATATAAGAAAAATCCAGAACAAAGGACTTAAATACCTTTAGAGCTGCTTCTCCATTTCCTAATCCTGCTTCTTCTTCTCTGTATGCCAGCTTCAATCCAGACAGGACCATAGACAGCTCCCAACCACTAGCAACTGGTAAGGACCCTAAGTGGGCGACTTTGCTAAGAAAATGGAAGAAAATAAACTGTTCTGCTGTACAGGAGGAAGACTCACATAGGTCACTAGACACAGGTACCCTAGTCACTCCTGGAACCCCTGTGTATTGTTATTAAATAGGGCCAGGAGAGGAGACAGGGAGACATATTTGGAGAGAAGTGGCTCCAAGATGCAGAACATGTTGAAGTCCCAGATGCTTCAAGTGTCATTTCTTTTTCTTCTATGGATATTTTTTCTCCTACCAAAAAATGTTGGCCCTTGGCAAACTTTCACTAGCATTTTTGCTTAGCTAGTAATGTAACAATTTTTTAAAATTCTACATTATGTTCATGAAATCAGCATTTAATTAAGAGCTATGTGATTTGGGCTCATCCAGGAAAAATTAACCGTGCAGGTTCAGGGTAAAACACAAGGTAGAGTGATCTGAATCTTAAAGTTTACATGTTTTATTGAAAACAGGGGATTTCTGGATTCATAACATCTCATTAGCTATAGAAACAAATCCTACATAAAAGGCTCCCCAGTAATATCTCAAAATGGAATTTTTAACATGTATTCTTTGTAATTCTTACGTTAGTCACATTGGGTTACTTGTTAAAGCTGCAAACATGAGATATACTGAATCAGGTTGTATATGAGTTGTGTCTGAAACCTGGGGTTTAACAAGCTGCTCATATGATTTTTTACAAACAAAAAAGATTGGGAATTTCTGACCTAATATAGCAACTGCTCAAACGTGTCCTCAGGCACCTACATCCTCTGCTGGTGATGGTATACACTGGCCCAGCCTTTCTTAGAAGTAACTTTACTACATATGTCAATATCCTTAAAATGTTTATCATCTTTGTTCTTAACAATTTTACTTCTGGAAATCTCTCCTAAGGAAATATTATGAAATATGGAAAAAATAAATCTCTAAGTACAGAGAAGAGTCATTAGTTTATATTATGAGAAAAAATATCCTAAGACAATAAAATGAGAAGAGTTATGTAAATTTTGTTTATGTACTTCAATGCAATGTTATTTAGATTGTAAAATAGATGTTTGTGAAAAGTGTATTGTTATTTGACAAAATGCTGAAATTATCATGTTAAATCAGAAAAAAATAGCATGCAAGCATATTTTATAACTTTGTAAAGTAGCTTTATACCTGGAAAAGACCAGAAAAAAAAATACATATTGAAATGATAATGGTAGTTCATTGGATTATGAACAGTTTTTTCTTCTCTCTGCATTTCTTTACTTTTAAAATGTCACGTAATAAACAAATATTACTCTCATAATAAATATTTAAACAAAAAATAATATTTTACTACATTCAATAGAATTTTTATCCCTAGAAAGAAATGTGGAAAAGAAACAAAGACCCCACTTCCTGCCTGTCTTTGGGTCTATGAATATTGTGAAACCGCAACCCCACTACCTGGCTCCCATGGTAAGCCCTTCCTTATCTTTCACTTTATTATCTGTGACTGGGTCCCTAGATACCCCTGCTCTGGATAGCTTTCTCTGCTTTTCCTCCTCTCCCTCAAGGCTGCAGTCTTGCCTTAGCGTCCCGAGAGATAAAGCTGATACTCCTGATATCTACTCCCCTACGTTACTGTATTTGTACTTCTGCCCACACAGGTCACAGTTTACAAACCTAGTATTTCAGATTTGTTTGGAACAATATAGACATCCATGTAGTTCTTTCTAATGTATAACAACACTTGGTGAATAGAAGAATAACTTGGAAGTTGTTTTTCTTTTTATACACCTCTGCAGGTGTAATTGTTGAGGTTATTTTTACCCTTCATTCTCCATCATCCTCTGTATCACATTTCCTATGAAATATTGTAGGTCCTTTCTTTGCAGCCTCTGATCCTGTTAGTTTTCATAATATACCTTCCTGCATCCTATTAATTTATGTATTTTTAACCTCACATTGCATTACGTTGAATTTGTCATACTCCCCAGATTATTGTTGATTCCATTGATAAATACAATCTGGCTGTATTTATTTATTTATTACATTTTATCATTCTCCATTTTTTTTTTTACTTTAGGTTCTGGGATACATGTGCAGAAAGTGCAGATTGGTTACATAGGTATACATGTGCCATGGTGGTTTGCTGCACCCATCAACCCGTCATCTAGGTTTTAAGCCCCACATTCATTAGGTATTTGTCCTATTGCTCTCCCTCCCCTTGCCCCCCCACACCCTAACAGGCCCCAGTGTGTGATGTTTCCCTCCCTGTGTCCGTGTGTTCTTATTGTTCAACTCCCACTTATGAGTGAGAACATGTAGTGTTTGGTTTTCTGTTCCTGTGTTAGTTTGCTGAGCATCATTGTCCATTCTTATCTCCTCCTTTTACAAAACCAACCATTCTAGTCTTATTTTACTTCTGTCCTTTCATGTGTATGGGTTCTTACAGATTGTGGTGGATATTGTTGTTGTTCTATATGTTTAACATTTTACTTACATTATATGATAGTGAGCTATAGATCTTATTTTGTTCTTTTTTCCATTTTCTTTTCCTTTTTTTTTTTTTTTTTTGACAGAGTCTCGCTCTGTCGCCCAGGCTGAAGTGCAATGGTGTGATCTTGGCTTACTGCAACCTTTGTCTCCTGGGTTCAAGCAATTATCCTGCCTCAGCCTCCCAAGTAACTGCGACTACAGGTGTGTGCCACCATGCCCAGCTAACTTCTGCATTTTTAGTAGAGACAGGGTCTCATCATGTTGGCCAGGCTGGTCTCAAACTCCTAACCCCAGGTGATCCTCCCACCTCAGCCTCCCAAAGGGCTGGGATTACAGGCGTGAGCCACCGGGTCCGGCTCTTTTTTCCATTTTCTTACCGGGCACTACGTTTTGAAAATGTAGTCATGTTGCTATGAACATCTCCAGCATGTTGCTTCTAAGTGCTATACAGTATTCCATGGTTCATAGCATACATGGTTTATTTACTATTCCCCCAATCATCAGAACCTATGTTGACTGCAACTCCAACAGTTATTTGTGGTGTTTGTTTGTTTGTTTTGAGACAGAGTTTCAACTCTTGTTGCCCAGGCTGGAGTGCAGTGGCGCCATCTCGGCTCACTGCAACCTCCGCCTCCCTGGTACAAGCTATTCTCCTGCCTCAGCCTCCCAAGTAGCTGGGACTACAGCCGCCCGCCATCACGCCCGCTAATCTTTATATTTTTAGTAGAGACGGGGTTTCACCATATTGGCCAGGCAGGTCCGAAACTCCTGACCTTGTGATCCACCTGCCTTGGCCTCCCAAAGTGCTGGGATTACAGGCATGAGGCACCGCACCCGGCCAGTTATTTGCTTTAAAAATGCTTGTGATAAGGTACGTATTCTGCAAGTTTTTTCTTTAATATTAATGGAAATAAAAGCTGAAAAAATGTATTACCTAAAAGTGGTAAGCACTATCTGTTCTCTGATTGGACATAAATTAAGTTGAACCTTGGACCAAACTATTTCTTTGTTTTGCAGAACTCAGACTTCGGAAACCAAGTTGCTTCTTTGGACCAAAAGCTTATTTGTGTGTGTGTGCGTGCGTGTGTGTGTGTGTGTGTGTGTGTGTGTGATTTTAGATTAATCTAATCTTATAATTTCTCTTGTACATTGTAGTACTGTATTTGTTGTTTTTTCTTTGAGAAGTTGTTTGCAGTCAATGTAGAGCTAAGATGTCAGTAAAGACCTATAGGCATGGATGTAATTCACAAATTCAACATAAATTTATGAAGAACTTACTATGTCCCATGCATTAACTTAAGGACTGGTTTTATGGCAAATAAAAAAAAGAAAGCTCCTGCTTTCTTTAAGCTTATAGTTTTCATTATACCATGAAAGACTGAGGAAAAAATAGCACCTTCTCTTCATGTTCCTCTAAATAGACATGGCCATTGATTTTTCATGTCTAGTATTATCATTTATGAAGCCACTCATTTTGAATAGACTAAGTGCCTTGATGGGAAGAAATGTGGCATTACATAAACACCTCAATAGAAATAAACTTATTTGAGAGTCATGTTATTTTAAAACAAAGGAATTATGTGTAAGAATGACTGGTTGGGCTAATTAAATACGGTGAATTAAAGACATCTGTGGCCACTTTCCTCCCTTGACACTCGACAAAATAATTTAAAAAAATAAAAAATGAGAATATCATCTCCTGTTTAATAGCACAATACACTAACCACAGCTACAGATAACAAACTATAAATGATACCTGAAAGAAAGCATGTGAAAATGGGGGACAATGGGAGACTTTTCAAGCATATGGGTAGGGGTAAATTTCTCTGAAATAAATGCCATAGTGTGGAAAGACCCCTCCAATTATCTTTTCATTAGCATACAAGATGAAGATGTATAAGAAGGCTGAATGGATAGAAGAGACCACAGAGAAGCTTGGGAAATGAAGCAGAAGGAAGCCAGAAAACATGCCAACTTCATTAGCAATAGTATTGTTGAAGTAGCCACCTAGAGACAATCTGGAAGAGGGTAGAAAATCAGATAACAGAGAAAAACTGTGACTTCCAGAACTTCACCGTGAGCTCTAAAAACTTTTGAATGTTCAAACTGGGGAAACACATGCCCTCAGGCCAAAGGGCATTGTTTGAATAATGGCTGAGACCATTAATCAAAATGTAAGCTGTTGACTTTCTCAGCCCTTTGCCTTCTGCCAGCTTTCCCACTTGCTGAGAGCAAATAACTGGCTCAGAAGAAACTGATCTCTACACGTTTCAAACACATGTAATAGAAAATAAGTGGCTAAGAGCGTATGTATCAAATATGAAATTAAAATAATAATAATATTGATGAAAGGAATGTAAGCAAAATAATACATCTGAAACTTCTCAGAATTACTCCAGAAAACAGCAAAGAATCAGTCACCAGAATCATTTGAAAACAGTTTCCTTAAAAAAGAATATCCCAAAGAATACATCTTAGAGATTTAAGGAAAACGAAACTGACAGTGCAATAGAAGGAGGTTAAAGAGTGAGAGAGAATAGATATTTAAAAGTGAACGAGAAATATAAAACTGCTGCAAAAAATGTCAGCCACATTTGAAGCAACAAGAGCAATACTAAAAAAAGTTAAATAGCATGACTGAAAACATTTTTAGGAACAGGAAAACAGGTTTGAAGAAAAAGAACTCAGATGCAGAAAATAAAAAATAGTAATATAAAACAATTTTCCAAAGATAGGAATGGAATATGAACTACATGTAGAAGTATGTTTCACATTGATAGTTATGTTGAATTAAAGAATAATTCAGAATGATCTAAGTTTTACTAGGATAGCATTGTTGGGGCCAAAGAATAAAATCCAGATGGATTTTTCTTGAAGGAAATGGACACTCATCCTCTTCATCATTCTGGGAAGTTGTATTGTCTGAGCTGAAGAATCACAACTGGGGAAGATGACTATAAGATACTATGAGAAAACAGTATTTTTTCTTTTTCTCTGCAGCCTCATGGACGTATATTAGTACCAACTAACTAGAAGACAAAAGATAAGAAGGTAATAGGCTGCAGGGATGAAATGGAGTCAGTCTTTAGGGACCTCCTCAAGGTGGTCTGGGGATGTTAAACATAGCTACATGGTTTTTAAGTCGTTTTAAGTTTTTTTGTTGTTGTTTTGTTTTTTGGTTTTTGGTTTTTTTTTTGAGATGGAGTCCCTGCTCTGTCACTCAGGCTGGAGTGCAGTGGCGCAATCTCAGCTCACTGCAACCTCCACCTTCTGGGTTCAAGCGATTCTCTTGCCTCGACCTCCTGAGAAGCTGGAATTGCAGATACCTGCCACCATACCCGGTTAATTTTTTTGTATTTTTAGTAGACGCAAGGTTTTGCCATGTTGGCCAGGCTGGCCTCAAACTCCTGACCTCAGGTGATCTGCCCGCCTCGGCCTCCCAAAGTGCTGGGATTACAGGCGTGAGCCACTGTGCCTGGTCCATGTTAAATTTTAAATCATTTTCTATATTCCCTTTCTTTATCTATCATTTGCCATCTCAACTTTCATTGCAATCTCAATGTAAAGTCATCTCTAGAGTCTCACAGTAGGAACTTATGGCAAAGGCATATACTGCATCTGTTAAGAGCTGAATTGTGTCCTCACAAAATTGCTGTGTTGAAGCCCTAAATTCCATCACCTCAGAATGTTACCATATTTGGAAATGGTGCCTTTAAAGAGGTAATTAAATTAATATGAGGTCATTGGGGGGGCCCTAACACCATATGACTGGTGTTCTTATAAGAAGATATAATTTGGGCACAGACAGAGGGAAGATCCTGTAAAGACACAGGAAGGAGAGGGTAGCCATCTACAAGCAGAGAGGCCTTAGAAGAAATCAACCCTACCAACATCCCTATCCAGGACCTTTCAGCCTCCAGAACTGTGAGAAAATGAACATGTGTTTTTTAAGCTACCCCATCTGTGGTACTTTGTTATGCCATCTCTAGTAAGCTAATACAAAAACCACAAAAGAAGTTATAGTAGTTAGAGTAGCAGTCATAGCAGAAAACGAGCATTTACTGTATTCTGTGCAATGTCCTAAGCACTTACATGTATTGATTCACTTAATCTTTACCACAACTCTAAGAAAAGGATTAAATGAGTTAATACTTGCAAATGCTTGGGAAAGAGCCTGTACAGAATGAATGTTCAATAAATGCCACTCATTGGTATTTTCTGTATTTTAGCGTGGAGGATGCGAAGGCAAAGACCCAGGAAGATGAAGTCACTTCTGTATATTTTTATGAGTGGACATATTAGAGCTCTCACCCTCTTCCCCAGGGCTGGGTAGAGATAAAACAGTGATCACCAGGGCAGAATAGCTGTGTTCAGCAGGATAGAGTCCCACAATGGACATCAGCAGTAGACGCTGTAGGGTGGTAAGATGATGCTGGGCCCAACACTGAACACTGTGAGGGGTCATTCCTGAACACTCATGAGGAGGCAAGTTGGGGGTGGATTTGGGGGACTTTAGAAATATGCATATTAAACCCATTCACTCAAAGACAAATATTTTCCATAACTCACTTGCTTTCCTGAATGTCTTGATATACGAATGGGTCACTTGTTTCCACATTTAACTCAGTAGCAGCATTAGCCCAGAATCTATGCCTAGTCATACCCTGCAGTGGTTATTCCTCATACTATAAGAAGTTAGCCTTCCAAAGAGAGAAGAATTCCAAACTGTGGTTGTTATTGTTTTTTAAAGATAACAATCAAAAGTGTGGTCATCTGCTGTAGTCCAGGGAATCCCAGCCTTGCTTGCAATAGATGGAACTACTTCTTTGGGCTTGCCTGCTGATCGCTTCCAAGGCAAGTAGCTTCAGAAACTCTCATATTATCTGATATTACTATATCAGGAATATGTGTTGCACAGAACATACCTGCTCATCCCTCCTCTCTCACACTGGGGTAACAGGAACAGATAGAAACAGGACAATACAGGTACAGAGAAAGATTGAATTAACAGAGACAATGGGTGACTAACATGTCAAGGTCAACACCACATGCAGCTCATTCCTTTGTGGATTATGTGCAGCATCCTAATCTCTCACTCTGAAGAGAAGATGGAAAGTAGAAGCTCACGTATGTGTATGTGTGTTGGTTGGGGGTGGTTTCAGGGGCCCCTCCATGGCGACTGTGAGCCACCACCTGTTCCTAGAAGATGCTGCCATTATTACTCCATCAACAGTTGCCGATTTACTCTCCATACCCTCAGCACTCTTAGCAGGAAACAGCATGGTTTCTTCTGTGACTCCTGTGACTATTTTTCTTGCTGCTTGATGCAAGTGCCATTTTGAATTTTCTCTAGAATCACCATCTTCTCTTTCTTCTCTCACTGTTTGGGTAGTCGGTTATTTATATCTCAAGAGCAGGGTGGGCTTCCTGAGTAGGGAAACAGGGTGGGGTGGGACAGTGTGGACGTTGGTGCAAAGATCCACATTGCTCCTTCAGGCCATGGATTATCTATTTTATTTTCAGGAATAAACATGTGTGTGTGGTGTGTGTGTGTGTGTGTGCATGTGTGTGTGTGTGTGCTTGTGAAGAAGCATTTCCTGCAGAAAGACACAGAAATGCAGAATAGTGTCTGCTCCACTATAGAAGCAGGACATGCACAAAGAATCTAAAGGCACCATTTCAACTTTTTGATGCTGAGACGAGCTGTGTCATCCCAGAGCCCAGATAACAACAGATGATGCAACATGTAGACGAGGGACCTTCTTTATCAGGAGGGAGGACATACCACTCACCTCCTTGGTGCTTTCTCCTTTAATATTCAGATTAAGGGCTCAAACATCTCAAACATAAGTATTAGTTACACTTTACTGAAGACCAGGAGCTGTCTGTTTACCCACTTCCTTTCATTGACTTCACTCTTCTCTCTCCTGTTCTCTCTCATCTGGTTTCAGGGCTTTCTAAATCAGGCCAATAGAGCACTATTCAACCTGATAACCAAGACAGATCAAACCCAAACATACAGTGCTTATGGAAAGAAATACACAAAGCTGTTATCAGGATGTGATGAGTAGAGTGGAATAAAAGAAGGCTTTGGTTTTCTTAACTTTTCTTTTTTTCTCTTTTTAACTTTTAAGTTCAGGGATACATGTGCAGGTTTGTTACATAGGTGAACTTGGTTCACGGGGTTTGTTGTACAGATTATTTTATCACCCAGGTATTAAGCCTAGTACCCATTAGTTATTTTTCCTGATCCTCTCCCTCTTCCCAGCCTCCACCCTTCAATAGGCCTCAGTGTGGGTTGTTCCCCTCTATGTGTCCATGTGTTCTCATCATTTAGCTCCCACTTATAAATGAGAACATGTGGTATTTGGTTTTCTGTTCCTATGTTAGTTTGCTAAGGATAATGGCCTCCAGCTCCATCTATGACCCTGTAAAGGACATGATCTCATTCTTTCTTATGGTTGCATAGCATTCTACGGTGTATATGTACCATATTTCCTTTATCCAGTCTATCCTTGATGGGCATTTAGGTTGATTCCATATCTTTGCTATTGTGAGTAGTGCTGCAATAAACTGTTTTTAAATGCAATACTATAAGGATGCATTGCTTTCATATTATGAAAAAATAATACATCTTTTAAAATAAAACATATGCAATATAACCCTAAAATACAAAACTCAGACCAGAGGGAGCAGCTGCACCTATAACCCAGGAAAATTCCCTCAGCACTTTTACTTCCCTCCTGAGGGCCTCTTCACATAGGTAATGAACAACTATTTAGGGGGCTTCATAGTTTACAAAGTACTCTCTCAACCATTGCCTTATTAAGCATTCATAGCAATTCAATACGATTATTTATTTCCATTTTGCCGATGAGAAACTGAGACTTAGAGGGTTAAATGACTTAATTTCTGTTGACAGTCACAATCTGAAATGCTGAGGGCAAAACAGAGTCTCAGATGTGGCTATGATGCAGAGGAGCAGCACAGAGAGGGCAGCTCAGGACCCTTGGGCAGGGAGGGTGGAGGTACAAAATGGAGATAGCAACATGCCCCTCCTCTTGGATACACCATGTGCCAGCTCTTTCCACAGATCATCCCATAACCATACTGTGTAAACACACTGCTGTCCCATTGTCAGATGAAGGATTAAAGCTCAGTGAGGTGAAATCACTGTCTACACTGAGAAGCTAGTACGTGTTGAAACTGGAATTCAAATGTGGATACACCTAAACCTAAACCTTCTTCTCTAAACCATTTGACCCAGTCCCTTCCTAAGAGGCTGTTCACAGAGGAACGCCATGGTGCCCTGCAACCTGATGTTGCATCCAACTTCTTCAGCAGACTATGGGAGCCCCAGGAAAGTGGATTTAGTCTCATTACCTTCACATGCTCAGTGCCCATTGAAGTGTCTGCCTCAGAGCAGTCATTTAACACTCACTTGTGGAAGAGCCAAAAGAAAAGTGATTTGTCTGCCTAGACAGGTTAGGTCCCTAGCTGAATCCTTTTGTCTGTTCCCACAGCATGAAGGAAGACACTGGTTAGCATATCCATGCTTCACTTTTATGCATTTGTTGTAGTGTGAGCTGCAGCATTGCCACTTTTAATCAGACATTCGTTGTCCAATAAACACAGGTCCAAAGCACCCAGTGCAACATTTGCAGAGGTTGGCAGGACAGGATAAGAAGTCTGTTATTGGGACCGCCCCATCATAATTCCCATTTTCGCCTTTCCCTCAGCACTGCCAGCCTTGGGCAGGGTGCAGAAACTGAAGCCAACTTTAGAGAAATCCAAAAGGTTAAAATCTGTGTTTCGGCAATGGGCTTTGTGCAAAGTGGCTGCTAGTCTGTGGATTACGCTGTTCCCTGACCTTTCTGGGATGAAGCATTCTTCACAGCTGTCATTGCGTCAGTGTAAGAGCCCAGAAATATCATTAGGAAAGATGTCTTGGCTGGAAGTCTGTGCCAAGCCTGGGGGAGGGGGATTGTGCTGAGGAAGCATGACCAGAAATTTAATAATGGGAGCTGAATCCAGTTATGGACACTGCTGCAGAGACCAAGGAGATTTGCCTTTTCTGTGGCCCTCACTACACTGTACGCAATTGTCTATTTCTATGTCTGTCTTCCTTTCTAGTCTTCAAGGGCTTTAAGGGGAGAAGCCTGTCATATTCCAGCATCCTCCACTATAGTGCCTAGCACATGGTACAAGTTATGAAAATTTTTCCTAAAACAAAAGAAATCAAAGATGATAGAATATAAGGGGCTTAACATCAACTCATATGTCTTAGTTAATGGCTTGGTTTATGTGATGACAGAGGCTGAGAATTCCAAGATCTGCAGTCAGCAAGCTGGAGACACAGAAAAGCAAATGGTGTAGTTCCAGTCCAAGTCTAAAAGCCTGAGAATCAGAAGAGCTAACTGGGTAGTTTCAGTCTGAGTTAGAGTCGAAAGGCAGGAGAATAACTATACCCCAGGTGAATCAGGCAGAGAGGGAAATTTTGTCTTACTCAGCCTTTTATTCTATTTAGGCATTCAATGGGTTAGACAAGTTTAGATAAGGTATACTCACATGGGGAGACAGAAATTTGCTTTACTCAGTCTTCTAATTCAAATATTAATGTTATCCAGAAACAGGCTGTATACCAAGAATAAAATTTTAAACCCCCAACTGACTAAACAGAACCCTTCTTGGCCAAGGGGATCCCAATGAAACCTGAAAAACTAATTCAGGCCATGAAGAGAAGAGGAGGTCAGACACACCTCATTATTCCCTCCTCCCTTTGGAATTTAGACACAACTGACCAGCATTAACATTAAAACATGTTAAGACTGAAAAACAGACTGTAGCAATAAGACACCCATTTCCAAACTGACTCTGGTACAGCATTACATTACAGATAGCAAGCTCTGAAGGAAATCAGAATGTTTAACCCCAAATATATTATTTTTACTTATTTTGTGATGCCCCAGCAAAGCTGTTATTATGATTTGGCTCCCCACCCAACTCTCATGTTGAACTGTAATCCCCAGTGTTGGGGAAGGAACCTGGTGGGAAGTGATTGGACCAAAGAGTTTGATTTTCCCCTTGCTGTTCTCATGATAGTGAGGAAGTTCTCATGAGATCTGGCTGTTTGAAGGTGTATAGCACTTCCTCCTTTACTCTCTCTCTCTCTCTCCTGCTGCCATGTGAAGATGTGCTTGCTTCCCCTTTGCCCTTCTGCCATGATGGTAAGTCTCCTGAGGCCTACCCAGCCATGCCTCCTGTACAGCCTGTGGAATGTGAGCCAATTAAACCTCTTTTTTTTTTTTTTTTGGTAAATTACCCAGTCTCAGGTAGTTTTTTTATGGCAATGTGAGAAGAGACTAATACAGCTGTCTCTTGAGTGAGAAAATTGCATTCTGTGGAGAATCTTCTCCTACTAGGTCTTTTCTGGAGAGTCTGATACCTTTCAAGGTCCCATAAGAACCATTAAGCATCTATTATCTCTGAAGTCTGCTACCTATGGGCTTCATATACATAACAAGAACCTTAGCTTCTACAACTCCCGCTTATCTTAACTCAAGCTGACTTCAACTCTTCAGGCAAAGTTTAACTCTTTCAACCACTTGCCAATTAGAAAATCTCTGAGCCCACCTATGGCTTGGAAGCCACCCCTCACCCCAACCCTCCCCTTTGAGATGTTCTATCTTTCTGAGCCAAGTCAATGTATACCTTACATGTGTTGGTTTGTCTCTTTGCCTGTAACTTCTGTCTCCCTAAAATGTGAAATATCAATCTGTAACCCAGCCACCATGGGCACATGTTCTCAGGACTTACTGAGGCTGAGTCATGGGCCATGGCCTTTAATCTTGATAAAATAAACCTCTGAATTGATTGAGACCTGTCTGAGATACTTTTTGGTTTACAATCCTCACAGACACAATGAGAAATCATGCTTAACCAAACAGCTGGGCACCCCATTATCCAGTCAAGTTGACATATAAAATTAACTGTCACAGATAGAGATCCCATGAAACAGAGATAGGGAGACAATAATTGAGACAACAGAAAAGGAACAGTCAAGAAAGATTATGGTGTTAAGTTGGAAACTGAGGTGAGTAGCTGTGGTTCAACCCTACACATACTCACTGAAGAATCTTGTAGAGTATGCTTCACAATTGTCCCTCTGAAGCATAGGAAACTGGACATATTCATATTCTTTCACTTCTACCCACTATAGAAAGGGGTGATTATTACCCTCATTTTCACAGGCTGCACCTGCTCCTGGTCTAAGAAGTGCTACAGATATTAAAATAAACTCTATGGCAATAAAAGGAGAGGCGAGTGTAGCAGACACAATTAAAATATACACCATAGTTTCGCTTAATTCACATGGGCCAATATAACGGGTTGGGGGCACAGAATGTGTTTACTGTTCTTATAGGGTTACTCTTATATGATCCTGAGCTTGTGGAATGTTACAGTCCCAATAGCGCTTCAGAATTTGCAAAGCACTTACCCATTTATCACCTCATTTGACCTCTCTAACAACCCCATAAGTAGGTAAGAATGTTCTCTCTTCCTGACTTTTAGACAAGGGATGAACCACATGGGGCTGAGTGCCTCCCCAGGTGTTCAGATGGTTAAAGAGCTGGAGCCAGAACTGTAGTCCCTGGGCTCTGCTTCCCCTTTTCCTTCTGCTTCAGCAGCATTGGAGTGTTTCTGTCTCCTCTCCTCAGCCTTAGGATTCTTGGAATAAGAAAAAACTAACCATTGAGGAAACAGAGTCATTCCAGGTTAGATTTCTGGGAAATCAGCTTGGATTTATATATATCATAGGTGAGAGACAGGTAGACAAGAAAGAGCTCAGGTAGACAGCTGGGTTCCAATTTTAGTACTACCACCAACCAGCCTTATGGTCTTCTTTCTCCTTTCTGAGTCTTCCATTTTATTTCTGTCAAGTGAGAAAGTCTCACTAAGTAGTGGTGTGTGTTTGTGTGTGTGTGTGTGTGTGTGTGTGTGTGTGTGTGTGAAAAAGAGAGAGAGAGAATCAACTGAGCAGCCTATGCAGCACTATAGCAGCAATAGTCTGTTGAAAGAATGTTGGTTTCAAAGTCATAGAGACCTGGTGCCATCTTGGCTTGACGGGAGTGTGATTTTGAGCAAGTATCCTGGCGTCCCTGAGGTTTGATTTACCTATATGTTAAGTAAGTTTCATAGTTACTTTGTAGCATGAATGAAAAATTTATGATAATATATGTGCAATTACTAGGTCATTGCCTTACACATAGAAAACAAAAATGGTTATTATGGCTGCTATTATTTCTATTAGTTGTATTATATTCAATAAGCTAATTTTTAACTTACCTAACTCCTTTGAAAAGTTTCTTCATGGACCAATTTACCCACTTGGCATCTCTTTATATGATAAATGTAAAATTTATAACTGTATCATTTATTTTATAAGTATTGAGAAGGTACAAATATTGTCTATTTTCCATAGATAAATCCAGCAATCCATACTTGGCATTGTGTAACTAATAAAGTCATGAATACCAGCACCTCCTGTTTGGCACACACTCAATAACAACAACAAAAAAACTGATGATTGATAATGATCCTTTTCACATTAACATTTCTAACATTCTTCTAAATACCTGGATGTAAAAACCACTTGCCAACAAGTGGTTTAGACCAACAAGTCTAAAAATAGTTCTTTGTTTTAAATATACTACCACATTAAAATACCAAATAAAGGAAACATACCATCTGGACTAGAGGGCATTTAAGAGTCACATTAAGTTCACTTAAGATTACAGGAATGGTTGTTAACACCTGCAGCTCTGTCTACTGATACAGGATTTAATGTTTGAGAGCCAGAGCTATAAGTTAGAGAATAAAAGAATGCAGAATTAGAATTGGATATAGTTTCTTTTTTTGCTCATGATTTAGAATATTTATGTCTTCCTTTATGAAATAAGAAGCAAATTCATGAGGGGAAAAACATGGTAATCCGTGCAAAAGTCCTTCGAGTCCTTCAGAAAAACTCTGTCCTTTCCAAAGGCTCATCAGGGCATTTAGAGGATTATCTTTTCATTTTGGGTTCTTATGCAAAGTAAATTCTTGTTTGGTCTTGTATTCTTTAGGAGACATCAGCAATTCTGTTCTTTGAATAAAATGATGTGCTTTTAATCCATTCTCAATATACCTCCATGGAAGATGACTCAGATCCCAAATAGCATAATGTGAATAATTTTCAAAGGCTCTGAGATCCTATTTCCTGAAAGCCTCACAACCTACATCACCAAGAGCAGTGATTGCTGCAAAGAGCAAAGAAAAAGGAAGTGAACAAACAAAAGAAGAACAGGAAGTGGAGTGCAGACAGAAGTGGCAGAACTGTGAGGTCATCAAGTTGAAGACCTCTTCTTATGCATCTTAATACTGCAGGACCAGCCCCTGTGGTTCTAAGAACTGCCAAGCCTCTGAAACACTTGAGCTTTTCCATCTACAAATGAATGTAGTAGAAATAGTACTGGATTTTTAGTTGAATATTTGTGAACTTGAGTGTCATGTTACCACAGACTAGTGGAATAATCTTGAGCCAATCTAGTCAGCTCTCTAGATCTCAGTTTCTCTATCTGTAAATGGTGAATTAACAGAGGGAAAAATGAAGATCTGCACTGAATAGAATGTTACCTGCTATTCCATCATTGTTGGAGGAACTGAGAGTCCTCACAAAGTCTCTAATTTCTTCCCCAGCCTGGGCTTTTTCTGGTACTTTCTTCCCCTGTGTTGTGATGTCCCTGTGTTTTGTGACTCACAAAGAACAGATCTCAATCATGTGCAACTGGTGAATAAAGCTCTGACCCTAAGGTCTAAAAAATTTGGGTTGTGTCTCATGTCCATGAGTAACTAATTCCATATCCTTGAATAAGTTCTGCAACCTCTCTAAGCCCCAGCCTGTCCATCCACAAAAAAACCATAATGACAATCCAAAGGGTTTTATGAGAATTCAGTGAGAAACTGCATTTTAAGCACTTAGCCCAGGGCTCTGTACATAGCAAGTGGTCAATGTAAATTGGATGTTATTAGCACACATAATTTTAGGCCAGCTAATCTAAAACTTCAGAAAATCGCACATCTATGTTTATGCAAAAGAATAAATATATGTAAGGATGAAATATCATTGACTTAGTTCACATATCAAACATAGATAAAAATAAATAATATTAAATTTAGCAAAGACCAGAGATGGAAAGGTGATGAATACAAATGATACTTACGGTAGTAATATAACTTTCCCATTAGGGAAAATAAAGGTTTGGCAAAGCTATTGCAATGGCCTGCTAATGGTTCTTCACAATTGCAATACTGTACCCTTCATCCAGATTACACAGAGCACAAAAAATAGTCATAGAATCCAAATACAGCCACATTACTCACCTACTTAAATCTGTTGGAGTATTCCCTTGCCCCTAAGATGAAGCTTGAATTTTTCAACATGATTTATAAGCTATTTCCTAAGTATCTACCTTGGCAGTTTTCCTCTTGCTACTCTTCCACTCCTGTTCTACAGTCTTATAGTTACCCTTTCCAAGGACTTGGAGCAGAAAACATTTTCCCTTGATTATGGTTTAGCATCTGCTATTTTTTGGCTCATCCTTGACTGCCCTTGACTCTGAGCCCCCTCCGTCTTTTGCCTTTTCTACTCTATTTATTTTTCAGGTCTTAGTTCAGATAGTTTGATCCCATTCTTCATAGCTTGTGTTTCTCCATCTAAATAGCTCATGATCATTTTTGTTACTAAAAACATCCTTCAATTTCCAAATGTAATTGGTACCTAAAATTGTGTTGGATGGCAAATTTAGGGATAGTTTAAACCCACATTGTGTTTTCTTTAAATTGGGAGAAGGGTCCTTGCCTTCCCTTTCATGAAAGATGTTGTGGGTGCCCGGCCTATCATTTACTAATGCAGGTGCAGTATACATTGTATACATACAAATGTAGTTTGTATTGATACTGTACATGTTGAAACAAAGTACATTTTCCTCCTCTGAATACTGTAATAGAAACAAAAATAAGTTAAAAATACATGATGAGTTAAAATAGTGCTTAGCAAAATAAAATCAATTAAAACATAATTAAAATTGTTATCTGCCAATTGGAGAGCTGCCTGAGAAAGGTTTGGTGGTGAAAGATGGTAGAGAGAGCATGTAGTTACTGTGGCTATTATATTATGTTATAAAGGAGGGAGAAGCAGCGGTGAAAGGATGGCTGAAATAGTAAGTGTCTTTGGTTTGTCTATATGCAAATTTGCAGAGCCGGAAGAGTCTTCAGTTCTTGGAGTTTTAGATTCAAGAAGTAGATACAAGAAAAAAACAAACAACCTCATCAAAAAGTGGGCGAAGGATATGAACAGACACTTCTCAAAAGACATTTATGCAGCCAAAAAACACATGAAAAAATGCTCACCATCACTGGCCATCAGAGAAATGCAAATCAAAACCACAATGAGATACCATCTCACACCAGTTAGAATGGCAATCATTAAAAAGTCAGGAAACATCAGGTGCTGGAGAGGATGTGGAGAAACAGGAACACTTTTACACTGTTGGTGGGACTGTAAACTAGTTCAACCATTGTGGAAGTCAGTGTGGCGATTCCTCAGGGATCTAGAACTAGAAATACCATTTGACCCAGCCATCCCATTACTGGGTACATACCCAAAGGATTATAAATCATGCTGCTATAAAGACACATGCACACGTACGTTTATTGCGGCACTATTCACAATAGCAAAGACTTGGAACCAACCCAAATGTCCAACAATGATAGACTGGATTAAGAAAATGTGGCACATATACACCATGGAATACTATGCAGCCATAAAAAATGATGAGTTCATGTCCTTTGCAGGGACATGGATGAAGCTGGAAACCATCATTCTCAGCAAACTATCGCAAGGACAAAAAACCAAACACTGCATGTTCTCACTCATAGGTGGGAATTGAACAATGAGAACACATGGACACAGGAAGGGGAACATCACACAGCAGGGACTGTTATGGGGTGGGGGTAGGGGGGAGGGATAGCATTAGGAGATATACCTAATGCTAAATGACAAGTTACTGGGTGCAGCACACCAACATGGCACATGTATACGTATGTAACAAACCTGCATGTTGTGTACACGTACCCTAAAACTTAACGTATAATACTAAATAAAAATAAAAAATAAAAAAAAAAGTAGATTCATATGCATCAATATCCAAAGGCATAGAGAAAACAATGAGAATGAGAAACCTACTCTTGTGCCTTTTGCTTAGTTATACAACTAATGATAACATGTTATGAAACTTACAACTGCATTTTTAAACATGGTATCTTTGCCTATGTCATGATGATGTTCACTCACAACAAGTCATTTTGTCTGCATGATTTATAATTTTTTGTAAAGCATTGGCATTGTGTATTTTGTTGCTTTCCTTCCTCTTACACCTTCTTGGAAGATATTTTCACTTAATACTATTGTGAAGACGGTAGCAATAACTTCATGGTATGTTTACAAAACATGAGCACTGAATGGGATCCTTTTAAGAGAACATTTGAGATATTACTGCAGTACAATCGGCATTCTATTGACAGGATTTGCAAATAACTTGGATGTTTTCACTAGCACACAAATTCAGGGTTTGGCTTGTTGTTTGGCTTGTTGTTTGGCTTGTTGTTTGGCTTGTTGTTGACATGCTTGTTGTTGGCATGTTGAATAGCAACATTCACATAGAAATTCTGCAAATTGTTATAACAACCATTTGGATAATAAGACTATGAAAATTTAGTTAGGGATAACTCTATTTGTTTGTCTATCCAGGGCATTCTAAGTTGATCTCTGTGAAGTCTAACATTTTGTCACTATTATGGTGCCATAATGATGTCATATTTTCTGCTAACAATTCAGAACCACTTGTGACCCTCTTTCTAGACTCTCTCATATCATTATGGCTGAAACAGTAGAAACTACATGCCCCAGGCTTTCTTGCCAGCACGGTTCTGGTTTTGGTACTACTAATGGGAAGGCAAGGATATGTTATTAAAAGATAGGAGAGAGTCATAAGTTGTTTGAAGAAGAGTAGACACAGTGGACTAATGCAGTCTTGTGCGTCCAAGTTTTCTGCAGCAACAGTGGCAGCTGTTGCAGTAGCATCAGAAGACCATCAGCACTGCAGCAGAGACACAGCTATGTGGGTTCTTGAGTAGTAGTAGCAAACTAGATTCAGCATACTGAGGTCCTGGTGGTAGCTTCCTTAAATTCTCTAGCTCTGGGTAAGAGTAATCCTCACCTTAAAAAAAAAAAAAATCCTCCAGCCCTCCCAACAAGTCTGCCAACTATCTCTTCATATTAAATTTATCTTGTTTGATACACCTACAGTCATTTCCATTTCTCTGGCCAAATATGACTCATACAATCATTCAATGCCGGGTCCCCAGGATCTTGGACATAAAATACTGTTCAACGAGCATTTTAAAAATCAATACAAGAAAGAAGTGTTTCACAACCAGTGAGTATTCTAGCCAAGACTTAAACTCAGGTCTTACACAAATCCCTTATTTGGATTTATATAATTTCTTTCAAATATCTCATGCTGAGTTTCAAATAAGATGCATTAATGACACTGCCTGATCTCATGGAGTGTCTATTTTGGGCATCAAGATGAATGACAGAGTATGAAGGAGTCCAACAAGGAAGTGTCAGTCTCAGAAATGATGTTGACCATGCAAAGATTTAAAGTTACAAAATGAATTAAATCAGAGTTCTATCCATGATCTACTGATCTATTTTATTGAAGTTGTATATTTGCTTTAATTCTTGTAACCACATAAATGTGGAAAATGGTGATATATGTGTATTTCACAGATACTGAAAATACTACTCATCTTTCAGGTTCGGTAATATATTTTGGGTGGTCTGCAAAGTAACATTACCCTAAGTAAATCAAGCAATGAAGAGTAGAGTATAGGGATGAAGATTTTGGGGAAAGCAAATTTATTTACTTTAACTGATTCAAATTGTGATAGAGGATGAGATATAAATACATGCATATGTACTTATATACAAAATAAATATAAATTATGTTTCATTTTATACCATTGAATTCAGCACACATTTATTAGAAAATTCATATTGATGACAATATACCAGGACTAGACTAGCAGGAAGAACCCTGTTTATGCTTAGAGGAAGATGTATTTAGGTGGAAAGAGAGAGAGAGAGACAGAAACAGTGTTCCCATAAGGACATTGATTGTCATTTTAAGGAAGTGGGAGTAGTTTTGTTAAGCTGGAATTCAGGTGCAAGAGTGATTGGAGGGTTTTTGTACCCAAGTGAACCCGTACCCATTTTGTACCCAAAGTGAAACCAGTGACTGATACAGGCAAGACCTAGATGCCTCGAAGATGCTTGAGGTAACCGTGCCGACTCACTACTCATTGACTCTGCCCACACTTATTTGGATTAATTTCACCCCTAGCTTCTCCATTCTTGCTTTCATTAACATTCTTCGTTTTAAGACTTTGGTCTTGAGATTTGCTTCTGGTCTTTTCACCTACTAACTTTTGTCTCCAACTTGGACTTGGCTTACATTGGCTGTGTTTTAAGAACCATACTAATAAGCACTGCAGTCTCAGATGCTGGCCCGTTTCCATCTTGCCAGCCTCATGTTTCATTGTTGAGGGAGGAGTAAAATGGGGTTTTTAGACAGGTAGAGGAAAAGATAGAAAAAAATGTTCAAAATTATGCAAGAGTTTATGCATTAAATAGGCTAGGACATATAATAGTATAAAATTTATAAAATTGTGTATTCTTTCTGCTGTTCATTCTTTTAGCTCTGAGTATTTATAAGAGACTTCACCATGAATATAGGAATGGTACATCCTTTGCAGGGAAGGAGCAATGGTGTCCTGCCTTCCACTTGCCAACTACTCTTCACCATCCTCCACAAACCCAAGGCTGAACTCTGGTTCTCATAGAAGATTAATAATACCCTTCCTTGAGGTTGACAATTTCCAGCATGTGCAATTATCCTCAATGGAAAAAGGCCTGAAGCCTTGTGCAGAAAGGCTTAAATTCTTAGCTCTACCATTGAAGTGGCCACAATTCTACTTCACAGTGCTTGTGAGCAGAGATAATGCAAGAAACTACCTCCAAAATATTCAAAGTTGAATTACTTTGACAAAAAGAACATTTCTCTTTTCAATTCAGCTGCAGATAATTTCAGAAATGCTAAATCTTTCTGAATCACCTCTTAAATCACAGTTAACAGTTCAGATTTTTAACTCAAATTCAATTAAAAAAATGATGCCCAAGGGGAGGAGATGGGGGTTACAAGACAAAAGGAAGTCTATGAGAAGAAAAATCCAGAAGGTGAAATAAAAATGTGCATATGCTGTTTGAGTCTACCACAAGCATTTATTAATGGGTGGTGGGCCAATAGTCTAAGATCAATGGTTTGAGCCAGACTGACTAGAATAAAACCTGTTAGAGGGGACCTGCATCCATGCAATCAATCAACAAACATATATCAATTGCTTAATACACAGCAGAGGCTCTGTTAGTGACAGACTATTACAAATATATGTAAATTATATCTGATATAACTTGCATATATATGTAAATTATATTATGTTATTCCCCTCCCCATGGACTGCGTTAGAATAAAGCCTAAACCTCTTGTTCTGACCTATAAGACCCTATAGGACACAACCTATTCATCTTTTCAGTGTTATCTCCTACCTCCTCTCATTTGTTATGTTCCGGGTAGACTCATTTTTTGTATTGGCTCTAGCTCCTTAGAAAATAGAGTCAGAGGCGAAATCTTATACATCAATGCTTTATTTGAGCACTTCATCCCAGGGAAACAAGAGTAAGAAAAACACAGGACATGCAGTGGGGAAGAAAGGAGAGCAACTCAAGCTGCCCACTGCCCACAGCAATACAATAAATGTTGCTCCTTACTTAGGCCCTTGGACATCTCATACGAAAACAAAGGCCTGTCTTAGAGTTTGTTTTAAAAAGAAAGGATGAATGAGTAATTGGCTAGTTCCCTCTTGTCTTCTGTCTCTAATAGGTCAGAGTCTTCCTTGCAGAGTATTGACTCCCATTAGCTTCTGGATTGTGTAATTCAGCTACCTTGAATAGCCAGTGAGGAAACTGAGTCTCTTTTGGTTTTACTGGTTTCATTGCAGGGACTTCAGCAGCTCTGTTTCAGCTGGCTCAAAGGAGACCTTGCTCAGGGAGACTCAACGTCTGCTGGTATAAAGAAATGAGGCATGCTGGCACAGGTTCACCCCACAGGGCTTGGTGACTGAGGACCACAGAAACCATTTTAGGGGCTGAGATGCCAGGCAGGTAGGTGGCTGAGGCCATGGACATGCAGGGCTGAACAGATCTGATTAACACACAACCTGGGCCTGGTACACTTGCTTTCTGCCCTTGGAATAAGTCTAGTTCATTCTCTTCTTAGATCCTCAATGCTGTGTCCTACACCTGGGATACTAGCTGTGTCCTCTTCTGGGAACACTTTCTCCCGGATCTTCTTAAATTCAGGTCTTTGCTCAAATATCACGTCTGCAGAAAAGCCCTCCCTGACCACGCTGTCTGCAGTAAGTCCCTGTCTTGTCTCCTAAGCCCTCTTCTTCTTATTCCTCTGTTTTATTTGCTTTCATGCAATTTATCACTATGTGTAACATTTTATATTTGTTAAATTATTTACATTATTAGTGTCTTACTTCCTGCCCAATAAATGAGAAGATCCATGAAGCAGGGAATTAATCTGTCTTGTTTGCCATATTCTCAGCCTATAGAAAAAGATTGGGATACAGTATGTATTTAATATTTATTATATAGAAGATGGATAGAAGAGAAAGTGAATAAAACTGACCCAGTCTCTACCACAAAGGAATTCTAGATATAGTGGGGGAGACAAGGAAGTTTTCGATCTCAAAGTAGTGTGGCAAATGCTCTGTTTGAAGTAAATTTAGAGTGACAAGAATGACAACAGAGACACCATTTCAGATGGAGTGGAGGGGTCTGACACTGAATGACTGAGGCTTGAACAAGTCTCAGAGAACCAGCAGGAGTCAGATGATCGACTGTGGCAAAGAACCTTTTAATCATTTACGCAATCACAAGGTAAAGATTAAGAGGCTAAACCCTGCCTGAGTTTGAATCCTGTTCTGTCATCAGTGGCTGTGTGACGTCAGATTCAATACATAAACATCCTTTGCCTGTCTCCCCATCTATAAACAGACACCATATTAGCAGCTATTATCACCTTGGTATAAGGAATAAACAAGAAAATGTATGTGCAGCACTCAGCTCAGGACCTGACTCATCGTATGTGCTCAATACATATTCATTATATCATCAGGACTGACAGTTATTAGTTTGTGGATTACCTAGCAAGTATCAGGTGCTGAAATACCTTGGATGTAGGGTGACAAACAAAACAGAACAAGTCCCTTCCTCTTAGAGCTGTCATAAGCAGGTGATAAACAAGTAAACAAATATTTTTTTTTTAATGTGAGCTGCTATGAAGGAAAGAAACAGGAACGCAGAATACCCAGAGGAACAGCTGCTACCCCTCACTGCGGAGATGACATTTAAGCTGAGATCTGAAGAAGGAGCAGGGGCCAGGCACACAAAGAGCCAGAGCAGAGCGATCCAGGCCCAAGGAGCAGCGAGTACAAAGGCTGTGAGATTCGAAGGTAGAAAGAGAGAGTAGTGTCTGAGGCTCTGAAAGAACAATCGATGTCTGGAGGGCAGAGATAAGGGTAGAGAGGTCTGAGATGAGGCTGGAGAGGTAAGCAGAGACAGAGCATGCTGGGCCTTGAAGGCCAATGTAAAGGATTTAGATTTACTTCAAAGCACGGTGGAAGTTCATCAGATGGCTTCAAGCAAAGGAATAGCAAGATCCAGTCACCTTTTTAAAAGACCACTCTGGCTCCTGTGTGGAGGATGAATTGGAGATGGCCAAGAGTGAGAATGAGGAGATCATTTAGTGAGCAGTGAATAGCAACCCCAAGAGCTGGAGGTTGTCACCAGGAGACATTTGTCATTCAGATGGTGCCTTTGCAACCACTGGAGCTTTGCATCTCCTTTCTGGTGGCTGCTTCCTGCAGTGCATGAGGAGCCCATGATGGATGACTATGGTCCAGAACCCATTGGGAGGCCTATATTACAGAGCTGAGTGAGTCTTCTTTAGAACATTCACAGACACTGATTTTTACAGCCCTCCTGATTTTAATCATGAATTGCTAAGTCTTAATGCTCTGCAGTCATGGTGGTCAACTACTTTGGTGGTCAAAGTGATTAATCTGTTTAATTATTAGGTGACACTTGTTAGATTTTATTACAACTCTTAGTAACATTCTCTCCTATAAAACTTCTCCTGGGTCCAATGACAGAGCAGACCTGGTTAAAAATCGTAAGCTATTCATTAAATTACAATATTTCCACAGAGAGAAGCTAATGTCTTGGAGTGTCAAGACTGTCAAACATCAGTTGAAATACATTGAAAGCATATTATCTCCTGTGATCTTACAAATTTTAATATGTGCACATGTACACACACACATACAATCTTTGCCATTTGTGAAAATGTTTGAACTGTTAAAATATTATCATCCAAAGATTAAGTTAAAATAAAATAATCATCATCATCACATCACAGCAACAAAATCAATAGTTAACATACACTGAGCTCCTCTCATCACATGCTCTGGATTGCGCTAAGCACTCTGCTTATTCATCTCATTTAATCCTCAAAATAACACTGTCAAGTAGACCCTGAAATCCCCAAATTTTAAGTGAGGAAACTAAGGCCCAATGAGGTTATACAATGTCTGCAGTGTTGCCCAGAGAGAACGTGGAGTTGGTACTCAGATTCAGGTAATTATGACTCCAAAGGCCAGGCACTAACCACTCTGCAGCTGATTTCACTGCATCCCATTAAGGGTGTAAAGGATAACATCATAATTATGTGTGTGACTTGACGGAAGAGAAGGAGACCTCATTTTGGGCAATATTTTCAAATAAAATTGTCTGTCTTATCCTCATTTTCCTTCATTGTATAGAAAGAATGTTGAAGGAGATCTCTAGCGTTCTGGTCCTAAAGCTGTGTTGGACTGGAATTTTTTTTTTTTATTTATCCTCCTTATCCCAGAAGCTTTCATCACCCATAACATTTTGGGGATAGGTGTTTGACATACCATTTCTTTACCAGTTTTATGGAAGCTGGCACAGCATCCATGGTTCTTTTTGAGTGAAACACAAGAATAGCAGGTGCATGCTTCCAACTAGTCATGTGCCTGGGAATGGCTGCAGGTCAGTTGCAAGTCTCCGGAGGCAGTCCTCACTGTAGCTCACTTGACAACATGGAACATAAGGAAAATTGCTCACTGGATCTTTGTAACTCACAAGAGTTTGCACAGTATCAGGTCACTGTGTTAACATTAAATCAGAAACAGAAGACTTCTAAAATTAGTCTGTGTTTTCTCAAAAAAGAAAAGTTTCTCTGAAGTTAATATGAGAGGTGATAGCAACATCCTCACTTCTGACAGCATCACTGTGAAGCAGGGAGCCCTACTTTGTCACCTCTCTGTTCACCTTTGATGATTTAAGGCATTGACTAGAACTGGGGATTATCAGTGATGGCTTTTTCAGATCCATCTGTCATCAAACCTTGGGTCTTAATCTTCTGCCATTGTTCAAATCTGTTTTCACCTCATTTTCAACTCTGTAATAATTCTTCTAATTCCTCATATTTTTCACTTTCCTGAGCCTCCTATCTCTCTGAAAGACCTTCTCACTATCTGTTCCCAGGCATACCTTTTTTTTCCTACACATGCCTCAAAACTCAAGTTTCTCTGCTTAAAACTTTGTCTTGAAGACTCTCTTCTTGTTCTTCCAAAGAGCTCTCCTCTTTCTCTGTGCATTCATTTAACAGACATGTATCACACATGTTAGACCAGGCTTTGTGCTGGGTGAAAGGGATTCAGAGATATTATGTTGAGAAACATCAGCATGCAGTGATGTACTGGTAAGTGTTTAATGACTGAAACTCAAATATATATATATATATATGTATATATATATGTGTATATATATATGTATATATATACGTATATATGTGTATATATATATGTATATATATACGTATATATATGTGTATATATATGTATATATATATGTATATATATACATATATATATATGTGTATATATACATATATATATATGTATATATATGTGTATATATATGTATATATATGTGTATATATGTATATATATGTATATATATATCTACACACACACATATATATACACACACATATATATACATATATATATACACACGCATGTATATATACATATATATATATACACACACACACACATATATGTATATATTAGCCTTGATTCATTTGCAGAATTCAGCGGTGAAATACTCCCTTCATGGCCAATTTCAAGTTACCAGTTTGGCTTCACCTAACTGGAAGTTGAGTAGAGAGGTGTGCAATTGGCTCTTGCTGCCCAAAGCAAGCATACTGTAGCCTACTACAGCTAATGGGCATGTGCTAACATTCTACTTTAAAATACATACACTTAAGCCAATATTAATAATGTATAGATATAAATATAGTTCCCTTAATCCCACATATCTAAAATAACATATCTCACATGTTTAATAATAATATGAGGCACATGTGTGACTATAATAGGGAAGACTGGTTAACTTCTAACCCTTTCTCACTTGGGCACTGGGGAAGATTAGTCAGGGGACATTAATCAGGCATCTCGAGGAGGAACTATCTTGTCTGAGACTGTATCTTTTCTCCTCAGATGGGTTCTAGGGCATGTGGTAATTAGAGTTCTTGATGTCCCTGTCTGCCACTTTACAAATTTCTCTCTCAGAAGCACGCAGCCTTATTAATTTTATTCCAAAACAAAATTCAGAATCTACTATTTTTATTAATCATTGTTATTACATAAACCTGTGCAAGACAGAGAGGTTTGGAAGACAGAGATCTCCTTAGCTAAATCTCCTCTGAAACTGTCCTATCCCAGATCGTAAGTGTGAACCTAGAGTTCTTTCTTGTTATATGCAGAGCAAAGTCATCATCCAGGCAGAAGGCTGCTTTTAAAGTTTCTACTTTATTATTTAGGAGGTAAAATACCTGCTTCTGGTTTCCTAGTAAAACACCTCTGTGGATCCAGCAGCTGAAGTTAAAAAATATTCACCTGTTAGCTCAATGGGAATTGTCATGTCAGCCATTGTTTCTATGACTCTTAAATAACATGACCTCTACTTTTCTCCTGTACTGTGCTCTTCCATCACATGAAGTTATAGTGCATATGGAGTTGATCTTAAGAAAATTTCTTAAGAATGTTCCAGAATTCTCTGGGAGGTAATTTTCCTCCACACGCTGACAAGATGTTTTTCATCTTCAGAATAATGAATAATTTTAGTCAGACGTTAAAAAAAAAAAAGGAAAAGAAAATTGTTCACAGATGCATTGAAAATCCAAATTCACAATCCATCATTTCTCTTTTATGAATTTGTCAAGTACAAAAATCTAATTTTTAGCCTTGCCGGCTATTGTTCTAGGAAGCCAACTGCTTCTTGGAACACGTAACACTTAATGAAGACTTTCTCATAGTTAAAATTACATACAGTCCACGCTTACACACTGTGTCTCATTTTGTCACCATTATGGAAAGGAAATAATTATGTCCATTGTATCCCCTAACTCAGTCTCAAACCTTTCTCTCCTTTCCACAGCCACTGTCCACACTTGAGATAAGTCTCTGTGATTCTTGTCTCAAGCTTTGTGTCCTTGATTCCAATAATATCCCTCCCTCTAGTTCATGACCCAACCAACTGTCAAAATGATTTCATAAAACTCAAATCTGAACAATTTCCTCCTTCAAATCCTATTTATAGAACCTCCTCAAGCCCTAGGGTAAAGTCCAGCATACATAGCTGCTGTTCTCAAATGTCTGTTTCCAATCATTTACACCTGCAATACAACAATAACCGTCCACATCTCTCATTATTCTTGGTGAGTCTCAGACATGGAAGCAGGGTCAAGTCAGAGGAGAAGGAAATGCAGAAGAAACGAAAAAATTGGAGGAACCTAAATAAAGAGAAGGGGTTTGAAAAGAGGCATAGAGAGACATGTGCAAATTTCCTTTTATATTTGATCAAGAGAAGAAATGAAAGTTGTAGGTAATACAGTATTTGAGAATTAGTGCATGTTTGTGAAAATATTTGAGTGTGTTTATACAGAAGAAAGAATGAGCATTGGAGAGAGAGAAAGAGAATCTGTGTGTATGTGCACCCTTGGTGAAAAACTGTGTAAAATTATTTCAGTTGAAATGCAGAAGAAATGGAAAGGAGAATGGTGTTGTGCAACTCTTTCTAGCAGGAAAAACTAGAGGGCTCAGTTAGTCACATTAGTCTATTAACCCTAGCATGCTATTAACCTGGGACAGTTTAGCAGCCTTTTTTGTTTGTTTGTTTGTTTTCCTGAAGTGTTTGTAATGAAAGAACAGAAGTAGAGTTGAAAGTTTGGAGCCCAGGTTTTATGGCCAGGAGGGAGAGCAGTGTGACACTTGCTATTATCTATGAATGCTCATGCATTTCAGTTCTAAACTGAGTGGGGAAGATAAATGTGATAGCATTTGCAGGGCTGTTCATAAAGACTGAAATTTACCATTAACAAGTCCATTTCATAGAAAATCTGAGTCATGGGAAAGGCAAGGAAATTAGCTGGTAGCAGAATGTTAAGAGTATCAGGGAATACGTGCTACAATTGCAGGAAGTACCAGGTGTAAACTGCACAGGTGGGTTTCCTGGCTCAGCTCAAGTCATGGCAGGAGACAGAAAGTTCTTTCCTCACAACACAAAGAATCAACTAAGTCTTGAGGAACTTGAGGAACAAGTAGCTCTGTGAAAAAGTAAAGGGAACCTTCTAAAAAAAAGAAGAGGGAGTACAAAATCATACAAGGGCAAGAGAGCCTCTTGAAGCTGAGGCACCTATTGCTCCAGGGGATGTGGAAAACCAAGATTGAAAAAGGGAAAGTTACTCAGTCTCTTCCTTTTAAAAACAGGCTCTTGAAATGCATTCAAAAGCCAACACTATGCAGGCAGAGGCTTTTGCTTGTTAGAGTCAGACTCTTTTGAGAAACTAGTTTTCTAAAATTCAAAAGCTTTCTTTTAAACTTCAAGGAACACAGGTCAGCTAATTAAGGTAGGAGCATGTTACTATGAACTTTAGAAGAGGGAGGATGGAGGATAAGACCCGAGGCAAATTTCCTTTACACAAGATAGACAAAAGCCATTTCTGGGCTTGGGTGGAAATGTTTGGAGAGTCTTAGGGCACACAGTGGAGTGAAGTTGCTGCCTGACTCCCTCCAGTGGTTTGAATGTGCCCCTCAAATTCATGTTGGAAATTTAATCCCCATGCTATATTGTTGGAAGATGGGGTCTAATTAAGAGGTGATTAGGTCACGAGCATAGACCCACATGAATAAATTAATGTCATTATCATGGGAGTGGGTTAGTTATCATAAGAGCAGTTTGTTATAAAATTAAATATACGCCTTATACTCTCTCTGTCTCATGGGCTCACTTCCGCCTTCTGTCTTCCACCGTGGGATCGCCGTTGCCAGATGCCAGCACCATGCTTTTGAACTTCCCAGCCTCCAGAACTGTGAGCTGAATAAGTTTTTAGTCTTTATAAATTACCCAGTCTGTGGTATTCTGTTACAGCAATATAAGATGAACTAAGACATTCACTGAGATGGAACCAGAAAAGCTAAACTCAGCCTTTTCCAGAGTTAGGGGCAGGGCTTCATTAAGCCTTACTTAAAGATACAGCCTACAACAAGAGGGAGGATTCTGCCTTCTTTCCTTTTGGAATCCTCTGGGGAACACTTTTCAGGAGTTCTATACCCACATAGACTGACCCCTGGAAAGTTGAAATGGTGCAATGACTTGTTTGGGCTGAAAGAGGGTTGAAGTTTATTTCCTAGTTCCTCATGTGTACACAACACCCAAGACTTCCTATGCACCCCAATGAGTGGTTATGCAGGTGACAATAGTCTTATGGGGCTAAAATCAAGACATTCATAAGACTGTACTTCTTCCTCTAAGAACACATCTGTGTTCTTACCCTTTTCAGTATCCCTACCACATTTCTTGATTAGTGGCCTCCTTCTAACATCTTTAAAGCCAGCAACATGACATTACTCTTGCCATCCTTATATAATCACATCTTAGACTCTCCCTTCTGTCTTCTTCTTCCACTTTTAAGGATGCTTATGATTATATTAGGACCATCTTGATACTCCATGATAATCTTCCCATCTCAAGGTCAACTGATTAGCAGCCTTGATTCCATTTGCAACCTTAATTCCCGTTTGCCATGTAATGTACTGTAATCACAGTTTCTAGGGAATAGACATGGACATCTTCAAAAGGCCACTGTTCTGTCTGCCACAGAGGACTTCAAGGCCAGAGGCCATTACTGATACATGAAAGATCACTTCTATCACCAGCAGGAACAGCAAGTACCCAGAAACAGGGTTCAGATGAGAGATCTGCATCTGCAATGTCACGTAAGTATCCCACATAACACTCTGGGAGAAGAAAAAGGAGGAGGGAAGTTAAAAAAAAAAAGTTACAAATAGCCAGCATTAACCTGGGGAAAGTCTTTGACTTAAACTGGAAGAGACAGAAAATCTGATAAGTGGCAAGATTAAATGTTTTTGCTGACATCAGTGGAACTGAAGAGAGGGCTTTTTACCAAGTTATTTGAGTTCTAGAAAATACATAAAATTATATGCATGCATATGAGCATAGCAGTATATAAATTTCAATACTACCATATTTCTAAATTTTTATGTCTTTTTCTGCTCCCATTCTTGTACTTGCCTTTTTTCTCCTTCATCTCTTCTCATTTTTTCCCCTCTGCATCTCCAAACCCCGTTGATTTCATTTGTATTATTTTGCCATCTTTCCTTTCCTTTTCTTCTCATTGTATAACTTCCTTTTCTCATTTCATTCCTTCCTTTTGTTTTCTTACATCAAATCTGATTACATAAAGAGAGATGGGAGGTGAGACCATATCTTTTCAATATTTCTGTCACCAAGACTTAGCATGGGCCTGAAAGATAGCAGATGCTCAGTAACTGTTCATTGACTAAATGAACAAATTGAATCCTTTGTTATGCAGCAAGAAAAGGATCCTACAAAACAGCCAACAACAGTGCTAGTATTCTGAAAACACAGAGAAAAGATAGGTTGAATTGGAAATAATGTTAATTATGTTTCCTTTTAATGATCCTAGTTTCTCCAGCTGTCAAGTGAATTATCACCTTTTAAATATGCCTGTTTGGAAAAATGCTTTAAATTACAGCCAGAAGATGCAAAAGAGTCAGAGTAATTGGAATTAAATTTATTTGGATGAGTTTCCATTTTTACTGTTGTTTAAATGGGTTCACATAAATTGAAATAGGAAGAACCTTCCAAATGAATAAAGGCAACAAAGTGTGATTGCCTCACTCAAAGCTAAAGGCTAGAGAGGAGCTGATCAGAAAAGAATTATCCTCAGAAACAACAAGCCAGGGTGCTCTTAAATCTTCAGGTTATGAAGGTTTCTCCCTTTGAAAATTACCTGCTTTGATAATAGCACACCATTCCCTGAAGGGCAAGAATAGCTCCAAATTCTATGACTGTCCAAATTATGGACTGAACACCTCGTAGTGATTATATTCCTGAAAATGTTACTTTAAAAGAAAGGTATTCTGATTTCATGAAGCATTTACAAGAAAACCACAATCAAAATGAGCCTCTAGACCTTGGAACGGCGGCCATATAGGGCTAAAGAGGAAGGAGAACCACCATAAAGTGGGTAGGGAAACAGAAAATGACAAGAGGAAGCCCTGCCTTGTAGCTGAAGATCAGTACCTTGTGTTAACTGACCACAGGTGAGAAAGCATTGAGGAAGTCAGATAAGAGGATGCTAGTGGGTGTTTTTCAGTGGATGGAGAGGGCAAAATATTGCATACATTGTTTTATGTAAACTTTTATACAGCTTTCAAACCTCATGTTATGCTAATTTTTCAGAAAAGAAAATTAAAATTGATAAGTTTTTTCACAACTTGTCTACATTTATACAACTTAACGGTAGACCTAGAATTTGAACTTTAATATGCATTGCTAAGCCTGTATACTTAGTCACTATGCTATGTGAGAAAAAGCTGCCCTTCTTCTGTATGGTCATTTTTTGGCCCATTTGTTTGCTCTTACCTGTGTCTATACAGATTATATAATGTTCTATGCAGAACTTAGATATGTCTGCTGGAGCTGTAAGTTTAAAGCAAAGATCACCCTGGTTGTAGGTAGGTTTGTAAAGCAGGAGTCGGGAAGCCAGGATTAGAAAAACAACTACCACCATAACTCTCATCACAATTGCCTTCTTCCATCTAGAAAGTTGGTTATATGGGGCCTCAGACTGTGGAGTCTGACCATTGCTTCTTGTTGCAAATTCTCAGTGATAGCTCCAAGGCAGGATACTTAAAACAAGCATACTGCAGCGGGGGGACATATGAGTCCACAAAACAGCCTAGAGCAGCAGGAAAATCACCTCCAACTTACTTCTGCCTTCCAAATGTTAGGTAGGTGCATGTAATTGGCAAAAGTCTAATTTGCATTTAAAAATCAAGCTGTGAAGGAATTAGAAATGTAGTTTTTACTTTGTCAGTCTATGGATTTTTTAAAAAGAATAGAAGAAAATAAGAATAAATGCTGAGTGCCAGTTCTATATAGCCAACACATCTAGTAAATACAAAATATGGTTTTTCAGCCTCTACTGTAAAAAAAGAAAAAAAAAAAGCAAATGATGAAAGGTGAAAGCAGAAGAATGTGGGCTGATATGCCAAATAGAGTTCCTTTCTTAGAACATGACACATGTCCTCCAAAGAGAATTAATCCCAGGGTCTTCAAGGCAGCAAGCTGAGAAAAGTTCTACTATTTCCCACTGGGGCTGAACTTGGAAGCACATAGCCCTGAGTGCTTCTGGCAGGCTTCTTGCGATCTCAAAAGGAAAGCCTGTCAACAAAGGAGACATGGAGCTAAGAAATGGAGAGGCTGTAACAAATCCAGAACTAAGTTTTTCAACTCCCTTTATCCAGCTACATTTGAAGCCACATCTACTCTTTAAATATTTGACTACATACGTTGATATATCATTTTTAAAAATTAAGGCTTTCCAACTGTCCCCTTTATCCAAAGAAATCTTCTTAACCAGAAATTTTGCATTGTATTAAAAGAGAAAGAGGCCTCAGGTCTTCAAATTTCCAATTGAGATACAGAGTAAAACATAGTGTTAGAGCCAAGAATAGCATAATGATTCCAATAATTTCATCTACAAAATAAGCCATAGTAAACAGAAGCAGATCTAATTTGTAAGGAAGATAGCTAGATTGGTACATGGAGCAATTATGATTAGAAAGGAAGCTAGTAGGCAGGCTAATGTTTCCACCTAGAGCACCCAGACCCATTAAAGTCCTAGTCTCAAACGAATGAATGGACTAGAACTCTAAAAACACTGAGAACTGTTATCTTAACCCAGAAGAGACTGAGAACACCATTCTAACCAAAGAATATACAGTAGTCCCTCCTTATCTGTGGGGTTAGGTCCAAAGATCTCCAGTGAATCTTTGAAGCCAAGGATAGTACCAAACCCTGTATATACTATGTGTGCCCCTATAAATAATTACTTATGATAATGTTTAATTTCTAAATTAGGCATGTTAGAAGATTAACAACAATAACTAATAATAAAATAGAACAATTAAAACAATATACTGTAATAAAAGTTATTTAAATGTGGTCTGTCTCCTTCCTTCTCTTTCTGTCTCTCTCTGAATATATTTTATTGTACTGTGCTCACCTATTTTTGGACCACGATTGACCATGAGTGACTGAAACTATGGAAAGTGAACAGTGGATAAAGAATGGCTGCTGTATTCCTAGCTTTCTGGAAAGTAGCAAAAGAAGTCTATTTTTGGTTATGTTTTGGATTTTTGGCAGTCAGGCATAACTAATATTCACCAGTATTTTTTTTCTTTTCCCTTTCCAAGCACACAAATGATAGTAATTCTCTGTTATCCCGCAGTTGGTTAAAACCTGAAACCAGTTTTAGTTGATAAAATATAATCATAAATGGCATGTATCACTTTGAAGCAGTCACCTAGAAATGCACTTGTATCATCTCCTCTTTCTCTGAAAGAAAACCATGGATTGTGCATGGGGCGGTTAGAAGATGGTGCTTTTGTAACTGTCTGAATGAGACACATCATCAACCCATGCGAGTCATGTAATGCGAGCAAAAAAAAAAAATCAACTTTTGTAGTGTTAAGACACTAAAATTTGGGGGTATATATTGATGATACTGCAGCATTACTTAGCCTACTGTAACTAATATTGGGGTACTAATATAAAATAAAAAATATCTAATCCTATTACCTTTTGTTTGGTAGCCAGTGATTCCAAGGCAGAGCTAGATCAGGTACATTTACTTGCACTAACCCTGGAACAAGCTCCAGTGTTGATGAGACTAAATCAGGCAAGAGTTTGTTTTGAGACAGAGTCTCTCACTCTGTCGCCCAGACTGGAGTGCAATGGTGGGATCTAGGCTCACTGCAACCTCTGCTTCCCAGGTTCAAGTGATTCTCCTGTCTCAGCCTCCCAAGTCGCTGGGATTGCAGGTGTCCACCCCTACACCCAGATAATTTTTGTATTTTAACTAGGGATAGGGTTTCCCTGTTTTGGCCAGGCTGGTCTCGAACTCCTGACCTCAGGCAATCCACCTGCCGTGGCCTCTCAAAGTTCTGGGATTATAGGCATGAGCCACCATGCCTGGCCCAGATGAATTTTTAATAGTATCTTAGAATCTCTGCAGTCAATGGGAAGAAGCATGGTTGTATAAACAGCAGACAGCCACTAAAGCCAGACCAAACTGGGTTTCAAATGCCAGCTTTGCTACTTATTAGCTGAGTGCTATTCTTCAGAATTTTAAATATTTCTAAGCCCCAATACATTTATCTACAAGGCAGAAATAAAACTGTCATTCTTGTAAGAGTATTGTGAAAATTAAATTAGAACACATGAAAAATATGATAGGCATACAATAAATGTTCTCTTGCAGTTAAAAGCCAGTCTTCTCAAAAAGTGAAATTAATTACTCAAGATCAAACAGTGATTTTGCTTTAAAAGTCAGTATATAGAAAACAGATTCCAAACCCCAGAACACTTATCTATCCTCTAGTCCACTGACTGCTTCTTCATGTAAGTGTCGATTCCACATAATTGAAGATGTGAACAAAGCATTCTTATTTATATATTATTAGTGCCCAACTCAGTCAATCAACATGTATTGAATAAATGAGCAGCTATAAATATGTGGCAATTGGTGTCCTTACCTATCAAAAACCTGCTCCAGGGTTAATTTTTTCCCCCCCTTATTTAGTTTGGCCTTAAATTCTTCATTATACTGGGAAGAGAAAACACAGTCTTTCCATTATGTCTACAAAAAAGTACATGTATTTAATGTAGCTCATATGGGGTGAAATATGCTCTTTAGACATAGGAAATAAGTATCCCCAGACTAATAGGATAAATAATCCTTCACCCATACTTTATCAGTTCAAATCCTCCCTGATGAGGTCAATAGAGGGTCATTACTGTCTGCTGGCTGTTCAGCGACCTATGTAAAATGAGTTAGAGGTCTTATTTCCTTGCATAGAGGAACAATGTTTCAGAATAAATAAAAATCAACATTGACATCAGCATCAAAACAAAGCTTGGTGCCATATGACAACCTGCAATAAAAAGGTAAGAAGTGTTTATAGTCTATTCGGAAAAGAGCAATAGATGGACCAAACATTGCTTTCCATCCATTACGATTGAGTTATTCCAGAGAGAGAGGAAGCTGACACTGAAATTATGTGTCTTTTTACCCTAGGAAGAAATTCTGTTCCTAATTCCTTAAAAACAGTATTTATCGCATATATGGTAGTATGTTTTCTTTTTTTAAAGATACTATTACCCGTATAGTGGATTAATACATAAATCACCCTCAACAAATCACATTTTTTGATATTCACAACCTTGTGCAACCCCCTTCCACACTGAATCAGTGGTCTGCCATATGACTTGCTTTGGCCCATGGAGAAGGTATCAAATGTGATGCAAATAGAGGCTTGGTAAGTGCTTGCACGCCCTTTTAAAGCTCAGTTGCCATGTAAATTCTATTATGATGGAGAGGTCATGTGGAAGCCTTTTAGCTGATTGCCTCAGTGCTGTGAATAGGGTATCCAGGAGTAGCCAGCTCTCAGAGAATCTGCCATCTGATGATAAATGCAGCAATAATCCCATCAAATACCAAACAATGCTGCCATAAGCTGTTTCAGCTGAGTCATGCTGTCTCAGTCCATTTGTGCTGCTAAAACAAAATGCCTGAGATTGGGTTATTTATAAAGAACAACAGTTTATTTTCTCACAGTTCTGGAGGCTGGGAAATCCAAGGTCAAGGCACCAGGAAGTTTGGTGTCTGGTGAAGGACTTGGCTCTGTGCTTCCAAGATAGTGCCTCCAATTCCTTGTTCTCACATGGAGGAAGAGCAGAAGATTGCTAACCCACTCCCTCAAGGCCTTTTATAAGAACTCTAATCCTATCCATGAGGGCTTTGCCCTCATGACTTAATTACCTCCTCAAAGGCCTGAGCTCTTAATAGTGTCACACTGGCCATTAAGTTTCAAGACATTTTGGGGGATGCATTCAGACCATAGCACATGCCTAATTTGCCATATCACAGAATCATGAGCAAATAACTGGTTGCTGCTTTCAGCCACAAAATTTTGGGGTGGTTTGTTATGCAGCAATGCTAACTGATACATAAATTAATATTCTGACTCCACTTAAGATTAAGCTTTATACAAGAGTCCCTTCACAATCATAATTTACTCATTTGTTCATTCATTCAGCAATTATTTGCTGAGCACCTTCCATGTTCTACTCACTCTGTTAATTGCAATAATGCAGCAGTGAATAAAGCAGGTGAGATGCTTCTCCACATGAAGATTCCAACAGTGGTCACCAATCAATGTCCCATGGTGCAAGTCTGGTGCAATGTCTCATGGTGCAAACATGTCATATTTGGCCAATGAGGGGTTATTTTAAAATATTTATTCAAAAATTAATAATTTTTTCTTTATAATTGGGAAATACAGTTTCTTTTTCACACTAAAAAGAAACAAAATCTCTGGTCTTCAGCCCCACAAGATATAATTAGCTGAGTTAACTAGCAGCAGCCCATCCCTCAGATTAGGCACAGTCTCTCTAGGGCCCACCATCTCCAGCATTTTCTGTATTCTTCAGTTCTTCATTAATCTAAGGACTAGTGTTGAATAAAGACTAGTGTCAAAACAAGTTTGGTGACCTCCAAATAGACTTTTTTTGCCTGGGAGATATATATATATAAAATTGTAATGGTTAATACTGAATGTCAACTTGATTGGATTGAAGGATGCAAAGTATTGATCCTGGGTGTGTCTGTGAGGGTGTTACCAAAGGAGGTTACCATTTGAGTCAGTGGGCTGAAAAAGGCAGACCCACCCTTAATCTTGGTGAGCACCATCTAATCAGCTGCCAGTGTGGCTAGAATATAAAGCAGGCAGAAAAATGTGAAAAGGCAAGACTGGCTTAGCCTCCCAGTCTACATCTTTCTCCAGTGCTGGATGCTTCCTGGGCTCAAACATCAAACTCCAAGTTCTTCAGCTTTGGGACTTGGACTGGCTTCCTTGCTCCTCAGTTTTCAGAAGGCCTATTATGGGACCTTCTGATTGTATGAGTTTAATACTCCTTAATAAACTCATATATATTTGTGTGTGTGTGTGTATAGGATATATATAGGATACACATATAGGATACATACACACATATATGTGTGTGTGTATATATACATATCCTACATACACACACACACACACACACACACTAATAGGATATATATGTATATCCTATTAGTTCTGTCCCTCTGGAGAACCCTAATACGATAATATAAATATAAACATATATATATTTTATATATATATATATATATATGTATTTGCCTGTATGGTACCTGTTAGCATCTAAATCTAAGACTTCCTATGTTCAGTATTCATGCAGGATAGTGATTCACACATGGTGTGTAGATATGGCCATCCAGACAAATGAAAAAGAGGAAAAAATATCATTAGACATGGAGTATGACAATAAATAAATAAATAGAGATAGATAATCCAGCCTTTCCAAAATTCAACACTTTACTCTTTTAATTTTTCATCAAAGAGGTTTACAGTACTCAATATATCATTCTAAGAATTGGGTATATTATTTATATATTTAAGAAATAATATCAGTTTCTTTCTGCATCCATATCACGAAATACTTGTTACTTTGCAAATGTCCTCAGAAAATCATTGGCCTTCACTGAGGCTTGTTCAAACCTGAACCTCCAGGACCTAGCCAGGCAATATGAAAGGGTAAACGAAATATCAAAATCCTCAAGTCATCAAGCTTCAGGGAGAGACTCAAATGGAGAAGATTTCACTCTGACCTTGTGCTGTTGGTGTATGCAATCTGTCTTTCTCCAGGCCCAGAATCTGAACCTATTTCAAGATTAGAACCTGAAGAAAATAAATGTTTATTTCATTAAAATTGATTTATAGAGTTTTGAGCTCCCATTTCGTAAAAAATAACCTTTGGACATACCCTCACAATCTGGGGCTCTCGGTTGCTCAGAAGGCATTTTCAGCTTTCCATGCTGGCAACACTCCTACAATCATGTCACTTTCAGGTAATACTTTGGCTCTATCTTCAACTCTTATGGAAGATAAATTAGAAACAGAAATACTGGAGAAATTGTAGATATAAAATAAGGTCATCATTAGTCTATTATTTATAGTGCTGCTCAGCACAAAATATCCATTATTAACAGTGTCTCTCATGATGTGCTTATAACTGTTTAGATTTTGTTATAAAAGTCATGTTTTAAAATCGTGATTGGCTTCAGTTGGCCCTGGGAAAGTTTTGTTGTTATTGCTGTTTTTTCTCCACAGGGTTTTGTCATTGTTGTTGTTATTACAGATAGAAAAGTATATCTCTTGGCATTTGAGTGAAAGTTACTATATTGTAGGTTATTTCAGGGATCAGCAACTTAAAGGCCAGGGGGCAAATCCAGCCCACCACCTGTTTTTATATATACAGTTTCATTGAAATACAGCCACACTTGTTCTTCCAAGTATTATCTATGGCTGCTACAAGTACAGAATTGAGGAGTTGCAACCAAGACCTCATCACCCACAAAGCCTAATATATTTACTGTCTATTTGGCCCTTTACAAAAACAAGTTTGGTGACCTCTGGATAGATGGTTTTGTGCCAAGGAGAGAAAAAAGGAAGATTGTCCACATAAGATCAAATTCAAGATATAGATAAAAGTGAAAAGTTCCATAATTCTTTAAATAATTTAAAATAGACAATTTTTGAAGCAATAAAAAATAATATCAGATAATTTGTTATAATCTTCTTAAACACCTTATTGTATGTAGAAGAGGAAACCATGATAACTTGTCTCCAAAGACAACTCTCCAGTGATTCATGCCTTCCAGTGATTGAACTCTTCTGTAGTCCTCTCCTCTCGTATCTGGCTGGCCCTGTGACTAATTTGTGAGCAAAAGAATGCCGTGCACAAGTGAATGTGGCCATATGTGGTTTCCAGGGCTAAGTCATAGAAAGCCTTGCAGTTTTTGCCAGTAACACCCATCTTCTGCCCCCCACCTCCCAACTCCGCACACACCTTGCTTTCGATTTTCCACCACTATCTTTCTTCAAGCAACCGTTCATTCAGTTATTCATCAGGCAATAGTCATATTATTGAGCAACTTTTTTTACCCAGAACCTTGAGAGGCTCAGGAAGTACAACCAGGTACCTGAAGCTCTGCCTGGTATGGGAAACAGAATTGCAAACAATTATGACACAAGATGGTGTTGTGGAACACAGCATGGACAATATAGAGGGACACCAGCAGGAGTCCTTCTGGAAAGTCAGGGAAGGCTTCTCAGAAGAGGTGATCATTAAATTGAGTCTTTTTTTTTTTTAATAGAAATGGAATCTTACTCTATCACCCAGGCTATAGTGCAGTGACACAATCATAGTTCATTGTAGACTCCAACTCCTGTGCTCAGGTGATTCTCCCACCTCAGCCTCCCAAGTAGCTGGGACTACAGGCTTGCACCCCCATGCCCAGCTAATTTTTTTTTGTAGAGATAAGGGTCTTGGTATGTGCCCAGGCTTGTCTTGACCTCCTGGGCTCAAGCAATCCTCCCTTTTTGCCTCCCAAAATGCTGGGATTACAGATATGAGCCACTGCACCAGCCTAAATTGAGTCTTAAAGGATGAGTAACAGTTTTACAGACAGACTGATGAGATATGGCTAGTTTGAGAAAAGAAGGTGACCATGAAAATCTTTCTAGACAAACAAAAGAAAGTTATGGGGAAATGACGAAGGTTTTGTTTGTTTGTTTTTTCATGAAGTCAACACTTAATTTTTTTCTAGCTTCTACTCGTTAATCTGGTATCCATTAGTTGAGATTAACAAGATAAACTCTCAACTCTTCATTACCTTTGGAGGACAGAAAACAAAGTGTCTTTTTTTCTGCTCTATATTCATATATATAAGAATATTATGTATAACATTATGTATGTTTATATACAAACATATATTTCACCAATTATAGTTTTTTTTATGTGAAAGATTTTGTTAAAACATTTCTTGAGGAAATTTTGACCAAAATAAATTCTTTCCCAAAAGACAGCACTTCAGACACTTAAAGGTCATTACCATGTTCTGTCTGAATCATCTCTTCCCAAAGATAATTTTCTTGACATGTTTGATTATTCCCACATGTAGGAACTAAGTGTCTTTAATTCATTGACTTTTACCTTTGACTACCTACTATGTGCTGGACAATCTGATAGACACAAGGTGAACAACACTGAACCAAACAGAAAAAGGCTCCATGCTCAAATCTCTTGGATAGCCCAAGTGATTTTCTCTGAATAGGCACTAGTTTGCCTAAGTCCTACCTAAAGTAAAGTTGTACAACCTAAGGCTGGATCCCAGACCTGGTCTAAATTAACTTTTCTGATTAAACAGACACTACAGCATTTGCAAGATGAATTACTTTTCAGTTCAGGGATTTGAAGATTGATGTTGTCTCTTATTTCCATTTATCCTAAACTCAGGCACATTATGTCCCGGATCCATACAAATTTATTATAAGAAATACCCTCATACTCTTAATGACATTAATGAGTGCATTTAATTACTGCACTTAATGAAAGAAATTGTCCAAATGAGATATTTTTAAACCATGAATGAGACCTCGTTAATAAGGAGGTTGGATTGTGAAGGAACAATAAGAGTAGCTTTCTATGAAAACTTAACCCTTTTCTCTGAGATAGAGAGGATGTGGCTATTATTTAATTGAAGAGCTGTCTCTTATATTCCCCCTTTAATCTTATGGGTATAAGGAAAGTGAGTATTGATTGGTGTGCTTGGAGAGAATTATGTTGAAAAAAACTAGAAGTATTTAGCCTAGAAAAGAGAAGATGGTAGAAGATACAATAGTTGTTCTTTAAAGATCTGATGGAGTGTCACATGGAAAGACACTTGTTTTGAGGAAACCAAAGAAGCAAAATTAGGAACAATGTGTTTAAATGACAAAGAAAAAGCTTCAATTATTCATAATAAGTAATGAATGGTCAGAGCTACATAGGATTTATTGCAAGGGAAGAAGTCCTATGCCTCCCAGCGTAAGACATTTAAGAGAGAATTCAGATATGACTCAAATAATATTGGATTGGATGATCCAACCATACCATGCCAACCTGCTTATTTTGCATTTGTAAAAGAGCCATTTGCTCCAGTACTTGCTTTAAATATCTGATATAAATCCCATTAATAAAGTATTTCAGTGTGACAGTGCTCACTGTTCATTTTGTTGGGAAGTCAGCAGTTGCCCCAGAAAAGGATTTTGAAAAAGTAAAAACAGATTCAAGGCGATACTTGCTATCTGGACATAGAAATGCACACTCTATCCAAAGACGCATCATAGGAGATGAGGCCCCCAAGCCCAGAACAGTGGATAAAGCAGAGTTAAAGACCCAGTCAGAGGCCAAGATTTAATGCAGGTGGAGACTATTTTGAGTTACGAAATATTTTTCTAATTTTAATAACATGAACTGTTGGTGTCAATACAGAAGAGAACATTATCTTATTTCAGTATTGTAGAGTCAGGTAGGAGAGAGATATTCAGAACACCAACCTTATTTGATATTGAGATTATTACAGAATCAACTGTGAGGGCAGGGCTTTCTTTGCAGATTTTCACAGAAACATGATTAAATAAAGTAACAAGGCCATGAGGTAGATGTCCTCTTCCTCAGCAGAGAACACTGACATCAAATTTTCCAGTTAGAACATTTTCCTAATGACCCATTGCTCATGAAGAAAAGGCATGGAGAAAACATTGGCCTTAAAAAAAAAAAAAGCAAAATATTTAATGGTCAACTACATCTTGAATATATTCAAGCTTACAATGTGATGATTTGATATATGTATACATAGTGTAATGGTTACTGCAATCAAATGAACACATCCATCACTTCATACTGTCCATTAGAACTCCGGAACTTGCTCATCTTATAACTGAAAGTCTGTGCCCAGTATTAATCCATTCTCACGCTTCTGTGAAGAAATACCCAAGACTGGGTAATTTATAAGAAAAGGAAGTTTAATTGACTTGCAGTTCCATGTGGCTGAGGAGGCCACAGGAAACTTACAATCATGGTGGAAGGCACCTTGTCTCACAGTAGCAGGAGAGAGAAATGAGCGCAAGCAGGGGAAATGCCTGACTCACTCATTATCACGAGAACAGCGTGGGGGACACTGCCCCCATGATTCAGTTACCTCCACCTGGTCCCACCCTTGACATGTGGGGATTATGGAGATTACAATTCAAGGTGAGATTTTGGTGGGGACGCAGAGCCAAATCATGTCCAACCTTTGACCAACATGTCCCTGGGTGGTGCCCCAGGGCAACCATCATTCTACATTTGGCTTCTATGAGCTGGACATTTTTACATTTCACAGATGAGTGAGATCATTCATACGGCTTAGGATGGCTGTTATCAAAAAGACAAGTGATAACAACTGTCCGTGAGGGTGGAAAGAAACTGGAGCCTTTTTACGCTGTTAGCAACAATGTAAATTGGTATAGCCATTATGGAAAATAATGTGGCAGCTCCTCAAAAAAACAAAATTAGACCTACTTTATGATACAGCGATTGCACTGCTGGGTATATATCCAAAGGAAATGAAATGAGTACCTCAAAAAGGTATCTGGACTTCTGTTTTCATTACAGCATTATTCAGAATAGCAAAGATGGAAAACACGATGTGTGTGTTTGTGTGTGTTTGAATATATATGTATACAAAGAGGAATATTACTTAGCCATAAAAAGGAAATTCTAGCACTTGTAAAAACATGGATAAAACTGAAAGACATCATGCTAAGTGAAATTAACCAGACACAGAAAAACAAATATTATATCATCTCACTTGTATATAGAACCATTGGCTTTTGAATGAGGCAGATCTATACCACTTACTCACCAAACATAGAAGTATTTAACCTCACTGATTTTACTTGTCTTCTTTCAGAAATGATTTCAGAAATGATCCACATAGTTTTCCTCAAAAGTACTTAATATTAGCCACTATGTTAGGTGCATGCTCATTCTTTTGCCTAGAAAATAATCCTCATTTTCTTTTCTACTTAATACTTACATCACAACTCAAATGCCACTTTTTCAGAGAAACCTTTCCTAGCCCCTTGGCCTAGGACGGGGCCCATTATCTACTCTCATAACATCTTATACCTTGCCTCTTGCATCTTCTATGTTTTATAATTCTTCTCCTACTTTGTGTTATTTTATCATCATTTGCCATCTCTAATATCCTGTAAGCTTTGTGAAGGCAGGGCTTCCATGGGTCTTTGCTGAGCATCACATGCTCGGTATCCTACACTGTGCCTAGGTGAGAGTGTGCTCTCAGCAAATGTGTTTTGAATACATAAATGCATTTACACATGTGAAATACAAAACAGTGATTTGATTCAAATTGTAATTTAGAGGCCATTTCTTTATGGCCTCTTTTAAATTCCCTTCTTTCCCTTTATTTCTTCCTGGGCCCATAAGTCTAACTGATTCCAATCTGTGCTCCTGGGTTGATGCTCCAAAATGAATTCACTGTCAGCTTCCACTGTACCCACTCTTACAGCCACCACGTGGGCAGAGATAATTAGCTTGGCCAGCGTGGGGGCACTTCAGCTATAGACCGTGTTTAAGTGCTGAGCTGAATTAATCATTGCAATTTCAATTATAAGGGGGCCTGAAATTACCTCCTTATTGAGGCTTTTTCCCTATTTTCCATTTTCTTTCTTTTCCACACTGGAGCTGAAAAGTAGAACCTGTACACTAGCCCCGAATTCCTCCTACGGAAAAACCCAAACATTATAGACGTTAAATGAACATCCTCATGGCTCCAGGAGTTAATTTATAACTCAGTTACAGCTTATGAGGCTGCATAATTCAGTTCACAACAGTGGATGTTGAGAGAAATCTATCATGACTGTTAGTTTTTAACTGCACTTCTCCAAATGCAAGAAGAGCTGTATTTTCTTCTTTTCCTCTGATAGAGAATAGGCACCCTGCTATCCGAGCTGTCTGAAAGCTCAAAAGAGAAAATAATCCATTGTCCTGAAAACTTGCATGGAGTGTGCCAAAACAACAGTGAGATAAGATAGAGTTTATTCTTCTTTGCTTTCTACTTTTCTTTCCAACTGCATGACTTGAGGACTAGAACATGTTTTGTTGTTGTTGTTTCGTTTGTTTTTTTCTACTTTGTTTAAAGCCAGCGTGATTACTTAGAGGCACAAATCTACATTTTCATAGTAAAAGGATGATTTAGTGGAAGAGCAAGGACTAAGGTCAGGGTGAATGCGGCATTCGTCTTGGGCACAAAATTAAGGGGATACATATGTGTGTGTGTGTGTGTTATCAAAGTAAATAATATTTCAATGCAATATTTGAAAAAAATAAAAACTGAGGCCAATCATCCATGATGAGCAAAACATCAACATTTTAAACAAAAAATGAGATGAGTATTGCTGATTTTTCTTTTTGCCTCAGGCTACAGTGTTTGCTTAGTAGGTCAAGCTTTTATTTAAACTTTCAATATTTTGATCATCATGGAAATATTTTGCATTACTTTTTAAATATATATATATAATATTATTTTTCCTGATTACTGAGGTTTTTTTGTTTGTTTTTGAGATCTCTTAGATTTTTTGTCTGAGATGAATGCCACATTAGCTTCTTCTTATCCATGTCCTGGTCCTTCCTGGTGGAAAGGAAATTGGAAGATAGAAATGTTTCCAGATCCAACTCATATGAGGCAGGGGGACCTAGGGACATCATGAAACCTCTGAGTTGCCTGAACTGTTATCTCTGCAGTATTTGTAGAGAGGTTTATCACATAGAGACTCAGCCCCACCAATGTCTGAGCCAATCCTCATAAAACATGGGGAGCCCTAGACTCAATAGCAGATGAAATCTAAAATAATATTAATAATATCTGGTATTTATTTACTACATTTATATTCCAGATGCTTTTACATGAATAATGATATTTTTAAAATATCAAAACCAGTGTTTTTAATTTTCTTGTTTTCTGCAGTCCTAACGTCTTATTTTCCCCAAACAGGAAATGGCCAAGATTTGACCTTCTGAGAGAGGTAATAAGCTTGAAAGCCAGACTTGGAAGACCAGATTAAGTATTTCCACATTAAGAAAGTAGTAATAGTTACAATTAACCCATTTCATGTACAAAGCACTATTCCAAACACTTTTCATGTATAATCCGTGGACCCTTTTAACAAACTAATGAGATAAAGAATCCAATATTTTTATTTTCAGATGGGAAAATTGAAGTACAGAAGAGGTTAGTGACTTACCCAAGGGCAGGTGGTTGCTTAAGGCTCTACCTGTTCAATCCATATACCAGAGAGCCTCTTTTATACATGTAAAAATATCAAGAGGGAGGCAGCAAGCCTGTTCTGGCTCTGGGGAAAGTGAAAAGAGAAAGAGGGAAGTAACCAGCATGCATCATAATCTAGGATGGTAACAGATAACCTCAAATGTCTCCATCTAATTCCTAGACTACAGAGTCTCCTAATGTCTGGTGGTTTTTCAGGCCACTGTCCTTTCTCAAGAAGCTTCATGGACCAGGATGTTTCTATCTCATGGTTTTATCATTCCCATAAGTTCTCCATGATCATCCATATAGGAGGAGAGAGACATTGAAGAATCCTACATGGGTGTTTCCCCTCTACAGCCAAAAGGTGACCTCAATCACTTCTGTTCCCATTCTGCTGTTCAAAAATAGTAACAAGGCCCATTCTACATAAAAAAGAGTGGGAATAATAATCTCTCATATGCCTAGAAAGGAAGATAAGACTAGACATGGGGGGGCACTAAGAGAAAGGTAAAAGATGCCAGCTGCTTTGATTTTTCCACTCCCAGGTCCCAAAGCCATGAAAAGGAAGTAGGTGCACTGTACTATTTTAGGTGAACACTTCGGGAAGAAAAATGTACTTTCCTCCTTCCTCCATTGAGTGGGGGAAGACTTTTGGCAGGCTGTCCCCTCTGCCCTCACTCCAATTGATATGGGAGGGGAGCAGAGACAGGCAGAGAAGGTAGGTAGAGAAGGGCAGGGTCCCTGGTGAGGGCTCTATCCTCAGGCCTGTGCCCATGGACCTAAGTGAGGACAGGCACTCCTGTTGCATTTTTCAAGACCACTCTGACCTGCCACATGCTCATCCTGTGCGTATAAAAATCTCAAGACCCTAGTGGGCAGACACAAGTGGCTGAACATTGAGAGGAACACACCAGCAGAAGAACACACCAGCAGAACACACTGACAGATGCTGACAGATACTGGCAGGCCATCAACAACAGAACGACTCAGACGCCAAGGGGAAATCTGCCAAAAAACGGTCAGAAGAGAGCCTGGCTGCTGAGCAGCCCAACTCCAGGGGAAGACCAGTTTCCCACTCCATCCCCCTTCTGGCTCTCCATCCATCTGCTGAGAGCTACTTACACTCAATAGAACCTTGCACTCATTCCCCAAGCCCATGTGTGATCTGGTTTTTCTGGTACACTAGGGCAAAAACCCCAGGATACTGAAAGCCCTCTGTCCTTGCCATAAGGAAGAGGGTCTAATTGAGCTGATTAACACAAGTTGTCTGTGGTCTACTACGCAGAAAGAACACACTGTAACACACGCCCACTGGGGCTTTGAGAGTTGTAAACACTCAACCCTAGATGCTGCCATGGGGTTGGAACCCCATGACCTGCCTGTCTGCATGCTTCCCCCAGGGGTTTGAGCAGCAGGGCACCTAAGAAGTGGGCCACACCCCCATCGCACACCCTGTGAGGGGGATAAGGGAACTTTTCCCATTTCACAATCTCCAGGAGAGAAAGGGGCAGTTACACAGGGTGCACATGTTTGAGAGAGGTAGATGGGCCCAGGAGAAGGCCTGAGTTTCGCTCCCCAGAATCCCTTTGACTCCTGTTTGGTGTGGAAAGGATCGGAAAGTGCCTAAGGGACACAGAAAAGAGAGGATGATAGTGGCTGAGGGTTCTGGCTGCTGAACTTGCCAGAGGGACCCATGATAGGAACAAAGTGATGCCAAATAAGGCCTGTAGGAAGGGATCCCCTGGGCCAGGGACTCATTAGAAGCCATTACAACAACCTAGGTTTCCTAATTTCAAAGACATCAAGGTGAGTATCAATCAATCACAGATCATAAATAAACTCTAACAAGGAGAGAGAGAGAAAATCACATGTATGTCCCTCCTCACCTCTCAGCCCTCAACCCTCTATTTCCGCCTTGTATACACATTGCAGTGCTTTTGCCAAAGAGAAGCAGAAAGTAGATTGGTTAAAAGGTATCTGAGAACAGAGTTATTTTTTTCCAAATAAAACCAGACATTATGTGGAGAAATTGTGTGTTATCCAGAATCATGGCCTCCCAAATACGTCCACAGCCTAATCCCTGGAACCTGTGAATGTATTACCTCACATGGCAAGAGGGACTTTACAGATCCAATTAACCGTACAGACTTTGAGATTGGGAGGTAATCCCAGATTCATCTGGCTGGGCCCAGTCTAATCACATGAGTCCTTACAAGGAAATACCCTTTCCAGACTGTGGTCAGAGATAGAGAGTTGACAATGGAAGAAGGATCAGAGAAGTGTGGCATGGCATAGATTTAATTAGCCATTGGCAGCTTCGAAAATGAAGGAGAAAAGCCATGACCCAAGGAATGAGCCTTGACCAGTGGCCTTTAAATACTAGGTATGTCCCTCAGCTGACAGCCAGCCAGAGAAGAGGAATGTCAGTTTTCCAATTGCAAGAAATTAAATTCTGTCAACAACCTGAGTGAATAGGAAACACATTTGCCCCTAGAGCCTCCAGAAATGAACACAGCCCTGCCAAATCCTTCACTTCCGTCCAGTGAGACCTGTATGGACGCCTGCCTCCCAGACTGTTAGATAACAAGCGTGTGTTGTTGTAAGCTACTAAGTTTGTGGTAATTTGTTAGGATAGAAATAGCAAACTAATACAAACTCTTTAAATAAGAGTTAACTAAAACAAAGTGTTTTGTTGTTGTTTCTTTTACCAGGTGTTTGAGAGCTCATGAGAAACACCAGACAAAACTTTTTTAAATTTTTTGTTTTCTCTGTATATCTGTGTTGTGAACCTGCTACATATGCCTTTTATTACTTAATTCTCTCAATATCCCTCCAAGGCATACATTATTATATTTCCTATTGAAGATATGAAATTGACATTTAGTGAAGTTAAGTAGGCCATAGAAGTTCATCTCATTAACAAGTGGCAAAACTAGGTTTCAAGCTGAGTCCATCTGATGACAGAGCCCAGGCTCTCAACAATCTCAACAGATCATGCTGTTTCCACTTCTCTGGTCTCTCTGCTTAGAGGCTTGTCTTCCTCACACACTTCCTTCCCACCTACTATTTCTAAAATGCAGATGTAATGATTTCCCTTTGCTGTGTGAAGGTATAACCTGTTGATCTTGTCTCTGCATAGCTCTCCATCCTCATCTCCTAGTCCCTTTTCATCACTGCCCAGCTGTACTGACCACTTATAGTTACCACACACGGTGAGCTGGGCCTCAGATCCTGTGTTCAAGCTGCTTCTTCTGAGCTCATCTTGGTTTTCCAAACACTGTCTTCAAAGTGGCTTGGTTGAGGGTTTGTGCCCATTAGACCACAGCCATTTCTCCTTGAGACCCACGTCTCTGCCATTCCCCACCCCCAAGATTTCTCTTTGGCTTTCCATCTGCAGCCTGGCTGAGTTCCATCTTGAACCCAATGCACATTTGACATTTCCTTGATTCAATGCAAAATTTTGACCAAGATTCTCTCAATATCCTCAGTGATGAACTGTGTCCTGAACCAGATTCAACATGCCATCTAGATTCCTTATATCAGTAGTTATCTCCTTCAAGCCTTGTTGATTTCAAGGAAATTAATGATCTCATATTCTACCCACCACAACCACTCCATTCATGGGCCTTTTGGTGTTAGGATCATCAATGGGACTATATCAGAAGAGGCAAGTATCACTAGATATCAGCTTTATCATCAACATAATCATTAACAGAAATTAACAGATTATCAACAAAACACCCATCATGAAAATCCAATGATTAGCATTCCACCTTGTGGAATGAATGAGAATGAACTGCACTAGATCCTAACCAAGTCACAGAGGTGAACTATAAACACTGGTATCCACATAAATTACCTAGAACCGCCTGCCTCAAGCTCAGTCTTCATTATTTTTCAATTATTTCCCTCTACTCAAAACACTTGAGTTGGAATTTGTACACATTCTGTTCCTAACATTGTTTTAAAAGTCTGTTTCAAAGAATAGCTGATCCATAAATTTCCCTGAGGTGCTGCTTACTATAGCCCTTTCTTGGAGATTTGAAATGGTTATTAGGATATTAAAGGCTTGGCAAGTACTGTAGTAGAGAAAGTGTTAACTGTTGGGCCCACATTGATTTGCTCATAGATGTTTATTTTTCTCATGAAATCTATTTGTGTCCTTCTATGCTAATATTTCACCCCTTGGGAGCCACTATCTTAGTTTTGATCATTCTTATACCACTGTGTACTCTCTTGGGAGTTAATCCCACACAGACTTCTTGTTTGTGGAGCCCAATAGCAGCCCCAGCCTGGTGAGCTGCCCACCCAGTTCTGCCAGCTCTGTAGTACTCTCACACTTACTTAAGGAAGAACTTTTCTTTATCAGCTGCCATGATCAGCCAGCCCTCTATCACAAGCTGTTAAATCTTTTGGTGGAAACATTCTGTCCTTCACTGGGGACATTCTAAAACCTTTATTTGGAGAGTCCCACAGCACTTCCTGCCTGCCTAACATCACTTTAAATCCCATCACTTCACCACCTTTTATCATTTAATTATGGCTCTTCCTTAAGCACTTGAGATTTAAGAGCAAACTATCACAGTAGTGATTCTTGTATTTAGGCTGGGCCTAGAGTCCCCTGGAAGACTTGAAAAAAGGAAGAAAAAAAAAACAGTTGTTCGGGCCCATCCTAGAATTTTTGATTCAACAATTCTGGGGTACAGATCAATAAATTGCATTTCCTACAAATTCCCAGTTGATGCTAATTCCAGGGACCATATTTTGAGAACCACTGATATACAGAAATGGTTACAAGTACAGAATACCTTTGCCTTCAAAAAAGTTGCAGACAAAGCTATTCCTTGCCTTCAAAAATGTTGCTCAAGGTTGGTAAAAACAGTATACAGAAGAAAAATGGGAAAAAATTAACGGTAACCCAGAAAATTATTCAAATGTCTAGTGTTCTGTATGGGGCAAGGGAAAAAAAAGATCCTGTTTTATTGATTTTTAATCTGAAAGGTAAGAAAAAATTTAAGCTGTGTGACTATTATTGATATGGTTAACCAGGCATCCTGGAGGCTGGAGGGGGTCACTGGGACTTATACAGCACAGTGGGTCTGATAGGTATCCACACGAATGTATTAACTATTTTTTTGTTTTTTGTTTTCTATTTTTTGAGATGGAGTCTCACTCTGTCACCAGACTGCAGTGCAGTGGCATGATCTTAGCTCACTGCAACCTCTACCTCCTGGGTTCAAGCAATTCTCCGGCCTCAGCTTCCTGAGTAGCTGGGATTACAGGCTTGCGTCACCACGCCCAGCTAATTTTTGTATTTTTAGTAGAGACGGGTTTTCACCATGTTGGCTAGGATGGTCTCTATCTCTTGACCTTGTTTGTGATCCACCCACCTCGGCCTCCCAAAGTACTGGGATTACAGACGTGAACCACCGCGCCCCGGCCGAATGTATTAACTTTTAGCATATTGTATTAGTTGGGAATGTTCACTTTGTTGCTATAACAAAAACAAAAATATCAATGAGTAATAAGAGGTTTATTTCCAAGTGCCCTAATAGCATGGGTGTGAGCAGCCCAGGGTTCAAATAGTAACTCTGTGGTGTGGAACACTCACAAACTTACAATAGTATTGTTCAGCCATTCTGAGCATAAGGATTCCCTATTGTGAAAAAAAGATGGAAGCTTCAGCTTTTGCCAAAAAAAAAATTAGGAAGCACATATTCTTTTTCTATTTAGGTCGCACTCATCAATTTGTTCACATGTCACTATCCAGAACCTAGTCAAATGATTGAATTAGCAGCAAAGGAGACCAGGGTAGTATGTAATCTTCCCAACCAGCTAAAACTTCGGTTTCGTTGTTTTTTTTGTTTTTTGGTTTGTTTGTTTGTTTGTATTGGAGAGCACAGATATTCAAGGGGAAGCCGGGGACCTCTATCGCTTGTATTTTAATGCGCTGCAGTTTATGTGTTCCTGGTTAATTATATTTATGGGTTGCATGATCTTATGTCAACTATGCGAATGCAAGGAGTGTAAGCAAGTGGTTTAACAGTGTTTATAGAATGAAATGACTGATTGAAGGCAATGAGAATAGCACAAGAATATGTGAATGAGAAAACGGTAGAATTGACAGTTTTTCTAAGACTCAAGTCATCCCCAGCAGCCACATTAATGAATTAAAATAATGTTCCAAAGAATTCCGGCATATAGTAAGATGAAAACAAAACTTCTGAAATTATCTGGAAGAACATTTAAAATGTTGATCCATATCACTTTCATGAGCATCAGCTAATATCTTGCAACATAAGGCACAGTTAAGGTAAAATGCAAGGTGAATACTAACAAGGTGCACACATTATCATACATATATTACTGTGCATGTTGTATTATCATACCTATAAAAGCTACAAATATCCAATAAAATATGTACATATCCTATAAAATGAATACATATAGTTACTACACATTATAATCCCACTTTAGTAATCAGGAACAGAAAAATTATGTAAGAAGTCCAAGTTTTAGGCTGGGCGCCATGGCTCACGCCTGTAATCCCAACACTTTGGGAGGCCGAGGCAGGCGGATCACGAGGTCAGGAGATCATAGCCATCCTGGCTAACACGGTGAAACCCCGTCTCTACTAAAAATACAAAAAAAATTAGCTGGGCATGATGGCGGGTGCCTGTGGTCCCAGCTACGCGGGAGGCTGAGGCAGGAGAATGGCGTGAACCCGGGAGGTGGAGCTTGCAGTGGGCCGAGATCGCGCCACTGCACCTGCACTCCTGCCTGGGCAACAGAGCGAGACTCCGCCTCAAAAAAAAAAAAAAAAAAAAAAAAAAAAAAAAGAAGTCCAAGTTTTATATGGTTGCTATAATGCCATCAGGAATAGCCAGACATTTCAACATATTCTTATGTCATCTTTATCACCTCCTTTTAATGTCCTTTTTTACAACATACAAAATATATTAGTCTTTTAGCACAAATATACAATTCAAAATTTTTAAAAGCATGCATATATTGGGGACTCATGCTCAAAATACTTAACAACTTGGATTTGCAATTGTGTAAATGCTAATGGAATTGATTATTGTGGTTAACATACTTGTAAAAGGAAAGAAGTCTTTAAAAGGGAGCAGAGTGGGTGCTTTCATTTGACCAGCCAGAAAAGCCCTTCAATTGCCATGGCATCTGATACCTTCTCTCCATCACTAAGCTTCCTCCATTACCAATCTTATCACTACAAAAGACTACATTCTCTGATGTTTGGAGTTTCACATGATAGATCTTTCAATGTCTCCCATAAAAATCAAAATTATGGAGAACTGACATCTAGTATTGCTGAATCTAGCTGTAAGAAGAGATTGAACAGGTTTGAGAAAACCCATCCCTACGGCAGTGGGGATGCAGGTCAAGAGTTAGGTACAGTGAGGAGAGAGACCCTGCTAAAGGATGTGAAAAGACAGCAAAGAGGACAACTCAGGCAGTCTAAATGTGGGCATGGCACTAAAATGCTAAGCCTTGAGGGATTTTGATTCATTAACACTTGATATGGCATCTAGCTCTGAGGCTTAGGACTCTTGTCACTCTGCAAAGTTCCTTATCTTCTCTGTGTTCAACATCGCTGGTTTCTGTTTTGTAAGGGAAAGCCAATGCTTCCTTCATCTATCTCACGCTGTGGGTATGAACCATGCCCTCACATACACAAAAACTACTTTGCAAACTACAAATACCTGTATGTCCAGTCATACTGAAGGATGGTAAAACCTAAATAGTAGGAGATCATAGAAAAAGGTATTTCCTGTGGAATCAAAGAACAGTTATGTTTATAGGAAGAGAACTAGTATTTATTTTACATCATGATCCATCAGACACTTTCCATTCAGCATCTCATGAAATCCTCACCACAACTTTTCAGGTAGCATTATTTATTCCTATTTTACAGGTGAAGAAACTGAAGCTCATGAAGATTTCCTAATCTTGCCACAGGTAAGACTTGGTAAGACTGTGGCAGAGCTTACAGTCAAACCAAGGCCTAACTGTCCAAATCTTACAGATAGCACAGCTTCAGTGAAGCGACAGACCTGTCTTGCTCAGTGTGTTTATACCAGAAAACACATCTGAACTCAATGAAAGAATAAGCTAATTAGTCCAAAAGGCTAAGGTAAAGAACTTTCACATGATGTTTGAGAAATCAACATTTTATGTAGCACTCGTAGCAGAACACGTGTCTGTGTTAGAAAGATAATACACTGGAGGTATGTTCAACAGCCTGGAGGGGAGGGATTTAGATTAGACAGGCAGAGTGTAGTTTGAAGTTTTTGTCACGTGACCAGGGAAGTTGGTAAAAACTTGCCTTGAATGCTGGTGTCTGATTCAGCCACAGTCAGATAATTTGGCTCTGAGCACAGACAGAATGATTCAGAATATCCATCTAAAGTAGCTACAGGTAAGTTTCCAAAGGACAGAGGTGCTGTAGTTATAGAGACACACTCAATATAAATTGTCCTAAGTACTGAGCTCAATACTGTGTGCCACAGACTGAGGTTGATATAGTTATGGAGTACCATCTCTACAGATGGTGCTATTACAGATTCTGAAGACTAATAATAATAATAATAGACATGGCTCCAGCCTTCAAACGGCTAGTGGAGGTCAATAAGTAAAATGATCGTTCTAATGCACGATGATATGCTACGTGGGAGGAAGGCCAAGAACATTACTGAAACTAACCAGAACATATCTTTTCCTTTCCTAGAACTGATGCACAAGAGAGTTTGGATCATTGCTTGGACTTTTTCAACCGCCCCCCCTCCCGGCACACTGTGTGAAGACAGATTGCCACTGTTCCCACACATGTTAGAATGGGATGAATCCCACACTATGGCTATGGTCTGCATGTACTGACATGCACAGAGTAATTGTCCTGTATAATTGAAAACATGGGCACTGAGTTTTATATCCCTGACAGTCAACCAATGTCAACGAGATTTTATGGTGAATTTATGGTAGCAGGCTCTGGGTCCTAGGTTAATATGCCTTCTGCCTCTGTAATAAGGGTCCATTAAAAAAAGGAGAAGGGAGGATCTCCGAAACCCAGCCTGAGGCTCAAGCTCTGCTGCTTAATTAGTATTAAATGGCTTCCTGGCTCAGGAGTTACATTGAGGCTAACGTTTCCTTGAAGAGAAGCCCTGATTTTACCTTCCTGTGTCATTCAGCCCAACACCTGCACCCATGAATCATTATATCCAGAGGAGACCACTTCCCTCTCATCACAGACATCTGGGGAAAACTCCTACCTCAGTAATGCTTGATGTTTGACACAACTTTGGAAAATCACTGGCAGTTCTAAACCTGCTGTTCAAGAAGTTCAAACATTAAGGCTGTCAAATTTCCAGCCACTGTGAGCTACTTAATGAGCAAGAGATGCAAATTGGCTTCATGGGCAATGGTCGTGATTGCCACAGACAGCTTGTGGCAGCAAGGCTTCCTAGCAAACATAATAGCAACACGTGCATTTAATTAAAGTGATGTCTACTACTGAAGGTGGTTAAAGTGCCAGGCCTGATTCTTGCGAGAGATATATCACTCCCCGCATTTAAAACCTAGAGAAACAAATTTAGAGATGCTAAATACTCACACCCAACCAAGAACATGGAGCAGAGCAAGATTTTGAACCCAAATCTGTCTAGGCTCTTTGCAGGCTGTTATATGCCCTTTTCAAACATCCTGTTAAATGTCACAGTCAAATAAAGTTTTAAGAAATATAAAGAAATACCTGTGTTCGTAATTGGTGGGTTCTTGGTCTCACTGACTTCAAGAACGAAGCTGCAGACCCTCGCGGTGAGTGTTACAGTTCTTAAAGGCAGCGTGTCCGGAGTTTGTTCCGTCTGACGTCCAGATATGTTCGGAGTTTCTTCCTTCTGGTGGGTTCGTGGTCTCGCTGGATCAGGAGTGAAGCTGCAGACCTTCGTAGTGAGTGTTACAGCTCTTAAGGCGGTGCGTCTGGAGTTCTTCGTTCCTCCCAGTGGGTTCATGGTCTCGCTGGCTTCATGAGTGAAGCTGCAGACCTTCGTGGTGAGTGTTACAGCTCATAAAGGCAGTGTGGACCCAAAGAGTGAGCAGCAGCAAGATTTATTGCAAATGGCAAAAGAACAAAGCTTCCACAATGTGGAACAGGACCGAGTGGGTTGCCACCCCTGGCTCGGGCAGCTTGCTTTTATTCTCTTATCTGGCCCCCACCCACATCCTGCTGATTGGTCCGTTTTACAGAGAGCTGATTGGTCCGTTTTGACAGGGTGCTGACTGGTGTGTTTACAATTCCTGAGCTAGACACAAACGTTCCACACGTCCCCACTAGATTAACTAGATACAGAGTGTCCATTGGTGCATTCACAAACCCTGAGCTAGACACAGGGTGCTGATTGGTGAGTTTACAAACCTTCAGCTAGATACAGAGTGCCGATTGGTGTATTTGCCATCCCTTAGCTAGACATAAATGTTTTCCAAGTCTCCACCAGACTCAGGAGCCCAGCTGGCTTCACCCAGTGGATCCTGCAATGGGGCCGCAGGTGGAGCTGCCTGCCAGTCCCGTGCCCTGCGCCCGCACTCCTCAGCGGGTCGATGGGACTGGGTGCCGTGCAGCAGGGGGTGGCGCTTGTCAGGGAGGCTCGGGCCGCACTGGAGCCCACGGAGAGAGGGGGAGGCTCAGGCATGGCGGGCTGCAGGTCCCAAGCCCTGCCCTGCGGGAAGGCAGCTAAGGCCTGGCGAGAAATTGAGCACAGCAGCTGCTGGCCCAGGTGCTAAGCCCCTCACTGCCCGGGGCCGGCAAGGCCGGCCAGCACTCCGAGTGCGGGGCCCGCGGAGCTCATGCCCACCCGGAACTCGCGCTGGCCCACAATCACCGTGCACAGCCCCGGTTCCAGCCCATCTCTCCCTCCACACCTCCCCGCAAGCTGAGGGAGCCGACTCCGGCCTTGGCCAGCCCAGAAAGGGGCTCCCACAGTGCAGCGGCGGGCTGAAGGGCTCCTCAAGCGCAGCCAGAGTGGGCGCCAAGGCCGAGGAGGCGCTGAGAGCGAGCAAGGGCTGTGAGGGCTGCCAGCACACTCTCACCTCTCATACCCATTCACACTTAACAACATGTGGCAGCATGGCTGGGAAAGAGAAGGAAATGGTGTATCAGTGAATGCAATAGTTTTCCACAATCTCTTATCTGAAACTTGAGGAGCCAAATGTGCATTGGGGCTTTCTGGATTTTATGGTACCCAATATTATACAGCTCTGCTAGAGGGGCCTGGGGCAACACCACATAAGCAAACACATTAACTGTCTGTAGGGAAACTCGTAAGAATTTACACTACACTCAATACCTTAAGGCTATAAATCTACTCCCTTTAGGTTCAGGTCAAATTTTACTACAAAATGAATATAGGTCAGGTCAGAGGTCCCATCTAATGAGTTAAGAAAAGTACTATTTTTTTTCAAAGCTTTTATTCCTTTGCCCAAGACATCATCCTACTTAATTCTCAAAATCATTCTCTGGTGGAGAAGAAATCTTTCTTTCTAGAGACTACTTGATGTCTTTCTGGCATCACAAGATAAAGACTCCTGCTCAACATGTCACAGCTGTAATTTGAGTTAGGATTAGGCCGTGAATCCCAATGTTGAGAGCTCCCATTTTGGAAAGCATTTCTGTGCAGCAGTGGACAGAGCAAAATATTGTGGTCACACAGATCTGGGTTCAAATACAATCTTTAGTCTAGTTGGATTACTATTACTATAGACAGGGTGTCTTAATGAATAGACATTTATTTCTCAAGGTTTTGGAGTCTGGGCAGAGCAGTTCAGTTCAGGTTCTGGTGCTGAGTCTCTTTTGGGTTGTAGATGACTGGCTCTCATCATGTGCTCAATGACCTCTTATGTGCATGAGAGACAAAGAGTTAGAGTGTGTGAGCAAATGTGCATTCTAGTATCTTATTTTAAGGACACTAATCCCATTATGAGGGCCCCACTCTCATTCCACATCTAAACCCAATTACCTTCCAAAGTCCATACCTCCTCATATCATCACAATGTTGGTTAGGACTTCAACTTATATTTTGGGGGATGGAACACAGCATTCAGTCCATAACAAGAAGGCCCTTTTTCTTTCTTTCCTATTCAACCTGGAGCAGCCAGTTCCAGCCTCCACCCACAGCTTCCACATCTCAGAAGGAGTGTAGTCATCACACCTGCTTCACAGTGGTTGGGAGAGGGCAGTGCAGCACAATTCTATGGCACTCTTCTCTGAGCATCCTTACTTCCACTTCACCGTTCTCTTCACCTCATTCTGCCTCCATTGCCTGTGATCTCTTGGACTTTAAAATGTGATATCCGGTTACTTACTCCTGTCTAACAAATTACTCCAAACTAAGCAGCTCAAATCAGCCATTTAATGTGTTCTACAATTCCACGGGTCAGGAATATGGGCAGGGAATAGCCGGCACGACTGGTGGCTGGGGTTGGAATCACCTGGAGGAGTTTTTTACATAGCACAGGTCTGGGGTTAGCTGAGACCTCGGTGGGGTTGAAGACAGGAACACGTATGTTCAGCCTTTCCATGTGGCCTGGGTTTCTTCACAGCATGGCAGTTTCGGAGTTGTGAGACTCCTTACATGGTGGCTTTGGGCCCCAAAAGCAAGTGTTTCAGTGAACCAAGCAGAAGCTGCATTACTTTTATGACCTAGTCTTGGAAGTCGCACAGTACCATTTCTACCGCTTTCTGTTGATGGCGTGTTAGTCACTAAACTTGCCCCAGATAACAGGAACGAACACATAGACCTTTTCCTCAATAGGAAGAGGATCAACAGCAGGCTTAAAACTGCCACAGGAGCATCATTCCTGGTTACCACAGGCAACAATTTACTGAACCAATGAAATCAGTGATCTTCTCCCTGGCAAAGGTTCAGTTAGTTTACAAACAGTTTTCAAGGTGAACAACTTTGTTTTAGTTCACCTGTCTCCCTTATTCTACTCAGGCCAGGGTCCTTACAGAGTTGAAGATAATAAATGTTTTCTGATTTACAGTGAACAAAGCCATCTTTTATTTTGTGTCATTGTATTTCAAATTTTTATGATTATAATACCAATTGCACAAACCATATTAAACTGATTTATTTTTGCTGGATTCTATATTTTTCTTTTGTTCTTGTCCCCTAAAAATAATAATGTATTTTAATTTTTATAACTTGGTAAAATTTTTCTGATATAAAACATGTTTATCAACATTAATAATAATAGCAATAAACCTTGGTCAAACCACATGTTATTTGTTCTTAGGAAAGCAAATAGTTTATCATAATTTACTGACAGTTTTTCTCAGGAGAAATGAAAAAAAAAAACCTAGGCCACTAATTATTATACCAATGCTTACATTTATTGAGTACCTGCTGTATGCTATGTGTCGGCTAAGTATTTTGCACATGTAGCTCAGGCACTGTGTCATAAAAGTATATGGTATTCAGAGGAAGATGGAAATGCTTTAGCATTGGGCTCTATCCCTTATTAATTGCACCATTGAGGGCAGATTACTTCATCTCTTTCAGTGACAACATTAAAATAAAAAATGGCTATGAAGATAACATGAATAAATATACATTAGCACTTAGCAGAGTGCCAGACATCCAGCAAGCATCCAGTAGATGAGAGATCTTTCTGTTTCATGCAACAATCTCTTTGTACATAGGTTGCATTTACTGAGAGCTTACTAGGTGCTAGGTGCTGTTACAGGGTGTAGTATTTATTGACTCATTTCATTTTCATCACAACCTAAGTGGTGAGAACAGTTATTGACATGGTTTGGATATTTGTCCCCTTCAGGTCTCATGTTGAAATTTTGTTTTCAGTGTTGGAGGTGGGATCTGATAGGAGATGTTGCAATCAGAGGGGCGACTCCCTCATGAATGGCTTAGCACCATCTCCTTGTTGATGAGAGTTCTTGTTTCCGAGTTCCTGTGAGATCTGGTTGTTTAACAGAGTGTGGCACCTCCCCCTTCGCTCTCTCTTGTCCCCACTCTCATCATGTGATGTACTGGTTCCCCCACATTTTCCACAGTGATTGGAAGCTTCCTGAGGCCCTCACCAGAAGCAGATGCTGGCAGCACAGACTGCAGAACTGTGAGCTAATTAAACCTCTTTTCTTTATAAATTACCACGCCTCAGGCGTTTCTTTATAGTGATCCAAAAACAGCCTAACACACGTATCATCCCCATTTTATAAATGTGGGGACTGAGCCCTGGAAAGACTAGACAGCTTAAGGTCACAACTTACAGCACAAGTGGCTAAGTGGCAGGACAAGTTCCAAACCTACCTCTCTGGTTCCAAAGTGTGTTTCTTTGTACCCGACATGTTTTCAAGACTATGGAACTGTCCAAATGCATTACCATTGCAGCATACTGATCCTAGAAATCTACAAATATGTAACATTCTGCCTTCAACTGGACCAACACACCATAACAGTCAGGGTTTTCCAGAGAAAGAGAACCAAGAAGATGTATATATAGAAAGTAAGATATTCATATTAAGAATTGACTGACAGAATTATGGAAGCTGACAAGTCCAAAATCTGCAAAGTGGGCTGGTAGTCTGGAGACTCAGGAAGAACTGAGGTTGCAGTTCAAGTCGGAAGAATGTTTGCTAGGAGAATTTCTTCTTGCTCAGGGGAAGTCAGTATTTTTGTCCTATTTAGGACTTCAAGTAATTGGATAACACCCACCCACATTATGGAGGGTAATCTGCTATACTTAAACTCCCCCAATTTAAATATTAATCTCATTCAAAAATACCCTCCCAGAAAATCATCCAAAAAAAAGACCCCTCAAATCCAGAGTTCTTTCTTAACAAATACCTGGGTATTATGGTCCAGGCAAGTCGACATGTAAAAAAATTAACCATCACAACTACTGTCAAGATGGCTAACAACAAACATCCATCACAAAATATAAATAGAAAGAAAAAACCATAACATTTTAGAAGAAAAATGCAGAAATGGTGAAATGGATGTTGAATACATGTCCTACTTCTTTGTCTACCACTGCATTGAACGCTGGAAAACGTCTAAGAAAACATTCAACAGAAAAGAATAATAGCAAAGAAAATAATTTTCTGGTGCAAATATAAAACCATTTATAACCTTAACAGACATGTTGGTTTTTGTTAACAAAGGTGGTGGCAGGTAGGGGTGAGAAATGGCCCAGGAGTTTCTTCTCTCTTATTGTTGTGGAGGCAGAGACGCTGCAGAGACAATGGGGCAGTGTCTGAGCCCAGCAGTCTCAGAACAGGGAAGTGACAAAGGATCCATGCAATTTATACCACAGGTGGACCCTGGCACACAGAATGCAGTCTCCAGACTCTGCAGCTTGGCTAGGGATCACTGCACTGTTGAAGAGTTCAAGGCTCGGCTCAACCATAGTCACAACAGCTTCCTTATGGTTTATATGGAAATCCAATGCTAGCCACAAAGCTACCCAGTATATCCACTTGGGCTTAAATATTCATGAGTAGAGTTGGTACTTATTTACCTTGGCAGGTTACTTGGGAATCATTCAACCAACCAAAGTAAAAATAGCAGAACCCAGGTGGTGGAAAGAGGGGGCCACAAGGTATTAACACAGCTAGAGGGCTTTAGCTTGCTTTGGAACAGGGAACTCAGCTGTCTCCTTAGAGCCCTTTAAAGATGGAAACAGTTTTTTTAAAATCTCATATAATCTGATAAATATTGGAATGTGTGTAGTGTGATGAAATCCCAGGTGTAACTATGCTTTGTGGGTCGCTAAGTGCAGCAGAATACCTTGTCAAGATTCAATGAAGTATTAGTTCTAGTGATTGGGAAGAAACCTGGCTCACCTCTCTGTGAGAGGGGAAGGCTGCAAAGAGTTAAAATGACTTAGTGTAACTTCTTAAATGCGGAAGAATACATATACAGAGAATATTCTCGGCCAGGTGCAGTGGCTCACGGCTGTAATCCCAGCACTTTGGGAAGCCAAGGCGGGTGGACCACCTGAGGTCAGGAGTTCGAGACCAGCCTGATTAACATGGTGAAACCCTGTTTATAATAAATACAAAAAAATTAGCCTGGAATGATGGCACACACCTGTAATACCAGCTATTTGGGAGGCCGAAGCAGAAGAATCGCTCAAACCTGGGAGGCGGATGTTGCACTGAGCTGAGATTGCATCGTTGCACTCCAGCCTGGGCAACACGAGCGAAACTCCATCTCAAAAAAAGAAAGAATATTCTCAATACAACCAAACAAACTATAGAGATATTGTGCTACAGACTTTCTTGAAGTTTAGGGACAGTGCACTCTGTACATGCCTGCTGGACAGTCACAATTCCCTATACATGTCCTGTATGTCACAGAAATAGTCAAAGGAAGTACTCTAAAATTTCAGTATTTTGGCATCAGAATCACAGTTTTTATACTCTGTCCCCCAACTGGAGAAAAAGGAATTATTAGAGGCACTCAGTATACATAACTTCATTTAATCTTTCCAATATTCTGAGATATAGGAGTAAAAACTCCCATATTGTACGGATAAATAAGACAGTTTTAGAGGGTCTACTTAAAGTGCAGTAAGTCTTATCAGAAGTAAATGAAAGAGGTAGTATTTGTATTCAGAAATATCCCTCAGTGGACAGATGGATGAGTGAATGGGCTGATGAGCCCTCAGTTATTTACTTTCATTTTGGTCTCCATTTCCTGCAGAAGGAATAACACCTTTGACTCTACCTAAATAGGAAAGAAAAAAACAAAAAAAAAAAAAGAAGAAATGCTGAAGTTGTTTTCAAAACAAATGTTGGAAACCCATATAATCTTTAGAAATGTATTGACTGTCAAAGGTGTAGCTAAAGTGGCCAGCTATATGATGAAGACAGCGTGGCAATGTAGACATTGAAATGAAACTATTTATTTCTGTAAGTTGTAGTGACCATGTAACTCATTAGTATTGCTGAAGCCTGTAAATTTCTTAGGATTCATGTTACATTGTATCATGGGGAATAGCACATAATTCATTTACTGGGCTTCCTTTGGTATGCCTAGGCTGAATATTTCAGCATAAAATTTCTTTTCTCTTTGCAGAAATGGAAGTGCAACTGTGATTTTCTGGCAGCAGATTTATTTGTCTCGAGAATAACAGTGTTTTAGAAGTGTTTGTATACTTGGCTCTGTTTGACAGATGCCAATGGTGACAGGCAGGCCACAGGGACGCCTACACTGACGTCACTAGACCACCCCCGTGATGTTCCTGGTCTCCTCCAAAGTTCAGTGATCCTTCAATAATACATTGCAACTATATAATTACTACACTAAAAATAACATGCTTATACTTTTAAAAATGCAGTAGTAAATAATTATTAGGAAGACTAAATAATACAGAGTAACCAAAAAAAGGAAGAAAGCAAAATTCTTTCAAGGCTGTCTACATAAAATAATTATTTTTAATAAGTTCACAAATATACTTTTATAACTATATATTTGGGGCTCTGTAAACTCTGTTCTAGCTCAACATACACATGTTTATTTAGTTCAAGGCCCTCCCCACTTGGCCCAAATGCTCAAAGATGATGCTGGAAGCTTGCTCTTGCTGAATATGCCGATGTCTTGGTACAGTGAGGCAAACAGCATACCCGGAACAGTCAAATCAGGACTGGGCATGATCCACCGACAGGACTGGTCATTGCTCCTGGTGGGCCATAAGCCAAGGCAATGCTATGGACTAAATGTTTGTGTCCACCCAAAATTTATATGTCAAAACCTTTGCGAAAGGAAAATAAATATTGGGATACCCAAATCACTAAGTCAATGGGAAAGTCAAGTTGGGAACTGCTTGGGGCAAACCTGCGTTTCATTTTATTCCAAATAAGATAGCTAAAAAGGTAAGAAGCTACATACCTCCCTACAGTTTGCCCACAAGAAAATTCCTTGTGGACCACGGATAGACAGAACTCACCTAAGGTAAGTGTATATCTGATTGCTTCCTCTGCCATATTGTTTATGCAAAAATGCAGAATCACTGAGCCAGACTAAACTGTGTATTCCGTGGAAGACTTATCAAGGACTCAAAAGAATGCAACCATTTTTCTCTTATCTGTTTCTAACCTGGAAACCCCCACTTTGAATTTTCCTGCCTTACTGGACTGCACCAATGTTCATCTTACACATATTAATTGATGCCTCATGGCTCCCTAAAATGTATAAAAGCAATCTATATCCCAACCACCTTGGACACATGTCCTCAGGACCTCCTGAGGCTGTGTCATGAATGTTTCCTTAACCTTGGCAAAGTAAACCTCCTACATCTGAGACATATCTCAGATACTTGGGGTTCACACCTTAATATCTAATGTAATGGCATTTGGAGATGGGGCTTCTAAAAGGTAATTAAATTTAGGTAATGTAATGGAGGTGAGACCACCATGATGGGATCGGTGTCCTTATAAAAAAAGAAGGAGGCAACATATCTTTCTTTCTCTCTTCGTGTAGAAACTAAGGAGAAGCTGTATGAGGACCTGATCAGGGAGAAAGTCTCCACCATGAACCCGATCATGCTGGCACTCTAATTTTGGACTTCCAGCTTCCAGAACTGTGAGAAATAAATGTCTTAAACCACCTAGGCTATGGCATTCTGTTATAAACGCCTGATCTAACTAAGACTTGGAGAAGACCATGATAAGGCCTCTCCTGTATTTTTAATGGAACTTTTCTTATAAATATGCTGTAATTTATTTTAATAATACAATGTTTTGTTCATTTAACCCAAGCTTTTGCTTTGTTTTAATAAGCATGTTTCAAATATATACGATCCTAGCATCAGTGACCTGACCTCTTAGGATTTAAAAAATTATTGGTCTCAAACTTCATTATAGGACTTATGCAGAGTCCAATGCCCCTCCCTACCAACAAGACACTTGTTAATTCTTAGAGTGCTAAACTTCTCAAGTTCATATATGCCTTCGGATTTATGCTCTTCCTGAAGGCTTTTACTAGTGTGTTTCCTCATCATCTTGCGTGTGCTTTTCCTATATTAATCTTTCCAAACAGAGAATGCAAGTGTGCTTCTGGGTTTTAGTACCAACAAAAGCAACTAAAGTGACTCTCAGAAGGCCTTTGAGTGTGTAGCTAGCTTTACTGAAAATTTGTCCAGAGAGAGATATTCATAAGCCAGCTTCACAGTGGATGTTGGGTTTTAGGGCTGATTCTTCTTAAATGTTCTTTCTGGATCTCCACCATCAATGAATTGCCATAGCTGAGGTGTGCCTCTCAATACTGCAACCCATCCCTAGAAGTCTTTCTGGCTCTTTCTGCAACTCTTTACTCTGGGAATCCAACAATATTTCAAATCTTTTTCATTTTCTTATGCATAACAATTTTGCTCTCCTTTGTTCTCTGGAGTCTCTTTCCAGATTCCACACTTGAGTATGTATATTCACATGTAGATGGTTGACCATCAACTCATTTTCTAAATAGAAATATTCCCTTTCAAGAGGACGTACCTCATATGACATTGGTATAGTGGTGAGCATAGCTACCTTCTAGAGGAACTCCCATATCACTTATAATGATAATATATTCTTATACATTTGGTTATCCATATTGACTTACAGAAAAGCTGGGAGAAGAGAATAGATAATCATATCAGGAAACCACATATTCTCCTTCCTTAAGCCTCAGGGCCACTATCTCAGGACTATATCTACCTTTTTCCTATGATATAATTTCCAAGGTGTACCTTATTCTTATTGGCTCTTTGAGGTTGTCACCACCCATTTCATCCATGTGGTTTATTTCCCCCTGAGCCTTGTGGATTGATAAAATAAGGTTGTAAAGATCCAAAAATTCTCATTGCTCCTTAAAACAAGAACGTGGACCATTTTCACTTTCTTATAAATATTTTTAGTTATGTAAGTAAGCACACAGACTTTATAGTTTTATGAGAGTAATGGAAGCTCAGAAAACTTCAAAGTACTTTTCGTCATGCATTTCTTTCTAATGTTCCTGACTTGTTTAGAACAAGTTGTTTGTGACAACTTGGACTCCTGATATTTCATTCCTCTCTCTCTGAGACTAGAGTTCATTTTTCCTACCCTCTTTTTTTCAAAAACTGTATAACCTCCCTTAAAAAGGCTTCTCTCCCTGAAACATGGGCCCCAAATGACCAGAATAGAACAGTAGCGTCCTGATCTCAAGGAAAGTCCTGATCTCACGCACAGTTTAGCAGTGAGAAAAAAATGGATTAAAATCATGGCCAAAATATGGCATCTAGCAAAAACTGCTTAATTACACAGAACACATTTTTTTCCTCATCAGTAAAATGAAACTAGTCCTATGGTGTAATAAGGATCACATAAATTAAAGAACCTACAAAATGTTTGATATTTACGTGTCCCTAAAATACCTTAGCATGGTATAAAAACAATAACTGGCTTCTTTATAGCTTTGCTTTTAATTATGTAACCTTGAACAAATAATATAACTTCTCTTATGTCTCAGCTTCATCACCTGTCAAATGGGAATGCTAACAGCTGCTGGGGGATTCATGAATATGCTTTGATATCAGCTGGAGTGTCCAATCTTTAATATTCCAAGGAAATCTGCTTGAACTCTATTGCATGCACAATGAAACAACTACCTGTACACAATTCAGCCATTCTGAAACTTTTGCCGGATGCATTGAGGGTAGGGATGTAAGTGCTCACTGGTTACCTTTGTTCCTGGAGCCCCATTGAATGAGTTCTGTCAACCCATGATCTTATCATCTCTTGATGTTGACACATTCCCCCATGTTTAATCTTCAATTCCTTTCCTTTGGATCCTACCTCCAAATTGTTACTCATCAAGACTTGTGGGCATGTCACCAATTTTACTGAACTTTTGTAACAGCACCAGGAGAATTACACAGAACCTTGGATTTTTGCCTTCTGTCTGCTGAAATCTCTAGGCCTCCCACTGTCAGGCGCTGACCCTTCTAGCACCTACTGCTTCCTGAAAGCTTAATTCCTCTCAGTTTTGTTTTGGGATTTGGGGTTTTGTTGGTGGTGGCTGTGGTGTTTTTTGTTTTTTGTTTTTAATTTTTATTTTTAAATAAACCAACATAGCTCTCCATTCCATTTTTGCTTATGTGAAGATTCCTTAATGTACTCTGGTATGCAGTGCTCCTCTTGGCATATGCTTTCTCCTTAGAGACAAAGTAGAACTGTCTGACTTTTCACATTTTCTTCCCTTCTCTCTGCCCCTCTGTCTACCAAGGAATGGGGAGCTAAAGTTTATGTTCCTACTATGATGCCACCTGCCTGCAGGGCAGAAGCAGCTATTGCCAATTTGGGTTTGAAATATTCTTCCTAGCCCTCTTTTCCTGCATTTAAAGCATTTAGTACATTTTTACTTAATAGGTTCTTAATGAGTATTTGTGGAGAGGAGTTGGGGAAAGATGGGTGATGTGGATAGAGAGTATAGTAAGATCAGAAGGAAAATGAGTAACATAAAAGGAAAATGTAAGGAGCTGATGTGACAAAACATAGGTTTCCAGGGATCCTATTTTTACACACACTTAATGCCAAATTTCTAAATTTCCTTAATGCTGTACACATCATGAGCAAAAAGACTCTGTCTCAGACCCTGAGTAACTGCCCCTCTGCTTCTCATTACTTATGCATAGTTCGTCCTCTTTCTCCACTGACATATCTCAGCACCTGTTGTGAGTTAGGAGAACATCTCTCTCTTCTAGGTAGAAGCACAGATGTAGGAAGGCAGTGATTTCAGAGGGTTTATTTTAGAAACAGAAAACGGTTTCCTAATGACAGGCTGGTTGGAGGGGAGTTGCATCTCATTGGTGATGCTGGCAGATCACCCTCTGCTGATCTGTTTTGTCATTTTGTTGTCGGTTGAGGAGACAACAAAATGCTGGTGAGCAGCTGGTGGCGGAATTATGTTTTACGTGCGAAATGTGGGAGAAAATTCTGGCCCCGTGCTATAATTGCCTGATTTGGTGGGGTTGGGAAAATGAGCTATGCTTTTATCTGAATTAAATGTGCTTTCTTTCCTCCAGGTTCAGCATCCTTAACTATGATTGGAGTCAATGTGCAACACCCTTTGTACATTTCAAATGGGATTTTTTAAAAAAGAGAAAAAAACTGCTATGAGCTTCCTGGAATGTCAGAGTCCAGCAGGACTGTGGGGATGTGATATCTTGGTTTATCTGCGAGGAGTTAGGGCTCCCCAGGGAAGTGGACCCTGACAGTAGACATTTTAACAGAGGAGCACGCACACGCAACAGTGGGGAGAAGACCTACCAACAGGGCTTGGAAGGAGATACAGTTAGTCAGGCACAACTCAGTAGAGTAGAAACTTTTAAGGTTCTGATATCTTTTTAAAAAGTATTATTAATATCCGTGGCACAATAAGTGCTCAGAGAATTTAGTCAGTTGACTCATGCACCATATTATTTTTGCTACAAAGTCTGCTTCTTAAAAGTTATATGTGTTTGTTTTCTAAACTGTTATGACAATTGCACTTCTTGTGTTGTTACATAATTTAATAAAATATTATCTCAAGTAGTGGTATAAGAATGCAAAAAGAAAGTGTTATGTGTTTGAAAATTCCGTTGAAACTGTTGTTAAAGATGACTAAAAACATCCCTGTTGAATGTGGTAAGAGCACATTAACTTAAAGTTTGGAAGATAATCATGAGAATAACGATGATCCACCTTCAGATTCATTTGCAATCATGTAAAAGATATTACTCCACTTGAAAGTAATACAAGTTAAAAATTAAAAATGATACATTGTGTGATTTTATTCAAGATAAAATTAACAGAATGTCATCCACAATATCTATGCTCAAAGGAATAAACTTTACCCTCTAAATGATTGACAGACAAATGTGTAACTAAAATGCTAACTGCACAACACGCATGCGTTTGTATACCATGTTTTATGACTTCCCTCCTTAGCCATTATTTTGAATAGCTCAGCAGTGTCAGATCTGTATTAAAAGGAATCAGGAGTCTTGAACTTTGCTATGAGTGCACAAAATCATTCTGGATAGATAAGTGGATGATATCAGGTGGGACTGAAAGGAGATAACATGAGACAGGAGGGTGCAAGGAGGTGGAACCCGCGTGGACAGACTGTAACAGAGAGAGGCAGCATGTCACCAGGCAGCACAGTCACAGTCACTGAAGTAGGTCTGGGGGTAGGACTCCAGCCCATGTGCAAAGGGAGTCAGGATAGAGTAAGTCATGGCATAGCCCTAATGGTGTAGGAAGATGGGACGGCTAACGATAGAGAGATTTAGAGACAAAGGAGAAAATAAACACCTGTACAAATAGAGAGGAGGGTAGGAAGGCAGAAATACTGGGGACTTCATCATCTAGTATAGCTGCAACACTGGCATGCCAGTTATTCTTTCTGACCCTCAATTTCCTCATCTGTAAACTGTGGCTAATTGGAAGGGTAACTGGATGAACTAAATGTATAATATATTTATACCACCTATTATACATATAATAGTTAAACAAACTAAACATCTCCACCATGCAAGAAATTATTTTAGGTGTAGAGAATACCATAGAAAGCAAAAAGAGGCAGAAAACTACTCTTATGAAGCCCACTCTCCAGTGGGGAGACCGACACTAAATAATTAGAATATAATGAAATGGCAACGAAATGTACTCAGAAACAAATAAAGCAGGTCAAGGAAATGGAAAATCTTCATGATCGTATAAGGATAGATGGGAGTTAGGTGGGCTATTAATCTATTTACTCTGTTTTTATTCTAACTGGAAAGAAAAGGAGAATACAGCATTGTAGCTATTGCTATAATTAGTCACAATTTCTCAGCTGACTTCAGCACAAAACAGAAGTGACTCATGTCCAGCATATTAGGCTGTTCTCAGTGTGTTAGTTTGGTACTGCTATAAATAAATACCCGAGGCTGGGTAATTTATAAAGGAAAGATGTTTAATTGACTCATAGTTCTGCATGGCTGGGGAGGCCTCAGGAAACTTGCAATCATAGAGGAAGAGGAAGCTGGCACCTTCTTCCCAGAGTGGCAGAAGAGACAGCCTGTGAAGGAGGAACTGTCAAACACTTATACAACCATCAGATCTCATGAGAACTCAGTATCATGAGAACAGCATGGGGGAAACCACCCCCATGATCCAGTCACCTCCTTCCCTTGACACATGGGGATTATAGGTCCCTCCCTGGACAGGTGGGGGAGGACTGGGCTCCACACCATCCCTGGAAATAAATCAGTTGAGGAGAGACACCCACCTCGGGAAGTTTAGCAGGAAGAACACGGGCTTGTGGGGTGCCTCCAGCTCTGTCAGTAATATATCATTTTTAAAAGACTACCTAAAGCAAATATGGCCACATTGATATTTGTCAGTCAAATATAAACTCCACAAGGGAAGGGGCATCTGGTTCCCAGACAGACATGTCCTCAGTCCTCAGAATGGCGAATGTCTTGTCCCCAATCCATATTTGTTGCATGAGTTAAAATGTTAAATCTGGGAGTTGAGAACAATGCATTTTCCTTTTCTTTTCTGTATGTTTAAAATATTTTATTATTCGTTTTTTGTTGTTTTAAGATAAAGTCTACTATCAGAAAGAAAATGGTTAACATGCAGGCTTAGGAAAATGGAGAAGATGAAATTTGACAGATTCATCAACACTTTAAAAGGAAGATAAACATCGTCCTCTTAGTATCTGAATTTAGAGATAATTAAATTGATTCAACAAGGCGCAGATATTTGCAAAGGTCACATGGTGAAGATTGTGGGTCTGGGACACACACCCAGCATCTGTAGATGGTGAGAGCTTAAACTTTGGAGCCAAATGGACGTAGAGTTGAGTTCTGACCCCACAAACTTTCATGTGTGTGGATGTGAAAGGTTTAAAAGAGGTCAAAGGGTTTAATAATACTCATTCGGCACAAACAGTTGAGTGCCTATGCCAGATACTGCTTTTTATTACCATGTGCCAGATGCTATTTTCAATGTTAGCCTTTTAATCATCATATAAAGTATCTGAGATTCATGGATTAAAAAAATGGTACCTCAGAGATGTTTTGTAACTTGGCCAAGATCACACAGCAAATAAATCACCAGCCATTCCAAGTGTGGTGATTCTGTGGAACTCCAGCTCATGGTGCCAAGTGTCCAGCCTACCACCAAAATCAAACCTTGAGAAAGAGGTAGTGTTTTGAATAGAAACTACATCTCTCTCCCTCCAAAGCCATTTCCTGTGTGTTTGTTCTCTCTCTCTCTCGCTCTCTTTGTCTCTCTCTCTCTCTTCTCTGTCCCTGTTTCTGTTTCTCTCCCTCTCTGTCTTCTCCTCTGACTGTCTTTTTCTCTAGGATCTGGATGGTATATCTGAAGTTTTTATCTTGCTCCCCACCGAGTATCAGCAAAGAGATTGGCTTGAGCACTCTTTTCATCTGGGAATTCACACAGAGAAAAGATTTCTGAATATACACCAAAGCACACTTTCTGTCGTACCCTAAAAGCCACACACTGCTCTTCAGCTGTTTGATAGGTCAAATTAAGAAAGTCCTAAGAATTCCAAATATAGTTTAACTCGTATTATGTTGTACAAATAATCATGTTTTGGACATCAGACAACCCTTTGCCAACCTTGCTTCCTTTGCCTGTGTTTTATTACAGCATAAAGCCCAGCCAACTACGTATTTGTCAGTTGTTAAAGATTTATAGAAAAAAAATGATTATAAGTACAAGGATAACTGCATTGGATTTACAGGAGTGATTTTTGGCTGAGAAATCTTTCACCTCCTAAAGCCAATGGAAGAGTAGCTTGAGAAAAGAGCTGAAGCCCTCGTTCAACGTTTAATTTCCATCTTCAAACACAGATGTCAGCAGAGGTTGGGGGTGGTCTCACACATAAATATGCCAACCAAAGAAGTTTCAATGCTGTCTTCCTTTTCTGTCTTACATGTCATGGAACTCCTATTTCTACGTATCCTCCAAACCTCAATCTCCCTATGGGAACTAAAGCCCCATTATTCTTAAGTGATCTGGTTTGATGTCACCATAGCAGTAAAGTAATTACAATTCTCCATTGCAATATTCTTTCTGGACTAATAATGCTCCATTAGTACCTTTCAAAGCCAGAAGAAAATTTGATTTAGGAAAAAGAACAGTGGTAGCCAAAAGTGAGAAGCAGAATAAAATATGTCCCACTGGCTTTATATAATCCTTTGCTGACACATGATTTCTCATTGAGACAGTCCTGGACACCTTATTCACTGCTGGCGAGGAATGAGGAGTCCATCAAACTGGGGAAAAGGCTTGTTTTCTTTTGTGGACTCCGTCTGTCAGCAAACACACAGAAATGATCCTGACAGCTGCTTTCCACTCTATAAAGAACTTAGAGGTGATGAAGAAAAGGGGCAAAATTAAATGCAGTTTCAAGAAATTGGGAGTTCACTATGATTATACAATATAATATTAAATATCATAAAAATCATGGCTTCTTAAAATTGTTAAGCATTTGTGTTTAATAACATAGTGGTATAATAATTATATAAGATACAATTAATAATAATATGACATAAGTATATAAGTATATCCTTGTACCCTCTTATAAGTGACACTAATTCTAAATTGTTTATGTGTATATATTTGCATATATATTATATAAATTGCACTATGTAAATGTATGTGTGTCTACATATGCATATGCATATATACACATGGACTAAATCTTTTTCTTGCATTTTCACAAATTTTTACCATATCTTGCTCTTGCTTTATTTCTACTGTGCTTTTTCTTTAGCAGCTGTTGCTGTGTTGGTCAGAAGGCTGGAAAAAAAAACAAAAAGAGAGAAGATTAATTTGTACTGCTAGGGGCTGAAGGAGAATGTATCTTGGAAAGTAGGAAGACACGGTTAGAGAGAGAAGTGCTCTGACTACCTGAATTCTTAAAAAGAAGATTTCAGGAGATTCTGTCCTGCTCTAAATGCTTTAGATGTGAATGCAAGCCCACAGCAGTTATGAGTTAATATCACATTTTAATTATTTCTGGATATTGGACTGGTATATATGTCTTCTGATTGTTGCATCCTGCAGAGAGGAATTATTAAATGGCATTCCAGCTTTATGGGAGTACATATGTATTAATAAATATATGCATAAGTATACCAACCCAGGTTACAGACCCAATTTCAGAATGCTACCTATTGATGGTAGCAAATTAGTCATCTCTGTGCTAATGGTAGCATTTTTCTCAACAGAATTTATTTAAATAAGTAATATATTCATTGCCTTTGGAAATAATGTCATAAACAAAAACGTTGTTATATATTATGAAATATTCTCATAAGTTAATAATTTTAAGTGAGAACCACAGCTATGAGCTCAAAGAATAAATGCTTGTAACTGTCATTACTTTGTCATATAATATTATGGGTAAGACTATAGGCTTTAGAAACAGACTGCTTGCCTTCAAATATTATTTTATCACTTACTAGTTGTATGACCTTGGATAGTGACTTAGTCTCCCTGCACCTCAGTTTCCTCATCTGTAAAATGAGGATAACTCTACTTACGTCTTAGGGTGGTTAGGAACATGAAAATGTAATACATCTAAAGCATTTAGAACAGGGACAAGCAGGTAGTAAATGCAGAATAAATGTCAGCTACCTCTACATTATATACTATACAGGATGGCGTAATAATTGAAGAGAACATATTTTTAAAGTTTTTAGTACAGTGCGTGCCATAAAATGAATACTCAATCTGCAAAGTAGCTTGTCTGTTGCTTGTTAACATGTTATCTAGACTAACAGAGTGTGTAACAACTAAATGCCTCAAATTTATGCAACCCTTTATAAGTTATACTGACATTAACACTTATTACCTTATTTTATTCCTTTAATGTATTATCATATGTACACTATTACCTCTGTTTTAAAGTTGACACTCAATATATGTAAGTGACCTCCCTAAGGTTATATAACTACAAATGAGAAACAGAAGGGAGGTAAGTTTTCTGAGCATCCACTTATAGCAATGACTGCACTGGGCATCTAATCTTCATGACGCTATTTAATCTTTCAATGATTAATTTGGGATTTAATCAATCCCTTAACCAAGTTAGGGATTATTATCTGTGATGGTTAATGCTGAGTGTCAACTTGATTGGATTGAAAAATACAAAGTGTTGATTTGGGGTGTGTCTGTGAGGGTGTTGCCAAAGGAGATTAACATTTGAGTCAGTGGGCTGGGGAAGGCAGACCCACCATTAATCTGGTGGGCACAATCTAATCAGCTGCCAGTGAATATAAAGCAGGCAAAAAACGTGAAAAAGTTGAGACTGGCCTAGCCTCCCAGCCTACATCTTTTTCACGTGCTGGATGCTTCCTGCCCTCAAACATCAGACTCCAAGTTCTTTGGTTTTTAGACTCAGACTGGCCCTCCTTGCTCCTCAAGCTTGCAGACAGCCTATTGTGGGACCTTGTGATCATGTAATTTAATACTTAATAAACTCCCTTTATATATATATTTATCCTATTAGCTCTGTCCCTCTAGAGAACCCTGATACATTATCCATTGGAATACACACTACCCACAGCTACAGAAGTGCCAGAATCAGTCTTTGCACCTAAGTCTGTGGACTTGGTGTGTTAATTCTCTCTATTAAATCACATACCGTATTGCATTCATATGGACATTTTGTTTTTATGATTTTTTTACCTTAAAAATCAAGAATAGGATATGTTAGCTTCATGCCCCATGTATGTGAAATGAAAACTCCATCTGTAAGGTTTGAATTAACACATCTGCACAGCTCCCATTTCCTTCTCTTACCCTGAATTCATCAGAGTTTTACTAAGAAAATTAAAATAAAAACAACAAAAAAAAAGCAGGCAAGAAAAGCAAAGGCAGCAGCTATGAAGGCTGCCAGGGCTGTATATATGCATCAGGCCCGTCTCTGGTCTCTGGGGTCCCGATCAGCAATGCTGGTCCTTTTATCTCTCAGTGCTTTAAGCTACTCTGATCTGTTCAGCCTTCTGTGGCTACATATGTCTCCAAGCAGAGTGATCACTTCTAACAGCATGAACTCTGCATTTTCGTCTCCCCTGCCTTTTGAATCACTCTAAATTAAGTAGTGGTTATGTGCACAGGCAGGAGGAACAAGCCTGCTGGGGACCAATAGAACTAGTTGAAGTTTACGATGGTTTAAAACCTCCCCAACAAAAGAGAAAATTGAACTTCCTTTGTTTAAAAAAATAACATAAATAGTTCTGCATTTTGCACAGAGGCTCCTGTGCCAGGAGATTTAGAGCTTGTAAGAGATAAGTAAAATCATTTGTTCAAATGCCACCCTGTTGGATTCATTGCAGATGAATGAAGGGATGTGAAATTCTCAATGAGAAAAGGGACTCAGCTTGGCTATTGTTCTTAAGATCCGAAAGTAGGGGATAATGTAGGGAATGAGATTTAGGAGAGAAAGAAGAAAAAGCAAAGGAATGAGATGAAATTATCTAGCGTTATTGCTAAGTTGTCCCCAGGGAAAGGTGAGCCTCATTGGGCACCACTTTTCATGACATATGCTGGCACCTAGCGCTGTCGAAGGGGAACTCTGTGACCTTGTGGGAGCTCTTCTCACCTGCGAGTAGTGGTCATGGTCATGCAGCAGGTAGGCAGCAGAGGCTAGTTTGGAATCCCTGTGTCCTGATCTGTGCGTTAGCTCAGATAGACAGCTTCCCAGCATAGTTGGGGGATGTCTCTGATTCCTGAGTCAGGTGATGGTGCTGCTCTGAGTTCTGCTGCTGGTGAGCTGGCTCATTTTGTACCAGTCACTTTCCTCACTCCCCCACCAAAAAAAGTATGCAATTTAACTGATTATTCTTCAGCAACTCCTATAGGCAAAAGCATTCTTCTGGGCATGCCAAGAGAGATGAGGGACAATGAGACCATAACATGGGGTCCTTTTCAAGCAGCTTATGGAGCATGGGAGTAGAACTTGCTCAAATAATATTAAGGGACAAAGGAGAGTAATGCAGAAAGTTGCTGAGCGACAGAAGGTGTATATTGCCATTACAAATAGGTACAATTGCAGTCAGGATACCACTTCTTAGATTCCAATGCAGGTGCATGGTAAAGGGTCTTAATGGGGTCTGAGATTGGCCTTCTCTTTTTTCTTCCTGCCTCCAGTTCCTTGCAGCATCACCATGCCTGTCCCCTGCCCTCCCCCAACTCATACAATCTATACCCCAGACAGCTCTGCTAACATTATCCTAATGCAAATCTATGTTTCCTTCCCTGTTTAAAACCCTTCAGTCATTTCAATCATTTCCCTTTAAAATAACTTGCGAATATTTTTAACAGGATAGGCAAGAACTTTCATGGTTAGATCCAATCTTCTCTTCCACTTTACCTTTTCCCTGCCAGCTTCTCCTCTATAAAGCCAATTGAAGTTCCCCAGATGGACTGTACATTCTCTCCACTCCAGACCTTTGCACATGCAGAAGGTCCTCTTCCTCTTTTTCTTTGCCTGGTACATACTATTCTTCTGTTAGGTCTCAGTCAAAATGCTATATTTTCTAAAACAGTCTTACTGTACTCTGGTTGCATACTGGCATCCTAAATTTGTATCACCTTAGAGGCAATTAAGAAAACACCACGGCTGCTCTAACCACCGGTCCATTGAATTAGAATATCTTGGGATAAAAAGGGATAGAGTCCGAGCATCAGTGTTTTTAAAAGCTCCTTGGGTGATTTTACTCTGCAGCTAGGTTTGAGGGCTCTTGTGTAGATAGCCTTACTGTCCCTCTTCTCAATTCTGCAAAAAGCACTCTTTCTTCTACAGCAGGAGCTGTAAACTCTGTAAAGAGCTATGTGGGTCATACCCCATCACAACTACTCAATTCTGTCATTGCAGCTTGAAAGCAACCATAGACAATATGTAAACAAATGAGCATTGCTGTGTTCCAGTAAAATTTTACTTACAAAAACAGGCTGCATGACAGATTTAGTTTTCAGGTAGAAGCTTGCCAGCCTCTGCTTTAAAGAATACTCTGTAGTCCATAACACACTAGATTGCAATTGTCTGTATACACATCCATCATGAATACATGAATATTCACCCAACAAGCATTCATGAATACATGAATATAAGGGTGGAAGATTGCACAATACTTAAATCCTGTTAAAAGGCTGGATTCTTATGAGAAAGGCATCTGAGTCCTGGTTGTGAGGCTGGGTAAAGGGGAGAGGAGTCATTTTAAAACCCTATTCTACTGTATAATAGAGGTTGATTTTCTAAAGTCTTTCCCAGTTCTGATATTCTATGGTATGTGAATCGTCCCCTAGGAAAATACTAATGGGAAATACTTCTTTAGATAAAGAAAATAATTCCCTCCCAGTGTCCTTTTCTTCATTCTCTTAAGACTCACCCAGAGCAATGCTTGAAGGCAGCCACAAAATCATTCAAGGGATCCTAACCCTGTTCAAGACTTTCAAAAGCATTATATTATTTACATATACCACCCCTCCTCCCTGTGCCATGGATCTTAGATTCAGACAGCTGATTAATCTCTCCTAAATTGTGCCTTAGGTCTCACGTCCCAAAATTCTTCCACACTTAGCTGTTTCCTCAGGCTAAAGTCTAAAAGCATTATATTAGCCTTAGAGATCTTCCATACTCTCTTGATTCCTTCCTTTATTTTGAGATTCTCAAAATGCTGCCTCCACTTCAAGTCAAACAGAATCTAAGGTGAATATTGGATTCACAGTAGTAAACCCAACTTATCTTAGCAATAATGGAAAGATAGCTCACTCTGTCTTTCTCTTTCTCTCTCTTTCTCGCACACACACATACACACACACACACATGCACACACACGCGCGTGCACACACACACCCATCTACCTTAGAGATAACAAAATATTTCCCATGTGCTTATCCATGTGATCTTGAACACATTATTTAACCTCTCTGGGTTTTAGGTTGCAAAACCTCAACATTACCTGAATCATAAAGCTGTCATAGGGATTAAGAGATGAGCATGTTGACCATTTAACACTCTATCTGGCATATAGAAAGCAGCTATTACCAGTAATATATTATTATTTTTATATTCTATGACCCTCTCCAAAAGCCTGTGAGATAGTGCAGAGGCAATTATCCCTTCCTTGTAGGTGAAAAACCAAAGCCCAAAGAAGTTAGGATATTTACCCAAGATCGCACAGCATTAAGCCATAATTAGACCTAAGCATTCTCATTCCTAGGTCATTTCCCATCATACATTGCTCCTTTTGAGACTTTACCTATTTTGGAAATATTATCATAGACAAAATTGCACTTTTACTAACAGGAGGCTAGATTTTTTTTTTTTCGTTTAACTGCAAGGTACAGGGGATGAACATCAAGGAGCCACCAGAGCTGCCATTAGCAAGATGCTTGCATTGGGCCCTAAGTTTCCTCATCTATAAGTAGAGGAGATTGGAAAGTTATATTTACGGTGCTGTCTGGCTCCAGCATTTCATAAGTTCACTGGTTTTCCAGGCTCTGGATTCTTAATTATTCATGCTAATGGAGAAAAGAAGTGGGAGGGTAATTGAAATTCACAGATAATCCCTCAAATTGTCTCTGAATCCTTGCCCACCAGGCCTTCATCCTTTCATTTCAGTTACTGACAAGTAGATGTAATTGACTGATTTGAGCTTGATCTTCCTTCTGATCTTACTCATTCTCTGGAGGAAATGACTAATGAGCAGAAAAATTGCCAAATGGGGGAGGGAGACATCAAGGCAAAGGTGTCAATGGTCTGTAAGTTGGTTATTTGCTTCCGGAGTCACTGAAGATGTCTCTGCAGTTGCGCCTCTTGCTCTGGAAAGATGTGATCCTGAAGGACTCTTTGCAAGCCAAATATTTATAGATTAAATTGTATATTTCTATTCAGTGGTGAGTTGACTTACAACAAAACAAAACCAACCAACAAAATATCTTGTGCTGAAACTTTACCTCTTCCCTCCAGTCTTTCTGTTGCTTTATGGAATCACAGAGCACCAATTTCCTCTTCTGTCAAATGGAAGCGATGCTCTTAGGTGTCCTCTCAGAGAAAAGTGGCGGAGGGAAATTAAGTGTACGCAGCCAGGAGCACTCATAATGGTTCAAAGTGCCATGCCTTCCACTTGGATGGTGCAGATTGAAATTGATATATTTTTGGGAAAGATATATTTTAAAATGTGGATTTATAAAAAAGGAAAACCTTCTCTGAGTGAGAATGTTGGGTATATTTTAGAGAAAGAACAAAATATTAATTAGTAGACAGACAGAAGGTGATAAACTAGAAAGAACACAAAATATTTCCAGTAGAAAGAACATAAAATATTCCCAGATTGTAGTTTCCACCATATACAATGAGTGTAGAGTTATGTCAGTTAGGAAGCTACAGTTTGCTAGCTATTATTAGTTAGAACCTGTTTGCTAAGCTATTTATAAAGCTATTGTCGTAAGCGCAACAAGTGAAGTGACATAGCGTATAATTTAAGGTACTAGAACCACCTCCAAATCCAAGCTTTAGCCTTTGGTAGCTGTGTGAGCTTGGGAAAGTTACTTAATGTCCCTATATGTCAGTTTCCTTATTTGTAAAATAGAGATAATAAAATTAACTACTTCACAGCCTATTTTGTGAGGAATTAAACCAGTTAATATACATAAAGCCCTTAGAACGAGGTCTCCATGTAGTATGTATTACATATTATTATTCATGAGATTATTTATATTTAAATGCATATCACATATGCTTATCTTTCTGTACATTGATATCTCTTAAACTTCAAATATTGCTGGGAAGTAGAAATCATTATTATTTTCTATTTTGAGAGCAGAAGTGGGTCTCCAATTCAGGTCTTTCTGATGGTAAATATTCATGCTTATTTTAGAGTGCATCTATGTTTTCACACAGGCCAAGTTTGAAGTCTTAAGTAACTCAGCCCAGCATGGGCCTCCACCTCTCTGCTTATGAGTCTTGCCTCAGCTTCTGTCTGAGTCCTGGCAATCACAGACTTAATAAATGTCGATATGATTATTGCCAGACTTAAGAAGTGTTTGAAAACCAGTTCACCATACTTACTTGAAACTCACACGTTTGATTGCTTTCTAAAGAAATAAACAAACAAATATTTAGACAACTGACTATGGCTGATATATTATTCAACAGGAAAGAAAACTCATCTGGTATGGAAGGAGTGATTAATTCATTTTCTTCCACTTTTATTATATGTTCAGGGGGTACATGTGCAGGTTTGTTACAAAGGTAGATTGCACGAGGCTGAGGTTTAGGGTGCAAATGAATCTGTCTTCCAGTTAGCGAGCATGGTATGCTAAAGGTTGTTTTTCAGGCCTTGTCTCCCTCCTTCCCTCTTTCCTCTTGTATTTCCTGGGGTCTATTGTTCTCATCTCTATTTTTTTCTTTTGAGAAAATGTCTCGCCCTGCTGCCCAGGCTGAAGTGCAGTGGCAGAAACATGGCTCACTGCAGCCTTGATCTCCTGGGTTCAAATTATCCTCCTGCTTCAGCCTCCTGAGTAGCTGGGACTACAGGCATGCACTACGATGCCTGGCTAATTTTTTAATTTTTTAATAGAGATGCCATCTCACTATGTCACCCAGGCTAGTCTCAAACTTATGGGCTCAAGTGATCCTCCTAACTTGGCCTCCCAAACTGTTGGAATTACAGGCATAAGCCATTGCATCCAACCTATTTTCATCTTTATGCCCATGTATACTCGATGTTTAGCTCCAACTTTTAAGTGATAACAGGTGGTATTTGGTTTTCTGTTTCTGCATTAGTTCATTTAGGATAATGTCTTCCAGCTGCATCCATGTTGCTGCCAAGGACACGATTTTGTTCTTTTTTATGGCTGTATAGTATTCCATGGTATATATGTACCACATTTGCTTTATTTAATCCACTATTGATGGGTGCCTTGGTTGATTCCATGTCTTTGCTATTTTGAATAGCACTACAGTGAACATATGAGTGCATGTGCCTTTTTGGTATAATTACTTATTTTCTTTGGATATATACCCAGAAATGGGATTGCTGGCTTCAACTCTTAGTTCTTTTGAGATATCTCCAAACTGCCCTTCACAGTGGATAGACTAATTTACATTCCCACCCACAGTGGATAAGCATTCCTTTTTCTCTGCAACCTCACTGGTATCTGCTGTTTTTAGACTTTTTAACAAAGGCCATTATGACTGGTGTGAGATGGTATCTTATTGTGGTTTTGATTTGCATTTTTCTGATGATCAGTGAAGATGAGCATTTTTTCACATGTTTACTGGCCACTTGTATGTCTTCTTTTGGGAACTGTCTGTTCATGTCTTTTGACCATTTTTTAATGGCATTATTTGTTGATTTGTTTAAGTTTCTTATACCTGCCAGATATTAGGCCTTTGTCGAATGCATACTTTATAAATATATTCTTTCATTCTGTAGATTGTCTGTATACTCCTTTGATAATTTCTCTTGTTGTGCAGAAACTATTCAGTTTAATTCTATTCCACTTATCAATTTTTATTTTTGCTGCAATTGCTTTTGAAGACTTAGCCATAAATTCTTTTAAAAAGGAACCTCCTTTCAGGTTCACAGGAAGCTTCTACTCTTCTGATGTAACCAATTCAGAGTCTAGCCAGTAATGTTTAGGATGGCTTATTTCTTTACATTTTCACCAATTCTGGCTTACGCCATTAGCAATGGCAATAGCCACGGGCTAAGTAGTTTCTCTTTGTGACTCAAAGAGAGGTTGACTAGATCTTTTATGTTTATTATGACTAATTGCTTTTCATTTTCTGAAAACTGCCTTTAAAAAAACTGTACCCATATTTCTATTAGACTATATATGTACTTACCATTAGTCTCCTGGTGCTACTGACAGTTTAAGAATATCAACCTTTTGTCTTTCTTATATATATTCTTTTGAGCCCATTATGGTAGCTTTAGTCTTTTTAAAAGCCTAAATTCACATAGTCAAATTTGTTTTTGAGGAATTCTAAATGTTTTTATTGATTAAGATGTTTTCTCTCACTCAAAGATTTATTAATATTTTCTAAACATCTCTCCTACTATCTCAGGTTTTTGATATTTAAACATTAACCCATTTGGAATTTTTTAATATATTCTTTATTTTGTTTCTTTACATTATGCTTGCACTATTTGTAAATAAAATAGCCTCTTTCTATGGAATTGAAATGCTATTTTTACCATATATAAAACATGAAGTTGCATTGATTTCCTTATCTTATATTCCCTGCCTTTGGTTGATCTTGTTATTCATAGATAATATCAACATAGTTTTGGTTACCAGGCTTTATGGAAACTTCTAATATCTCAGAAAGGGTAAAATATGCCCCCTTCACTAATCTATTTTGCTCTTGTAATTTTTTAAATTTGCTTGTTATTCAAGAATATTCACTGCTATATTAATTTTAAAATTGCTGTATTCAAGTTAAAATAGCATTCCAACTAAAATTGTATAGGCTCATTAGTTTTTGAAATATTGACATCTTTATGATACTCGTTATTCCTGTGCAGGAAAATTGTTTCTATTCTTTAGTTCTGGCCTTATCTTATGTCCAACAAAAATACTCTGGTTATTTTTATGTAGGTTTTGTTTTTCTGTTTTTAAATTGCTTATTAGCTATTTATAGGTTGTGTCTATTTGATTTTTTTTTTTTTTTTTTTTTTTTTTTTTTTTTTTTTTGAGACGGAGTCTCGCTCTGTCGCCCAGGCCGGACTGCAGACTGCAGTGGCGCAATCTCGGCTCACTGCAAGCTCCGCTTCCCGGGTTCACGCCATTCTCCTGCCTCAGCCTCCCGAGTAGCTGGGACTACAGGCGCCCACCACCGCGCCCGGCTAATTTTTTGTATTTTTAGTAGAGAGGGGGTTTCACCTTGTTAGCCAGGATGGTCTCGATCTCCTGACCTCATGATCCACCCGCCTCGGCCTCCCAAAGTGCTGGGATTACAGGCGTGAGCCACCGCGCCCGGCCTATTTGATTTTTTTAAGAAAATATTTTCTAACTAGACATTGTTAGTATAAGAAAAATAAGTGTTTATTTTGTATATTTTCATTGCATTTAGGAACCTTATCAACTTACTATATTAATTCTAGTACTTAATTTTGTTTTCCTAGAGCTTTTCTTCCTTTCTTCCCTCCTTCATTTCTTCTTCAGTTTCTTTCTAAAGTCTTCAGTCATCCATTTCTTGAATAAATATTATTTTATTTTATAATCTTTACACTTATATCCCTTATCTACTCTTCTTGAATTAGCAAAAGCCTCCCAAAACAATGTAATATCTAACATCTCCACCTTATGCTTAATTTCAATAAAAGTAAGTTTGGGCATATCCACATTTAATTTGGTGTTTGCTATTGGAAAGTAGCCTTTTTTTTGTGTTGAATGATTTTCTTCAATTTTTATTTTATGTGGAGATTTAGTACAAATGAACCTGCCTTACTGATAGAGTCATGTCATTTGTTTTATTAAACTTGTTTTCTCATAATAATTTTTTTGCAATTCCCATCAAAATGCCACCATCATTCTTCACAGAACTAGAAGAAAAATCCTAAAATTCATATGGAACCAAAAAAGAGCCTGGATGGCCAAAGTAAAACTAAGCAAAAAGAACAAATCTGGAGGCATCACGTTACCCAACTTCAAGCTATTCTATAAGACTATAGTCACTAAAACAGCATGGTACTTGTCTAAAAATAGGCATGTAGACCAATGGAACAGAATAGAGAACCCATAAATAAAACTAAATACTTACAGCCACCTGATCTTTGATAAAGCAAACAAAAACATAAAGTGTGGAAAGGACACCCTATTTAACAAACGGTGCTGGGATAATTGGCTACCCACGTGTAGAAGAATGAAACGGGATCCTCTTCTCTCACCTTATACAAAAATCACCTCAAGATGGATAAAAGACTTAAATCTAAGACCTGAGACTTTAAAAATTCTAGAAGATCACATTAGAAAAATCATTCTAGACATCAGTTTAGGCAAAGACTTCATGACTAAGAACCCAAAAGCAATTGCAACAAAAACAAAGATAAATAGATGGGACTTAATTAAACTAAAAAGCTTCTGCACAGAAAAAAATCAGCAGAGTAAACAGACAACCCACAGAGTGAAAGAAAATCTTCGCAAACTACGCATCTGACAAAGGACTAATATCCAGAACACACTAGAAACTCAAATCAGCAAGAAAAAAAATCCATTAAAAAGTGGGCTAAGGACATGAAAAGAATCCTCAAAAGAAGATATACAAATGGCCAACAAACATGAAAAAAATGCTCAACATCACTAATAATCAGGGAAATGAAAATCAAAACCACAATGCGATACCACCTTACTCCTGCAAGAATGGCCATAATCAAAAAATAAAAAAATAATAGATATTGACATGGATGCAGTAAAAAGGGAACACTTTTACATTGTTAGTGGGAATGTAAACTAGGACAACTACTATGGAAAACAGTATGGGTATTCCTTAAAAACTAAAAGTAGATCTACCATTTGATCCAGCAATCTCATTCCTGGGTATCTACCCAGGGGAAAAGAAGTCACTGTATGAAAAAGATATTTGAATACGTACATTTATAGCAGCACAATTTGCAATTGCAAAAGCATGGAACCAGTCCAAATGCCTATAAATCAACAAGTGGACAAAGAAAATGTGGTATACACACACACATGCACACACTGAAATACTACTTAACCATAAAAATGAAATAATGCCATTCGCAGCCATTATTCGCAGCCATCTGGATGGAATTGGAGATCATTATTCTAAATTAAGTAACTCAGGAATGGAAAACCGGAAAACCAAACATAGCATGTTCTTACTTACAAGTGTGAGCTAAGGTATGAGGACACAAAGCCATAAGAATGATACAATGTACTCTGGGGACTTGGGGTGGTGGTGGGAGCATGAGAGAGAGGTGAGGGATAGAATACTACACATTGGGTACAGTGTACACTACTTGGATGACAGGTACACCAAAATCTCAGAAATCACCACTAAAGAATTTATTCATGTAACCAAACACCACCTGTTCCCTAAAAATCTATTGAAAAAATTTTTAAAAACTATGTGTAAAAACAACAAAGATATTCTATATAGGTCACCAGGTTACACTACTTCAATAACATTCACTTCTCATGAATGTATCAGCAACAGGTGCTTTCTAGAAAAAATAACAATAAATCTATTTTTAAACTAAAAAAATTATTAGCATGTGTTTCATGATGCTGAACTCTTATGGAATTTTGGTAATGGTGTATCATACTTTTGATGCATTTTAGAGATTCCATTTGAAATTTTTAAAAATTTTAACATCTGTATTTACCTCTATAATCAATATGTGTTTATATATTTTGTATTATGTTTATAAAGTTTTGATATAAAATGTATGTTTTATTCCTAAAATGAGTCAGAAAGCTACTTTATACCATTTAGAACATTTGAAAAAAAATGGGAATGTCTTCTACTTAAGGATTAGATAGAAAGATAACAAGGGATTAGAGCATGTTTTATTTTTATTGGAATACTTCTATCCAAGCTCTTCCTATTAGTTATTTTTTAAAAATACATATTGGTAGTTTACATTTTGCTAGAAAACATCAACTTACTCTGCAAAGTTAGATACATTCCCATGGAATTGCAAATCTGTTCATATATGCTATCTCATTTCTAATAGTCAGTTTTTAAAAAAATTCTTAATTGTACTTATTCATGACACTAATGATTTATATGCTTTATCAGCTTTCTCTCTCTCTCTCCCCTTCTTCTGGGTACTTTGTGATTCTTTTCCTAATTTCTTTTTAAAAAGAAGTTTACTCCCCCTCCATATCTTATTAAAATGTATTATGTAAAATGATCTATTCATAAAGTAATTATAGAATTGTGTGAAACTGATATAAATAAACATCCCAATATATTTTACATATAGCTAATTGGAGAAGAAAGAGATCAATGGGAGCAGGAATATGTGAGCAAGTCAGTCATGAGTGATGTGGCTTAAGAGTTGAAAAAGAGAAAGAGAAGATGTAACATTCCTAAAAGTATGTGAGCTAATAGGTACTTACAAGGGGAGAGTCCCCAGTTAGTTCATCATGGCATCAGCATTTACATTAAAGGGAACTTAGCTCTTACCTGAAATAAAGAAAGGTTTCTTGGGAACTAATTAAAACGAAAGGGTTGTTTTTGTGTTCTGACCCTGACCTTCATTAAACCTTCACTTAGTTTACTGGATCCAAGCAAATCCAGGCTCAAAAACAATGAAAATACAAAAAATGCCTGCTAGGTGCAAGGTCATAAATGCCGCTCACTATTTTGACAATAACGCTAGCATTAAACCCACAAAGATGGTGGCAACGTGCTGCAGCTCTGCTTCAGGTGGACAAAGACCATATGCCAAATTGGTAGGCCAAAAATTCAATGCAACAAAAGTTTTCAGAGTAAATGTTTCTATTTGAGATAAAAGAAGGGAAAAGGAGGAAGCAATTTCCTTCAGTTGTTTCTTTAAAAAAGAATAGCATGTGAAGAGAATATAAAAGTAAGAACACTTAGTGTTTTAAAGACATAGGTTTGTTTTATACAAGGAGCCAGTGGACTTTGAATGTTCACAAAATAACAAAACAACTACCTCTGACTTCAGTCTTTATTTCTAAGACATGTTGCCTCAAATTATAGGATAAATGGTTTTCATTCAGGGGAGAAAACCCCAAGGAAGCATTTCTGTCTTTAAAGAGCTTTTTTGCCTTCATTCAGAGGGAAAAAGAAAATGCAAAATGAAAGGACCCTTGTATGTCACGTCAGCAGATATGTGATATTTCCAATTTTCTTTTCATGACCTCGCAGAAAAACGTAATCTCAAAAGTGCTGTTCAGTTGGAAAAAGAAATTGCCCAACAATTATAGATTAATTCAATATAAAGTGTGTGGTTTCTGGAAAATGCAGCAACAACAACAAAATATTCTACACTTTGCTACCGTTTTAGTGAGTCATAAAAAATTTCTAGAAGGCCTAGTGCTTTGTAATAAAAAGTAATTTTTGCTAATATATTCCCTAGATATAATGCAGTGTGTTATATTGGATTGCATACATTAGACCCAGCTGCTCTCCTGTTGAAACTTTTATAATTCCAGAGACTTCCTGCAAGTTTTATGTATGTGAAAGCATTTGCTCATTACAAATTACAGGTCATTACAAACAAGTTTTTTGTTGTTGTTGTTTTCTTCAGGAAGAGTAGTGTAAAAGAACTGCTATTGGCATGCAGAAGGAAAAATACAAGGAAAAAGAGCAGTTGAAATTCTTGACTATTTTATTCATAAGATACTTAAATGAGAAAATCAAGAAGATTGAATTTTTCTGCCATAGCAATTTTTATTAACGTTCACAGTAATTTATTGAGGCATAATTTATTTGCAATAAAATGCATAATCATAATTGTTCATCTTAATGCTGCTTGCCAAATGCTTACACCAGCATATCCACCACTTTGTCAACAAACAAAACATTGTACTCACATTGTACTCCAGAAATTTCTTGCCTTCTTTTTTCAACCTAAGTCTCCTAAAAGAGAATCATTATTTTAACTTCCATTCTCATTGATTAGCTTTGCTTGTTCTCGCATTTTGTGTAAATGGCATGATACGGTAGGTATTTTTTTTCTGCATCTGTCTTCTTTCACTCAGCATGTTTTTAAGATCCATCCGTGGTACTGCATGTATTAGTAGTTTGTTCTCTGTTATTGGTATTATATTGTATGAATATTCTACAGTGTGTTTCGCCATTCCCCTGTTGATGGGCATTTGAATTGTTTCCAGTTTTTAGTGATAATGAATAGCATGCTTTGCATAATTTTATACAAACATTTTTGTGTATATATTTAATTATTTCTCTTGGCTAGAGCCAAGAGGGTCAGAAATAAACTTGCTGGGTCATATGACTTGAGGTTTTTTAAATTTTTTATTATTACTTTTTTGAGACAAAGTCTCACGCAGTCTGTCGCCCAGGCTGGAGTGAAGTGGAGCGATCTCAGCTCACTGCAAACTCCGCCTCCCGGGTTCAAGCAATTCTCCTGCCTAAGCCTCCTGAGTAGCTGGGATTACAGGTGTGCACCACCACGCCCAGCTAATTTTTTGTATTTTTAGTAGAGACGGGATCTCACCATGTGGGCCAACCTGGTCTTGAACTCCTGACCTCAGGTGATCTGCCTACCTTGGCCCGCAAAGTGCTGGGATTACAAGTGTGAACCCCTGTGCCCGGCAGACTAATTTTTAAAAAATACTTTTTGGTAGCGATGGGGTTTCATCATGTTGCTCAGGCTGGTCTCAAACTTGAGCCATCTGCCCGCCTCAGCCTCCCAAACCAGGACATGTTTCTTAATATAGTCTTATTAATATCTCTAGAGATACACTTTGAGAAATTGTGAAAGTGAGATCATATTTCCCAACTTAAATAAAAGCGCTAGCCTTTTGAAAAAGAAAACAAGTAAACTGAATATCAGTTTTGGACACAAATCATCCCATGTTACTAAATGATCTCAGATAAGCTACTTGACTTCTCTGAGACTAATTTTTTTTATGTATATATAACCTTAGGAACTCAAACTGTATTTCATCATTTCCTATAGGAATGTTTAAATCTAGACTCCTTATTCATAAATGGGAACAACTTCCTACTTGTTTTACAGAAAAATTGAGTTATTGTTATGTCCTTCAATCCTGGCTCACATCTGAGTTTATATTACATAGATTGTAACTCAAAATGAGCTTCAAGTAATGAGAAAGCAAAGTCTGTAATAAAAGGTGTTATCTATAATACAATTGAACTTAATAAGGAATGCACAGGGACAGGGAAAGGAGACAGCAGTGGGACAAAAAACATGCAGAAAATGCTTTTTTTTTCTTCCTGTCATCATTATGCTGTACATATCACTGGGTTGGCTGAGTTAGTATAACTAACTTTCAGGCAGCTCTGAATATTTTATACTTCCAGGTGAATTATCAGTGCCGTTTTAAACAATATACCCGTCTTAGTTTGCTCAGGCTTCTATGACAAAATACCATAGACTGTGTGGCTTAAACAACAGACATTTATTTCTCACAATTCTAAATGTTGTCAAGTTTAAGATCAGGGTTCCCACGTAGTCAGGTTTTAGGGAGGGGACTCTTCCTTGTCTACAGACTGCTATCTTCTCACTGTAGCCACACATATTAAAGCAAGATACTGAGAGAACACTAATCACTTCTTATTCTTATAAGGGCACTAATCTCCATCATGGAGGCACCACCCTCATGACCCCATCTAACCTTAATTATATCTTAAAGGCCCCATTTTCAAATGCTATCACATTGGAAGTTAGGACTTCAACATATGCATTTTCGAGGGACAAAATTCAGTCCATAAGAGTACCTAAAATCCATACTCCTGAACAGTGGCCTTGTTGATACCTATACTCTAGGAGACAACAGATTCAGATACATTTCTTATTTTTTAGTTTTCAACTCCTCATGACAAACCCTTGATTTTATTTCATAGCCTTGACATGAATAAATAATGTTGTTATTATTTTCATTTTAATGTAAATCGATGCTTCTTTCAGTTCTGTCTTACAGGAAAACAGGGAAGTCTGAATCTTTTTAGTCTTGAGGACATCATGTTTGCTCTCTTCCTTTAACCAGATAACAAAAAGACTTATAAAGGCAATATTAAAAAGGCCACTTATGACTACAGCAGGAGCAAAAACAGAACAACAACAACAAAAGAATATTAACTACCATACAACAAACCATGCTAGACCTGGTAAGGGATACAGGTCACAGAGATAACATTGCTCCAGCTCTCCGGGAACCTAAGATACAGTCAGCAACGGCAGTATGTCCCACTTTAGATGGGCAATATTACAAGACAGAATTTGGTTAAGGGTGAATGCAGAAAACAAAGTGAGAGAGGTACAGAGCTCTGATAAGTCATCAAAGTGAGGAATTAAATCAGCCAGGATGGAGAGAGAATAGATCAGGGGAAACCTTTTGTAGAGATAGAATTTAAATGAGTTTAAAAAGATGTATAGGAAGGGACAAGGGTAAAAAAGAAAAAAGGAAAACAAAGAGAAGCATTTCTGGCAGAATGAATACATCTAATACGTACTTGGATATAAGAATTTCAGGTACAAGTAATGTGAACAGCTTGCAGTCAGCTACAAGTCCTTCCACATGAAAACACATTGCAAAGATGCAGAATAAGTGACTGGCTAATGTATATGGTTCCAAAAAGAAAAAATTAAATAAGGTTTGCCTTTTATCTTTATGTTATATCTTTTCTAACTCTTCTGCAATGTTAATTGTAAATAAACAACTGTACACAGTAAGAAAATATTGAATGTTGAGGACACATAGACAAATAGAGGGGAAGAACACACAATGGGGCTTTTCAGTGGGTGGAGGCTGAGAGGAAAGAGAGGATCAGAAAAAATAACCAGTGGGTACCAGGCTTAATACCTGGGTGATGAAATAATCCTAAAACAAACCTCCATGACACAAGTTTACCTATGTAACAATCTTGCACTTGTACCCCTAAACTTAAAATTTACAAAAATTTGAATGTTTTTAAGCAAAATAACAGCCTAACCATGCCATAGAAAGATTAATCCACAGCAGTATGAAGAATGGACTTTAGCACAAGTCTGCAAGTTCACTGAGTTTTTGGATGGCTATTGCAACAGTGCAGGTGAGAATGAGGATGGTAGGAGTGTGAATGGAGAAGTAGAAGTGGAAATAGGAGGTAAAGCTTGAAAGCATGTTAAGATAGTGTGGGTGAAACAGCAGAGGAGTAAGTATCGGTTGTCCAAGCATGGAGCCTGGGTCACTGGAAAGATATTGAGATCCTTAAACATATTACTTGTAACAAACATGAAGACAGGGGAGGAAGAATGGCTTCCAGATTGGTTTTGAATGAACCAAGTTGGAATAGTTATAGTGGATTAACAGGTAGACAAACCCAGCAAGATATTGGAAAAGAAGAGGTAAAGTCAGGACTACATGTATTAATTTTCTCCTCTTCCCCATAAAATGAGAATTTTATTCATAGCATGGATGAGATTTTCAGAAGGCAGAGAATGTCTAAAGTTCAGCAATCCAGGAAAATTTTTCCTTGGAAGACAGTGAGAATCAAATTAAAACTACAGGCTGTTTCTTCTCCAAAGTGTTTCAGTTCATTTTTGCCATTAGATTTCAGTACAAACCTCAGGCCTCTTGACAGATCACTTGTTCTTGGACCATCAAAGTTACACCTGATCCCAGATGTTTAGAAGCTCAAGTAGTCTAATTTATTTTATAGAATATTAATGAATGGGGGTTGATTTCAGCAGCCTCTGAGGAATAATACCCTCTTATTAATCTGACCAATAACACCCTTATTGGATATAATGTCCACTAGTCTGTTACAATATATCAAATACACCTAAGTTCTCTTTTTGTAGTTTTATGGTGGACTAATCATAATGTATCTTCCTATGCCACTATTGTGATTATCTATCTATATTCTCTATCTATATTCTATGTTTTTCTATCTACATTCTCTTTGTACTCTTGTTGTCATATGTGGCTTATTTACTCCAATACATGCAATACAGACAGACACACTTACTTCAAAATGTCAAGGAAATAATTTTGAAAATTCCTTAGGGACTTTATCTCTCTCTCTATATGAGTGTGTTAGTGTGTGTGCCTGTGTGTTTGTGTGTGTGTGTGTGTTTGTGTGTGTGTGTGTGTAGCTCTCTGTGTAGATACATGACAGATAGATAGATAGATAGATAGATAGATAGATAGATAGATAGATAGATAGATAGAAACAGTGCATGTGTCTCTATTTCTCCTGATGATAGGTTTTCACCTGAATAAACAGACTGGTATTCACAGTGGAAGATATTCGAAGAATGTAGAATCTTGCTTTTAAGATGTCTATAACTGAGAGTGTTTGTATGTCCTGAAAGGTTGTTTTTGTTTGGTTGGTTGTATTTTTTTTTTTTTGGTAGGCAAATTGAACACTGCACTTCTATTACAAAGCAAAATGCACATAGAGATGGACACTGACAAGATGACTAGGATGTAAATTGAATTTCATTAACAGCATACTGGAATAGCAAGCTATCTTAAGTACTCTGTTGTGGCTTCTGATGACTAGCACTGGTTCCTTCCAACTGTCCCACCAGGCATCTGCCTCTCAGATTCAATCCCTCTCCTCACCTTGTTCTATAGTGCAGGGAACTGCATTTCCCAGGCTCCCCCGCCTTCTGGTTTCTGAGTAATTTTGGTCATTGGACAACAACATCACCGGCTGGCAGGGCATGAAGGAGGATGTCTCTCCCCATCTTTCTCCACTTTGGGTAACATTTCTAGCAGCAGCTTCACATCTTTAGCAGTTCTACGTCCCATTGTCTAGGACTTCCCTCCATATATCCATCATGAGTGCAACTTCAGCTAAGTGGCCCAAGTTTTGGATTCTGGTAAGAATACATCATCTCTAGTCCCCCCAGGCTCAGCGTCAGTTTCATCCATTACTTAATCACTATTTCCTCACAGACCCCAGCCTGGATTT